>NC_000023.11:140929381-141628626 GCF_000001405.40 Homo sapiens | reverse complement strand
ACAGAAAAATCAGGTGTGGCTCCATCCTGTAGTGAGGAAGATTCACTAGCCATGATGAGCTAACTGGTTGCTAATTCCAGGACCCAGGCATAATGAACACCTAGATGTTGAGGGTCACAGGTACAGGGCCTGAGAGAACTTATATTTCTGGTCAAAACCCAGTAGGTTGCCACCAGTTGCCACACTAATGGCATATAGCATAAAGCCAAACAGAGCAGTTCCTTGTATCAGAAGCCCATGGGCAACTAAAGGCTATCATTGCTGGTCTGGTGACTTCAGTAAGTATGAAATGAGGTTGCTAAAATCTCTACAGTGCTTAAGTCTCTGGGGAGACCTAACACAAGTGCCTGTTGCATAGCAATTTAGACAAATTCCAGAGCCTTTTGTTGCAGGTGGCTTCATTCAAGATGGACCAATTTACAAGTGACAGAACAAATACACTTAAATAAATTTGTATGTAGGGAATATATTACCTCCAGGATCCAAAAATGTCTAAATGATATTAGACTTGTTTTAAAAATGTGGGTGCTGAGACTAAAAGCTTTTTCTTGACACTGTTGCATTGGAGCAGCCCTCTGATTACCAAATAATTTTCAGAAATTTAACTGATGTAGTGTGGCTTTGTACTATGTGTGAGGGCAATGGCTGATTTCCTTTCTGTGATCTTTTTTGCTAACATTTTTATGTCCTGAAGAAGTGTCTCATAGGAAACTCCTCAGAAGAGGTTGTCATCAGTGTAATGTCATACCTGAGCATCTAGGAAAATCTGGATGTAGTTAATATTCTGCCTGTGAAGATTATATGAGATGACGGAAGTGGAAAGATACCCCACCAAGTACCCTGGTAGAGTTGTATTGTGTCCCTTTGAAGGTGAAGGTAAGTACACTGCAGGTGAGAGGCTGTTGAAACAGGAAGTGAACAGGACATTTAGCCAAATACTTTGCTATTACTGCAAACTATTTACCAGATACGTATTGGATGGAATCAGTAAATTGAATAATATTAGGTATGAAGACCTGATGAGTGGAACCATGGCATTAAGGTTACAGTAATATACACTGAGGCACCATTTATATTTTCCAGATTTAAGAACAATCCAAATTTGGCTGTTAAATGCATAAGCAGTGAGGGTAATCATCTATACAGGTCTAATTCTCTAAATAGGTCTTATATAATGGGTTTCAATTATTGAAGATTCTATTTTAATTTAGATTGGGCTTTTTTAAAAAGCAACGGAGGAAGATGTTAATTATTAACTTATTTTAACTGCGTGAGGCAGTCCATAGGGTCCCATTTTTCAAGCTGATCACAAGTACCAAAGACTTAATTTTAATTTATTACTCATTAGGTTAGATTGTCCATGATCAGTAGGGGATATTTGGAAAGAATTGATGCCATGGATATGGGGATTTTAGGCAAGGGAATAATTAAAATAGTTGAGGCTGGGCATATCTGTTCATTTCCATTTTAAATTCAGTAACTCTCCAGTTGTTTTTATCAGCTTGATCAGATGTGGGGTAGGAGAAGGGAATGAGATGAAGCTTAAAATCTGGCGGCAGACAAACATCAAAAACGGAATCAAACCCATTGTTGCATACTACCACCCCATACACATCACAACTCTCCCTATCTACACCCTCCCACACACACAGAAACACCAATTCCTTTTCCTCTTTTACTGTGGAATAAATTATTAAGCAGGAAATTTGTCTTCAGTGCTCGTTCCTCATCTAGTCCTTAATCCCAATGTCTGGCTAACTGTGGCTACCAGCCTGTCTCACAACCTGGAAGGTTCTCAACTCCCTCCCTCCT
Organism: Homo sapiens; assembly: GCF_000001405.40. Lineage (NCBI taxonomy): Eukaryota > Metazoa > Chordata > Mammalia > Primates > Hominidae > Homo > Homo sapiens. The sequence continues at coordinate 141,626,814 of NC_000023.11, read as the reverse complement.
CATACACATGCTCTTCCCCTTCTTTCCCTCCCTCTCCATTATTAGAAAACACCACAGAGATATACAGAACTTTTCAAAATCTTTTGGTTGAATTTTAATCACCAACATCCAAGAATCTTGGTGCAATATGTAGTTTCTCTGCACAGGAGACCATTTCTAGAGGTTAACCTAGAGATGAGATAGGTCTTGGTCTTCTGATGAGCTCTCAGAATCACTTGAGGTGGGAGATTACTCGTGGCTGTCTTCATCCTCATTTGGCTGATTTTCATCCCTTTTTTTATTACTGTGGTAATAAAAAATTAATACAGTTGACTTTTTCCCCGCTTTACGTCTTTCTGAATTCTGCTGAACAAATGATCTTATCTTCTTTGCTGCCTTCAACAACTGGAAGAAAAACAGAGTGAGCCAAAAGAGACATTAATTTGGAGAAGTGGATGGGGAATGTGTGGAAAGGGAGATTTTGTGATGATGTGTACAGGTTGAGGAAAGATTTTGTGCCAGATAAGGACAAGGTAGGAATCTTGGGTTAGGTATCAATGGGGAGGAAGAGTCACATAATTAGGGATATCTGACCTCGTCAGTTTCACCTTCTTTAGCTTCACAAGTAGTTTTCTTTCTCCATTTCATGCTGGGATTTTCTTGGCTTGTGCTTGTGGATGGTTCAGGCATGTCTGAACTAGCTTCTCCTACTTCTTCGGTAACCTTTGGGATAATGTAGCAATGGTGGCCTATATTCCCTTCTGGCTCCTTGTTAATCTCCGCCATCTTAGAGCAAAAGTAGGCTATAGCCTCTTTTATTTCTTCAGGAACATCTTCTATTGTAGAACAACAGTAGCGTACAGTGTCTTCCTCTTCTTCACTAAACTCTGCCATCCTAGATGAACAGTAGCCTACAGCCTCTCCTGATTTTTCCCTAACCCCTGCCACCCTAGAGCAACAGTAGCCTACTCCAGGCCTCATGATCTCTCTCTATATATACTCCTCAGGACAATGAGATTCCACATTCTTCAGTTTGATTGGCCAGCAAGAAATTACTCTGCCAGTGGTAGCCCTGGGGTGGCTTAGACATCACCAGGCAACACTCCTGACAATTTCATGGCTTACACATCACAAAGCACCACTCCTGACAATTCCATGCGGGGAGGGACAGGGTACAGAGGAGTCTAAATGGTCTGGTTAGAGAAAAAGGAGAGCTTCCTCAACACCAATAAGGGTCATTCCAAAGTGACCTCTCACCCTTCTTTGTCTCTCCTAGTTTAATTGTGGTGTGTCACATGGCTTAGAAGGGTGTTTCCCCCAAGGCATTCCCCATGGCTACCCCAATCAGTCATTCATTCTGTTGTCTCCCAGCCTTCACCAATACTGGATATTTTGTATGTCTTATCGAAAATCCTTCTGAGCCAGTGTACCCATATTTAAGTCTAAATACAGATGTGAGTTATCTCACTTTTCTCCAACAACACGTGCCTCTACCAGGCAACTTTCCCAAGGTGTGTGTGTGTGTGTGTGTGTGTGTGTGTGTGTGTGTGTGTGGTTACTGCATACAATTCATGGACATTCCTCTCTACCTTATTCATATAAGTTTCTTCTTTCAGAGAACCTCATATCAAGTCAATATCATCAGGATTATGGGACTCCTTCATGAAAATGGTTGAATGAATCCGTTTTTTCCACAAGGGTGTCATGGATGTTTCTCCCTAAAACTCTGATGATCAAAATCTTTTTTGTGACACTGACCTAAACAGTATCGCAAGAAGCATTTTTAAAGCTCCTAGTGAGTTATCTGCTTTTAGGAGTGTGTTCTCAGCATTTCAAATAGTAACTGCTCTCCCTCCATATGAGTGACCAACCAGTGGGCCTATATATTGAAGAGACTCTCAGTCTTTCTCCTCAACTGTCTAAAGAAAGAATACTAACACCTGGTTTAGAAACAACTGATGGTAAAAACGGAAGAGTTTATCCTTGAGCCTAGTTTCAGTCATATCTTATATTGGAATTGAGACACATGATTCAATCTGAATTCACAGATCCAGGCTGAAACACAAGATTCAGGGCTGCATTAAGAAGGGCTCCAACCCAATATTCCTGTCAATAAATGTCAATTAGTTAAACTGCTGACTTACGTTGTTGAAATCTTTAGCATAGGCTTGGTAGAACCCTACCAATGCTGCACAAAGCAGTACAGTTTAAAATACAAGCTAGGCCGCAGGCAGTAGCTCAAACTGCATGTCACCAGCAGGTAGCAGTGCCAGTTAGGAAGCTAAAGCAAGAGAAAAAAGATCCCTGGTGGTAGTGAAGACTGCCTAGATATCCTGTTCACAGATTCAATGTGACAGGATGGATTCCACACCAAAAATTTGGTTTGGATGTCAAAACTGATGATACACGCACCAAAAGGGAATGGAAAATTTTATTACTCACATAATGAGGCTTTCTGGGGAGATCAGGACAGGTTTCCAAGCAGGTAAAAGAATGCTTGAGAGAACAGAGAGAAAAAAAAAAAAAATGGCTTGGCTTTTATGACGGTTAGGGGGTAAAGCTGGTATGAGTGTCCCACACACAGACTAGGGCTTGCATGGTTTGACCTTCACACTAGCCCTAAAGAAGGAATCACCTGGGCTTTCTTATCAGATCTAGGTAAGAAGAGGAAGAGGAAGCGGTGGGTCGTGAAAATTGTTAGCCGTCAAATGTAAAACATGGAGTCAGATTCTATTACAGAGCTATTTTACAGAAGTGTTGTGTAAATGAAAAACGTTCCAGCAAAATTTAGAATTTTCAAAACCACTGTAACCAAGCTTCTCATATTGTTTTTGGCATAAGCTGCATTTCATTACATTAGCATAACCAAAATTATGGTCCTTTAAATATTCTTTAAGAAAGCTTAGGATTATCTTGGTTCATCAACAGAGAAACTGTGCAGAAAGACAAAGCTGTTACCATCAGCAAGTCTGCTACTCTGTCTACAGGAGTGCAGACCTAATTTCACTATCTGCTGAATTATGTGAGGCTTTTTACCTTCTTCCTATCTCAGATCATTAAAGACTGTAATCATAATTACAGAAGCCAACATTTATTGACCACTAAATACATGCTGAAATTAAGCTAAATAATTGTCATACCTGAGACTGGGTAAGTTAGAAAAATCAGAAATTTATTTCTCACAATTCCAGATGCTGAGAAGTGCAAGATCAAGGTGCCAGCAGGTTTGGTTGTCTGGTAAGGGCTTGCTCTCTGCTTCCAAGATGGTACCTTTTTACTGCATCCTCTGGCAGGGAGGAACGCTGTGTCTTCACATGGAAGGTGGTAGAAGGAAAAGCCAGTCTAAAGTTGTATGAAGACTCTTTTTAAGGGCCCTGATCCTATTCATGAGCAAGGAGCCCTCATACCCTAATCACCTGTTAATGACCCCGCCTCTTAATACTATCACATTGGCAAAATCTGAATTTTGGAGGAGACACATTTAAAGCATAGCTATAACCACATCCATATTCAATGCTTGTCAAAACCCTATTGGGGTAATTTGCAAAATAACACTTTTTGCCACCTCCATTCCAATTGTGGAAGCAGAAAAGATCATTGAGGAAAGTACATGGGAATATTTATAGGCCAGGTTGAAAGGGACATGTATCACTCCCACTAACATTTCATTGGCAAGAGCTCACATAGCCACATTTAACTGCAAGAGAGATGGATAAATGGAATCTACCAAGAAGAGGATTATTTGAGTGTTGGTGATCAGCTAGCAATCTGCTACAGCTGTCCCATCATCACTTTATTCCTAGTGCATAGAGTAGGGACTGGTATGTAGTAAGTGGTCACAAATATATCTGTTGAGTGAATGAGTTTGAATATTTGGTCAGAGTTACATATAGAAAGATATAGAACTAGGTCAGAAACACATAAAACTTGGTTAGGTAATTTTTTAGATATGCCACCAAATGCACAAGCAACAAACAAAGATTAAACTGGACTATATCAAATTTAAAAATCCGCTGCAAAAAATTTACAAAAAAATGAAAAGGCAACCCAAAGAAAAGGAGAAACATATTTGCAAATCACGTATTTGGCAAAGAACTAGTAGGCAGAATATTCTTACAACTCAAAAACAAAAAAATAAAACACCCAATTAAAAGTTGGGTAAAGAACTTAAGCTGACATTTATCTAAGGAAGATGTATAAATAACCAACAAATACATGAAAAGCTGCTTAATATCATCAGTCATTAGGGAAAATGCAAATCAAAATCACAACAAGATACCACTTCACACCTACTAAGATAATTATATTAATTTTTTTTTTTTTTTTTTTGAGACGGAGTCTTGCTTTGTCACCCAGGCTGGAGTGCAGTAGCCCAAGCTCGGCTCACTGCAACCTCCACCTCCCAGGTTCAAGTGATTCTCCTGCCTCAGCCTCGCATGTAGCTGGCACTACAGGCGCGTGCCACCACGCCCAGCTAATTTTTTTTGTATTTTTAGTACAGATGGGGTTTCACCATGTTGGCCAGGCTGGTCTCACACTCCTGACCTCAGGTGATCCACTCGCCTTGGCCTCCCAAAGTGCTGGGATTACAGGCGTGAGCCACTGTGCCTGGCCTATATAAATAATTTTTTAGATGGAAAATAACAAGCGTCGGTGAGGATGTGGATAAACTGGAACCCTCATACACTTCTGGAGGAAATGTATAATGGTGCAGTCTCCATGTAAAACAGTTTGGCAATTCCTCAAAAAGTTAAACATAAACTTACTATATGACCCAACATAATACTCCTAGGTATATAACCAAAATAATTGAAAACAGAAAAAAACAGTTGAGTGGAGCATTACAACAGCCAAAGGCAAATGATGTTTTAAGAAGAAAAAATAGTCAGTTTCATGAAATACTTCTCACAGGTAATATGGGGCAACACAAGTGATCATTGAACTTGATAGTATGGAAGTTATTGGTAATCTTGAAAAAAAAGGAGAATAAAAGAATGGAAAATATTTAGTGTAAACCTGAATGACGTATATTAAGAACACAATATGAGGTGAGGAAGTGAGAGGTTTCATGCTAAGAAAAGGAAAAACCATGGAGTTGGACATTGATTTGGTGTCCCGAGAGTGGTTTTTTTTTGTTTGTGTGGTTTTTTGTTTGTTTGTTTGTTTGAGACAGAGTCTCACTCTGTCGCCTGGCTGGAGTACAGCGGTGTGATCTCAGCTCACTGCAGCCTCTGCCTCCCGGGTTCAAGTGTTTCTCCTGCCTCAGCCTCCTGAGTAGCTGAGATTACAGGCATGCACCACCACGCCCAGCTAATTTTTGTATTTTTAGTAGAGACAGAGTTTCACCATGTTGGTCAGCCTGGTCTCGAACTCCTGACCTCATGATCGCTTGCCTCAGCCTCCCAAAGTGCTGGGATTACAGGCATGAGCCACAATGCCCAGCCGAGAGTGTATTTTTAAGAGGGTAGATTTAGAGCATACCTTTATGCCGATGTGAATGATTAAGTGAAATCAATGATTGTAAAGAGCAAGAGGATAACTGCAGAAGAAAAAAAAATATTGATAATGCAAGAGGAGTATCAGAGCACTAGTAGATGGGACCTACACTCAAAGTAGAAGATCTGGCCTTACATGAGAACAGGTTATTTTATACATTGTACAGAAGAAAAGGAAAGGATTATGACATGGTTACAAATGCAGGTAAGATGGTGAATTTGGTGGTAAAGATAAAAGGGAATAAATCTCTGTTGATTCTTCTATTCTCTCAGTGAAGGAAGAGGAAAGGTCATAAAATGATAGGCATGAGAGGCTGGGTTTCTGAAGAACTCAGAAGAGAATAAGGTGTTGAATAGTCGGTTTTAATAGTAGAAAAGGACACATAATATGGAAAGATTGCTCATTTGAGATATGTGGTCAAGAATTTCAGGTGACATCAGTCAGTCTACTCTTGAAAATTTCTATACTTCAAATGAGCTCTGGATTTTGAACAAGAAACAGAAATGATTTGTAAGTGACAAAAAGGAGCAAAGTGGCCACTTACTCCACCTCTAGTCTCTGGGGTAGGTGAGGGAAACTGGTGTTCACATGAAAGAACAGCTACATTCCAGTTATAACCAGAGGAAGGGAAGAGTTTGAAGCTACTGGGGAGTTTCTAATGGCAGACTATGAGTTACAGAGGGCAGAAAAGAAGGGCTAATGATGATGGAGAGAGAGCTGGGTTTACTTTTGTTATGTATATAACAATATGTGGATAAGTGACCAGGCAATGAATAATCTGCAGGTAGGTGACTTAAAAGTGATGAGACAAGATGGAATTAATCCTGATGGTCTCAGAAGAAGGTCACTAATCAGATAAGCTACAGTCCAGAGTATTTATCCGGAATATGAGATATACTTAAGACTATTCTTTTCTGTACCTTGTATGGCAGTCTGGGAAGTGAGTAAAGACCGGCCTGTTGACTGCTTAATTAAGAGTGACCTAGAGCTCAGAGGAATCCGAAAGCATCAATAAAAAAACCTTTCCCTAAATACCATGTATTCTGCTTTCTGATCCAGCCTTCCAAAGATAAACTATTGAGAACATTTGAGGGGGAAGATTTGAAAAGAGAGGAGTGTGTATGTTTAGGAGTGTGGGTGTGAACAACAAAGACCAGCCCTGGGTTGCTATTACAGGCATATGAAGCACTGCATTATTCTTGAACAACCCAACATGCCTGTACATCCAGGGCCCAGATATAGACACCAACACTTACTGGGCACCTGCAAAGCCGAAGCTGGGGATGCAGAGAGGCTGAAGGGAAGCGTATTAGCTCAATGTAGGAATGTATTTACTTGGGCTTTCTAAATGGCAGATGGGAAAAAAAATGAAAGAAAGGTAAGTGAGGTTTTTTATCTAACTTCTCTCCTCAGGAAGCAGCACTTGAAGTTCTATTTCCTACATAAATTCACCTGCTAAAACCCCAGGGAGCTCATCAGTGGGCAGATGTTCTCACATAAGTATAGTTACTAGCAAACATTTAATCAAAATCATGACTGCATCTGGCTCCCATTAGAAGGTTTATCTTTGTTATTGTCTTTTAAGAGAACAGTTCCCCATGCTTATAAATCCTGACTCAGAATATGAATTCAACCTGCCTCAAGTGCTTTCTGGTTACACCTTCCTGCTAGAAATCAGCAAAGTCCACAGAGAATAAATTTGGGGAGTATTGCCAAAGTGTTGTTTTTGTATGTTTTTCAATGTGTATACACTGGAATGTCTAGGAGTTACGCACAGTCAGGGGAATGCATTCCTAAGATTTAATTGTTTTTGGTCAAATGCTTACAACGTATGTGAGCATCATGGCAGGAGAAGGGAAGCATTCATTGAATCCCCAACAGAGATATGAGCTCAAACCCAGGAATCCCTTAGTCACATTTTGAGTTAAGTGCTTACCCACTCAGTCTACTTTTGCATTTCTAAAAAAATTTTAAAAGCTGGAGATGAGTGGATAATTCCTTATGAGGCTATTGTAAAGATTAAGGGATCCATAAAAAGAGTGTAGCACCACAATCCACAGATGAGAGAAAATAATTTTAAATTATATACCTGATAAGGGATTTGTATCCAAAATATATAACGTACATATACAAATCAATGAAGAAAAGATAAGTAACCCAGTTTAAAATGGGCAAAGGATATGAACAGGCATTTCTCCCAAGGAAGATATGCAAATAGCTAACAAACACATTAGAAAATCCTTGACATCATCAGTCATCATGGAATTGCAAATCAAAACCACAAAGATATTACCTCACACTCACGAGGATGACTAGAATCCAAAAGTCAGATATTCACAAGTGTTGATGAGGATGTAGAGAAATAATAGCCCTCATACAGGGATAGTGGGAGTGTAAAATGGTGCGGCTGCTTTGGAAAATAGTTCAGAAGTTCCCAAAAAAGTTAAACATGAAATTAGCATATAGTCCAGAGATTCCTCTCCTAGGTATATATCCAAGAAATTGAAAATATTTTCACACAAAAACTTTTACATAAATTGTCATAGAAACAATATTTACAATAACCAAAAGGTGAAAACAACCCAAATGCTCATCAACTGATGAATGCATAAAAAAATTGACAATCCATGTAATAGAATATTACTTAGCCATCAAAAGGGATGAAGTACTGGTACATACTACAGCATGCATGAGCCTTGAAAACATTATCTTCAGTGAAATAAGCCAGTCACAAAAGACCACATACTATATGATTTCATTTATATCAAATAACCAGAACAGAAAATCAATAGACAGAAAGTACTTTAAGAATTGCTTAGGGCTGGGGATGGGAGTTGGTGGCATGGGGAGTGATAGCTAAAGGGCACAGGGTTTCTTCATAAAGTGATAAAAATGTTCTAAAATTGACCGTTTTGATGATTGCACATACCTCTGAAATACTAACCAACATTTAATTATACATTTCAAATGGATACATCCTATGGTATGTTAATTATATCTCAATAAAGCTGCTTTTAAAAGCCTGTGTGCTAGCAGGGGATAGCGGAGCAGAATTTCAGTGACTCAAGAAAGAAATAGTGTGTAGCACAGTAACCCAGAACACAACAAATGCTAATTAAGTATCACCCATTATTATTCTACCATCATTTACTATATTCCTCAGACCAATTCAGTTTGTTTGTCTCAAAATCAATCCATAGCAAATGATTAAGTTAGTAGTAAGAAATTAAATGTGACCCATAGATGATAATTATTGAGAAAATGATCCTTGGAACCAGACAATTATGGATCTACCATCTGTAACATATGAGCATATTAAGTTCCCATTTTCCTCATCTATAAGATGGAGATATTAATGGTGCCTGCCCCGTTTAATTATTATTAGAAGTAAATAAAATATGTGCTGAGAGCAATACAGAGACTGGCACTCATCAAAAATTACTTTCCCCTGTTTGGAGTCAACATCCGACATCTTCAAATGCCCACAAAAGATCTTTCCAATCTTTATATGTTAATAATTTTATTTAAAATGTAAAACTTTTCCTGGAAATTGCTTCTAATAACAATGTTTTGCTGCTTAAATATTGTCAGCTGCCGAAATGTAAAGTATACCAAAAGGCTGCATTTTTTTTGTTTGTTTTTTTGAGACGGAGTCTCGCTGTCACCCAGGCTGGAGTGCAGTGGCGTGATCTCGGCTCACTGCAACTTCCCCTTCCCGGGTTCAAGCGATTCTCCTGCCTCAGCCTCCTGAGTAGCTGGGACTACAGGCGCCCACCACCATGCCTGGCAAATTTTTTTGTACTTTTAGTAGAGACGAAGTTTCACCATATTGGTCAGGCTGGCCTTGAACTCCTGATCTTGTGATCTGCCCACCTCGGCCTCCCGAAGTGCTGGGATTACAGGCTGGCTAATTTTTTTCTATTTTTAGTAGAGACGGGGTTTCACCATATTGGTTAGGCTGGTCTTGAACTCCTGACCTTGTGATCCGCCCACCTCAGCCTCCCAAAGTGCTGGGATTACAGGCGTGAGCCACGGTGCCCGGCCAAAGCTGCATTTTTATACTCATTGTCCTCTATAGGTAACTAGTAGATAGAAAAAAGTCACTGATGCTCATTGAGTTAGAAGATACTCTTTTTTTTTCTTTTTAATTTTGTGGGTACACAGCAGGTGTATATATTTACGGGGTACATGAGATATTTTGATACAGGCATACAATGTGTAATAATTACATCAGGGTCAATGAGGTAGACATCATCTCAAGCACTTGTCATTTTTTTGTGTTACGAACATTCTGACTGTACTCTTTTAGTCATTTTAAATTGTACAATAAATTATTATTTATTGTAGCCATGCTTTTGGGCTACCAAATACAAGATTTTATTTCTTTGGTTTAATAAGCCACTGGTGTTCCTTTGCTGCACTCTTTGGCTACCTATAAGAAAATTGTTCATTGAAAAGTCAATGAAATAAACGTGATTTAATGAATATGGTTGCTAACATCAGAAGTGAAAACTCTTACGAGCTGATTCAAGATTGTACTATTGTGAAGTCTTTTAGTTTTTTTTTTTTTTTTTTTGAGACAGAGTTTCACTCCATCGCCCAGGCTGGAGTGCAATGGCGCGATCTCAGCTCACTGCAACCTCCGCCTCCCGGGTTCAAGAGATTCTCCTGCCTGAGCCCCCCAAGTAGCTGTAACTACAGGCACCCGCCACCACGCCCGCCTAATTTTTGTATTTTTAGTAGAGACGGGTTTTCACCATGTTGGTCAGGCTGGTCTCAAACTCCTGACCTCGTGATCCACCCACCTCAGCCTCCCAAAGTGCTGGGATTACAGGTGTGAGCCACCGCGCCCGGCCCAGATGTGTGACTTTTTACAAAATCTATGAAGCCTTCCACATTTCATTCTATACAGTAGAAATACATTCACTGAATTTAAAAATAACCATATGTACTTTTGTAATCAAGCTTAAATTTTTCTACAGTGGAATAAAACACATTTTTATACCTTATAACTTTATTCAGAAATGTAGCAAAGAATTGTCTATAAAAGTCTCAGTCTTCATATATAGCTCCAACATTATGCTTTAGCTCTGAAATTTTAGCTGTTTTAAACTAACTTAACAGAAACATTAACAAAAGCAAAACATACATTACAAGCTGTCTGGGGGAAAGCTGTGCCCAGCAGCAAGTCTCCACACAGAGAATGGCATATGTCAAGTGTATTGTCTTCTCAAGATGTAAGCAAGTGACAGGCCAATGTGAAAATTTTAATCCTCGGAAGAAATGGCACAATGCTGCTTCTGTGAACAGGATGACCTGAAGGTCACAGAGATTGTCCCTGAGATGAAAATCTCTTTATAGATTCACTGTGGTCTGGTAGCATTATTTATGTTCACTCCTTGCACCTACTGTGTTAATTCATTGGGCTCCCTTGTGCTTATGGAATCAGATGCACTTTACTATCCTTTTGGCTTTGTCTCCTCTGAAATGCCTCTTGTCCATACTCTTGCTGGGCCATACCAGTGTCACTCCCATGCTGCCAGCTTCACTATCAGATTCCTCAAAGCCACCTCATCTTGCCCTACCACCTTGCCACTATCCTGAACAATTTCTTCACATTAATTAGTAATCATGTCATTAGAGCTAGCATTCAACAAGCTGTTACCATGTCCCAGACACTGTTGTAAGCACTTTACATGCATTGCTTTAACTGATCCTCCTAACAACCCTATGAAGTAGGTTTGATTATTAGTTTTACTTTACCAATAAGGAAACTGAGGCTCAGAGAGGTTACATTGCTTGCTGAAGGACACAAAAGAAGGAGGCAGCAGAATTGGTATTTGTAGCCAAAACTGGTGACTCTAAATGTTATACACTACTGTCTCATTCATTTTTTGTCTTTTGCTAAATTCTAGATGAAAACTATAATATCTTAATTTACATTCCTTGATTTCTACTACAGCACATATAGAATGCCCCAAAATACATAAGGCATGATATATTGTTCATGTTTTCTTTGCTTTGTTATTTTTAAATAATATCAAACCTGGAAACTTAGAAAGTAGAATTTGGGACAACAAAGGTGAGGTTATTGGATAATGAAACTGATCTTGATAAATATCATGGCTTTTTTTGCTGTCCAGCAGCACCGTTAGATTATAGTTCTCCATAATTTCTAGGATCTGTTGCTTCTGTTGACTATAGAGATCTCCTTCCCAATAATGACTCTCAGGATCTCAGCAGTGTGGCTCCCCCACCAATGTTCTCCAAACCACAGCTGTCCCACCTCCTCCAGTCATTGGCATACAAAGCCCTGCCACCTTGAGGCACAGCTTGTAAAGCCAATATAAATGTCTGACATCAGAACTTACTATTCCTTGTCTTTTCTCCTAGTCTGAGAGTGCCAACCTTTCTTGATGGTATACTTTCTTCTTGAGCTCTTCAAACCATATAGCCTTCAAATCTCCTCTATAAGGGTTGGTCAGATCAATCTCCATTCTTTCTTGGGCCTAGACTAAAGATTGCAAACTTTCGCCCTATGAATCAAATGCAGAGCTACATGTCAAATTTAAGTTCTACAAGACAAATGAAGAGGCACTTTTGAAATCCCTCACATGGTTCTTTTTATATATATATATATATAAACATTAGTGTCCAACGATTAAGAGCTTTTACTTAAAACTGCACACTTACCAGATCTTTCAGTTGTGGTCTCCATGTCAATGACACACATCCTACCAAATTTTTTCCAAATATCTTTCCCTAAAGTAGAATTAACTTGACCAGGAGATTCTCTACTTCAAATTACTCTTTGAGAGCCAGCAAATTTTTTCTGCAAAGGACCAGACAGTAGTTTACCCTTTGTGAGCCATAGGGTTTCTGTTACTCCTTCTATTCTTCCTCCTTTTTTTGGTCTTTTTCTTCTTCACCACACATGAAAACTATGTTTAATAAATATTGTCAGCTCAATGGCCATGCAAAAGCAGATCACAGGCCATAAATTGTCAACTTCCACTTTTTTAAATTTACTTGTATTTTTTCTTTATGTAATTAAATCAGCTTAGAGAATAAAACATGAACAAAAGCATCAACATTATTTCAGTAATAGGCATTTTTTTTTACCCTAGGACCACCTACCTGTTCACTGCTTTTATAGGCATCCCAGATTAGGCATGATCTGCTGATTCGAACCAGCCTCAGAGAGTTGTTTGTGTATGTCTCTTCATATCATCTTTCCTCTACATGTGTCTGTTTCTTTTCACATGGCATTCTTTTTATAGGGACACCAGTTATATTGGATTAAGGGCTCACCCTACCCCCTTATGACCTCATTTTAACTTAATAATTACATCTGCCATGACTTTATTTCCAAATTCTGAGGTACTGAGGTTGGGACTTCAACATATACATTTTGCATGGTACACAGCTCACCCCTTAACGCCAGGGCTTTACTTTTGCAGAGAGCCAGTTGTTAAACATTTACCAGGACACTACTGCACACAACCCTGAGATTGTTCTCTTTCTCAATTAGGATTCTGCAGAAGGATGAGAGGCAAGCAATTTCAAGCAGAAAGGCACAGAACTGATGAATATAAGTTACTAGTAAACTAGTGGTACTATGACTATGAACCCAGTGTTTCTCTTAACCTAAGATACTTAAGAAATGTAGAACAAGTAGATAAAACTCCCCCACAAGATAAGAGAGTATTACCTAGCAATACATTGTATGTGTCTTGTCATAAGGCTTCAAAAAGGGTGACTACAGTATTTGTGACACTAAAATAGTCGGTGACCTTTCAAACATACCTGACTTCAGTTTAGAAAGTATAATAATTTGGCTGGGTGCAGTGGCTCACGCCTATAATCCCAGCACTTTGGGAGGCCTAGGCAGGTGGATCGCTTGAGGTCAGGAGTTCGATACCAGCCTGGCCAACATAGTGAAACCCTGTGTCTACTAAAAATACAAAAATTAGCCAGGCTTGGTGGCGCATGTCTGTAATCCCAGCTACTCGGGAGGCTGAGGCAAGAGAATCACTTGAACCCCGGAGGCGGAGGTTGCAGTGAGCCGAGATCGTGCACTCCAGCCTGGGTGACAGAGCGAGACTCCATCTCAAAAAAAAAAAAAAAAGAAAAGAAAAGAAAAGAAAGTACAATAATTTAATACACATCGTTCAGTTATCCCTAAAACATGATTTTACTAAATGTGAATAGCAACAATACCATTGCAGCAGTATATCCACCTGAGTCTAAAACAGGTCAATCTATCAATGAATTTAAATGAAGTTTTTGGTACTGTATGATTCTATTTATATAAAATTGTAGAAAACGCAAAACTATAATGACAGAAAGCATATCAGTGGTTGGCGGGGGTAGGGGCTGGGGAACTCACCTTCAAAGGGCAGGAGGAAGATTTTAGGATGAAGGAACTCTTTTATGTCTTGATTGTGGTTACATACTGTATACAACCACCAAATTCATCAAATGCTACCCTTAAAATGAATGAATATTATTATATATAAATAATACGATTTTTTTTTAAGTGAAAACATGGAGCTAAGAAAAAAGATTTAGGAGGCAGAATCAATGGAACTTGGTATGTGTATACTTTGCTTTACATGGCGGCTGTGTTTCTAGAAAAGATGTATAAAAATGAAATTGAAAATGCCCTAAGGGAACTATCGAAACTAGTATTCAAACTAATTTCTAATAGAGAATTTCAAACATACACTAAAGTTGACAGAATGACTTAATGAAACGCAATATACTGACCATCCAGCTTTAACAACTGTCAATTTATGGCCAATTTTGTTTCATTTATATCTCATTCTATTTTTACCCTGCTACTCAGTTATTCTGAAGCAAATGCTAGACATTATATAATTTTAACCATTAAAATTTTAGTATAAATCTCTAATAGGTAGAGTTTTTTTTTTAAATGTAGCCAAAATACCATTATCACACCTAAAAAATTAATAGTAATTCTTGAATGTCATCTAATATTCAGCCATAGTTCAAATATCTGATTATCTCACAAAGTTATAAATTTTCATTTTTACAGTTTGTTTGAATTAAACTCCAAATAAGGACCATGCATTGCAATTGATATACCTTTTAATTCCATTTAAAAAATTATAATTATGGCCAGGCATGGTGGCTCATGCCTGTAATCTCAGCACTTTGGGTAGATTGTTTGAGCCTAGGCAACATAGCAAGCCCCCACCTCTACAAAATAATCAGTGAAACTGGTAAATTAATACCTATCAATGGAATTTTCTGCCTTTTAACCAACTAATTATTTTGAAATCACATTGGCCACAAGGTAAAACTCCAAAGCATGCTAGCTTAGTAGACTGAAATAGAGTAAAACTGACAAGGGGCATGAACAGACCCATTCAGAACTACACTGATTTTTTTCAGAAATAGGGACTGAGCAAAGGCATGTAAGCTTTCTGTGGCAACAGAGAGCCTAATAACTTTTCTGAATGAAATCACAGTTTCAGTTTGCCCCTCCAGAGTCATAGGGCATTTTTGTTTCTCAAAGCAGCCCCTAAGGTATAAGGCGGGCACACTATGAGAGCTCTGGAGTCATATTTATATAACTATCAACACTTTATCTTTTTCCATTGTATTGTTTAGAAACACATAGTGACTCTGATTTTTTTTCTGTAGTACCATTTGTTTGGTCCACCAATTCATTAGCATATTTTAGTGAAATTATTTACCTCGTGTTAAAAGCGAAGGCAACAGCATTCATGGTCAAATAGATGTGATGTTTGTCATGATAGTGGGCTGGCCATATTTGATGGTATGACTACACTTGTTAAAATTAGCCCAACTATACTCAATGTGATTTTTGATTATTTTTCTTCTTGGAGGACTGCAAGCCTCACAAAGAAGCAAACCGGGATTATATGATTATGTCTTTTTCCTCTTTCATTTTGCCTTTCTTACCTAGCGCTAAGCAGTTAGTTAATAACCAATACAAAACTTGAAAAAATGAATCAATCAGTGAATCAGGCAATCAGTAATCACAGACTTAATATTTGCTTTGGTCCTGCCATCATGGGAAAGCTCTATTATCTCTGGAGTCATTACTGAGCCCAAGTTCCTTTGATTATATAGAGGAGACAAAAAATAATAATAATAAGGAGGTAGGCATTTTCCATATAATAGGAACATTCAGTATAATAAAGTAAATTATAACATAAACTGAGAATTTTTCTTTATCATAACATATTAGGTAAACCAAAATATACAATTAGTTCACCAAAATAAACTTAAATTTTATAGCATTTACAGATAAAGTTAAATGCAATTTATTTCTTTGATAGGATAAATTAATAGGGTAATGTATTATTCAAATTTTTTCCTGTTTATTCAGGCCTTACTGATAAGCAATTTCAACTTCCATGTCCAAAGAAATTAATCACATTTAATGTGTTCATTGGTGCAACGACATGCCTAAAATAAGTAGGTGGAAACTGATTTTGCCAGTGTCAGTGGAATGTGTTTTTCCCCAGCTCTGAATGATCATACTTAATGGCAATGCTAAGACAGATGACACATGCGTTTTTGTTGAAGGAATTTCGTTTACTAAAAATAATTAAATGTGTAGTTAATTCTGTTTCCATATGCATGTAGTAAGTTGCTTAAAATCTTACATCTATTCTGAACCAGCTGTGCTTCGCCACATTTTTTTCAATGTTGAAAAAATAGATATGAGACTTTATAAGTACGTTATATTAATCCCTTTTTAGTGACTATGTAGAGAGAATAATGACTGCCCAAAGATTTCTAAACTTTAATGATCAGAAATTGCAAACATATTACCTTACATGGTAAAAGGAACTTTGTAAATATGATTAAAGATCTTGAGATGAAGGGATTATCCCCGCTTATCCAGGTGGGATCAATGTAATTGCAAAGGTCCTTCCTTAAATGAGGGGGAGAAAGACAGATGAGTCAGAACTAGAGAGATGGCATCATAAGAAAGACTACACTGGCCATTGCTTGCTTTAAATATGAAAGGGAGCTACGGGTCAAGGAATGTGGAAACCTCTAGAAGCTGGAAAGGGGCAACAGAACAGATTTTCCCCTAGAGTCTCAAGAAAAGAACACAGCCCCGCAGACTCTCTGCAGAATTTAGCCACTTGATATCCATTTTCAACGTCTGATAGCCACAATGGTAAGATAATAAATTTATGTTGTTTTAAGCTGTAAAGTTCATAATCCTTTGTTAAAGCAGCCACAAGACACTAATACAGTTGTTACAGTAGGTAGCTAGTCAGGCATGAACAGGGCAGGAGAGGGCTCCACCTTCCTCCCCCCGCCACACACCAGGAATGTCAAGCGATCATCAGATGATAGTCAGGCAGTTGTTAACTGTCTCTCTAAAATAATAATTGGTTACAGCCAGTGCCAGAGAAAGGCAGTCTCCTGATAGATAGAAAATACCTGAAACTGGTGATCAGCAGCTTCCTGATAAGATCTCAGAAATTGGGCAAGTGGCCTCAAGCATGCACTCTTAGGGTCCCAATTTGTATATCTTAACATTGATAGCGATTAAAATAAATTGAAAAAAGTTACATGCTTCCACTAGCTTCTCTTCCAACTAAGGCAGATACTCACAATGGTTCACTGCACCCTTTTCCCTGAATCCAGATAGCTTCACAATCCTAAACCCAACAATCCAGGCAGCTGCTACCAGACTATCAGAGTTAACATGTCAAGGTGAAACTTTTTCATCTTTCTTGGAAATGATCTCTAAAATGGCTTCCAGTTCCAAGAACTTAAGTTTCTGTGTTTTTCCAATTTAATGATTCTGCCCCAGCTATTTAAAAATGACTTGATAAGAGTGAATCTTCTCCTGCAGTTTCATTGACTCACTTCTGAGAGTTCCTTTACAAGTTTTCATGAAATTGAGGAGGACACAAAGTTTTTGCAGTATAATAAACCTGATTTAGAGAGTTGTTTCTTGTGCTGACAAAAAAAAGACAAGCTACAGAGAATAATAGGACAGGTGATTTATGCTGGCGCACTTGACCTTAATCTGTCCCTGTTGTTCTACTGAAAGTTGATAGCATTTGAACAGTAAGCATAATGATGACCTGAGAAAGAAACAAAATAAGTCTGGAAGGCTGACATTTAGTTAAACTATAAAGTTAACTAGAAGGAAGAAAGCAACTGCCCCCAAATGAGGAGGCAGTGTTATGTAGTGGAAAGAGCACAGGATTTGTAATCACACAGGCCTCGATTCAAAAAAGAACTTGAAACCTGTGTGAACTTAGGGAAGTCACTGAACTTCTCGGAATCTGGGTCGTTACATGTAAAAATGAGGCATAGTAACTACCTCAAGGGGTTGTGATGAAAGTCAAATGAGCTGAGTTTATTAAGGTCAGTGAAAACGTCCAGTACATGATTTGATAGGTAGTAAGTGTTTGATACATGTCAGTTTCTTACCTTCTTTCCTTCCTTCCTTCTAAAGGGAAAACATGATCTGAGGCACCTTCCCTTATGCAAAATTCTATCTACAAAGACTGCTGCATGCTTTCTTCCTGAGATGAATCTTTTAAATTTAGAAATAATTTTAGAAACTATTTTTTGATGTAAAGAAATCACTGTAAGATTAACTGCTGCCTATAGACCCTTTCTGCATATTTCTCTCAAGGTGGAGATTAAAAACTAGAATAGGAGGACATTTTGTAGCTCTGCTCTGAGAAAGTCTGATTGAACTGGGATTTTCTGATTAGGTTGGTAACATAAAAATGTTATTTGGTGGAATATAAAATCACTGGTAGTAATTCTATATAGGGCTGAATTTAAAAGGCAAATAATAGTGTCTGTTAACTGACTGAGCTGGGGAAGAGGTTTGAAAATGTGGCTTGCAGGCCTTATAGGTCAGATGGTCAGAGAAAGTGGACAAAGAAACCGTCCCTAGAAAAACAGCCTTGTCACAGGATACGTTGCAGTGTTGGCCAGCAGGACCACTGGGAGCTTCCAAGAGATACCATGTTGTCTTAAACATCACCATGCAAATACAGGAACACAATTAAAGCATATAAAGTAATGCAAAATCATGAAATCTTTCACCTCTTGAAAAGAATGGGAATGAAAATGTGCAATATTGGGACCTTTGAATTCCACATGCAAGCTGTTTCCAGCACAACATGGACTGTATTGAATTAAGAATCTCATCAAGATACCTAGGGAAGTATGATTGCTATTTGCACCCTTGCTCCCATCTCAGTTGGCTTTGTCTGTGGCATCTGTATTTGCACAGCCAAATATTTCAGTGCAATTTGAAGAGCTGAATATATTTGCTGAAAAGTTAATGGGGTTTTAAATCTCTTAGAAACTCGATAGTTTCAAAAAAAATTATTTCTGTTTATGGATAAAGAACAGAGGCTTGTCATTTGAAAGATTTTATATGCATAAATGTAAAGTTCAACAAGGCTTTAAAAAAATCTTTAATGCAATTCATAATGTACAGCAGGCTTTCACTAAGTTACACCTGCACAACTTATGAAGAGCTGCAAGTAAAACATGGCTGATGGGGAACACAGGAGTGGTGCTCTTCCAGTTAAAACTTTTTTTTCTTACCCTACATCTAATTAAAGATACTTTCCTGGCACCATTTTATTCCCTTCAAATTGCTGCAAGAACTGTGTGAACGAAAGGGAGAAATGTTTCTGGGCTATGAGGCAGGTATACAGCATAAAGTGAACAAAATGTATTTCCCAAAGACACTGATTTCACCTCACCCTGGGGCATAAAACTATATAACCCATATAAAGGTCACCTTCTGGCCTCAAGGTCCAGTCGCACAGAAGACTGCATTCAAAGAAACAATTGTATGTTGATCAAAAAAAGTTAAAAATTGAAATTCTTTTTTTTCTTCTCTCCTTGACTTCAAAAATGCTTATTGGGTCCTTCCCTCCACTTGGGGTGGCTGAGGCCTACAGGGCCTGTGGGCCTGGGGCCACTGGACACTAATGGGCCAGGCCTGAGAAGGTAGTTGGGGTCAATGAGGCAGAGTGGGAAACAGAGCTGAAAGATAAGGGACAAATAGGAGGTTAAAGCCAAGAGGCAGCTAAAGCTAAGGAAGTAATTGGGGCTGAGTTTTTGGCCGGGGCTGAGGGGGCAGCAGGTTACATTGGGGCCCACAGAGCCAGGATGAAAAATGCAGTCAGGGCCGGAGAAGGTACCTGGAGCAGGGTGGAGCTGGGGATGACATTGCAATTAGGGCCTCTAATTGACTACCATTGAACTGGGTCACTCTATTTATGCAGATTTTAGACAGCTTCTTCCTTCCTGGAATAAACGTATTAGAAGTGCTTCCACTTGGCTCATCTTCAGACAGTCATATTTTTATTCTGTCCCTGCCTTCCAACCTCAGCCCAACAATCCCAACTACCTGTGTTTCTGTGGCCCACAGGTCCTAAACAGGCCTGACTCCACCTGTCCAATCCCTTGGTGCTTAAGCCTGAGTCTAGGTGAGGTCACCAGGAATGTGATGGGAGAGCTTGTCGTGGAGTCGTGGGTCTTTTGTCCTCTACACTCAGGGCAACAGATCTCCTCTGTGTCCAGATGTGAGTGCACAATCTGGAAGCCGTGTGCACAGAGAACTTAGCAATGAATGCATTTCAGGTGAAGGAGGCTAAGCCAATGCCTCGGCTTTCTCGAGTGCTTGGGCCCCACAGAACACAGATGGGACTTAAAAGGGCAGATGATGGTAAACGCAAAATGCTGAGACATGTTGAGTGGCCCTCTCTGATCACTCCATGTTTCTTAATTAAGATTTGTCCACTTATATCAGAAGGTAACATTCCTACATAAAGTTCATGTCAGCTGGCAAATTATGCTATCCTCTTTCAAGCAAAACAACTGTATACACAGGTATGGATGCAATAAGATCTAAAAGGCTTTACTTAATATAACAGATCACAGTTTTAAGTGCTTACATGCATAATATAATAAACTTATAAGGTTTAAAATATAACCAAAAACAAAGGGACAATTCTAGTCTCCCAATGCTATTACATTAAGATACTATTTCTAAAACAGGGCCATTTCCAGCAGGTGATTATTTAGGGATTATGACAATGAAACATTATACATCTCAGTAAATTCCAGAGCATAGTTTAGGCATCCCAGCTTTTGTCTAGAATTGTAATTACTCATTCCAGAAAAGAGAAAATACAGGAGCTGACAATTATAGCACAAAATATTTTTTCCATGTTAAGGCCTGTTGTGGAGATGATGGTCCATTTTGTTATTTCTTCAGGAAACACAGTTCAAAAGCCAATGGGCTATTTCAATACATAGGTAGCCATCTTCTCTTTGTACCCAAGTGACCAAACATGCTGGTTACAGCTCTCATTGCATCCTATCGATTTTACTTATTTATTAGACCTACAAGGTTCTATATGCTACTTATCACAGATATAATCAAATCTTTCTTTCTTACTGTCTGTTTTAAAATGTCTACCCTGATAGATTTTAAACTTCATGAAGACAACAAATACATTTGATTTGCCATATTTTCTCTAGTGCCTGGCATAATGCATGATTCCTAGTAAATCCTCCATAAATATGTGGAGAGAGAGAGAGAGGAAAGAAGGAAGGATAAAATGAAGTAAAAATGGAAGGAAGGAAGAAAGGAAAGAAAATGAAGGAAGATACAGATGTAACAAAAGAAGAAAGAAGATGGAGGAAAGGAGATAAATATAAAAGTTTTGTGGCCAGGCACGGTGGCTCACGCCTGTAATCCCAATACTTTGGGAGGCCGAGGCGGGCAGATCACCTGAGGTCGGGAGTTCAAGACCAGCCTGACCAACATGGAGAAACCCCTTCTCTACTAAAACCACAACATTAGCCGGGCGTGGTGGCGTATGCCTGTAATCCCAGCTACTCGGGAGGCTGAGGCAGGAGAATCACTTGAACCTGGGAGGCGGAGCTTGTGGTGAGCCATATCGCGCCACTGCACTCCAGCCTGGGCAAAAAAAGCGACACTCCATCTCAAAAAAAAAAGTTTTTTTCTACAGTGCAATCAACGTGACTTATGAATAAATAGGTTAATAATGATTAACGATTTTAACCTACAAGACAATTCACTTGGCAATGCATGACATTTACAAGATAGCAACATTTTAGTCCTTTCGTACAGCAGATATGTGGACTATAAATTATTTGTAGAATTTTGGAACGGTCTTGGTTTCCTTATACTATAACCTCTGTTTCCAAATGAATTCTGATCCTTTTTTTAAAATAGAAGTGTCCTATCCAGAAGTCTTTAACGTCTCTGTATCATTCCCATTAAGTAGTACTACTCAAAAACCTCAGTCATTCTTGAAACTTTTTCTTGCCACACATTTCCAATCCATTATCAAGTCTGTCAAGGTTCCCTCCTTGATAATTTTTTAACCTGTCTTTCCCTTTGTCTCCATTGTTACAAGTCTAACTAAAGCTACCATTATTTTTCCCTTAGTCAACTGAAATAACCTCCTAACTGATCTCCTTGCGTCTACTCTGGATACTTCAATCTACTTACCCTCCTGCAACCAGAGTGTTTCAAAACACAAAATTGAGCATGCCAAACTGCATGCATAAAAGTCATCAGTTTCTCACTTCTCATGAATAAATAACTAAAATTCTTAACATGACCTACAAGGCTCTGTATGGTATGACTTCCCCATACTTTTCCAGCGATGTCTAGCAGCATTCTCATCCTCACCCTCTACACTCCAGTCCCTCTAGCCTGATTTTGGTGCCTTTAAAGTATCAGTCTCTCCTGCTATACAGTTATTATACATACTGCTTTCTTCTGGCATGTTCTCATACATCTATGCCCTTTACCTAATTAAAGCCTACTGATATTCTCGGTCTCAGCTCAAGTAACGATCCTGCAGAAAATTTCCCCTGGACAACCTTTCTCCCTAGTCTAGGTTAGGGTCCTTTATAATGTGTTCCATGTAATCATGTTCTTGGCCTTAATAAAATTTGTTTTAGATTATAATAAAATACTTATGTAATTGACTTATTAATATCTATTTTAACAATTATAAGAAGTATGAGAACCATGTCTATTTTGTTCAACATTGTATACATATTTTCTAGCATAATGAGTACCACATAATTGATAATCAATACATATTGTTGAAGAAGTTTATACTCAAATATGTATGGTTTTTTAAATGATCTCATAAACATACGGGACATTTTCAGAAACCCATTTGTAACCCAAAATGAAAACTCCGATTTGGTATTTTAATTAACCACCTCTATGATTAAAAAGGAACAGTAACATCAATATTGTACTTGGTGACACTTTTTTTATGAAAAAATGTTGAAACATTGGGTTTTCACATAACTTTGTGATGAAACCAAATTAATATGCTGTACATTTCGATCTCATCATCAAATCACCTTGAATTTGAATAATAAAATTTCTCCACTGAGCCAAAGTTTTATTCTCATTTCAAATGTCTACCTATGGGAGAATGGTACAAGTGTCTATTCAAACGATATCAAAGAGTTAGGTGGTATTATGGACTTCTACACAGAAATTTATTCACTGATGTTTTGATAGAAAAATATCCTCAAAGACTTTTTTACATTAAAAGTTTGGAGTCAGTCTTTGCAGCTACAAGTCATCTGAATTGCTATCATTGAAAAATCCCAGGCTCCTTTGGCTAGAACAACAACAACAAAGAAAATAGTTTTCTTTATTTAATTGCACATATTGTATCTTGTTCTTATTCTTAAATGATGGAAAACATGAAGGTTAGATGAGGATTATACGATGAAGGTATGCATACTACTAGTGCTGAATGATTATAGTCTAGGTTTGGGCCAAAAGAGAGCCAAATCAAATTAAATTGCAAGGTAGGATATAAAATTCATACAAGGTACAACATTCATAAGAAAAAAAATAATACTTATGGGAAAATGGTGGACGCTCTGCGTGTAAAATAAAAGTGTTGACAATAAGAAAACTAAGAAATAAGAACTTTTCTGACTCTTTTTGTAACCAAGTGCCCCCATTTTTCTAAGAGATAGTTTAATGGCTTTCTTTTCTCTTTTGCCCTTTCCCTTTACTTCCTACTCAGTGCTTTTTGAAATGCAAAATAAACTCTCACCTCTCCCTCATCAGACATTCTCTGCAGCGCAAGTTCATCTGGGTGCTCTGGATCTCTCTTCGAGAGTTTACAGCCTATTTGCAGATCAAAGCATGTCCCCTTGGAACTCCCATCTCCAGGGTTTCACCTCGAGAAGATATGCCAAAAGCATGTCCACTTGGACAACTGCACAGTAGATAACTGCCCAGTAGCAGGGAGGACCCCTCCCCTTGCTCATTTCTCCCTTACCTTATAAAAGTCTCTGCTTTTTGACACATGAAAAAATGCTCATCATCACTGGCCATCAGAGAAATGCAAACCAAAACCACAATGAGACACCATCTCACACCAGTTAGAATGGCGATCATTCAAAAGTCAGGAAACAACAGGTGCTGGAAAGGATGTAGAGAAATAGGAACACTTTTACACTGCTGGTGGGACTGTAAACTAGTTCAACCATTGTGGAAGACAGTGTGGCGATTCCTCAGGGATCTAGAACTAGAAATATAACTACTTTCTCATAGTTATATTTCATTTGACTCAGCGATCCCATTACTGGGTATATACCCAAAGGATTATAAATCATGCTGCTATAAAGACACATGCACACGTATGTTTATTGCAGCACTATTCACAATAGCAAAGACTTGGAACCAACCCGAATGTCCATCAATGATAGACTGGATTAAGAAAATGTGGCACACATACACCATGGAATACTATGCAGCCATAAAAAATGATAAGTTAATGTCCTTTGTAGGGACATGGATGAAGCTGGAAACCATCATTCTCAGCAAACTATCACAAGGACAGAAAACAAAACACCACATGTTCTCATTCATAGGTGGGAACTGAACAATGAGAACACTTGGACACAGCGTGGGGAACATCACACACCGGGACCTGTTGTGGGGTAGAAGCAGGGGCAGGGACAGCATTAGGAGATATACCTAATGTAAATGACGACTTAATGGGTGCAGAACACCAACATGTCACATGTATACATATGTAACAAACCTGCACGTTGTACACGTGTACCCTAGAACTTAAACTATGAAAAAAACAGTGTCTGCTTTTTGCTCCAAAAGCCAGACAGCACATTTAAATCTTGGGGCCAGCATGTCTCAGGTCGCGGAGGAGTTTGGAATATTTACGATTGGAGATATTATTTGTGGTTAATGCTCATGCTGACCTTAGCCATTAGGCTAATGCCCTTTGGATTTAGGCAGTTTTCGATTAAGGTGACTTTTAAAATGACAGTGCTTGTTCAAGATGGCGATACTCCTGCTTTGTCAATCCAGACCCTATAGTTATAAAAAGGACAAGGGGCAGCGTGTTCTTTTTGGCTACTTCCTGCTGACGAGGGGACGGAGAGTTTTTTGGCTTTGGGTTGACAGTAGGAGCAATGCCGTCTGTAGATGTTTTTGGGTAGTTGTCTGTGAAATGGCCGTGATCCTGTTAGTTAAAATTTTCTGAAAAAGCTTAATTAGGCAGGGTAAGAAAATTAGCCCCAGGCATATTATTAGGAGAGGGCCCAGAAATAGGATGGCCCATGCTATGATTGTGTTCCCAAACCAAGAACTTATTTGGTTGTTTTGGTACTCCCTTACCTTTTTAGCCTTTTCTTTATGTTTGTTTTAGCAGCGTTTTTTTACTAGGCCTGATTGGTTGATAAAGAAACAATATTCCTTACCTAATGAGAGGTAGAAGCACATGTTTGGAAAGGCCCATGTGTTAGTTTCTGTTAGTAAGCGTTATTCCTGCTAAGAGGCTAATAATTAAGCAAAATGCTACAGTAATTGAGATTGTTTTTGTCTGACATTTTACCCTGAGGGTGCTACAGTATATAGTTTTACTGCAAATAGTAGAGTGAGTAAAGCAGTTTCCACAAGGGTGGTGTAGTCAATAATTTCCATTAAAAAGTTGTAATATTTGGCTTGAAAGGAGAGATAGGAATGACAAAAGTGTTTGGTGAGGTAGGGGTGAGACTGAGTAAGACGAGCAATTCTTTCTCGGTTATTTATTTTTTATGATTTTTAGCTTACGATTTCCTATTTCTTTATTTGCTCCTGTGAGGGTTAGGGGGCTTAGAGGCAGTGCCTGCTGAAACATCTAGTTTCCAGTTTATAGGGCTTTAAGAAAGCACAGCTTATTTTGAAGTCTTGTAGTCAGAAAAATTAGAACTTAATTTAAACAGTAGCAAATAATAACTGAAAAACATCAGGCAACTCTAGAATTTAACAAGAGGGGTGTCATAGTTTTGGAAACATAATTTCCTCTCTCCACTTTCCCATTTTTATTAAAAGACAAATTATGGTAGGTTTGCTTTAGGATACTTGGCTTACTTATTTGCATACAGTGCTGCAAGAATAATTATTTGTTACATAGGCCTTTTAAATGGGCTTTGGTGGAATTTGGTTTTGTAGAAGCAATCTGAGATAAAAGACTTTTTAAAGCCAAGCCCAGCCATGGATTTGTACCATTAAATACCTATGAGTTGGGTGAATTCCTCTCCTCTTGATGTTTCAAGATAACTTAGGGTTCCTGGCCTGTTAGAAAGTGACATGTTCTGTTTACCACAGATCACAAACCCTGTACGGGGACTGTGTACACAAAATATGAGGCCAGTTTTTCAAGGGCTTTATTGGCTTTATAAGTTAAAGCTGGATTCCTTAAAGGAAAAGCACACCATTCCAGTTAAAGCCTTGGTAAGAATAACCAGTTTTTCCAATCGTGTCCCGTTACAAAAGAAAACAGATTCTTGTTGTATTTATGCAAATAACTATATTGCCATAACTTAAGAATACTCATAGATAGTTTCCAAATTTTGGAGAGAATCAGGTAGAGAGAAACAAGTATCCTCCAAATTTTGTTGATGGGAGTTAACAGTTAAAAGTTAAACAGTTAAAAGTGAACAGTTAACTCCCATACATATGGGAGTTAGCAGTTAACAGTTAAAAGCTGTTAATCGCTTAAAAAAAGTTTCTTTGACTTTGAAAGGTAAAACAAAGGGATAGCAATATTTTAAGCAAAACATTAAACAGATTAGTTTCCTATTAGTTTGGTTTATGCAGTTAATTCCTGTCCTGCTTTTTATCAGAAACCTGCAATCAGAGCTTTATAGCTGATTAGAAAACCACCCTTTGAAGAGGACTAAAACAAGACAACAATTGTTTATGGATGACAAAAAGTTTTAGGGTAGCCATAGTTAAAGACACAGTTGACAAAGATATCCGTTACCTCTGTGGCACACAATAATTTTAACAAAACAATTATAATTATTAGTGATAACGTACACTAAGATATATTAGAATGATAGGAATCTGCCATAACTTTGGAACACATCCCAATAGCATATTTATACAACTATAGCCCAAAGAAAGCCAAATACCATTTTATATTTGACAATGCTTCCTGTATGATTTTATATCAAATAAGCCAAATTTTACCATTGTATTAGTGTGCTATTAATGTTAAGCTCCATTTTTCATAAAACCTTGTAGACGCATTTACCCAATGTTCATGTTTGACCGGAAGGTAAGGTTTTTATAGACCCTTTTTAACCGTTTATACTTTTTGTTAAAGAGCAGGTTAGTGCTTTAACAGAAACCCATTGTGCTTTTATTTTAATGCTCGATTTACAGAAAACCTGAATGATACCCCTTTAACTTTAGCCAGTATGTACACACACGAAATTTTCTTTACAATTAACCTTCCAAAACTTGCTTAAACCTTTAAAACAATTTTTTAACCTTTTAATGTAGGCAAAAATCCACATTCTTAGGCCTCCTTATAATCTTTTTACCAAAAGTATATTTTACTTTCCTTACACACCTTGCTCATAAACTATTTCTTCGGTAGTTTTAAATACGTGTTACACTGCTAACTTTTAGCAACCTTTACTTTTGATGAAAACCTTGGTAAGTCTGGGAATCTAATTACGCACTAGGTGTAGGGCCTAGGACCCAGACGGAAGTGCGAAGAAGGTCTGGCTTATTCCAGCATTTAACTCCATGTGTCCTAGGGTTTATTCAGCTGCAAAGCAGGCAAGCTGTACAGCTAAGAGTTAGAGTGAAATTGTATACAGCATTCAGGAGGCCGAATTACTTTTAAATTGTGCGACATTTCTTGCACAAATTCCCTTTTATAAAATTCTTCACGACTTTCACAGACAATTTCTGACATGCCTTACCTTTCTGACTTGTTGTAAAGTCATCCCTTTTTTTAAACAACAGTTAATTTACTTTAGGACAAAAATTTACCATGTGAGATTCTTTCTTATACCAATTATCTTTTCTTTAATATTAAAGATGATAACAGTTCTTTCCCAAAACAAATTTCCTTCATGTCTGTGGACTAGACTGCCTAAGGCCACAAGGTTAGAAGTTAGCATATTTTACTAAATAGTTAAAGATATAGCTATCTTCGTTAAACCAATATTCATGCTTTATTTATTGAAAAAATTACACAAGCAAAGATTATTTTGTTTGGGCTGAGTTGTCGTTTTGTAGCCTCTGTGCCAAATGTTGACACCTTATAGTATTTTGCAGCCATAAGTATGAAATTGCTTGATTAATAAATGCAAATAAAAACGTACGCTGGCACCTCTTAACGACTTTCAACTCAACTTTTAACTTTGCTGTACCGGTAAGTTCTAAAGATTAAAATTACGAGAACTGAAAGGTCCCACAGCTTTTACTTTTCCCTTAAAAATATTTGATTTAAGTGCTTATTTTTTTGGCCAGTTAATTAGAGTTCTTTTAATAGACATCGCACACATAAAACATATATAGCCACACAGACAATCAGAAGAAGATTGAGTAGTTATGAGATTTTTTTTCTGCTAATTTTCCAATTGGATTATTGGCCTTCGGGTGAGGCCTTTTAAGAACAGGGCTAAGAAAGCAGTTTCTAGGGCCTAATGAACAAGTACAGTTGGAAGACAAAGACAGATCTTTGAGAGGTACTTATTTATCTTTAAGTCTAGGGGTTTCATAAGGAAAACAGAGGTTTTTCCCAAAACGGGATTTGTGGCACCTTTTTTGTTTTCCCAAGGAGTCCCAGGCCACCAGGAGTCATTTCAGGGTCTTTCATACATGCACCAAGAGTGGCAAGACAGAGTGGAGAAAAAGTAATTTAGTCGACCAGGAAAAAACCTTTTCCAGGAAAACAAAATTTATGAAGAGCAAAACATGAACGCGGCTGGGCACGGTGGCTCACGCCTGTAATCCCAGCACTTTGGGAGGCCGAGGTGGGCGGATCTTGAGGTCAGGAGTTCCGAGACCAGCTGGGCCAACATAGTGAAACCCTGTCTCTACTAAAAATACAAAAATTAGCCAGGTGCGGAGGCAAGCGCCTGTAGTCCCAGCTACTTGGCAGGCTGAGACAGGAGAATGGCTTGAACCCAGGAGGCAGAGGTTGCAGTGAGCCGAGACCACGCCTCTGGGTGGAGGGGAGGAGGTTATCTTGGGGCTGGCATCTTCCTGGCCAGGGTGGGGTTATCTTGGGGCTAGCTTGTCTCTGGTCGGGGAGGAGTCTGGAATGTTTCTGGTTGGAGATGTTATTTGCGGTTTATGGTCATGCTGACCTTAGCCATTAGGCTGATGCCGTTTGGATTTTGGCGGTTTTTGATTAAGGTGAATTTTAAAATGACAGAGCTTGTTCAAGATGGCAATACTCCTGCTTTGTCAGTGATGTCCTAAGCCTCTAGCCCCTGATGCCTTGGTATCGTCACTGATTGCAAAAGCTATGCCATGCCGAATGTGCATTTTCAGGAAGGAACAATCAGCATGTTTCTGAGTTTGGAGACCTGGATTCTTGCAAGAGACTGTGGGTTCCTATGATCCTATGGTCTCTTCCAGCTTTAATATTCTATGATAAAATGATGTCCAATGCTTTCTCTATTGCAAAAATCTGGCCAGACGTGGTGGCTCACACTGTAATCCCAGCACTTTGGGAGGGTGAGGCAGGTGGATCACACGGTCAGGAGATCAAGACCATCCTAGCTAACATGGTGAAACCCCATCTCTACTAAAAATACAAAAAATTACCCGGGCATGGTGGCACGCACCTGTAGTCCCAGCTGCTCAGGAGGCTGAGACAGAAGAATTGCTTGAACCCGGGAGACAGAGGTTGCAGTGAGCCGAGATCACGCCACTGCACTCCAGCCTGGGCGACAGAGCTAGACTCTGTTGCAAAAAAAAATGTGTGTGTGTGTGTGTGTGTGTGTGTGTGTACACATATGTCTGCGTGTGTGTGTGTGTGTATATATATAAATCTCGGTTCTAGTTGTTTGATGTCATGAATTTTCACATCCTATTATACTCACTAGTAATAGTTTGTAATTACTGAACATACACTATGTACTAGGCTCTGTGCTAAAAGCTTAAATATATTAATTAATTTGTTTTTCAAAACAATCCTGAGAAGTAGGTGCTAGCATTTTTTCCATTTTTCATACGAAGAATCTAAGACTCAGAGGAGTTAAGAAACTTGACCTACATCACCCGACTAGGACGTAGCAGAATTTCAGATTTGAACCAGGCCCATGATCTTACTTTTATTCCATATTTCCTCTGAACATAACAAGAGTAATACTAATGAGTACAACATTAATATAAGTTTAGTACTACAGTTGGCAATTTAATAACCCTTGCCACAACTGTGAGAACATGTAGCATGAATAGTACTCTATCCATTTTATTGATAGGGAATTAATAACTTACCAGTGTTGCTCCCTGACAGTTAAAACATGTAAATGCTTTCTAGTAATGAAGACTGCAATACTAAATTCAGGTTAACCAAATATTTCATTCACCAAATATTGCTTGCAAGTTTACATGTTCCAGGTACTGTAGTAAAATAACTGATAAAAGTATCATTTTTTTGGAAAGAAGTACAAGTACCATTTAATGTCTTCACCATTAAATGGAGGATAGCCTTTCCAATAAAGTGACTTCTGACTAGTGACCTTAAGAAAATTCGGATACACAGGCCGGGCGTGGTGGCTCACGATTGTAATCTCAGCACTTTGGGAGGCGAAGGCAGGCGGATCACGAGGTCAGGAGTTCAAGACCAGCCTGGCCAACCAATGAAACCCCATCTATACTAAAACGACAAACATTAGTCAGCCGTGGTAGCAGGCGCCTGTAATCGCAGCTACTCAGGAGGCTGAGGCAGGAGAATTGCTTGAAACCAGGAGGTGGAGGTTGCAGAGAGCCGAGAGTGCACCACTGCACTCCAGGCTAGCCGACAAAGCAAGGCTCCATCTCAAAAAAAAAAAAAAGGAAAGAAAAAGAAAAGAAAAGAAAATTAGGATACATAGTGGATATTTTAGAGAAGAAGCTTCCAGGCAGAAGTATGCAAAGACCGTGATATGGATGGCAGGTTAGAGGAATCACATGCATGGTGAGTTACAAGAGTCACAGATTGGGGAGTGTGATAGAAGCAGAGTGATTCATGAGAAGAATAAGTATTAATGTCAGAGAGGTAATAGGTGCCCACATCATGTACGGCCTTATTAGGAATTTGGATTTTATTTTCATGAAGATGAAAACTCTGTGGAGTTTTCATCAAAGGAAAAACATGATCTGGCTTAAAATATATTTGTAGGAGATCAAGGATAGAAGAAATAACCCATTGTCATTATTACATTACCAAATATTTTTCAGAATCATTTTTTGTTTGCTCAGATGATTTTCAAAAACATCTTTAGCTACTTAATTTAACTTGTTAAGTATTCAGACTTGTGAAGCTTTCTACCAATTTGGGTTTAAGCTCGTCTCCTCTCTTCTCTCCTCTTCTCCTTTCCTCCCTCCCTCCCTCCCTCCCTCCCTCCCTCCCTTCCTTCCTCCCTCCCTTCCTTCCTTTCTTTCTTCCTTACTTCCTTGTCTTTTAGATTCCTCCCAGAGCATAAGATAACACAGGACGAGGTTTGCTGTCTGAAATGAGTTCAAGTCCCCTGTTATTACAAGAGTTCAAAAACGTGATGACCTCCAAAGGATGCTTAAGAAATAGAATCAGTCTTAAGTTGTAGTGTGGTGTATGGGGATCACTCTCTAGGGTCTATATTTAGTCAATGACAAAATATTTGCTGACTTTCAAATGGATCGGTGATTTCTTGTTTTTGTTTTTGTTGTTTTGAGACAGTCTGGCTCTGTCACCCAAGCCGGAGTGCAGTGGCACGATCTCGGCTCACTGCAACCTCCACTGCCTGGATTCAAGCAATTCTCCTGCCTCAGCCTCCCCAGTAGCTGGGATTACAGGCGCCCGCCACCACGCCCAGCTAATTTTTTTTTTGTATTTTAGCAGAGACAGGGTTTCACCATGTTGGCCAGGTTCGTCTCAAATTCCTGACCTCGGGTGATCCGCCCGCCTCGGCCTCCCAAAGTGCTGGGATTACAGGCATGAGCCACTGCACCTGGCCAGATCAGTGATTCTTGATTTTCTTGGCCATGAAGAAAATGATGCAATATGCTCTTCAAGGGCCTTTCTGCAGAATAGAGAAGATGAGATGCAAACTATTCTCATTGATGAACACCTTGGTTATAACTATATCTCTTTCTCTTACATTCAGAAAATTGTATTGGAATGCAAATGGTTGTGAGAGATACCACTTTTTATTGAAACAGCTGGCACATGAATATACCTGGTTACAATGCTTGGCCGAATGAGAAATGCAATGCCATTTTATGTAATTGCACTTAATATGCATGAGTCTCACACTTAATCAATTCAGAATCTCAGAATTTCCCAATGTTGTATCCATCGAACATCTCCTGAGATGCGTATCATCCCATCTGGCCCTAAATGGCTGATTCATGCAGAACATTTTCATGTCATCCCTCAAGCCCAACCACAGGGCACCTTCAGATCCAACTCTCTTTAAAACACTTTAGTGTCCTTCTTAGGGGCATGAGAAACATCAAACTGGTTTCTTTCACCATTCTGATTCTTCAAGAAAGGAAGTAGAGCTGTTATAGGCCATTTAGTGACTATGTGCTGCTCTCAGGTAGCCCCTCTCCCTCTGCTGTCCTGCACAGAAAAACATAGTACATGATTAACTATGTAAGACTCTCTCAGGCCCATCTTCCCAGGCAGAACACTTGGACATGTCTTTCTTCTTTATTTTTATTATTTTAAACTGAACAGATAAAATGGAATGTGTCTATCATGTATCTAATGTTTGAAGTATATACATTGTAGAATGAATAAATATAGCTAATTAACATATGCATCATCCCACAAAGTTATCATTTTGTATTGAGAACACTTACCATCTACTCTCTTAGCATTTATCAATAATACAACATATTATGATCACCTGTAGTCACCGTGTCGTACAATGTATCTCTGCAGCTTATTCCTTCAGTCTAACAGAAATTTGGTATCCTTTGAGCAATGTCTTTCCAGCCACCACCACCGAGCCCCTAGTCACCACCATTCTACGCTCTACCTCTGTGAGACTTCTTAATTTTTTATTATTTTATTTTTAAATTTTTGTTAACTTTTATGTTAGGTTCAGGGGTACATGTGCAGGCTCGTTATAAAGGGAAGTTGCGTGTCACATGGGTTTGGTGTACACATTATTTCATCACCCAGGTAATCAGCATAATAGCTGATAGGTAGCTTTTCAACCCTCACCCTCCTCCCCATCCTTTACCCCCAAGTAGACACGGGTGTCTGTTGTTCCCTTCTTTGTGTCCATGTATACCGATGTTTAGCTCTTGCTTATAAATGGAAAAAGGTGGTATTCCATTTTCTGTTCCCACGTGAGTTCGCTTAGAGTAATGGCCTCCAGCTCCATCCATGTTGCTGCAAAAGACATGATCTCGTTTTTTTATGGCTGCATAGTATTCCGTGCTG
The DNA here is from genome assembly GCF_000001405.40 of Homo sapiens. Classification (NCBI taxonomy): domain Eukaryota; kingdom Metazoa; phylum Chordata; class Mammalia; order Primates; family Hominidae; genus Homo; species Homo sapiens. The sequence continues at coordinate 141,593,359 of NC_000023.11, read as the reverse complement.
TTTATGTACCACATTGTCTTTATCCAGTCTGCTGCTGATGGGCCTTTAGGTTGATTCAAAATCTTTGCTATTGTGAATAGTGCTGTGAAGAACATACGCATGCGTATGTCTTAATGGTAGAATGATATATATCCTTTGGGTATATATCCAGTAATGTGATTGCTGAGATGAATGGTATTTCTAAGTTCTTGCAGAAATCACCAAACTGCTTTCTACAATGGCTGAACTAAGTTACATTCCCATAAACAGTGTATAGGTGTTCTCTTTTCATTTCTTTCAAGGCAGCAGGTTTCTTTCTGGCCTAGGGTGTGTCTAGAAATGTTATCCAGGAGCGAGTGCCTGGAGCAGGGGCTTCACAACCCCGACCGGTGCCCTGTCCCGCTGTAGTTGAGCTGGTATTCAAGATGCAAGAAAAAAAACGCTCCTCACTATTCCATCTCCTCAAGTGGAAGGAGGGGGTCTTTTATGGAGCCGCTAGCTGGGCAGTCTGGGGCTAGGGCAGGGGTGACACCAGCACTCACTTGGCTGCCCCAGCTGGTATCTCAGGAGGTCATGTGCACCCCTCCACATACCCGCCACAATCCACTGCCTCTGGGCCCAATTCTATGCTAGAACTCACCTACGAGTTAGAGATCTTATGGCCTAGACTGCCTTTAAGGTTGTCTGAGAAACCTGGAACCGTTTCTTAGCCCTTGGTGGCAAGGTTTGCAGAAACTCAAGTTCTGATTCCTGGGATGGGTAATTTCCCTCTGGCTAGAGGTGGTTTCAATGCTCCCTTCCCAGATGGGAGTCAGCTAAGTTTGGTCTGGTTTTCCTTTCTCCTGTAAGAGACAGCACCGAGGTCAGCGACCCACAACTGCTCTGCTCTTGCTCGTCCAGCTTCCAGAGATGCTCTTTACACCATACTGCCACTGCCTAGGATAGGGAAGGGGTGGGGTCAGCGATTTAAGACTGTTTCTTCTAACTCTTCAGTGCCTCTTTCAGTGATACCGCCAGGTACTATGAGAGTTCCCCTGATTTTGGGTTCTTATGGAGGTGTTTTCTACTGTGTGGATCGTTGTTAAATTTGTGTCCTTGCGAGGGGGCTGATCTGGGCAGCCTTCTATTCTGCTTTTCTTGCTCCGCCTCTCTCAGCTTAGTTTTGGTTTGGTTTTGTTTGTTTTTCCTCTGCAATGCCTAAGGCTAAAGAATGTGATCCCGTATTACTATCCTAAATATGAAAAATTCTTTAATGTCTCGTGCTGGGTGGAAATAGTAGTTTGCAATGAGGAATACCTTCAATTGTACATATCAAAGAGTAAGAAAAAAAGCATTGGGATTTTTTGTTTTTACCTTGTGGTCCGACAACTTGAAAGAATATTCTTTTATTCCAAAGATGGTACGTGTGGGATTTTGTTCCGGAAATCAGTGCTAGGTATTTAGGTATTTGGTTGGAGAAAAGCAAACTGGTTTTTGTCTATTGATATTTAGTATATTTTATTTTTTCATGTTATCCATGACAGTGTTATGACTTAGCAAACAACAGTTACAAATAACTAAAATTGTAATTGCTCCTGCATTTCTATTTAACTCCCTCATGTATCCTGAGAAGACCTTCTTGTTTTACCTAATGATCTCTCCAACACCCCTGAACTCTCAAGAGGTAGACACTATGTGAAGGTCAATTCAAAGACAGAAACTAAAACCCCATCCACGGGTGACTCCATGGTGAATCCCTGTGGTGTCTTTTCCCGCTAACCGATGTGTATCCACCAAGCAGTTTTCTTTTTCAGTATAAATATTATACTGTTTGACATTTTAAGACACATGGTAATCAAAATCTATAGCCTTAATTAAATGATGACTTTCAGGAAATTATCATGCAAAATGGAAGTGTTAGGAAGCCGATAATAGACACACTCTCCTAAAAATGATCTCACCACATCACACCTAACCCTTCTCACCACCTTGCAGTTCACATTCCATGGGAAAAAGCTCCTCATACTTAAGAGTGTTTTACTTTCCTTTTCCCAAGTCATGGCGATTTTGAATATTCACCCTTTGCGGATATCAACACATTTCTAAAGTATACTTATCTTGATTAAAGACTGCTGAGGTCATTAAAACACTAACAAATATTTAAGATGCATTGAACATTTTGTTTTAGAATTGGCTTTTCAATCATTTCATCACAAGCAATGCTTTCCTGCCGTTTACTTACTCCTACATCTACTATCTTCTTTTGTATTGTGCTTTGTGTTTTACAGAACATTTGCTCTTTATAAAGCATCTATTTCTAGCCTAGGAAAATATCAAATGGAAAGGGGATGGGAATACCTTTGATATGTCCATTCAGCAGAACTATGTGCTGCCGGGTACAGTTGCGTGAACATATACACATCTCCACTTCCTGTGAGATAAAATTTTAAGAAGAAAATTTTCTTTAGGAATCAGTCCTCCCCCAGGCCTTATTTACAATGTCTGGCTTACTGTCAACCTGTGGGTCTGTCCACCAACCCTACAGGACCTCATATCCCTCCCTTCTCAAATGCCTACCTCTTCCCTTCCCTTCCCTTCCCCCGCCACCATCAGAAAACAGGCAGAGATATACACAGCCATCAGCTTCTCAAACTTTATTTTCATTGCCCAAGGTTGAGAGATGTAGCTTCTTGCTACTTTGCAGGTATTTCAACCATTATTTCCATGAATTCCTCCTCCTCCATTTGGAGGGGGTTGATTCTGTTCTCTCGGGCGTGGTCATTCAGCAGTTCCTCTGGAGATGTTCTTTTAAAGTTCCTCCTGTAGCGAACCACTAGTATGGTCGAGGACTCAGATGTTTTCATTTTTTTAGGAGCAGGTTGCGGGTCTGAGTCCCCAGTTGGGGTCTCCGGCATCTGTTAAGAAAGCAGGGAGAGGCCAGGAGGACATTATTTTGGGTGAACAGGATAGAGACTGGATAGCAAGGGGACTTCATGAGAAGAAGGAATGCGGGTTGAGGAAGGGGTTTGATCCAGAGAAGAAGAAGGTTGAAGCACAGAGTAGGGATCTATGGGGAAGAAGAAGAGGAGCGTGGGTAGGGTCACCTGTGAGTCCAAACTGCACCATTTTGTCAGTTCTTTGCTATTTTGCAGACCTTGGTCAAAGTGAAACATCCCATGGGGGTTCAGGCCGTGAGAAACATCCTGCCTAACCACCTGTCCGCAAGGCGGACAAAGGCCCAACTGAAGAAACATCCCTATCATATCTTGCTTGGCAGCGTTCTAAGGAACACCACAATGATATTCCACCAGAAAAAGGGCCAAACCACCTGATCATAAGAACATCTTATCAATATCCTGCCGGGCAGCAAGCCATACTGCCCAGGCCCCTCCCACCCCTACCTACAAGCACCCCAGCCTGTAAGCGGCGGTGGGCTCTGGCATTAAGCGGGCCCCCCACTTCCACAATGGTCTGCAATATTCCTGTGTTGTTGTTTGAGCCGCCCCCGCTCTGTGTGTCTTTCTTTCACCCTCGCCTTCACTTCAGAACCTAACAGTCTTACCATCTCGTTGGCCTCGTTGGAATCACAGGGGACGCTCCTCTTCACCCCGCCGGCACTGGATTGTTTGTCCATTGTATATATTGGTTCTTCAATGTCAGTGGCAGGCTTTTGTAGGTTTTGAATCTTCTCAGTGGCCCGGAGCTCTTGCCCTCCCTATGTATACCCTCCTGGTGACAAGGCAAAGCCACACCCTTGAGCTTTGTTTGATCATACAGGCAGTGTCCCAGCCAATGGCAGCCCTAGGGTGGCTTCACATCACAAAGCCCCACTGCTGACCACTCCCTGGGCTTGCGGGCGAGGGGTGACAGGGGTGTAGAGCAAACCAAATGCTGCTGTTGTTTCAGCATCCCCTGAAGATGCATCCCAAACCGATCTGCCGCCGCTCCTCATTTCTCCATGTTTAATGTTCACGGTTCACATGGAAGTCAGAGGATGATTCCTTCAAGCCCTTCCCCACAGCCATTCCTATTAAGTGATTCATTCTTTTGTCTTCCAGCCCTCACCATGACTTAGTATTTTCGATGTCTCACCTCAAATCCCCCACGCTAGTGTGGCTACATTTATTTATTGGCGGAGATGTGAATTATCCCATTTCCCTCCTACAGTTCCTTCACATGCACCTCGAAGACCATTTACTTTTGGGCTACTGCCAGGCAAATTTCAACCCATGTTCTTTTACCCAGTGTCCGTGTAGTTCAAGTTTCCTATTTCCAATCTGAAATAATGGCCTTCAGTCTGTCAAAACTTTAGTGAATAAACATTCTTTACCGTGTATCCTAGTCTTGTTTCAAATCAGGGGTGTATATTTTTTTCTCTTTTTGAAATGGAGTTTCACTCTTGTTGCCCAGGCTGGAGTGCAATGGCATGATCTCAGCTCACTGCAACCTCTGCCTCCTGGGTTTAAGTGATTCTCTGGCTCAGCCTCCTGAGTAGCTGGGATTACAGGCCTGTGCCACCACGCCCGGCTAATTTTTGTATTTTTAGGAGAGACGGGGTCTCACCATCTTGGCCAAGCTGGTCTTGAACTCCTGACCTCGTGATCCACCCGCCTTGGCCTCCAAAGTGCTGGGATTACAGGCGTGAGCCACCACACCCAGCCAGGACGGCCATTATTAAAACCACCATTGACAAGTAAATTTTGGTTACTTCTGTAGCATACAACAATTTAACATAAAGTTTATAATTAATAACATACAGAAGTTATTTCAGAATTATAAGAGTTTCCCATAATTTTGGAGCACATATCAATGACATTTCTATAAATACAGCCCAAAGAAAGTCAAACAGCATTTTATATTTGACGATGCTTCTTGTATGATTTTTATACCAAATAAGACCAATATGTCTCTTTTGGACTTCAGAGGACTCATATCAAAAAATTAATGAGGAATCAAGTTAGAATTTGACTTTGGAAAGTTCGTCAAAGATAAAAAATTTAAAATGCTTGATATCACGAAATAGGGTCATGGGTCATTGTAAAATAAGTCATTCATTTAACCAAAGCAGTAACTCAAAGATTTCAAAAAAGAAAAAAAAAAAAAGGTGAAAATCTTTATTCTTTGAGAGAGGAGGCTTAATATCCCAAACAATAAGCCCTAATTAAAAACAGGATGGGCAAATGAAATTTGTTTTTTTGAAATTTTATAATAAAAGTTTAATCATCTTGAGTATAAAATATAATTTCTATAAACCTTGTAACCTTTATCATTTTGCATGAAGGAGTGAGTTAATGCTCCAAGAAAGCCTTGTTAAACTGACACAGCAACCTAGATACTGGTTTTGCTTTAGTGTGCCTTTGATATTAATGGTTAATTCCTAGAGAAACTGAGCTACTTTTCTCTTAATATCAGCCCTTACAATCTCACATGCCCACCTCTTCCACGATAGTCCTTGGGCCTTGAGGAGTTGAATAGTTTTAATTTCTGGCCCTGCATCTCATGAACGCAGTTTACTTTGATTAGCATCTTCTACTGGGCCTGAAGATGAGGCTGTAATTGCTGTCAGTGTTTAAGATATAGCAGAACTTGGTGTCCTTTTTAGACCCAGAAGTCAAAGCCCTATAACTCAATGGCACAAGGACTTTAAAAGCACATACAGAAAGTTACACAGATGGAAGAAAACACTTTTTTAGACCTTGAAGAAAAAATTTTTGGCCTGTCATAGTGGCTCATGCCTGTAATCCTAGCACTTTGGGAGGCTGAAGCAGGTGGATCACTTGAGGTCAGAAGTTCGAGACCAGCCTGGCCAACACGGTGAAACCCTGTCTCTACTACAAATACAAAAATTAGCCCGGCGTGGTGGCAGGAGAATTGCTTGAACCTGGAAGGGGGAGGTTGCAGTGAGCCAAGATTGTGCCACTGCACTCTCAGCCTGGGTGACAGAGTGAGACCTCACCTCAAAAAAAAAAAAAAAAAAAGAAAAAGAAAAAAAAACATTTTTAGCATGAGGCCACAACAAACAGAACACAAGAGAAAAAAAGAAAAAACTTATATGAGCTGAAAATGAGTTGAAAGAGAGAGTTATTATTTTCACCTTTTAAAAGAGGAGAGTAAACCGAAAATGGTGAGATGTGATAAAAGTTAAACTTTGGGTTTAAACAATTAAAATCTTTTAATTTATTAAGAGTAAATCAACTCCTTAAGAAAATTTTATTGTTCTGATGAATTTTTTTAGTGTTTTTTTAATATCATAAGCTAAATCTGGAAAGACTATTATAAATAATTTCCCTTTAATTATAGACAACTTTATACAAATCATTTATGACAGCTTGGACTTTCTGTTTTATCCCTTCCTCTTTCTTTATTCCTTTGAGATACAGTCTTGCTCCGTCGCCCAGGCTAGAGTCGTGCAGTGGCGCCATCTCGGCTCCCTGCAACCTCCGCCTCCCATGTACAAGCAATTCTCCTGCCTCAGCCTCCGGAGTAGCTGGGACTAGAGGCACGTGTCACCACACCTGGCTAATTTTTGTATTTTTAGTAGAGACAGGGATTTGCCACGTTGGCCAGGCTGGTCTCGAACTCCTGACCTCAGGTGATCCATCCACCTCGGCCTCCCAAAATGCTGGAATTAACAAGCATGAGCCACCATGCCCAGGCTTCCTTTTTCTTAAATAACCAGTTATTTTATTTTAGAACAAAAATTTACTATACAAGATTCTTGCTCAGATAAAATTATTTTCCTTTTAACCTTTTGTGCCAAAAATGCCTGTTCATAACTTCCTTCACATTGCTTTTATTCACTGATTACCTAATTTCATAAATAACTTTTAAATAAGCTTCGAATTAGACAAAAAGTATTTTCCTTTAAGATCACATTTCTTTTTTACAGAAAAATGTTATCCTATAATTAAAAAAATTGGAAATGACCCAGACGTGTAATAAATATCTATTATTTAGCTTAATATAACTTTGGATTTTAAATTATATGACAAGATAATCTACAAGAACTTATTCTGTTACATTTGTGTAATTAATTAATTTTCTAATAGTTTACCCAGATTACTTATGAAAACTGTAATAGTTACCATTTAAAGTTATGTCCTTGTTAACCATTTTTATAACCTGTGAATTTCAGGTTGTCCTGAGTAAGAACATTAAGGTTAGATAAAGGGTCGTTTTTTTGTTCGTTTGTTTGTTTTTGTTTTTTTGGCAATAACTCAGGATTTAGCTATTTTCATTAACCAAACAATATTAAATTCCTTACTTACTAAATCTTACATAAACAAAGATAATTCTTATTTGAGCTGCATTCATAGCTTTAGAACCCTCATGCCAAATGTTGACATCTAGCAGAGATAAATAATGTATGTTGAGAATTCCAAAGCCATTTCTAATTCAATTTCACTAAAATTTTTAAAACCAGCTTGTTTATTGAAGATTTGCTTAAGTCACATGAACTTGAAAAAGCATTTGGCTTAAAGTCTATTTTTCCGAAAAGCATTAGATTTAAGTGCCTTTGTTAAGCCAATTAATTAGAGCTTTTTTCTACATTTTAAGTAGTGAAATGTCATATCCATGACACATAAATACATAGATGTATTAGACATGTAGATAGAAGTAGATCTTATAAATTCCTAAGGCCTTTATTTTTTCCTCGTATTTTAGATTTACAATTTCTTCATAACCTATTTTATTGCCCTAGGCAATTGTCAGCTAGATAGCCCTAAATGTGCATATTAAAGGAACCCTTAGGTAAAAAAAATCAGATAGTGAAATTTGCATCTCAAAGCACCGAGAGAAAGAGTCTGGTGATGTTAGAGGGAGATTGAAGATGGATGCCAAATCAAACACAAAATTGTAGAAATATAGGATTGTATAAGGAGACCAGTTGTATTTAGATAGGGACTACCTGTCTTTTAACTGGATCTCTGAGCTCTGGGCAGAGCCCACACTGAATCCTAGGTCTCCAAAAAGGGAGAATTACTATGAGGCTACACCAAGTGACGGTTTTACAGTGTACTTTTTTTTTTTTTTTTAACAAAGACATTTCTAAGTGTCCAAGCTACTTTCTTCCTTAAAAATCCAAGAATACTCTCTGTTCTAATAACTGTTTTAGTCAAAAACTTAGAATTACCATTCATCTCAGCAGTAGCCCAAAAGTAAATGGTCTTCGAGGTGCATGTGAAGGAACTGTAGGAGGGAAATGGGATAATTCACATCTCCGCCAATAAATAAATGTAGCCACACTAGCGTGGGGGATTTGAGGTGAGACATCGAAAATACTAAGTCATGGTGAGGGCTGGAAGACAAAAGAATGAATCACTTAATAGGAATGGCTGTGGGGAAGGGCTTGAAGGAATCATCCTCTGACTTCCATGTGAACCGTGAACATTAAACATGGAGAAATGAGGAGCGGCGGCAGATCGGTTTGGGATGCATCTTCAGGGGATGCTGAAACAACAGCAGCATTTGGTTTGCTCTACACCCCTGTCACCCCTCGCCCGCAAGCCCAGGGAGTGGTCAGCAGTGGGGCTTTGTGATGTGAAGCCACCCTAGGGCTGCCATTGGCTGGGACACTGCCTGTATGATCAAACAAAGCTCAAGGGTGTGGCTTTGCCTTGTCACCAGGAGGGTATACATAGGGAGGGCAAGAGCTCCGGGCCACTGAGAAGATTCAAAACCTACAAAAGCCTGCCACTGACATTGAAGAACCAATATATACAATGGACAAACAATCCAGTGCCGGCGGGGTGAAGAGGAGCGTCCCCTGTGATTCCAACGAGGCCAACGAGATGGTAAGACTGTTAGGTTCTGAAGTGAAGGCGAGGGTGAAAGAAAGACACACAGAGCGGGGGCGGCTCAAACAACAACACAGGAATATTGCAGACCATTGTGGAAGTGGGGGGCCCGCTTAATGCCAGAGCCCACCGCCGCTTACAGGCTGGGGTGCTTGTAGGTAGGGGTGGGAGGGGCCTGGGCAGTATGGCTTGCTGCCCGGCAGGATATTGATAAGATGTTCTTATGATCAGGTGGTTTGGCCCTTTTTCTGGTGGAATATCATTGTGGTGTTCCTTAGAACGCTGCCAAGCAAGATATGATAGGGATGTTTCTTCAGTTGGGCCTTTGTCCGCCTTGCGGACAGGTGGTTAGGCAGGATGTTTCTCACGGCCTGAACCCCCATGGGATGTTTCACTTTGACCAAGGTCTGCAAAATAGCAAAGAACTGACAAAATGGTGCAGTTTGGACTCACAGGTGACCCTACCCACGCTCCTCTTCTTCTTCCCCATAGATCCCTACTCTGTGCTTCAACCTTCTTCTTCTCTGGATCAAACCCCTTCCTCAACCCGCATTCCTTCTTCTCATGAAGTCCCCTTGCTATCCAGTCTCTATCCTGTTCACCCAAAATAATGTCCTCCTGGCCTCTCCCTGCTTTCTTAACAGATGCCGGAGACCCCAACTGGGGACTCAGACCCGCAACCTGCTCCTAAAAAAATGAAAACATCTGAGTCCTCGACCATACTAGTGGTTCGCTACAGGAGGAACTTTAAAAGAACATCTCCAGAGGAACTGCTGAATGACCACGCCCGAGAGAACAGAATCAACCCCCTCCAAATGGAGGAGGAGGAATTCATGGAAATAATGGTTGAAATACCTGCAAAGTAGCAAGAAGCTACATCTCTCAACCTTGGGCAATGAAAATAAAGTTTGAGAAGCTGATGGCTGTGTATATCTCTGCCTGTTTTCTGATGGTGGCGGGGGAAGGGAAGGGAAGGGAAGAGGTAGGCATTTGAGAAGGGAGGGATATGAGGTCCTGTAGGGTTGGTGGACAGACCCACAGGTTGACAGTAAGCCAGACATTGTAAATAAGGCCTGGGGGAGGACTGATTCCTAAAGAAAATTTTCTTCTTAAAATTTTATCTCACAGGAAGTGGAGATGTGTATATGTTCACGCAACTGTACCCGGCAGCACATAGTTCTGCTGAATGGACATATCAAAGGTATTCCCATCCCCTTTCCATTTGATATTTTCCTAGGCTAGAAATAGATGCTTTATAAAGAGCAAATGTTCTGTAAAACACAAAGCACAATACAAAAGAAGATAGTAGATGTAGGAGTAAGTAAACGGCAGGAAAGCATTGCTTGTGATGAAATGATTGAAAAGCCAATTCTAAAACAAAATGTTCAATGCATCTTAAATATTTGTTAGTGTTTTAATGACCTCAGCAGTCTTTAATCAAGATAAGTATACTTTAGAAATGTGTTGATATCCGCAAAGGGTGAATATTCAAAATCGCCATGACTTGGGAAAAGGAAAGTAAAACACTCTTAAGTATGAGGAGCTTTTTCCCATGGAATGTGAACTGCAAGGTGGTGAGAAGGGTTAGGTGTGATGTGGTGAGATCATTTTTAGGAGAGTGTGTCTATTATCGGCTTCCTAACACTTCCATTTTGCATGATAATTTCCTGAAAGTCATCATTTAATTAAGGCTATAGATTTTGATTACCATGTGTCTTAAAATGTCAAACAGTATAATATTTATACTGAAAAAGAAAACTGCTTGGTGGATACACATCGGTTAGCGGGAAAAGACACCACAGGGATTCACCATGGAGTCACCCGTGGATGGGGTTTTAGTTTCTGTCTTTGAATTGACCTTCACATAGTGTCTACCTCTTGAGAGTTCAGGGGTGTTGGAGAGATCATTAGGTAAAACAAGAAGGTCTTCTCAGGATACATGAGGGAGTTAAATAGAAATGCAGGAGCAATTACAATTTTAGTTATTTGTAACTGTTGTTTGCTAAGTCATAACACTGTCATGGATAACATGAAAAAATAAAATATACTAAATATCAATAGACAAAAACCAGTTTGCTTTTCTCCAACCAAATACCTAAATACCTAGCACTGATTTCCGGAACAAAATCCCACACGTACCATCTTTGGAATAAAAGAATATTCTTTCAAGTTGTCGGACCACAAGGTAAAAACAAAAAATCCCAATGCTTTTTTTCTTACTCTTTGATATGTACAATTGAAGGTATTCCTCATTGCAAACTACTATTTCCACCCAGCACGAGACATTAAAGAATTTTTCATATTTAGGATAGTAATACGGGATCACATTCTTTAGCCTTAGGCATTGCAGAGGAAAAACAAACAAAACCAAACCAAAACTAAGCTGAGAGAGGCGGAGCAAGAAAAGCAGAATAGAAGGCTGCCCAGATCAGCCCCCTCGCAAGGACACAAATTTAACAACGATCCACACAGTAGAAAACACCTCCATAAGAACCCAAAATCAGGGGAACTCTCATAGTACCTGGCGGTATCACTGAAAGAGGCACTGAAGAGTTAGAAGAAACAGTCTTAAATCGCTGACCCCACCCCTTCCCTATCCTAGGCAGTGGCAGTATGGTGTAAAGAGCATCTCTGGAAGCTGGACGAGCAAGAGCAGAGCAGTTGTGGGTCGCTGACCTCGGTGCTGTCTCTTACAGGAGAAAGGAAAACCAGACCAAACTTAGCTGACTCCCATCTGGGAAGGGAGCATTGAAACCACCTCTAGCCAGAGGGAAATTACCCATCCCAGGAATCAGAACTTGAGTTTCTGCAAACCTTGCCACCAAGGGCTAAGAAACGGTTCCAGGTTTCTCAGACAACCTTAAAGGCAGTCTAGGCCATAAGATCTCTAACTCGTAGGTGAGTTCTAGCATAGAATTGGGCCCAGAGGCAGTGGATTGTGGCGGGTATGTGGAGGGGTGCACATGACCTCCTGAGATACCAGCTGGGGCAGCCAAGTGAGTGCTGGTGTCACCCCTGCCCTAGCCCCAGACTGCCCAGCTAGCGGCTCCATAAAAGACCCCCTCCTTCCACTTGAGGAGATGGAATAGTGAGGAGCGTTTTTTTTCTTGCATCTTGAATACCAGCTCAACTACAGCGGGACAGGGCACCGGTCGGGGTTGTGAAGCCCCTGCTCCAGGCACTCGCTCCTGGATAACATTTCTAGACACACCCTAGGCCAGAAAGAAACCTGCTGCCTTGAAAGAAATGAAAAGAGAACACCTATACACTGTTTATGGGAATGTAACTTAGTTCAGCCATTGTAGAAAGCAGTTTGGTGATTTCTGCAAGAACTTAGAAATACCATTCATCTCAGCAATCACATTACTGGATATATACCCAAAGGATATATATCATTCTACCATTAAGACATACGCATGCGTATGTTCTTCACAGCACTATTCACAATAGCAAAGATTTTGAATCAACCTAAAGGCCCATCAGCAGCAGACTGGATAAAGACAATGTGGTACATAAACAGCACGGAATACTATGCAGCCATAAAAAAACGAGATCATGTCTTTTGCAGCAACATGGATGGAGCTGGAGGCCATTACTCTAAGCGAACTCACGTGGGAACAGAAAATGGAATACCACCTTTTTCCATTTATAAGCAAGAGCTAAACATCGGTATACATGGACACAAAGAAGGGAACAACAGACACCCGTGTCTACTTGGGGGTAAAGGATGGGGAGGAGGGTGAGGGTTGAAAAGCTACCTATCAGCTATTATGCTGATTACCTGGGTGATGAAATAATGTGTACACCAAACCCATGTGACACGCAACTTCCCTTTATAACGAGCCTGCACATGTACCCCTGAACCTAACATAAAAGTTAACAAAAATTTAAAAATAAAATAATAAAAAATTAAGAAGTCTCACAGAGGTAGAGCGTAGAATGGTGGTGACTAGGGGCTCGGTGGTGGTGGCTGGAAAGACATTGCTCAAAGGATACCAAATTTCTGTTAGACTGAAGGAATAAGCTGCAGAGATACATTGTACGACACGGTGACTACAGGTGATCATAATATGTTGTATTATTGATAAATGCTAAGAGAGTAGATGGTAAGTGTTCTCAATACAAAATGATAACTTTGTGGGATGATGCATATGTTAATTAGCTATATTTATTCATTCTACAATGTATATACTTCAAACATTAGATACATGATAGACACATTCCATTTTATCTGTTCAGTTTAAAATAATAAAAATAAAGAAGAAAGACATGTCCAAGTGTTCTGCCTGGGAAGATGGGCCTGAGAGAGTCTTACATAGTTAATCATGTACTATGTTTTTCTGTGCAGGACAGCAGAGGGAGAGGGGCTACCTGAGAGCAGCACATAGTCACTAAATGGCCTATAACAGCTCTACTTCCTTTCTTGAAGAATCAGAATGGTGAAAGAAACCAGTTTGATGTTTCTCATGCCCCTAAGAAGGACACTAAAGTGTTTTAAAGAGAGTTGGATCTGAAGGTGCCCTGTGGTTGGGCTTGAGGGATGACATGAAAATGTTCTGCATGAATCAGCCATTTAGGGCCAGATGGGATGATACGCATCTCAGGAGATGTTCGATGGATACAACATTGGGAAATTCTGAGATTCTGAATTGATTAAGTGTGAGACTCATGCATATTAAGTGCAATTACATAAAATGGCATTGCATTTCTCATTCGGCCAAGCATTGTAACCAGGTATATTCATGTGCCAGCTGTTTCAATAAAAAGTGGTATCTCTCACAACCATTTGCATTCCAATACAATTTTCTGAATGTAAGAGAAAGAGATATAGTTATAACCAAGGTGTTCATCAATGAGAATAGTTTGCATCTCATCTTCTCTATTCTGCAGAAAGGCCCTTGAAGAGCATATTGCATCATTTTCTTCATGGCCAAGAAAATCAAGAATCACTGATCTGGCCAGGTGCAGTGGCTCATGCCTGTAATCCCAGCACTTTGGGAGGCCGAGGCGGGCGGATCACCCGAGGTCAGGAATTTGAGACGAACCTGGCCAACATGGTGAAACCCTGTCTCTGCTAAAATACAAAAAAAAAATTAGCTGGGCGTGGTGGCGGGCGCCTGTAATCCCAGCTACTGGGGAGGCTGAGGCAGGAGAATTGCTTGAATCCAGGCAGTGGAGGTTGCAGTGAGCCGAGATCGTGCCACTGCACTCCGGCTTGGGTGACAGAGCCAGACTCTGTCTCAAAACAACAAAAACAAAAACAAGAAATCACCGATCCATTTGAAAGTCAGCAAATATTTTGTCATTGACTAAATATGGACCCTAGAGAGTGATCCCCATACACCACACTACAACTTAAGACTGATTCTATTTCTTAAGCATCCTTTGGAGGTCATCACGTTTTTGAACTCTTGTAATAACAGGGGACTTCAACGCATTTCAGACAGCAAACCTCGTCCTGTGTTATCTTATGCTCTGGGAGGAATCTAAAAGACAAGGAAGTAAGGAAGAAAGAAAGGAAGGAAGGGAGGGAGGAAGGAAGGGAGGGAGGGAAGGAGGGAGGGAGGGAGGGAGGAAAGGAGAAGAGGAGAGAAGAGAGGAGACGAGCTTAAACCTAAATTGGTAGAAAGCTTCACAAGTCTGAATACTTAACAAGTTAAATTAAGTAGCTAAAGATGTTTTTGAAAATCATCTGAGCAAACAAAAAATGATTCTGAAAAATATTTGGTAATGTAATAATGACAATGGGTTATTTCTTCTATCCTTGATCTCCTACAAATATATTTTAAGCCAGATCATGTTTTTCCTTTGATGAAAACTCCACAGAGTTTTCATCTTCATGAAAATAAAATCCAAATTCCTAATAAGGCCGTACATGATGTGGGCACCTATTACCTCTCTGACATTAATACTTATTCTTCTCGTGAATCACTCTGCTTCTATCACACTCCCCAATCTGTGACTCTTGTAACTCACCATGCATGTGATTCCTCTAACCTGCCATCCATATCAGGGTCTTTGCATACTTCTGCCTGGAAGCTTCTTCTCTAAAATATCCACTATGTATCCTAATTTTCTTTTCTTTTCTTTTTCTTTCCTTTTTTTTTTTTTTTTTTTTTTGAGATGGAGCCTTGCTTTGTCGGCTAGCCTGGAGTGCAGTGGTGCACTCTCGGCTCTCTGCAACCTCCACCTCCTGGTTTCAAGCAATTCTCCTGCCTCAGCCTCCTGAGTAGCTGAGATTACAGGCGCCTGCTACCACGGCTGGCTAATGTTTGTAGTTTTAGTATAGATGGGGTTTCATTGGTTGGCCAGGCTGGTCTTGAACTCCTGACCTCGTGATCCACCTGCCTTCGCCTCCCAAAGTGCTGAGATTACAATCGTGAGCCACCACGCCCAGCCTGTGTATCCGAATTTTCTTAAGGTCACTAGTCAGACGTCACTTTATTGGAAAGGCTATCCTCCATTTAATGGTGAAGACGTTAAATGGTACTTGTACTTCTTTCCAAAAAAATGATACTTTTATCAGTTATTTTACTACAGTACCTGGAACATGTAAACTTGCAAGCAATATTTGGTGAATGAAATATTTGGTTAACCTGAATTTAGTATTGCAGTCTTCATTACTAGAAAGCATTTACATGTTTTAACTGTCAGGGAGCAACACTGGTAAGTGATTAATTCCCTATCAATAAAATGGATAGAGTACTATTCATGCTACATGTTCTCACAGTTGTGGCAAGGGTTATTAAATTGCCAACTGTAGTACTAAACTTATATTAATGTTGTACTCGTTAGTATTACTCTTGTTATGTTCAGAGGAAATATGGAATAAAAGTAAGATCATGGGCCTGGTTCAAATCTGAAATTCTGCTACGTCCTAGTCGGGTGATGTAGGTCAAGTTTCTTAACTCCTCTGAGTCTTAGATTCTTCGTATGAAAAATGGAAAAAATGCTAGCACCTACTTCTCAGGATTGTTTTGAAAAACAAATTAATTAATATATTTAAGCTTTTAGCACAGAGCCTAGTACATAGTGTATGTTCAGTAATTACAAACTATTACTAGTGAGTATAATAGGATGTGAAAATTCATGACATCAAACAACTAGAACCGAGATTTATATATACACACACACACACACACACACGCAGACATATGTACACACACACACACACACACACACACACACACACACACACATTTTTTTTTTGCAACAGAGTCTAGCTCTGTCGCCCAGGCTGGAGTGCAGTGGCGTGATCTCGGCTCACTGCAACCTCTGTCTCCCGGGTTCAAGCAATTCTTCTGTCTCAGCCTCCTGAGCAGCTGGGACTACAGGTGCGTGCCACCATGCCTGGGTAATTTTTTGTATTTTTAGTAGAGATGGGGTTTCACCATGTTAGCTAGGATGGTCTTGATCTCCTGACCGTGTGACCCACCTGCCTCACCCTCCCAAAGTGCTGGGATTACAGTGTGAGCCACCACGTCTGGCCAGATTTTTGCAATAGAGAAAGCACTGGACATCATTTTATCATAGAATATTAAAGCTGGAAGAGACCATAGGATCATAGGAACCCACAGTCTCTTGCAAGAATCCAGGTCTCCAAACTCAGAAACATGCTGATTGTTCCTTCCTGAAAATGCACATTAGGCATGGCATAGCTTTTGCAATCAGTGACGATACCAAGGCATCAGGGGCTAGAGGCTTAGGACATCACTGACAAAGCAGGAGTATTGCCATCTTGAACAAGCTCTGTCATTTTAAAATTCACCTTAATCAAAAACCGCCAAAATCCAAACGGCATCAGCCTAATGGCTAAGGTCAGCATGACCATAAACCGCAAATAACATCTCCAACCAGAAACATTCCAGACTCCTCCCCGACCAGAGACAAGCTAGCCCCAAGATAACCCCACCCTGGCCAGGAAGATGCCAGCCCCAAAATAACCTCCTCCCCTCCACCCAGAGGCGTGGTCTCGGCTCACTGCAACCTCTGCCTCCTGGGTTCAAGCGATTCTTCTGTCTCAGCCTGCCAAGTAGCTGGGACTACAGGCGCTTGCCTCCGCACCCGGCTAATTTTTCTATTTTTAGTAGAGACAGGATTTCACTATGTTGGCCCAGCTGGTCTCGGAACTCCTGACCTCAAGATCCGCCCACCTCGGCCTCCCAAAGTGCTGGGATTACAGGCGTGAGCCACCGTGCCCAGCCGCGTTTATGTTTTTCTCTTCATAAATTTTGTTTTCCTGGAAAAGGTTTTTTCCTGATCGACTAAATTACTTTTCTCCACTCTGTCTTGCCACTCTTGGTGCATGTATGAAAGACCCTGAAATGACTCCTGGTGGCCTGGGACTCCTTGGGAAAACAAAAAAGGTGCCACAAATCCCGTTTTGGGAAAAACCTCTGTTTTCCTTATGAAACCCCTAGACTTAAATAAGTACCTCTCAAAGATCTGTCTTTGTCTTCCAACTGTACTTGTTCATTAGGCCCTAGAAACTGTTTTCTTAGCCCTGTTCCTAAAAGGCCTCACCCGAAGGCCAATAATCCAATTGGAAAATTAGCAGAAAAAAAATCTTATAACTACTAAGTCTTCTTCTGATTGTCTGTGTGGCTATATATGTTTTATGTGTGTGATGTCTATTAAAAGAACTCTAATTAACTGGCCAAAAAAATAAGCACTTAAATCAAATATTTTTAAGGGAAAAGTAAAAGCTGTGGGACCTTTCAGTTCTCGTAATTTTAATCTTTAGAACTTACCGGTACAGCAAAGTTAAAAGTTGAGTTGAAAGTCGTTAAGAGGTGCCAGCGTACGTTTTTATTTGCATTTATTAATCAAGCAATTTCATACTTATGGCTGCAAAATACTATAAGGTGTCAACATTTGGCACAGAGGCTACAAAACGACAACTCAGCCCAAACAAAATAATCTTTGCTTGTGTAATTTTTTCAATAAATAAAGCATGAATATTGGTTTAACGAAGATAGCTATATCTTTAACTATTTAGTAAAATATGCTAACTTCCAACCTTGTGGCCTTAGGCAGTCTAGTCCACAGACATGAAGGAAATTTGTTTTGGGAAAGAACTGTTATCATCTTTAATATTAAAGAAAAGATAATTGGTATAAGAAAGAATCTCACATGGTAAATTTTTGTCCTAAAGTAAATTAACTGTTGTTTAAAAAAAGGGATGACTTTACAACAAGTCAGAAAGGTAAGGCATGTCAGAAATTGTCTGTGAAAGTCGTGAAGAATTTTATAAAAGGGAATTTGTGCAAGAAATGTCGCACAATTTAAAAGTAATTCGGCCTCCTGAATGCTGTATACAATTTCACTCTAACTCTTAGCTGTACAGCTTGCCTGCTTTGCAGCTGAATAAACCCTAGGACACATGGAGTTAAATGCTGGAATAAACCAGACCTTCTCCGCACTTCCGTCTGGGTCCTAGGCCCTACACCTAGTGCGTAATTAGATTCCCAGACTTACCAAGGTTTTCATCAAAAGTAAAGGTTGCTAAAAGTTAGCAGTGTAACACGTATTTAAAACTACCGAAGAAATAGTTTATGAGCAAGGTGTGTAAGGAAAGTAAAATATACTTTTGGTAAAAAGATTATAAGGAGGCCTAAGAATGTGGATTTTTGCCTACATTAAAAGGTTAAAAAATTGTTTTAAAGGTTTAAGCAACTTTTGGAAGGTTAATTGTAAAGAAAATTTCGTGTGTGTACATACTGGCTAAAGTTAAAGGGGTATCATTCAGGTTTTCTGTAAATCGAGCATTAAAATAAAAGCACAATGGGTTTCTGTTAAAGCACTAACCTGCTCTTTAACAAAAAGTATAAACGGTTAAAAAGGGTCTATAAAAACCTTACCTTCCGGTCAAACATGAACATTGGGTAAATGCGTCTACAAGGTTTTATGAAAAATGGAGCTTAACATTAATAGCACACTAATACAATGGTAAAATTCGGCTTATTTGATATAAAATCATACAGGAAGCATTGTCAAATATAAAATGGTATTTGGCTTTCTTTGGGCTATAGTTGTATAAATATGCTATTGGGATGTGTTCCAAAGTTATGGCAGATTCCTATCATTCTAATATATCTTAGTGTACGTTATCACTAATAATTATAATTGTTTTGTTAAAATTATTGTGTGCCACAGAGGTAACGGATATCTTTGTCAACTGTGTCTTTAACTATGGCTACCCTAAAACTTTTTGTCATCCATAAACAATTGTTGTCTTGTTTTAGTCCTCTTCAAAGGGTGGTTTTCTAATCAGCTATAAAGCTCTGAATGCAGGTTTCTGATAAAAAGCAGGACAGGAATTAACTGCATAAACCAAACTAATAGGAAACTAATCTGTTTAACGTTTTGCTTAAAATATTGCTATCCCTTTGTTTTACCTTTCAAAGTCAAAGAAACTTTTTTTAAGCGATTAACAGCTTTTAACTGTTTAACTTTTAACTGTTAACTCCCATCAACAAAATTTGGAGGATACTTGTTTCTCTCTACCTGATTCTCTCCAAAATTTGGAAACTATCTATGAGTATTCTTAACTTATGGCAATATAGTTATTTGCATAAATACAACAAGAATCTGTTTTCTTTTGTAACGGGACACGATTGGAAAAACTGGTTATTCTTACCAAGGCTTTAACTGGAATGGTGTGCTTTTCCTTTAAGGAATCCAGCTTTAACTTATAAAGCCAATAAAGCCCTTGAAAAACTGGCCTCATATTTTGTGTACACAGTCCCCGTACAGGGGTTGTGATCTGTGGTAAACAGAACATGTCACTTTCTAACAGGCCAGGAACCCTAAGTTATCTTGAAACATCAAGAGGAGAGGAATTCACCCAAGTCATAGGTATTTAATGGTACAAATCCATGGCTGGGCTTGGCTTTCAAAAGTCTTTTATCTCAGATTGCTTCTACAAAACCAAATTCCACCAAAGCCCATTTAAAAGGCCTATGTAACAAATAATTATTCTTGCAGCACTGTATGCAAACAAGTAAGCCAAGTATCCTAAAGCAAACCTACCATAATTTGTCTTTTAATAAAAATGGGAAAGTGGAGAGAGGAAATTATGTTTCCAAAACTATGACACACCTCTTGTTAAATTCTAGAGTTGCCTGATGTTTTTCAGTTATTATTTGCTACTGTTTAATTAAATTCTAATTTTTCTGACTACAAGACTTCAAAATAAGCTGTGCTTTCTTAAAGCCCTATAAACTGGAAACTAGATGTTTCAGCAGGCACTGCCTCTAAGCCCCCTAACCCTCACAGGAGCAAATAAAGAAATAGGAAATCGTAAGCTAAAAATCATAAAAAATAAATAACCGAGAAAGAATTGCTCGTCTTACTCAGTCTCACCCCTACCTCACCAAACACTTTTGTCATTCCTATCTCTCCTTTCAAGCCAAATATTACAACTTTTTAATGGAAATTATTGACTACACCACCCTTGTGGAAACTGCTTTACTCACCCTACTATTTGCAGTAAAACTATATACTGTAGCACCCTCAGGGTAAAATGTCAGACAAAAACAATCTCAATTACTGTAGCATTTTGCTTAATTATTAGCCTCTTAGCAGGAATAACGCTTACTAACAGAAACTAACACATGGGCCTTTCCAAACATGTGCTTCTACCTCTCATTAGGTAAGGAATATTGTTTCTTTATCAACCAATCAGGCCTAGTAAAAAAACGCTGCTAAAACAAACATAAAGAAAAGGCTAAAAAGCTAAGGGAGTACCAAAACAACCAAATAAGTTCTTGGTTTGGGAACACAATCATAGCATGGGTCATCCTATTTCTGGGCCCTCTCCTAATAATATGCCTGGGGCTAATTTTCTTACCCTGCCTAATTAACCTTTCTCGGAAAATTTTAACTAACAGGATCACGGCCATTTCACAGACAACTACCCAAAAACATCTACAGACGGCATTGCTCCTACTGTCAACCCAAAAAACTCTCCGTCCCCTCGTCAGCAGGAAGTAATTTTCATTTCAGGGAGATCTTCCAATTTATTCACATACAGTTTCCCACGGTCACCACAAGAGCCCTTTGAATTTTTGCAGCTTTAGCCTGTAATGTCTCCTTTCAATTTTGGAGTTTATTTATCTCGATCTCTCCTTTTTCTTCCTTAGATTGGCTACAGGTTTCTCAATTTTGAATAGCTTTTTAAAAAAAAACCCAACTTTTTGTTTCCTTGATAGTGTTTTGACTTTCTTCATTTTACTTTCATTTATTTCTGCTCTGGTCTTTTATTATTTCTTTTCTTCTACTGATTTGGGGTTCACTTTGAGCTTATTTTTCTGTTTTTTTAAGATGCGTCATGAATTATTTGCAGGTGTTCCTCTTTTTCAATGTAGGCACTTATAGCTATAAACTTCCCTCTTAATACTGCTTTTGCTGTATCCCATGGGTTTTGGTATGTTGTGTTTCCATGATCATTTATTTTGAGAAATTTTACAATTTAGTTTTTAATTTCTTCATTGACCTGTGGGTCATTCAGGAGCATATTTTTTTTTTAATTCTATGGATTTGTATAATTTTCAAAGTTCCCCTTGTTATTTTCGGGATTTTCTTTTTTTGTTTTTTGGTGGTCAGAGAAGGAGCTTGATATTATTTCAATTTATTTGAATGTTGATGTTTTAAGACTTGTTTTATGACCTAACATATATTCTAACCTTGAGAATGATCCACGTGCTGGGTAAAAGAAGGTGTATTTTGCAGTCCTTGGAAGAAGTGTTTTGTAAATGTCTGTTACATCCATTTGGTCTGTAATGTACATTAAGTGTGATGTTTCTGTGTTGATTTTATGTCTGGAAGAACTGTCCAATGCTGAAAGTAGGGTGTTGAAGCCCCCAGCCATTATGCTATTGGGACCTATCTCTCCCATTAGTTGTAATAGTGTTTCCTTTATATACCTTGGTGCTACAGACTTGGGTGCACATATATGTAAAGTTCTTATAGCCTTTTGTTGAACTGATCCCTTCATTATTATATAGTGACTTTTTTTCCTCTTACATTTTGTGTCTTGAAATCTATTTTGTTTGCTAGGAATATAGCTAATCCTGCTTCTTTCTGGTTCCATTCGCATGGAGCATCTCTTTCTATCCCTTTATTTTCAGTCTATGTGTGTCTTCAGAAGTGAAGTGTGTTTCTGGCAGGCAACAGATCAATGTGTCTTGTTTTTTCATACATTCAGCCAGTCTATGTCTTTTCATGGAAGAGTTTAGCCCATTTACATTCAATGTTACTATTGATAAGTAGGAACTTACTCCTGTCATTTTGATTTTTATGTTCAGATGTTTTTGTGATCTTATCTTCCTTCTTTCTTTCCTTTCCGTCTTTTCTTAGGATGATTTTTCTGTGGGTAGATGATTTAGTTCCTTGCCTTCGAATTTTTGTGTATATATTGCATGTTCTTTAGTTTCAGGTTACCTTGAGGCTTGCAAATAATATCTTATAAACCATTATTTTTAATCTGATATTTACTTAAGACGATTTTGACAAACAAACAGCAAACAAAAATAAAACTAATAAAGCTGCATCTTAACTTTGTCCCACCGCTAATTTTTTGTCATTTCTTTCTGTATCTCATTGTGTTGACTGTGTCTTGAAAAGTTGTGCTTTTACATTTTGATTGGTTTATCCTTTAGTCTTTCTACTTAGAATAAGAGCGGTTTACACACTACAGTCACTTTTTTATAATATTCTTTCTGTGTACTTACAATGACCACTGAGTTTTGTACCTTCCGTTGATAACTTATTGTTCACTACCGTCCTTTTCTTTCTGATTGAAATACTCCTTGTAACATTTCTTGCAGGACAGGGCTAGTGATGATGAAATCCCTCAGGTTTTGATTCTCTGGGCCCATTTTTATTTCTCCTTCATGTTTGAAGGATAGTTGTTGCAGATATATTATTCTAAGGTTAAAATTTTTTTCTTTCAGCACTTTAAATATGTCATGCCACTCTCTCCGGGCCTGTAAGGTTTCCACTGAAAAGTCTGCTGCCAGACATATTGGAGCTCCATTGGATGTTATTTGTTTCTCTTCTCTTGCTGCTTTAAGAAAAATTCTTTATCCTTGATTTTTGGGAGTTTCATTACTGAATAACTTGAAGCACCCTTCTTTCAGTTAAGTCTCCTTGGTGTTCTATAACATTCTTATACTTGGATATGTGTCTCTTTCTCTGGGTTTGGGAAGTTCTCTATTATAATCTCTTTGGAGAAACTTTCTACTCCTATGTGTTTCTGTACCTCCTCCTTAAGGCCAATAACTCTTAGATATGTCCTTTTGAAGCTATTTTCTAGATCCTGCAGACATGCTTCATTGCTTTCTACTCGGTTTTTCTTTCGTCTTTTCTGACAAAAGACTATTTTCAAATAGCCTTTCTTCAAGCTTATTAATTCCATCTTCTGTTGATTGATTCTGCTATTAACAGAACTTGAGAGATTCCTCAGCCTATCACTTGCATTTTTCAGCTCTACAATCTCTGCTTGATTCATTTTCATTCTTTGAAACTTATTGTTAACTTTCTGTCTCGTTGATCTGTCTAATGTTGACAGTGGGTTGTTAAAGTCTCCCATTATTATTGTGTGGGAGTCTAGGTCCCTTTGTAGGTCTCTAAGGACTTCCTTTATGAATCTGGGTGCTCCTGTATTGGCTGCGTATATATTTAGGATAGTTAGCTCTTCTTGTTGAATTGATCCCTTTACCATTATGGAATGGCCTTCTTTGTCTCTTTTGATCTTTATTGGTTTAAAGTCTGTTTTATCAGACACTAGGATTGCAACCCCTGCCTTATTTTGTTTTCCATTGGCTTGGGAGATCTTCCTCCATCCCTTTATTTTCAGCCTATGTGTGTCTCTGCACGTGAGATGGGTTGCCTGAATACAGCACACTGATGGGTCTTGACTCTTTATCCAATTTGCCAGTCTGTGTCTTTTAATTGGAGCATTTAGCCCATTTACATTTAAGGTTAATATTGTTCTGTGTGAATTTGATCCTGTCGTTATGATGTTAGCTGGTTATTGTGCTCCTTAGTTGATGCAGTTTCTTCCTAGCTTCGATGGTCTTTACAGTTTGGCATGTTTTTGCAGTGGCTGGTACTGGTTGTTCCTTTCCATGTTCAGTGCTTCCTTCAAGAGCTCTTTCAGGGCAGGCCTGGTGGTGACAAAATCTCTCAGCATTTGCTTGTCTATAAAGGATTTTATGTCTCCTTCACTTATGAAGCTTAGTTTGGCTGGATATGAAATTCTGGTGAAAATTCTTTTCCTTAAGAATGTTGAATATTGGCCCCCACTCTCTTCTGGCTTGTAGAGTTCCTGCTGAGAGATCAGCTGTTAGTCTGACGGGCTTCCCTTTGTGGGTAACCCGACCTTTCTCTCTGGCTGCCCTTAACATTTTTTCCTTCATTTCAACTTTGGTGAATCTGACAATTATATGTCTTGGAGTTGCTCTTCTCGAGGAGTGTCTTTGTGGCGTTCTCCGCATTTCCTGAATTTGAATGTCGGCGTGCCTTGCTAGATTGGGGAAGTTCTCCTGGATAATATCCTGCAGAGTGGTTTCCAGCTTGGTTCCATTCTCCCCATCACTTTCAGGTACACCAATCAGACGCAGATTTGGTCTTTTCACATAATCCCGTATTTCGAGGAGGCTTTGTTCATTTCTTTTTATTCTTTTTCTCTAAACTGCTCTTCTCGCTTCATTTCACTCATGTGATCTTCCATCACTGATACCCTTTCTTCCAGTTGATCGCATTGGCTACTGAGGCTTCTGCATTCGTCATGTAGTTCTCGTGCCTTGGTTTTCAGCTCCATCAGGTCCTTTAAGGACTTCTCGGCATTGGTTATTCTAGTTAGCCATTCATCTATTTTTTTTCTGAAGGATTTTAACTTCTCTGCCATTGGTTCGAACTTCCTCCTTTAGCTCGGAGTAGTTTGATCGTCTGAAGCATTCTTCCTTCAACTCGACAAAGTCATTCTCCATGCAGCTTTGTTCTGCTGCTGGTGAGGAGCAGCGTTCCTTTGGAGGAGGAGAGGCACTCTGATTTTCAGAGTTTCCAGTTTTTCTGCTCTGTTTTTTCCCCATCTTTGTGGTTTTATCTACCTTTGGTCTTTGATGACGGTGACGAACAGAAGGTGTTTGGGGGGGATGTCCTTTCTGTTTGTTAGTTTTCCTTCTGGAATTGAACTCAGCTCTGCACCAAGTGGACCGAATAGACATCTACAGAACTCTCCACCCCAAATCAACAGGATATACATTCTTCTCAGCACCACATCGCTCTTATTCCAAAATTGACCACATAGTTGGAAGTCAAGCACTCCTCAGCAAATGGAAAAGAACAGAAATTATAACAAACTGTCTCTCAGACCACAGTGCAATCAAACTAGAACTCAGGATTCAGAAACTCACTCAAAACCACTCAACTACATGGAAACTGAACAACCTGCTCCTGAATGACTACTGGGTACATAACGAAATGAAGTCAGAAATAAAGATGTTCTTTGAAATCAACGAGAACAAAGACACAACATACCAGACTCTCTGGAACACACTCAAAGCAGTGTGTAGAGGGAAATTTATAGCACTAAATGCCCACAAGAGAACGCAGGAAAGATCTAAAATTGACACCCTAACATCACAATTAAAAGCACTAGAGAAGCAACAGCAAACACATTCAAAAGCTAGCAGAAGGCAAGAAATAACTAAGATCAGAGCAGAACTGAAGGAAGTAGACATACAAAAAACCCTTCAAAAAAACCAATGAATCCAGGAGCTGGTTTTCTGAAAAGATCAACAAAATTCATAGACCGCTAGCAAGACAAACAAGGAAGAAAGAAGAATCAAATAGACACAATAAAAAACAATAAAGGGGATATCACCACCGATCCCACAGAAATACAAACTACCATCAGAGAATACTATAAACACCTCTATGCAAATAAACTAGAAAATCTAGAAGAAATGGATAAATTCTTCGACACATACAACATCCCAAGACTAAACCAGGAAGATGAATCTCTGAATAGACAAATCAAAGGATCTGAAATTGAGGCAATAATTAATAGCTTACCAACCAAAAAAAGTCCAGGACCAGATGGATTCACAACCAAATTCTACCAGAGGTACAAGAAGGAGCTGGTACCATTCCTTCTGAAACGATCCCAATCAACAGAAAAACAGGGAATCCTCCCTAACTCATTTGATGAGGGCAGCATCATCCTGATACCAAAGCCTGGCAGAGACACAACAAAAAAAGAGAATTTTAGACCAGTATCCCTGATGAACATCGATGCAAAAATCCTCAATAAAATACTAGCAAACCGAATCCAACAGCACATCAAAAAGCTTATCCACCATGATCAAGCGGGCTTCATCCCACGGATGCAAGGCTGCTTCAACATACGCAAATCAAGAAATGTAATCCAGCATATAAACAGAACCGATGACACAAACCATATGATTATCTCAATAGATGCAGAAAAGGCCTTTCACAAAACTCAACAACCCTGCATGCTAAAAACTCTCAATAAATTAGGTATGGATGGGACGTATCTCAAAATAGCAACAGCTATCTATGACAAACCCACAGCCAATATCATACTGAATGGGCAAAAACCGGAAGCATTCCCTTTGAAAACTGGCACAAGAGAGGGATGCCCTCTCTCACCACTCCTATTCAATATAGTGTTGGAAGTTCTGGCCAGGGCAATCGGGCAGGAGAAAGAAATAAAGGGTATTCATTTCGGAAAAGAGGAAGCCAAATCGTCCCTGTTTGCAGATGACATGATTGTATATCTAGAAAACCCCATCGTCTCAGCCCAAAATCTCCTGAAGCTGATAGGCAACTTCAGCAAAGTCTGAGGATACAAAATCAATATGCAAAAACCACAAGCATTCTTATAACACCAATAACGGACAAACAGAGATCCAAATCATGAGTGAACTCCCATTCACAATTGCTTCAAAGAGAATAAAATACCTAGGAATCCAACTTACAAGGGATGTGAGGGACCTCTTCAAGGAGAACTACAAACCACTGCTCAACGAAATAAAAGAGGATACAAACAAATGGAAGAACATTTCAAGTTTATGGGTAGGAAGAATCAATATCGTGAAAATGGCCATACTGCCCAAGGTAATTTATAGATTCAATGCCATCCCCATCAAGCTACCAATGACTTTCTTCACAGAATTGGAAAAAACTACTTTAAAGTTCATATGGAACCAAAAAAGAGCCCGCATCACCAAGTCAATCCTAAGTCAAAAGAACAAAGCTGGAGGCATCACGCTACCTGACTTCAAACTATACAAGGCTACATAAACCACAACAGCATGGTACTGGTACTAAAACGGAGATATAGACCAATGGAACAGAACAGAGCCCTCAGAAATAATGCCACATATCTACAACCATCTGATCTTTGACAAACCTGACAAAAACAAGAAATGGGGAAAGGATTCCCTATTTAATAAACGGTGCTGGGAAAAATGGCTAGCCATATGGAGAAAGCTGAAACTGGATCCCTTCCTTACACCTTATACAAAAATCAATTCAAGATGGATTAAAGACTTAAACGTCAGACCTAAAACCATAAAAACTCTAGAAGAAAACCTAGGCATTACCATTTAGGACATAGGCATGGGCAAGGACTTCATGTCTAAAACACCAAAAGCAATGGCAACAAATGACAAAATTGACAAATGGGATCTCATTAAACTAAAGAGCTTCTGCACAGCAAAAGAAACTACCATCAGAGTGAACAGGCAACCTACAAAAAATGGGAGAAAATTTTCGCAACCTACTCATCTGACAAAGGGCTCATATCCAGAATCTACAATGAACTCAAACAAATTTACAAGAAAAAAACAAACAACCCCATCAAAAAGTGGGCGACGGACATGAACAGACACTTCTCAAAAGAAGACATTTATGCAGCCAAAAAGCATGTGAAAAAATGCTTATCATCACTGGCCATCAGAGAAATGCAAATCAAAACCACAATGAGATACCATCTCACACCAGTTAGAATGGCGATCATTAAAAAGTCAGGAAACAACAGGTGCTGGAGAGGATGTGGAGAAATAGGAACACTTTCACACTGTTGGTGGGACTCTAACCTCGTTCAACCATTGTGGAAGTCAGTGTGGGGATTCCTCAGGGATCTAGAACTAGAAATACCATTTGACCCAGCCATCCCATTACTGGGTATATACCCAAAGGGCTATAAATCATGCTGCTATCGAGACACATGCACACGTATGTTTATTGCGGCACTATTCACAATAGCAAAGACTTGGAACCAAGCCAAATGTCCAACAACGATAGACTGCATTAAGAAAATGTGGCACATATACACCATGGAATACTATGCAGCCATAAAAAATGATGAGTTCATGTCCTTTGTAGGGTTTGCTGGAAACCATCATTCTCAGCAAACTATCGCAAGGACAGAAAACCAAACACCGCATGTTCCCACTCATACGTGGGAATTGAGCAATGAGAACGCATGGACACAGGAAGGGGAACATCACACACCGGGGCCTGTTGTGGGGTGGGGGGAGGGGGGAGGGATAGCATTTGGAGATATACCTAATGTTAAATGACGAGTTACTGGGTTCAGCTCACCAACATGGCACATATATACATATGTATCTAACCTGCACGTTGTGCACATGTTCTCTAAAACTTAAAGTACAATAAGAAAAAAAAAAGGTGAATCTATTTGCACCTAGAAATATGCTTCTTGGAGTATGACCGATGTCTTGACATTGTGCCCACAAAGGAAGAAATTTAATTAAGCACACCTATTTTTTCAGAGTGAATAATATTTATATAATCATAATAACATACACACTCATGGTTTTCTACCCATACAATCAACTAGCTATAGATTTTAAAAAGTACTTGAGAGTTACATAAATTTAGTGCTTACAGAGCCTCGGTGCTAGCAGCAGGCAAGGATGGGTACAGGAAGGACATAAAGAAAGAAGAAGGAAAGAAATACTGATACTTCATCCTACAAACCAGGGAGTTAAGAAAATCCGTTTCTTGTTGGTAGACAAGAAATGGAAGAAACACAGCCATACATCAGCAAAATTTTTATATACTTTAAAAACCAAATTGTCACTAATTGAAGCTAGATACTACAAATTAATATGTTCATTGCAATCCCCTGAGATACCACAAATAATATACGTAAAGAAACATTAAAATGGTACATTATAAAATGTCTATTTAACACAGAAGAAAAAAGTAGTCAATCAAGAGAGACACAAAAGAGACACCATGCAAACAGAAAGAAAATTTTTAAAATGGCAGACATAGATTCTATCTTATCAGCAATTTCCTTAAAGGTAAATGGATTAAATAACTCAATTAAGAGGCAGAGGTTTCTAGAACATATTTTAAATAGTCCAACTATATGCTGTGTACAACAGAGACACTTTAGATTCAAAGACACAAATGGATTGAAAGTAAAAGGATGGAAAATGATATTCCACGCAAACAGTAACAAAAGAACAATGAAGTGGCCATTGACAAAATAGATTAAAAGGCAAAATTTGTGGCTAGGGACAAATAAGGACATTTTATAAAGGTAAATGTGTTCATCTGTCAAGAATATGTGACGATTATGAAAATATTTGGACCTGGCCACAGAGCCCAAAAATAAATAAACCGAAAACTGACAAAATTGAAGATAGATATAGGACAACTCAGCTGTCATAACTGGAAACTTTAATGTACCACTTTCAATAACGTATAGACAAACAAAAATTTGTTGATTGCCTTCCTTATGTGAAGCACTATTCTAAGCCCTAGGAATACAACGGTAAAAAAAAATAAGAAAAAATAACATTTTTTGCTTTCAAAAAGCTTAAATCCTCATGGTGGTGTGCTATGGTTTTACTATTCATAGCACTTAACATCACTATACCACCTAGCTTAGATTTCATTTCTCTGGTTTGTTTTCTATCGCCCTTCATTGATTTTCTGTTGCTTATAACGTAATAATGAAAACGTGGTAATTTATAACGAAAATGACTTTCTTTCTTACAGTTATGGAGGCTTGGAAGTCCAAGTGGAGGGGCACATCTGGTGGGAGCCTTCTTGCTAGTGTGTTCTCTTTAACGAGTCCTGAGATGACCAAGGGCATTGCACGGCAAGAGGACTGAGTAGGCTAGCATGCTATACTCAGGTCTCTCTTCCTCTTATAAAGCTACCAGTTCCCCTCCCGTGATAACCCATTCATCCATTAACACATTAATCCATGAATGGATTAATCAATTCATGAGGCCGGAAGCCTCATAATCCAATCATATTAAAGAGGCCCCACCTCTCACCACCTTTCAATACTGCCACATTGGGGATAAAGTTTCTTTTTTATTTATTTATTTATTTTATTGGGGATAAAGTTTCAACATGGATTTATGGAGGTGACATTCAAACCATATCACAGCACCATGAGAATTTAAGCTTTTTCAAAGGAAAAAATGTTATGTTTTCTTATTTTTTTTTTACCGTTGTATTGCCAGGGCATAGAATAATGCTTCACGTAAAGAAGGCAATCAACAGATTTTTGTTAACTAAATACTATGGAATGAACTAATAAAACACAAGAAAAAATTCCCAAAGTTTTACAGTGTTTTGTTTTTGGAAAACACATCAGTCTATATTAAATAAAGCAATTGAGTATTTTATGATCATAAACATAGGACATAATATCATTGAGTAAAAAACTAAGAATGAGAATAAAAGAATTAGGAAAACTGGCAATATTTTTTAAACATAATGCAAAATATTTATTATAAAGAAGCTGAGGTTATCCATCATACTTTCTGATTCACCAAGATTGTGGAAAGAGAGTCACCTGTTCTGGTAAAAAAAATAAAAAAAAAAATTCTTAAAAAAAATAACCGTGCTGAAAAATAATTTCTAGAGTGCAGCTGTGCATGTTAACATGCCCTTGAAGCACTTACTTGACTGTTGGACGACTGGATTTCAGGAGGCTTGCTTGAAGTCCAGCATGTTTTTAGCCTGGCTTTGGCATAAGATAAAAAACAAGAGCTTTACTCAGGAAAAGCTGACTAAGCTATGCACCTCCTAACTACGCAAAATTGGAAGACTGACTTAACTTTGCTGAGCCTCACTTTCTTATTTATTAAATGGGCCATACTACCTATCCGTGAGAGTTTTGAAAAATAAAGTATCATTTAAAAATCTATGGCTGGGTGCGGTGGCTCACGCCTGTAATTCCAACACTGGGAGGCCGACGTGGGTGGATCACGAGCTCAAGAGATCAAGACCATCCTGGCCAACTTGGTGAAACCCCATCTCTACTAAAAATACAAAAATTAGCTGGGCATACTGGCTCATGCCTGTAGTCCCAGCTACTCAGGAGGCTGAGGCAGGAGAATCACTTGAACCCAGGAGGCGGAGGTTGCAGTGAGCTGAAATCGTGCCACTGCACTCCAGCCTGGGTGACAAACAGCAAGACTCTGTCGCAAAAAACTAAATACATAAATATCGGTCCTAGTTGAGACTCTGTCTCAAAAAATAAACAAACAAACAAAACCTAAATTTAGTAGGTGTTCATTAAACGACAGCCATTATGATTAGTTTTACATGATTATTTCATTGCTCACGATTATACACATGACTGGTTTCGGAGTATGCAATATTATTCCCTTAATGGATCTGCATCTGTTATAATTAAGAAATGTTAGTTATCTAGCTACCAACACATACAAGTTATTTCATGAATAAGGACTGTTACCACTGTGGGGGAAGGCAGTTTTAAGTTTATGTCACAAGGTGACAACTTGAACAAAGTAATTCTCCTTGTGTCTAGGGATGTGGTATAAGATTTTCAAAAGGACAATTCTGTCTTGCTAAAACTTTTGATAGTCTATTGACAGATTGGCAAAGTTAGTGATCAGAGTTTCCTACTTTGTATTTGAATTGAGATGC
This sequence comes from Homo sapiens, assembly GCF_000001405.40. Classification (NCBI taxonomy): domain Eukaryota; kingdom Metazoa; phylum Chordata; class Mammalia; order Primates; family Hominidae; genus Homo; species Homo sapiens. Next base: position 141,561,623 of record NC_000023.11, on the reverse strand, counting down.
AGTTTAATTTAAATGTCATCCAAAATAAATTTTTTTTTTTTTGAGACAGAGTCTCACTCTGTTGCTCAGGCCGGAGTGCAGTGGTGCGATCTCGGCTCACTGCGACCTCTGCCTCCCTGGCTCAAGCGATTCTCCTGCCTCAGCCTCCCGAGTAGCTGGAATTATAGGCGCCCACCACCACGCCCAGCTAATTTTTGTATTTTTAGTAGAGATTGGGTTTCACCATGTGGGCCAGGCTGGTCTCCAACTCCTGACCTCAGGTGATCTGCCTGACTCGGCTTCCCAACAAAATAAATTCTTAAAAAGAGAACGACTTGCAATGATCCTATTTTGGCACATTATAATTACATCTTTCATATTACTCCTTCATTTCGATCTTCTCTCAGGTAGAAAAGTATAATTTATAAGTTTTCTGTCTTTTAAACGAAGACACAGTAATCACAAAGGGGGAAAAAATTTGAATCAAGGAATTAGCCAACTTACACCCCAAATAAACCTTATTTTTACTTTGTCAGACTACTGTCTTACTGCTCCCTTCACAGTAGCTCTCAGAGCAACAGTGTAAATGCAAAATAGGGTGTCGTCAAAGAGTGTGGGGTCCTGCTTAGAGTCTTTTACCACATGAGATATAGTGCCATCAAATGCCACGATCTTGCAGAAAAAGTCAACACAATCTGTTCCTGAAACATGCATCTTTTACAACCAAAACCACAGAGGGTATACGTGGTAAACAACCTAATTCTAATGGGGCAAAATGAAGATTTGGGGACAAACACCAGAATAAGCTGTCTTCAGTACTGGTCAGCAGGTTATTTTTATCCTAATTCAAAAAATTTAATTCACTTAACATTGACTGAGTTTGTCATGTACCAGGCAATATGCTAAGTAGGTGCATAGGGAGGATTTGGATAGGACACAGGTGGGCAGGGCTTGACCCTGGTTATCAAGAGACTTGCAGTCTGTTAAAAGATAGAAGCTTATCTTTTGGTTAACTGCTAAACATATTTGGCATATTCCAAGTTGTGTGTTATGCATTTATTCATAAAGTAACTAATCAGACTTTCAAAACAACACCAAGGAGTGGTTACTGCCCACGTTTTGTTTATGAGAAGATTGAGGACCCTGTGGCTAAAGCTTGATGCCACAGGTAACAGATCTAGTAAATGACAGAGCTGGAGTGTGCGTCCTGACCTTCACATTCTAAGTCCAAAAGCTATTTCCACTTTACCACACTTTCCTCCTTATATTTCATGTGTGAAGTGCTATAGGAGAATGATAACGCAATCTAAGAGTTTAAATAAGCCAATCTTTAATCAGAAGTTTTGCCCATCCTTCCTGGGAGAGTTATTTCAACTAGAACTTGTCGGGTAGGCATAATTTCAATAAACAGATGTGAGATGGAACAGAGGGGAGAAAACAGGCCTGTCAACTTGGGAATATCGAAAATGACAGCCGACTTTCGAGCGCAGAGACCCGTAAGGATGATGCCACCATTAACCATCATGGGAAACTCAACCAGGATAAGGCATAAAGCACTTGATATTTGTCAGGACTGCAGGATACCTGCTCCTCTATTTAAAAGATTAAATAATTCAAAGTCCCGTATTATCACATTTGTGCTAGACCCTACGGTATGGAGCTGGGAAAGAGATGAATAAATAGAACTTGCCTTTTACCTTTTAATTGTGTCTCTATCTTATTTATTAACTTTCAAAAGTAATGCATGCTTACTGTTTTTGAAAAAATAAACCTTACAAGATAAGAAAGTTTCAAAAAATTACATTCCTCGACCCCACGTCTACAGCGCAAACGTAATCAAATAGCCTAGTATGCACTCCTGCACTTCATTCGCCACCTCTTACAAACACATGCCAAAATACACACACACACATATGTAAACATTGAAAATCAATTGCATTGAGTTATACTTTATGTACAATAGAATGGAACTATTTAAGTGTACAGTTTGTCATTTTAACAAATTTTTACACCCATGCATTCACGCTGACAATCAAGATATAGAATATTTTCTCTACCTTAAAAATATTTTTGTGGCCCTTTGCTAGAAGTCCTCGCTATTTTCAGCCATATCATTGATCTATTTTTTCCAATAGATTAGTTTTACTTCTTGTACAATCTCATAAATAGGATTATACTACTTGTATACTTTTTTCCTCTGGCTTCTTTTACTTAGCATAATGTGTTTGATATCCATCTATATGTTGTATATAACAGTAGTTCGTTCCTTTGGATTCCTGAGTTGCACTCTATTGTATGAATATACCCCGATGATCCATTACCAGTTGATGGGCATTTGAGTTTATTCTAGATTATTAGCTATTGCAAATGAAATTCCTTGGAACATACATGTGCATGTATAGATGTTGCCGTATATTTTCATTTATGTTGGTGAGCCATAAAGTGAATGTATGTTTATTTTAATTTAAAATGCTCAACTTTTCTGAAAGCTATTATAAATTTTTACTTTCTCACCAGCAATTTATGAGCATTCTGGTTTGCTGCATAACCTCACCAATACTTGTAATTTTCTATCATTTGCCAGTTAGCAATACTACCAGGTGTGAAATAGTATCTCATTGCAAGTATAATGTGTATTTCTTCGATGATTAAAGACTGATAATTACACTTAATGTGTGCCTTGGCCATCTGCATATCTTCTTTTGTGAAGTCACAAGTGTTTTCTCAGATAAGTGTATTGTGAATATTTTCTCCCAATGTGCCATTTCATTTTCTTAATAGTGTCTTCTCAAAAGCAGGAACTTTTAATACTGATAAACCTAGTTTAACATTTTTATTTTCTTGTAGAGTTCACAATGTTGGTGTCCCACATTAGAAATCTTTGCCCTTTACAATGTCATAAACATTTATATTTCCTTCTAGGTCTATTTTTGGACCATCTCTTATCTTCCACTAATTTGTCTATCCTTATGTTAATACCATGCTGTCCTGATTATTTTAGCTTCATATTAAATCTTCAAATCATGTTGTTCATGTCCTGAAACTTTTCTTTTTTTCAGAATAATTTTGAATCGTTAAGTTCTTTTTATTTCCATATGAATTTTTTATCTCAGTTTCTCAATTTCAATTAAAAAAAAAGAACCTGCTGACATCTTAATAGATTGTATTGATCAATTTTAAGAAAACTTACATATTAACAATATTGACTTTTTCAATCCATGAACACAGTATAGCTGTCTATGTATTTAGTATTCATAAGTTTATTTCAGCAGTGTTTAATAATTTTACATGTACAGGTCTTACAAGCACATTTTAGTATATTTACCCATATATATATTTCATACTGTTACAAATGGCATTTTAAATTTTTTAATTTCTAATTCTCCATGCCTAGGATACAGGAATACATCTAATCTTATACACGGTGGCCTTTTGTCCTGTCATGTTGGTAAATTTACTTACCAGTTCTAGTAATTTTTTAAAAAGATAATTTAGGATAATCTATCTATCTATCTATCTATCTATCTATCTATCTATCTGTCTATCTAGAGAGATGTATTCTGTGAATACAGTTTTAATGTTCCTTTCAAAGCTGTATATATCTTATTTGTTTTCTCTTAACCAGAAGGAATTCAGTGTTAAATCATGAGCATGATGTTAGTTTGTTAGTTGGAGTAGTTTTTTCACAGATACAAGTTATCTGACTGAGAGTTTACTTTTCTACCCAGTTTTCTGAGAATTTTTATCATGAATATATAGTGAATTTTCTCACAAGCTTTTGCTGCATTTATTGAGATTTTTTTCTTCCTTCATTGGTTAATGAAGTACAAAGTTTGTTTTTCAAATGATAAATCAATCTCACATTACTGAGATAAAAAACATTTTGGCAAGATGGATTATTCAGTTTGGAGATATTTTGAAGGACTTTTGTATTTGTGCTCATAAGGGAAGTTGTACTGTGATTTTCTTATCTAGTTAGCTTTCTGTTTAGATTGTGTATCACGGTGTATTCGTTTCCTATTGCTGCTTTGAAAAATTACCACAAACTCAATGGCTTAAACCAATAAAATTACATTATTTTACAGTTCTGGAAGTCAGAAATCTAAAATGTGCCTTATAGGGCTAAAGGAGAGGTATCTGAAGGACTGCACTCCTCTGGAGGCTTTAGTGGGGAAGCCTTTTATGGGAGAAAGCTTTTTACAGATTCTAAAGATTGTCTGCAATTTTTGGCTTGTGGTCTTCTTCCAGCAATTACATCACTCCGCTCTCTGCTTCAGTTATCAAATCTCTTCTGACTCTCCTGCTTCCCTTTTCCCTTTAAAATAACCCTTATGATTACAGCGACCCCACAATCCAGGATAAATATTCCATTATAAGCATCTTAACTAATCACATCAGAAAAATTATTTTGATGTGTAAGGTAACATAGTCACAGGTTCTGGAGGTTAGGGCTTCGAAATTTTTGTGGAAGAAGCAAGCATTATTCTTCATACCACACTGATTGATGCTAGCTGATATGGTTTGGCTGTGTCCCCACCCAAATCTCATCCTGAAGTTCCATGTATTGTGGGAGGGACCTGGTGGGAGGTAACTGAATCATGGGAGCAGGTATTTCCTGTGCTCTTCTTTTGACAGTGAATAAGTCTCATGACATCTCTGATGGTTTTCTTTTTTATTTTTTTGACAGAGTCTCACTCTGTCGCCCAGGCTGGGGCGCAGTGGCGCAATCTCGGGTCACTGCAACCTCCGCCTTCCGGGTTCAAGCGATTCTCCTGCCTCAGCCTCCCTAGTAGCTGGAATTACAGGAACCCACCACCATGCCTGCCTAATTTTTATATTTTTAATAGAGACGGGGTTTCACTATGTTGGCCAGGCTGGTCTCAAACTCCTGACTTTAGGTCGTCCACCCGCCTTGGCCTCCCAAAGTGCTGGGATTATAGGCATGAGCCATGGTGCACCCGGCCTTGCTGATAGTTTTATAAGGTGGAGTTCCCCTGCACAAGCTCTCTCTTTGCCTGTTGCCATCTACGTTAAGATGTGACTTGCTCCTCCTTCCCTTCTGCAATGATTGTGAGGCCTCCCCAGCCATGTGGAACTGGAAGTTCATTAAACCCCTTTCCCTTTTGTAAATTGACCAGTCTCGGGTATGGGATTTTTTTTTTTTTTTTTTTGAGACTAAGTCTTGCTCTGAGGCCCAGGATGATGTCAGCTCACTGCAACCTCTGCGTCCCGGGACGAAGTGATTCTCCTGTCTCAGCCTCCCAAGTAGATGTGATTATAGGTGTGCACCAACACACCCAGCTGATTTTTTGTATTTTTAGTAGAGACGGGGTTTCACCATATTGGCCAGGCTGCTCTCGAACTCCTGACCTCAAGTGATCCACCTGCCTTGGCCTCCCAAAGTGCTGGGATTACAGGTGTGAGCCAAGCACCCAATCCAGGTATGTCTTTATTAGCAGTATGAAAATAAACTAATACAGTAAATTAGTACCAGTAGAGTGAGGTGCTGCTGAAAAGATACCCAAAAATGTGGAAGCTACTTTTGAACTGGGTAACAGGCAGAGGTTGGAACAGTTTGGAGGGCTCAGAAGAAGACAGGAAAATGTGGGAAAGTTTGGAACTTCCTAGAGACTTGTTGAATGGCTTTGCCCAAAATGCGGATGGTGAGATGGATGATAAAGTCCAGGCTGAGGTGGTCTCAGATGGATATGAGGAATTTGTTGGGAACTGGAGCAAAGGTGACTCTTGTTATGTTTTAGCAAAAAGGCGGCAGCATTTTGTTCCTGCCATAGAGATCTGTAGAACTCTGAACTTTATTGGGGGAACCCACCCCCAATATTTCCACGTAGGTTCTTCCTATTTTCCGTAAGTGTCGACCAGCTGAGAAATAAAGAGAAAGAGTACAAGAGAGGAATTTTACAGTTGGGCCGCCAGGGGTGACATCACATACCGGTAGGACCGTGATGCCCACCTGAGCCTCAAACCAGCAAGTTTTTTTATTAAGGATTTCAAAAGGGGAGGGGGTGTAAAACAGAGAGTAGGTACAAAGATCACATGATTCAAAAGGCAAAAAGTAGAACTACTAATAAGGGTCTAACAAAGATCACATGCTTCTGAGGGAACAGGACAAAGGGAAAAAGCAGAACCACTGATAAGGGTCCAACAAAGATCACAAGGCAAATGGCAAAAGCAGAACCACTGATGAGGGTCTATGTTCAGCGGTGCACGTACTGTCTTGATAAACATCTTAAACAAAAGAAAACAGGGTTCCAGAGCAGAGAACTGGTCTGACCACAAATTTACCAGGGTGGAGTTTTTTCCCCACCCTAGTAAGCCCGAGGGTACTGCAGGAGACCAGGACGAATCTCAGTCCTTAGCTCAACTGCATAAGACAGACATTCCCAGAGCGGCCGATTATAGACCTTCCCCCAGGAATGCATTCCTTTCCCAGGGTATTAATATTAATATTCCTTGCTAGGAAAAGAATTTAGCGATCTCTCCCCTACTTGCACGTCCATTTATAGGCTCTCTGCAAGAAGAAAAATATGGCTCTTTTTGCCCGACCACACAGGCAGTCAGACCTTATGGTTGTCTTCCCTTGTTCCCTAAAAATCACTGTTAATCTGTTCTTTTTTAAGGTGCACTGATTTCATATTGTTCAAACACACATGCTTTACAATCAATTTCTACAGTTAACACAACTATCACAGTGGTCCTGAGGTGACGTACATCCTCAACTTATGAAGATAACAGGATTAAGAGACTAAAGTAAGACAGCTTTTGAAATTATAAAAGTATTATTTGGGAACTGATGAATGTCCATGAAATCTTCACAATTTATGTTCCTCTGCCAGAGCTCCAGCCAGTCCCTCCATGCAGGGTCCCTGACTTCCTGCAAAAGAACCTGAGGGAGATGATTTAGGGTATCTGGCAGAAGAAATTTCTAAGCAGCAAAGCATTCAAGAGGTGACTTGGGTGCTGTTAAAGGCATTCAGTTTTATAAGGGAAGCGGAGCATACAACTTTGGAAAATTTTCAGCCTGACAATGGGACAGAAAATAAAATCCCAGCCAGGCACGGTGGCTCACACCTGTAATCCCAGCACTTTGGGAGGCCGAGGCAGTCGGATCACAAGGTCAGGCATTTGAGACCAGCCTGGCCAACATAGTGAAACCCCATCTCCACTAAAAATACAAAAAAATTAGTTGGGTGTGGTGGCACACGCCTGTAGTCCCAGCAACTCGGGAGGGTGAGGTGGGAGAATTGCTTGAAACTGGGAGGTGCAGATTGCAGTGAGCCGAGACCACGCCATTGCACTCCAGCCTGGGTGACAGAGTAAGACGCCACCTCAAAAAAAAAAAAAAAAAGAAAGAAAAAAAAAGAAAAGAAAATCCCATTGGCTTAGGAGAAATTCAAGGCAGCTGCAGAAATTTGCATAAATAACAAGGAGCCGAATGTTAACCCCCAAGACAATGGGTAAAATGTCTCCAGGGCACGTCAGAGGTCTTCACGGCAGCCACTCTCATCATAGGCCTGGAGGCCTAGGAGGAAAACACGGTTTTATGGGCTGGGCCCAGGATCCCCTGGTGTGTGCAGCCTAGGTATTTGGTGGCCTGTGCCCCAGCTGCTCCACCTGTGGCTGAAAAGGGCCAACACAGAGCTCAGGCCGTGGCTTCAGAGGGTGCAAGCCCCAAGCCTTGGCAGTTTCCACATGCACTTGAGCCTGCAGGTGCACAGAAGTCAAGAATTGAGGTTTGGAAACCTATGCCTAGATTTCAGAAGATGTATGGAAATGCTTGGATGCCCGGGCAGAAGTTTGCTGGAGGGACAGGGCCCTCATGGAGAACCTCTTCTAGGGCAGTGCAGAAGGGAGACGTCGGGTCACGACCCTCACACAGGGTCTCTACTGAAGCACCACCTAGGGATAGCTGGGAAAAGAGGGCCACTGTCCTCCAGACCCCAGAATGGTAGCTCCTCCGACCACTTGCACCATATACCTGGAAAAACAGCAGACACTCAACACCAGCCCATGAGAGCAGCCAGGAGGGAGGCTGTACCCTGCAAAGCCACAGGAATGAAGCTGCCTAAGACCATGGCAACCTACCTCTTCTATCAGTGTGACCTGGATGTGAGACATGGAGTCAAAGGAGATAATTCTGGAATTTTAAAATTTGACTGCCCCGCTGGATTTCAGACTTGCATGGTATCTGTAGCCCCTTAGTTTTGTCTAATGTCTCCCACTTGGAATGGCTGTATCTACTCAATGCCTGTACCCTCATTGTATCTAGGAAGTAACGAACTTCCTTTTGATTTTACAGGCTTATAGGCACAAAGGACTTGCCTTGTCTCAGATGAGACTTTGAACTTTAGACTGTGGACTTTTGAGTTAATGCTGAAATGAGATAAGACTTTGGGGGACTGTTTGGAAGGCATGATTGGTTTTGAAATGTGAGGAGGACATGAGATTTGAGAGGGTCCAGGGACACAATGATATGGTTTGGCTGTGTCCCCACACAAATCTCATGTTTAATTCTTATGTGATGTTGGAGGGACCTGGTGGGAGGTAACTGAATCACAGGGACAGGTCTTTCCCATGCTGTTCTCATGATAGTGAATAAGTATCATGAGATCTGATGGTTTCATAAGGGGGAGTTGCCCTGTACAAGCTCTCTCCTTACCTGCCATCATCCACGTAACATGTGACTCTCCCCTCCTTGCCTTCTGCCATAATTGTGAGACCTCCCCAGCCACATGGAACCGTAAGGCCATTAAACCTCTTTCTTTTGGAAATTGCCCACTCTTGGGTATGTCTTTACTAGCAGTGTGAAAATGACTAATACACCAGCCTTATGAAATAAAATTAGAACTGTTTCCCCAAACCTTTTTTTCTTTTTTCTTAGTTCTTTTTTGGTTGTAAGAGACAGCATCTCAGTATATCTCCAAGGTTGCTCTTGAACTCCTGGGCTCAAGCAATCCTCCTGCCTCAGCCCCCAAGTTGCTAGGACTATAGGCATATGTCACCACCCCTGGTTCCCTGACCTTTCGTTTCTGAAATAATTCACATATGATTTTTGCATGACTTCTATTTTAACATTTGATAAGATCACCAGTATAGTTACCTTGTCTTGGAGTTTTCTTTGTGGCAACGGGATTCATTTTGAACTCAATTACTTTCATGTGAATATGGATCCTCAGAGTTCATGTTTGGGATTGTAGTTGTTTGCAAAGTTGTGTCTATCAAAGCAGTTGTCCCTTCAATCTACGTTACAAATGTATTGTCATAATCTTGTTTGGAATGTGTTTAAATATTTTAATGACTACAGGATATATAGTCACATTCTCCTTTGCACTCCTTATATTTATAATTTGTGTCTTCTATATTTTTCTCCTGATCATTGAAAAAAAATTCTTCTAAACTTACACGACATAATCATGATCTCAAGCCCCTTCAATTTGTGTAGCTCCAAAACTTGTATAGTACCCATCATTTTCCTTCAATCTGAAAAACTTCCTTTAACATTTCTGATGTTTCAGGACTGCTGGTATAAAATTATCTCTGCTTTTGATTTGTGTTTCTGAAAATGTCTATATCTTAACTCCAAAATTTTTTTATTTGATACAGAAATCTACATTGATAGCTGGATTTGTTTAATGCTTTACAAGTTTCGTTAAAGAGTTTTCTGGCTTTATAATTTCTGACAAGAAGTCTGTAATAATTCTTTTTATTCCTCTACATGTAACACATCTTTCTTTGTTCTGTTTTTAACTTCATTTGCCATCTCCTGTTTTATAAATTTTACTATGATACATTTGGTTTGGTTTTCTTTGTGTTTACTCTCCTGTGTTTTATTGAACTCCTTGGTTCTATGAATTTAGCTTTTAACCACATTTACGAAATGTCCATTATGTCCATATATATATGTATATATACACACACACATACACTTTAGATGGAGTCTCGCTCTGTTGCCCAGGCTGGAGGGTATTGGTGCAATCCCGGCTCACTGCAACCTCCGCCTCCTGGGTTCAAGTGATTCTCCTGCCTCAGCCTCCCCAGTAGCAGGGACTACAGGTGTGTGCCACCATGCCTGGCTACTTTTTTGTACTTTTAGTAGAGATGGGGTTTCACCGTGTTAGCCAGGATGGTCTTGATCTCCTGACCTTGTGATCCATCCACCCTGACCTCCCAAAGTGTGAGCCAACACACCTCGCCTCCAATAATTTTTCTAATCTTGTCTCTCTTTTCATTCTTGATCTTTTAATATACATATACAGAATCATGTAGTATTATTCTACTGGTCACTAGTGCTTTTGTTAATTTTTTTTTTTTTTTTTTTTGAAATGGAGTCTCGCTCTATCACCAGGCTGGACTGCAGTGGTGTGATCTCGGCTCGCTCCAACCTCCGCCGCCCGGGTTCAAGCAATTCTCCTGCCTCAGCCTCCCGAGGAGCTGGGACTACAGGCACGCACCACCACGGCCAGCTAATTTTTGTATTTTTAGTAGAGATGGGGTTTCACCATGTTGGCCAGGATGGTCTCGATCTCTTGACCGCGTCATCTGCCCGCCTCAGCCTCCCCAAGTGCTGGGATTATGTGCGTGAGCCACCGTGCCTGGCCTGTTAATATTTAATAAACATTTCAGAATAGTTTCAGATTTACTGCAAAGACATGAATATAGTATAGTAACTTCCCACATAAGAAAATCTCATACCTCGTTTTTTTATTATTAACATCTTACACTAGTATAGTGCATTTCCCAATACTAATAGCCAATATTCATACAATATTATTAACTAAAGTCCTTGTATTACTCAGTATGCCTTAGGTTTTACCTGTTGCTGCTTTCTGATCCTGTGCAAGATACCATATTACATCTACTCCTCAAGTCTCCTTAGGCTCCTCTTGGCTGTGACAGCTTTTCAGATTGTCCTTACTTTTTATGACCCTGACAGAGCTTTGAGAGGTACTAGTGAGGTGTTTTATAGAGCATCCTTCAGTTGGGATATGTCTGGTGATACTCGTATTATTAGACTAACATTATGAGATTTGGGGCAGAAAATCTCACAGAGGCAAACTATTTTCCTTGTCATATTATATCAGGGTTACATGATATCGCATGACAAACTGCTGAGGATATTAGGCTTAATCACGTCGTCAAACCAGCGTATGACAGGTTTCTCCACTGTAAAGGTACTCCTTGTTTTCCATACATTGCTTTTTCAAAGCAAATCATTAAGTGAAGCCAATACTAAAAAGAGAGGGGGATTAAACACCACTTGTTGGATTAGGGAGTATCAACATAAAATATCTGAAATTCTTCTATATGGATTTCTCTATTCTCCATTATTTGTTTTTTTTCCAATAATTAATTTATATCACTATAAAATCCCAGATACTTATTGTATGCTTTGGAGTAAAATTTAATATTGCCTCATTAATTTTCTTCCTCAAATTATTTCAACTTTGGCCATTGTGTGCTCTTTCAGTTGGCTCCTGTGTCCTTTTGATATGCTCTCATTTTTCTGTTTTTAAAAATTTCTTTACTTTCTGGTACCGTAAGAAGCTTCAGGCTCATCTTATGTACTGCCTGCCCTAGTTCTAGAAACAGCCATTTCTTCAGGCATTCCTATTTTGTTTTTCTCTTTAATTAGATAATCATATTAGAAACCTAGACCTGGGTCCTAGCTTTGTTGGTTGTCAATGGGTTGCCATTGTTTTTAGGCTCTCGCAGTTGACAAAGCAAGAAAACATAGGTATGTGTACTAGGCTGTGTATATCAGCCTATCTATAAATATTTCTGTATGTATGCTACGTTAAACATGACTTTATATTGATGTCTTCAGCTCTAATCCATTACTACATGCATCATTCTAGTTTTCTGCCTCATTTGTCTACAACCTTTCATTCTAACTGTGAGAAACTAGGCTCCCACAGTCCATCATTTATTTGCTCACTTGGTTAGCTGCAGTGTCAATGTATACTGGTTTCAGAATTGTTAACCCATGTTCCCATGGGAAGCAATGTTATACTACAGAATGCAGTGTTTATGTGAGCTCCTTTTACATTTAATCTCCTAAGCTCATTTCCACCTTTTCTCCTAACCTCCCCGGTAAGATGATTTAATAGATTTGTAAATCAGTCATATTCTATTGTCACAGTCTGAATTTTCTATCTTTGCTTCAGTTTAAGTAATTCCCATATCTTTTATTTTGCAGTGTCTACTGTGATAGTAATTACACACACTTCGCTTTCAGTATCAGATGGCATATGTTTCAGCTCAAAAATTCCATGTTTTGTCTTCCATTACTCTCATTACAGTATTTTAATAACTATTTTAGGCTGGGCCTGGTGGCTCACGCCTGTAATCCAGCACTTTGAGAGGCCAAGGCAGGTGGATCACCAGAGGTCAAGAGTTGGAGACCAGCCTGCCCAACATGGCGAAACCCCGTCTCTACTAAAACTACAAAAAAATAGCTGGCCTGGTAGCAGGCACCTGCAATCCCAGCTACTTGGGAGACTGAGACAGGAGACTAGCTTGAACCCGGGAGGCAGAGGTTGCAGTGAGCCGAGATCGGGCCACTGTAGTCCAGCCTGGGTGACCAGAGTGAAACTCCATCTCAAAAACAAAAACAAAAACAAAACAAAACTATTTTAAAGCTTTGCCAGCCAATCTAATTATCTCTGATTTCCTCCAGGTTATGGGTCACAATTTGCTGTTGCGCTGCTTGTTTTTTTGTTTGTTTGTTTGTTTGTTTTGTTTCGTTGCTGTTGTTGCTAGGCAATAAACTGAAGATCAGCTTAATCTTTTTGGATACTAATTTTAAAGTTCGTTTATTAAGTGTCACTAGGCTATACCTAGAATAGCCTTTACTCTTGGGATACTTTAGCCTTCTGGTGCCTACTGAGTGCTTAGAGCATTAAGTGGCGTTTCTCTATTTCACTGGTGGGGTATTAAAGATGTTTCAGTCCTATGTGGTAGGAAATTTTGAAAAGCAGTCTTTGACAGCCAGCAACTGGTCAGACACTCATAGCTAGGCCTCAGTGCTATTAGAAGCTGGGCTGCCACTCACAGCTAAGCCATATTATTCTCTTGGTGAAGACGGACAATTTCACAGAACACCAATTTCAGACCATGATAAAGTAAGATAAAATAAGGTCATCTCATAATTTTGTCTGAGGATAGACACAAATAAGATCGCTGTGCAATGCAAAAACTGCAAAATATCCCACTTACCTGCTAATTTGAGTGACTGCTACTTGTTTTCCCAATTACAGCTTTATATTTGTTCTAGCCTGCCCTCCTTTTATACAAATTCTACTCAGATACCCAGTTGTAGAATTGCTCCCGTTTCCTGACAGCAGTTAATCTAGACAAAACTCCCTCTTCCTCAGACCCTTTACCAAATTACCCAGCCAAAGCCCAAATCCTATAAGAAGTTCTTTCTAAGACTCTATATCTGAGTTGTCAGGTACTTACACAACTTTTCCTGCCAATATAAACAACCAGAAAACATATTGGAAACAACTTATTTTCTAATCTAGACAAAGGGCAGTGCGGGGTTATGATCACTAAAAGAAGGAAAACAAACGAGATGGTGTTTATTCTCCTTCACCGCAACGAGTGAGTAATAAACCCAAATTCTTAAACAACAACTGTGTTCTTGTAGGGCAGTGACAGTGAGCTCTGAAAAATTTTCAGTTGATGATTCCCAGGCACTCGTTCTTTCTCTTGCCTCACGGGACTCACCCTGCAAATGTGTTGATTAGTAGTGAAGGATTCAAAGGGCCCACAGAAAGATTTCTGGAGCTTTTTTTCTGCATAGCTCCCTCCTCTCTCTATTATTCTGCTATAAAATTCCAATTCATTTCAAATACCTAAATTCTGATTTCTATCTTTTCAATTTCGTGAAACAAAAGTCTCTCTTACTTGAATTCTTTCTGTGTCATCGTTCTAAAATTCCTTCCTGATAGGAAGCTGGAGTGATTGTAGAGCTCACCTCTTTGTTTCTCTTAGTGAACACAGTGCTATACTGCCCATTATCCTGATTAATGAAAACATCTGTTTCAAATATTTGTTCTCATTTTCTGGTTGTTCACGTTGGGAGAGAACATGGACAGAAGTGGAAGTTAGTAAACAATAACGTATTACATAGCTTCGAACAACTCAAAAGAGGTCATTGAACGTTCCTAACATAAATAAATGATAAATGTTGGAGATGATGGATATGCTAATTACCCGAATCTGATCACTACACATTGTACATATCAAAGCATCACTATGTACTGCATAAATATGTACAGGTATTATTTATCAATTACAAAAATTAATTTAAAAATTTAATCATACCATATATATTTCTTTGCTATTTTCAATCCCCACCTCACCCCTTTGTAAACATATCAAAGATATACTATAGATGAAATTCTACTTTACTTTATTTAATATCTGGTTAATATTTTAGAGGTTATATTCACTCATATGTATATAATCAACGCATTTTTAATGAACATTTCTTCCAATATATATGTCTGCGCATGTGGTATCTTGTTATCCCTATACATAATGTTGCATTATTTTATTAATTCTTATGTCCATATGCTCAACAAAATTATTGAGATGCTACTATATGCTAGGCACTATGTATTAAAATGGTTATGGCTTCTGTTGCTGTAGCTATGAAATGAAAAGAAAAAAAGCAATGACTTTGGCTACTTCTGAGAAATGTACTTTAATTTTCCCGAGTGGAATTTCTTAACGCTTATCAGAATCCTAGTTTATAGAATCAGGTAGATCCACTTTACATATCTGCAAAATATCTTATTTATTTCTCTCACAAATGCATTTTTAAAGTTTATATGCAAGCTGTGATTGTATAAGTGTAATTTTAAATAACTTTTTTGATGACAAGATTATAATCAGGTGAGTCAAAGCCGCTTGCTACATACATTTCATTTTCTAATATGCTATTTAAGGCAGGGTACTGATGTAACCAATGGGCTAGAGATAGTTTTAGGCAGCAGGTGGTATGTGGTTACATTTTAAAAATGAACAAAAACAGAAGTAAAAATCCTTAAAATGTTTGATTGAAGAAATACAATCATAGAGTTTCTTACTAGTCAATAGCTTCGCACTTTGGGATGAGAACAGGATATCAAGAACCAGAAAAGAGTTATAGCCTTTTCTTCCCTCTTGGTAATTTCTTGTCTGTGCTACCTAAGGAGGGGAGAAGGTAGGCTTACCGGAAGGGTGTATTAGTCCATTCTCATGCTGCTATAAAGGACTGTCTGAGACTGGGTAATTTATAAAGAAAATAGGTTTCATTGACTCACAGTTCTACGTGGCTGGGGAGGTCTCAGGAACCTGACAATCACGGCAGAAGGGGAAGCGAACATTTCCTTCTTCACATGATGGCAGGAAGGAGAAGTGCCCAACAAAAGGGGGAAACGCCTCTTATAAAACCATCAAATATCATGAGAACTCGCTCACTATCAGGAGAACAGCAGCATGGGGGTAACTGGCACTATGATTAAATTACCTCCCACCGGGTCTCTCCGACAACACATGGGGATTATGGCAACTACTACAATTCAAGATGAGATTTCGGTGGGAACTCAGCAAAACCATATCAAAGGGTAACTAAAACCTGTTATTATTGGGAAACATTTTTTTTTCTACCTAGAAAAGGAAGAGCAAAGGCAAAGGTATTTAATGTGAAACTGGTTTTGAATCATGAACAACAATCATAATACAGTGTTTACTGTATTCGAAATGCTACTCTTTATGACTTCTCTTTTCACTCATTATGGTTTTTACTTATTCTAGTAATTAAAAAATCAGGACTTTAGAAAAAAATGGAAAGAAGAATATTTGACTAGAACAATATTAGATTTCCTTTTCGGTTAACTTTTTGCAATCCGATTTCCTTTCTAATTTATTAAATCCTTATTATGTACTGTTTGTTATATATTGGGAGTGAAAATATGTTTTAAAATGAAGGGAGGCAACAAGTAGAGAAGAAATTAGTAAAATCCATTCTTGGCTCAGGCATCTTAAAATACCAAGTCAGCAATACAAATAGGCTTTCATTTTCAAGCATTTACCAAGCTATCCATAGCTTTTTAAGTACTATTATATTTCATCCTAAAGAGGGTTCTATGAGGTTAAGTACTTTCATTATTCCTGATTCACACATGAGGAAATGGAGGCTTAGAGAAGTCAGGTAGCTTGCCTAAGCTTACACAGCTAGTAAAAGGTAAAGCTAAGTTTCAAACCCAGGTCGGTGTGAATACTTCATTTTCATTTTTTTCCTATGATTTTCTACTGTTTTAATTATACAGAGTTCTTTGTAAAGTCCTTAACCTTTTTAGAGGTAATTTTTTTTTCTTATGGTTAGCTTCAATTGGATGTTCATAGGTAAGACATTTTACAAAATATGTATGACTTTTGGCCCTATAACAACGCTTTGACTCCATGACTTTAGAGGATGTCTCCCTAGCCTTCCTGTTTTCTCACAAAGTTAATGAGATGAGGTGGGCAAGGCACATGGTAGGAGCCAGAAGATTCCCCTTAATCTAAGCGCTGCCTCCGATTGCCCTGGTGCTCTTGGTTGATATTTGACTTTACTCTGCCGAGGGGCAAGGAAGAAGCACTTATTACACAAAGATAAATGATCAGATGTTTCTCAAAGTCTGACTTTGGATCATTTCCAGACTTCTGAAGAGGTTTATTTATTCTGACTATTTTTGCCAGTGTTCTTACCGCTTTTATGAGGAAATGATTTCAAAAGTCCTTGTTTTGCCATTTTACTTAACACAGTTAACAGATTTGTTACTTTTCAAATTTAAAGAAAAAATACTCTCACTTATAAATATTACCATAACAATGTTAAATAAAATATTAGAAATTGAATTATGCAGAGTTTTAAAATAAATAATACACTAGGGCCATGTAATGTTTGATGAGGAAATTAAAATAATCATCCTATATTTGAAAATTAAAAATAGAATCAACCATATTCACGTGACTGTAGTAGGTAGTTTTTTAAATGTCCTCCAGTGGTCCCTATCTCTTAGTATTTATGCCCTTGCGTAATCCCCTTCTGCGATAGTTAATTTAAAGGTCAACTTGACTCGGTTAAGGGATGCCCAGAAAGCTGGTAAAACTTTATTTCTGAGTATGTCTGTGAGGGTGTTTCCTGAAGTGATTAGTATTTCAATCAGTAGACTGAGTAAAGAAGATCTTCACTCACCAATGTGGGTAGACATCATTTAATATGTTGAGAGATAAAACAGAATCAAAAGGCAGAGGAATGGAGAATTCTTTCTGCTTGAGCTGAAACATCCAACTTCTCCTACCCTTAGAAATTGGAGCTCCTTGTTCTTGGGCCTTTAGACTCAAACTAAATTACACCACTGGCTTTCCTGGTTCTCCAACTTTCGGACATCAGATGGTGAAACTTAGCCTTCACAAATGCATGAGTAAGTTCCCATTCTCCGTCTCCCTCTCTCTCTCCCTCTCCCTCCCTCTCTCTCTCTCTCTTTCTCTTTCTCTCTCTCAATCTCTGTCTGTCCATCCATCCTACTGGTTCTGTTTCTCTGGAGAACCCTGACTAATTACAAGTCTCTTTCTGTGTGAGCTGAACCCATGGATTTCCTTCTAATAAGTAGAATAAGGCATGAGTGACGGCGTATCAGTTGCAAATGACATGACAAAAGACTCTGCCTGTTATGTTACTGGTATTCTTACTGACACTCTATTTTGCCCTCTCACCTGCACGTACTGATGAAACCAGCTGCCTTGATGTATGCTGAACAATGGAAAAACCCACTTCCCAACAAGCACAGAATTATTTCCTCCCCCAGCTCATCCATAAAATGACTGCAACCTTGACTGGATCCTGTCAAAATCCCTGAGTCAGAGGAACCACATAAGCCACATGCAGATTGTTGACCTACAGAAACTGTTAAGGTAATTCAGGTTTTTCTTTTAAGCCTAAATATTAGAGTAATTGTTTACACAGCGATATATAATGCAATGATAACTGGAAAATTATATAATGATATTTACTGCTGTCATCACTGCATTGAGTTTTAACTGAAAGAACATAGTAAATTAAGACTAGGATACATACTTCCTCAATGACAATGACAATCCCAAATCAACAGCTGAAACTATATTTAAAAGTAAACTCTATAGGATCCTCAATTGACATCGGGACATGAATTATTCAAGGTACTGGGTGAAATAGAATACCATTTGAAAAGAAAAGAATGTCACATCATGCACCAAAAGAAATAAAAATAGGTTAAATAATTTCTGAAAATAAAACTATAAAAGTGGGAAAAGGAAATACTGGTAAATATTCATACAATCTTCAGTTTGGAAACTCTTTTAAATACAACACCAACCAAGGTCAAAAACCTTAAAGAAAAATATTAATATATCTGGCTACACAAAATTATAAATTTTAGGATGTCATAAAAATACATTAAAATTTTAAAAGAAAATTAATCAATTGTAAAAAATTTGTCGAAAATGCTAGGTGTGAAGGTTCCAAGATGGCCAAATAGGAACAGCTCCAGTCTACAGCTCCCAGCACGAGTGACTCAGAAGACGGGTGATTTCTGCATTTCCAACGGAGATATCGGGTTCATCTCACTGGGGCGTGTCAGACTGTGGGTGCAGCCCATGGAGCGTGAGCCCAAGCAGGGCAGGGCATCGCCTCACCCGGGAAGCGCAAGGGGTCGGGGAATTCCCTTTCCTATCCAAGGGATGCCATGACAGACGGTACCTGGAAAACCGGGACACGCTCACCCTAATACTACGCTTTTCCAACAGTCATAGCAAACAGCACACCAGGAGATCATATCCCACGCCTGGCTTGGAGGGTCCCACGCCCACGGAGCCTCACTCACTCATAGCACAGTAATCTGAGATCGAACTGCAAGGCAGCAGCGAGGCTAGGGGAAGGGCGTCCACCATTAATGAGGCTTGAGTAGGTAAACAAAGCAGCTGGGAAGCTCGAACTGGGTGGAGCCCACCGCAGCTCAAGGAGGCCTACCTGCCTCTGTAGACTCCACCTCTGGGGGCAGGGCATAGCAGAACAAAAGGCAGCGCAAATTTCTACAGACTTAAAAGTCCCTGTCTGACAGCTTTGAAGAGAGCAGTGGTGCCCCCAGCATGGAATTTGAGATCTGAGAATGGACAGACTGCCTCCTCAAGTGGGTCCCCGACCCCCGAGTAGACTAACTGGGAGGCACCTCCCAGTAGGGGCCAACTGACACCTCATACGGCTGGGTGCCCCTCTAAGACAAAACTTCCAGAGGAAGGATCAGGCGGCAACATTTGCCGTTCTGCAATATTTGGTGTTCTGCGGCCTCGGCTGGTGATACCCAGGCAAACGGGGTCTGGAGTGGACCTCCAGGAAACTCCAACAGACCTGCAGGTCCGGGTCCTGACTGTTAGAAGGAAAACTAACAAACACAAAGGACATCCACACCAAAACCCCATCTGTACGTCACTATCATCAAAGACCAAAGGTAGATAAAACCACAAAGATGGGGAGAAACCAGAGCAGAAAAGCTGAAAATTCTAAAACTCAGAGGGAGCCTCTTCTCCTCCAAAGGAATGCAGCTCTTCGCCAGCAACAGAACACGGCTGGACGGAGAATGTGCATGCACAAGCTTCAGTAGCTGATTCGATCAAGTGGAAGAAATGGTGTCAGCGATTAAAGATCAAATGCATGAAAGGAAGCGAGAAGACAACTTTAGAGAAGAAAGAGTAAAAAGAAACGAACAAAGCCTCCAAGAAATATGGGACTATGTGAAAAGACCAAATCTACGTCTGATTGGTGTACCTGAAAGTGACGGGGAGGATGGAACCAAGTTGGAAAACACTCTGCAGGATATTATCCGGGAGAACCTCCCCAACCTAGCAAGGCAGGCCAACATTCAAATTCAGGAAATACAGAGAATGCCACAAAGATACTCCTCGAGAAGAGCAACTCCAAGACACATAATTGTCAGATTCACCAAAGTTGAAATGAAGGAAAAAATATTAAGGGCAGCCAGAGAGAAAGGTCTGCTTACCCACAAAGGGAAGCCCATCAGACTAACAGCGGATCTCTCGGCAGAAACTCTACAAAAGCCAGAAGAGAGTGGGGGCCGATATTCAACATTCTTAAAGAAAAAATTTTCAACCCAGTATTTCATCTCCAGCCAAACTAAGCTTCGTAAGTAAAGGAGAAACAAAATCCTTTACAGACAAGGAAATGCTAAGAGATTTTGTCACCACCAGGCCTCCCTTACAAGAGCTCCTGAAGCAAACACTGAACATGGAAAGGAACGACCGGTACCAGCCACTGCAAAAATATGCCAAGCTGTAAAGACCTTCGAGACTAGGAAGAAACTGCATCAACTAACGAGCAAAATAACCAGCTAGCATCATAATGACAGGATCAAATTCACACATAACAATATTAACCTTAAATGGAAATGGGCTAAATGCTGCAATTCAAAGACACAGACTGACAAATTGGATGAAGAGTCAAGACCCATCACTGTGCTGTATGCAGAAGACACATCTCACGTGCAGAGACACACATAGGCTCAAAAGAAAGGGATGGAGGAAGATCTACCAAGCAAATGGAAAGCAAAAAAAAAAAAGCAGCGGTTGCAATCCTAGTCTCTGATAAAACAGACTTTAAACCAACAAAGATCAAAAGAGACAAAGAAGGCCATTACATAACGGTAAAGGGATCAATTCAACAAGAGCTAACTATCCTAAATATATATGCACCCAATACAAGAACACCCAGATTCATAAAGCAAGCCCTTAGAGACCTACAAAGAGACTTAGACTCCCACACAATAATAATGGAAGACTTTAATACCCCACTGTCAACATTAGACAGATCAATGAGACAGAAAGTTAACAAGGATATCCAGGAATTGAACTCAGCTCTGCTCCAAGCGGACCGAATAGACATCTACAGAACTCTCCACGCCAAATCAACAGAATATACGCTCTGCTCAGCACCACATCACACTTATTCCAAAATTGACCACATAGTTGGAAGTCAAGCACTCCTAGGCAAACGTAAAACAACAGAAATTATAACAAACTGTCTCTCAGACCACAGTGCAATCAAACTGGAACTCGGGATTGAGAAACTCACTCAAAACCGCTCAACTACATGGAAACTGAACAACCTGCTCCTGAATGACTACTGGGGGTACATAACGAAATGCAGCCAGAAATACAGATGTTCTTTGAAATCAACGAGAACAAAGACACAACATACCAGAATCTCTGGGACACATTCAAAGCAGCGTGTAGAGGAAAATTTATAGCACTAAATGCCCACAAGAGAAAGCAGGAAAGATCTAAAATTGACACCCTAACATCACAATTAAAAGAACTAGAGAAGCAACAGCAAACACATTCAAAAGCTAGCAGAAGGCAAGAAATAACTAAGATCACAGCAGAAGTGAAGGAGATAGAGACACCAAAAACCCTTCAACAAATCAATGAATCCAGCACCTGGTTTTCTGAAAAGATCAACACAATTGATAGACCGCTAGCAAGACTAATAAAGAAGGAAAGAGACAAGAATCAAATAGACGCAATCAAAAATGATAAAGGGGATATCACCACTGATCCCACAGAAATGCAAACTACCATCAGAGAATACTATAAACACCTCTACACAAATAAACGAGACAATCTAGAAGAAATGGATAAATTACTGGACATATACAACCTCCTAAGACTAGACCAGGAAGAAGTTGAATACCTAAATAGACGAATAACAGGCTCTGAAATTGAGGCAATAATGAACAGCCTACCAGCTTAAAAAGTCCAGAACCAGACAGACTCACAGCTGAATTCTACCAGAGGTACAAAGAGGAGCTGGTACCATTCCTTCTGAAAATATTCCAATTAACAGAAAAAGAGGGAATCCTCCCTAACTCATTTTATGAGGCCAGCATCATCCTGACACCAAAGCCTGGCAGAGACTCAACAAAAAAAAAGAGAATTTTAGACCAATATGCCTGATGAACATAGATGCAAAAATCCTCAATAAAATATTGGCAAATGGAATCCAGCAGCACATCAAAAAGCTTATCCACCATCATCAAGTTGGCTTCGTCCCTGGGATGCAAGCCTGCTTCAATATACCCAAATCAATAAACGTAATCCAAAGACAAAAACCACATGATTATCTCAATAGATGCAGAAAAGGCCTTCGACAAAATTCAACAACTCTTCATGCTAAAAACTCTCAATAAACTAGGTATTGATGGGACGTATCTCAAAATAATAAGAGCTATTTATGACAAACCCACAGCCAATATAATACTGAATGGGGAAAACCTGGAAGCATTCCCTTTGAAAACTGGCACAAGACAGGGATGCCCTCTCTCACCACTCCTATTCAACATAGTATTGGAAGTTCTGGCCAGGGCGATCAGGCAGCAGATAGAAATAAAGGGTATTCAATTAGGAAAAGAGGAAGTCAAATTGTCCTTGTTTGCAGAGGACATGATTGTATATTTAGAAAACCCCATCGTCTCGGCCTCCAATCTCCCTAAGCTGATAAGCAACTTCAGCAAAATCTCAGGATACGAAATCAATTTGCAAAAATCACAAGCACGCCTATACACCAATAACAGGCAGAGAGCCAAATCACGAGTGAACTCCCATTCACAACTGCTTCAAAGAGAATAAAATACCTAGAAATCCAACTTACAAGGGATGTGAAGGACCTCTTCAAGGAGAACTACAAACCACTGCTCAATGAAATAAAAGAGGACACAAACAAATGGAAAAACATTACAGGCTCATGGATAGGAAGAATCAACATCGAGAAAACGGACATACTGCCCAAGGTAATTTATAGATTCAGTGCCATCCCCATCAAGCTACCAATGACCTTCTTCACAGAATTGGAAAAAACTACTTTAAAGTTCACATGGAACCAAAAAAGAGCCCGCATTGCCAAGTCAATCCTAAGTCAAAAGAACAAAGCTGGAGGCATCACGCTACCTGACTTCAAACTATATTACAAGATGACAGTAACCAAAATAGCATGGTACAGGTACCAAAACAGAGATACAGACCAATGGAACAGAACAGAGCCCTCAGAAATAATACCACACATCTACAACCATCTGATCTTTGACAAACCTGACACAAAACAAGAAATGGGGAAAGGATTCCCTATTTAATAAATGGTGCTGGGAAAACTGGCTAGCCATATGGAGAAAGCTGAAACTGCATCCCTTTCTTACACCTAATATGAAAATGAATTCAAGATGGATTAAAGACTTAAATGTTAGACCCAAAAAACCATAAAAACCCTAGAAGAAAACCTAGGCAATATCATTCAGAACATAGGTATGGGCAAGGACTTCATGACTAAAATACCAAAAGCAATGGCAACAAAAGCCAAACTTGACAAATGGGATCTAATTAAACTAAAGAGCTTCTCTTCTGCACAACAGAAGAAACTACCATCAGAGTGAACAGGCAACCTACAGAATGGGAGAAAATTTTTACAATCTACCCGTCTGACAAAGGCCTAATGTCCAGTATCTACAAAGAACTTAAACAAATTTACAAGAAAAAAATCAAACAACCCCATCAAAAAGGGGGCAATGGAGATGAACAGACACTTCTCAAAAGAAGACATTTATGCAGCCAAAAGACACACGAAAAAATGCTCATCATCACTGGCCGTCAGAGAAATGCAAATCAGAACCACAATGAGATACCATCTCACACCAGTTAGCATGGCGATCATTCAAAAGTCAGGGAACAACAGGTGCTAGAGAGGATGTGGAGAAATAGGAACACTTTTACACTGTTGGTGGGACTGTAAACTAGTTCAACCGTTGTGGAAGACAGTGTGGCTATTCCTCAAGGATCTAGAACTAGAAATACCATTTGACCCAGCCATCCCATTACTGGGTACATACCCAAAGGATTATAAATCATGCTATAAAGACACATGCACACGTATGTTTATTGCGGCATTATTCACAATAGCAAAGACTTGGAACCAACCCAAATGTCCATCGATGATAGACTGGATTAAGAAAATGTGGCACATATACACCACGGAATACTATGCAGCCATAAAAAACGATGCGTTCATGTCCTTTGTAGGGACATGGATGAAGCTGGAAACCATCATTCTCAGCAAACTGTCGCAAGAACAGAAAACCAAACACCACATGTTCTCACTCATAGGTGGGAACTGAACAATGAGAACACTTGGACACAGGATGGGGAACATCACACACTGGGGCCTGTCAGGGGGTGGGGAGAGGGGGAAGGGATAGCATTAGCAGATATACCTAATGTAAATGACGAGTTAATGGGTACAGCACACCAACGTGGCTCATGTATACATATGTAACACACTTGCACGTTGTGCACATGTACCCTAGAACTTAAAGTATAAGAAAATAATAATAATAATTAGAGGAAGACACAAACACACACACACAAAAACAAAAAAAAACAAATACTAGTTGTTAATACCTTCAAAACACATTTCCTGTGTTTTTGTTTTTTTTTTTTTTTGAGACGGAGTTTCGCTCCTGTTGCCCAGGCTGGAGTGCAATGGCGGGATCTTGGCTCACCGCAACCTCTGCCTCCCGGGTTCACGTGTTTCTCCTGCCTCAGCCCCGAGTAGCTGGGATTACAGGCATGTGCCACCATGGCCGGCTAATTTTGTATTTTTAGTAGAGACGAGGCTTTTCCATGTTGGTCAGGCTGGTCTCAACTCCTGACCTCAGGTGATCCACCCGCCTCAGCCTCCCAAAGTGCTGGGATTACAGGCGTGAGCCACCACGCCCAGCCCAGAATACATTTTCAAATCAAATAATGTCCAATATCATTTTTTTTAAACAAGGTCTCCCTCTGTTGCTCACGCTGGCGTGCAGTGGTGTGATCTCAGTTCACTGCGGCCTCACCTCCAGGGCTTATGAAATCCTTCCACCTCAGTCTCTGAGCAGCTGAGGCTACAGGTGCATGCCACCATGCCCAGCTAATTATGTGTAGTGGTTATTATTATTATTATTATTATTATTATTATTAATTATTTTTGTAGAAACAAGGTCTCACTATGTTGCCTAGGTTCTTCTGGAACTTCTTAGCTCAAGAGATCCTCCTGCCTCAGCCTCCCAAAGTGCTGGGATTAC
Organism: Homo sapiens; assembly: GCF_000001405.40. NCBI lineage: Eukaryota > Metazoa > Chordata > Mammalia > Primates > Hominidae > Homo > Homo sapiens. The sequence goes on along the minus strand of NC_000023.11, from coordinate 141,536,436 downwards.
AGGTGTGTGCCACCATCTCCAGCCTAAGATAATTTTAGAAGAAGATTAATGAGAGGAAGTTATATCCTACCAGATATTAAAACCTTATAATCATGTATTTAACGAGGTAATTACACAAGTATATGTAGATGTAAAGATGTGCCATAGGGAGTGCTCACAAAGATTCTATGTGTTTCCCTATATTTTATAGCCTGTTTTATAATCAGATTGAGATGGTCTCAAAATTGACTAGCTCTGGGCAGGCAGTGAACCGGGTGCAGAAAACATACACATCATTTTAAGGTTGAGGCAGTTATGCCCTCATGTGGCTTCTTCATTCTCTTCTTCTGTCACAGTGACCTTGACAACCATGAGTTGACAAGGAAATGAACAAGATGGAGGAAGCCTGGCTCCATAAGGTATTGGATGCAAGAGTCTCTGCTCACCCAGATAGAAGTTTCATTCATCAGAAAACAAACCTTTGTTATGTTAAATCACTGAGATTTTATTTTGTGATTGTCGTGGAGTCAGCACGGCCTAGCATTACTCTTACGAATACAAACACCAATAAAAAGATATTAGTATTTATCTACTGTTAAAAATAAACTAGTAGAAAGAGAATGTACTATTCACTAAATGGAAAACTATTTTAACCATTTCCACAACAAACTGTAGGCAAACTAGGAAAATGTATAATTTTTAAAGTATGCATAAAAGAGCTATCAAAACTAATAACTATATAGGAAAGATTTCTTTTTTAGTTCACTTTCTTTTTCTTCTACCAACTTTGTGTCTTTTTCTTCTTTCCTTTTTTTTATCTTTTTGAGACGAATGCTCGCTCTGTCACCAGGCTGGAGCGCAGTGGCACGATCTCGGCTCACTGCAACCTCTGCCTCCCAGGTTCAAGCAATTCTCCTGCCTCAGCCTCCCGAGTAGCTGGGATTACAGGCACATGCCACCACGCCCAGCTCATTTTTGTATTTTTAGTAGAGACAGGGCTTCAGCATGTTGGCCAGGTTGGTCCCGAACTCTTGACCTCAGGTGATCCACCCACCTCGGCATCCCAAAGTGCTAGGATTACAGGCGTGAGCCACCGTTATATCTTTTTATGCAATGATTGCTAATTCCTATGCATTTATGCAATGCCTTCCTATGGTAGATAGCAATGATGGCCATATTATTTTACCCCTTCCTGAATCTACCCTTACATGATTTTGCTTTTCCTCTTATGACTTGCTTTGGCCAATAGAATGCAATAGAGTTTCAACGTGTCCATTCCAAGCCTAGTTTTCCATGACTCGTTGTGTGCATCCTCTTGCTTGCTGTTGTCCTCTGCTGTTAACTTGAAAACATGCCCAAGCTAACACGCTTGTCTCAGAAAAAGAGTAAGAGACGAGGAGCAGAGCCCGTCATCAGGTATGTGAGCAAGCTCAGGTAAACCCAGAGTACATCAACTGAACCTCACAGACACATGAGAAATTATTGGGTATTGTTACATGCCACTGGTTTTACAGTAGTTGGTTACACAGCAATATTGTGGAAGTAGATAATTGATACTTATTCCACAAGAAAACCTGGGCACAATGATACTTTATAGGGATTATACTCTTACAATACATGTACAAAGAGATAATTTTATGGGTATTATCCGTTCATTGGAGGAAGGAGGATGTCCGCCAGAGTGAGATTTTATTGCCACAGCCTCTTCAGCATGCAATTTCAGAACATATAGAATCAATTTCTCAGTTTACTGACTGCTGAGTAAGACCTTGGGAGAAATTAAGACTAGAAATGAGGGCGGGATAAATATTTCACTTCAGGCTGGTGGGTTTCTCAAGCAGCAAAGTGTTTCAAATCTGCTGCCAATAGCAGTTTTTTTTTCAGTACTGTTAGTAGAAACTCTTCCCATCTTCTGGCAAAAGGTTGGATGTTAGCTTTACTTTGAATTATGTTAAGGATTCCATCCCCTCTCTGAATCTCTCTTGTATTTTGGTGTGAACATAGGAGATGCTGAGAATGCAGGATGACTGCCTTAAATTGGAAGCCTCAGATTATGGCACTCATGAGGAAACGGTTGAATAAAAATAATTCAGATGGGAGGGACTGGGCAAGAATCTTCTCTAGATGGAGGGTGCAAAAATGGGAAGACGGGAATCTACATGGAAACTACAAAGAAATTAAGGGAACAGAAATACATCTGCTCTTCAGGATAAACAACAAATCAAAGAATATGAAATAATACTGTTTTAATCAGAAGATATTCATAATGGAGGACCTGAACTCATCCGTATTTGGCTAAATCCCAAACTCAGGAACTCAGTCCAAGGAACACCATAGAAATGCAATTAATATAACTGCATTTCTCTATTTTTTAAATTGGTATTCAAAACATTCTTTTCAATGATCCTGCAACTGTGCGATTTTCAATCCCCATGTCTGACCATGCCATGTCCTTGCTCAAAATCATTCATTTCCTCCAGTGCTTATAAAATAATGCCCACAACTCTTTTTTTTTTAAAATGTTTTCCAGTTTTTTTTATATTTTGGTGGGTACACAGTAGTTGTGTATATTTATAGAGTACATGAGATGTTTTGATACAGGCATGCAATGTGAAATAAGCACATCATGGAGAACAGGGCACATCACGGAGACCAGGGTATCGATCTTCTGAAACATTTAGACCTTGAGTTACAAATAATCCAATTACACTCCTTAACTTATTTCAAAATGTGCAATTAAATTATTATTGACTGTAGTCATCCTATCATGCTATCAAATAGTAGGTTTTATTTACTTTTTCTATTTTGTGTACCCATTAACAATCCCAGCCTCCACCATCATCCCCCACTACCCTTTCCAGCCTCTGTTAACCACCTTTCTACTCTCTATGCCCATGATTTTAATTCATTTGACTTTTAGATCCCACAAATCAGTGAGAACATGCAATGTCTGTCTTTCTGTGCCTAGCTTATTTTGCTGAACATAATGATCTCCAGTTCCATCGATGTTGTTCCAAATGACTGGATCTCATTCTTTTTTATGGCTGAATAGAACTCCCCTGAGTCTATGTACCACATTTTCTTTCTCCATTCATCTGTTGATGGACACAGGTTGCTTCCAAATCTTAGCTATTGTACATAGTGTTGCAACAAACACAGTAGTGCAGATATCTCTTCAATATACTGATCTCCCTTTTTTTGGGTGTGTATACCCAGCAGTGGGATTGCTGGATCATACGGTACCTCATTTTAGTTTTTTGAGAAACCTCCAAACTGTTCTCCATAGTGATTGTGCTAATTTATATTCCCACCAATAGTGTGGAAGGGTTCCCTTTTCTCCATATCCTCGCCAGCATTTGTTATTGCCTGTCCTTTTGATGTAAGTCATTTTAACTGGGGTGAGAAATCTCACTGTAGATTTGATTTGCATTTCTCTGATGATCAATGATGTTCAGCACCTTTTCAAATGCCTATTTGCCATAGTATGTCTTACGAGAAATGTCTATTCAAATATTTTGCCCATTCTTCGATCAAATTATTACATTTTTTTCCCCTACAGAGTTATTTGAGCATCTTACATATTCTGGATATTAATCCCTTGTCAGACGGGTACTTTGAAAATAATTTATCCCAGTCTGTGGGTTGTTTCTTTACTTTTTTTACTGTATCCATGTTGCCCAGGACAGGTCCGGAAATGCCATTCAAGAGTCAAGTCCCAGGCCAGGCACAGTGGCTCATGCCTATAATCCCAGCACTTTGGAAGGCTGAGGCAGGTGGATTGCTTGAGCTCAGGAGTTCAAGAGCAGCCTGGGCAACATGGTGAAACCCCCTCTCTACCAAAAATACAAAAACTTAGCTGGGTGAGATGGTGCGCATCTGTGGTCCCAGCTACTTGGGAGGCTGAAGTTGGAGGATCGCTTGAGCCCGGGGCAGAGGTCGCAGTAAGCTGAGATCATATCACTGCACTCCAGCCTGGGTGATAGAGTGAGGAGTGAGACTCTACCTCAAAAAAAAAAAAAAAAATTCAAAGATTCAAGTCCTGGAATGGGGGGCCCCAGGAGCCCACTTGGCTCTCTAACCCCCTATATTGGTGCTGGTACCTAAAGTGCAAGACAAGGTCCCCTCTGCCTTTCCCTCTGCACTTCTCAAGCAGAAGGAGTTTTGTCCCATAGCCACCACAACTAGTAATATGCTGAGTCTTACCTAAAGCCAGCAAGTCTCAGAGGCTCACCAAGGCCCTAAACATAGTACCTGGGTATCACTGTTCATTATTCAGGGCCCAAGGGCTCTTCAATTAGCAAATAATGAATGCTGTCAGGACCGGGTCCTTTGTTTCAAGGTAGCTTGTTCCCTTCCGGTCCAAGTGTGCTTAGAAATGTCATCTGGGGCTAGAGCCTGGAACAGGGGCCTCTTGATTCCAACCATTGCCCTGTCTTGCTGTGGCTGAGCTGGTATCCCAGATGCAAGCCAAAGTCCTACTCACTCTTCCTTGTCTTCTCTTCAAGTGGAAGGAAGGGGTCTCTTTCGAAGTTGAGCTGTGCAGCCTGGGGTCAGGGGAGTGGCGATGCCAACACCCCCTTGCCTGCCCCAGCTGATGTCTTGGTATGCTGCGTGTCTCTCTAGTCCACAGTCTCTGGGCCTAATTCAAGACTACGACTTGGCTATGAGTTGCAGACCTTATGGATTAGACTGCCTTTCATGTTTACTTAGGGACCAAGAGCAGTTTGGCTTTCAGTGGTGAGGCTTCCGAGCACTCGAGTTCAGAGAGCTGGGATTGGCGATTCCCCTCTGGCTAGAGCTAGTGTAAATGCTCCTTCTGTGTCATCTGAGTTTGGTCTAGTTTTCCTTCCTGATTTAACAGGATGCCACTTAGTTCAATGCCTCACAGTTGCTGTGTTCTCCTTCTCAGCTCCCAGAAAGTCTCTCTGTACCATGCAGCTGCTACCCAGGGTGGAAGAGGGGTCACGTAGGCGATTCTGGACATTTTTTTCTATCTCTTCATTGCCTCTTTCAGCCATATGAAGTTAAGCCAGGTACTATGAGTGCCCATCTAATTTTTGGTTCTTATAAAGGTGTTTTTATCTGTGTAGTGGTGGTTAACCTGATGTCCTTGTGCAGGGGACGAATGGTGGAGCCTTCTATTCTGCAATCTTGCTCCACCTCTCCCTGTCGACAGCTCTTGCCATCACATTGTGCATCTTTCACATCTGCAGTATTTCCCATTAGAGTTCCCTTGAAACTCTAAAGTAATTTTACAAAGTTCATTTTACTAATCCTGACTGAGTATCAATTCAAATGGGAGTATCAGCTGTCCCACTAACTTGGCTCCTACTTTTGCCTTATTCCCTTTCTTACATTCTTCCTTCTGCCTTTAATGCTTTACTCGCTTCTCTTTCTTCCCATGTTCAAGTATTTCCTGAAGCTTTCCTTCATGCCTCTAGCCTGTCTTCTCTGAATTCTACTGGCACTTCTTATATGTTCTTTGTTTTGAAGTTGTTATTTGTATCTGTATGTGGCATCTACTCCTGAACTATTAGCTTCTTTCCAGTTTTGCTCTTGTTGCCCAGGCTGGAGTATAATGACGCGATCTTGGCTCACCACGACCTCTGCCTCCCGGATTCAAGTGATTCTCCTGCCTCAGCCTCCCGAGTAGCTGGGATTACAGGCGCCCACCACCACACCACGCCCAGCTAATTTTTGTATTTTTAGTAGAGACGGGGTTTCACCATGTTGGCCAGGCTGGTCTCAAACTCCTGACCTCGTGATCCACCCACCTTGGCCTCCCGAAGTTCTGGGATTACAGGCTTGAGCCACCGAGCCCGGCCTATTAGCTTCTTAGTGAAAGGAACTAAGTGTGAAAAAGTCAAAGAATTCGTTAATGTACAGAAACAAGCAATTTGTACTCCTTGAGGAGCTCAAAGTACTCAACAGCGTTTCCAGTCCTCTCCATCGTTACGGGAAACAGATGAGAGAACGTGGCTTTGGGGAACATGCATAGGCGAATAAACATAATGGGGCTTGAAACACGAATGAAGAGGAAAAATAAAGTGTGTTGAATGATCTCCTTAAAAGACTCCTTTCTTTCTTGGTACCTTCTACCCAGCCTAGTTCCTCTTTATCTCCCATTTGAAAGCATGGGTGCCAGATTAGAACTTTCTCTCACATAGGTCAGCAGAAACACATAGAGTATTATTAGATGGATTCCATGGAGTAATAAACTAAGGCCCCAAGTTATGACAGGTTCTCCATGTCACCTGGTCATATTGTAACCGAGCGAGTTATAGAGAAATGCCACACTACAAGATTAATTCACGAGTCCTTTATTGCCGGCGACTGAGACACAGCTAGAGCTCAAAATTCTCTCGGCCCCGAAGAAGGAGCTAGATTTCTTTTGATACCTTGGTCTAAATAGGGGAGGGGGAGTTTAGCCGAAGCGATTTTTACAGAAGCAGAACAGGCAAAAAGTTAAAAAGATTAATGGTTACAGAAACAGTTACAGAAAAATAAACAGTTCCAGGTGCAGGGGCTTAAACTATCACAGAGAGATAATGCAGGGGCTTCGGGTACCACCCACCGAGCGCATCCCCAGGAGCTGCTGGTTCAGTTTGCCTCTATCTCTTATCAGTAAGTGCATTCCTGGACGTGCTTGGAGTCAGCTTGCACTAGTTATGTCCTTGAGGGAGGGGGATAAGGGGGACTGCGAGTGAAGAAACAAAAATGGAGTCTGTCCAGCTCTCTCAGCTAAGAGAGACAATCAGGTTAAAATAAGGTAAGGCATCACAGTAAGCCATCACTATGCCTCAAAGCCCTCATCTTCTCATCTGAACCGAGACTCTTCATGTGAGAAGCTGGGTATATTCTAATGCAAAATCAAAGTTAAAATTCCAAGAAGGGTGATAATCAAAGAGTTTAATTTTGTAGACAGGGGAGAGAGAAAACTGAGAGATGAGAATATTTTATTTATTAGATAAGGATGACAGAAGAGTGGTTCTTTGCAGGTTCCAGAAACCTACGTTAGCATATTCAAGAAAAAGAATAATCAGCATCAGAGGGTAGACACATGCAAAATAAAATCCTGACTAAAGCAGCAGCTTATTTGCCACTTTAGAAATGGACATTCTAACTGCCTAGTAGACCAGCAACACAGAGTCGCATAACAGTACCACAGTATGTCTGAGCTGAAAATTATTCAGTCATCACATTAAACCTTCTCATTTTATGATGGAAAAAAAAATGAGGTAAGGAGGCCGAGCGCAGTGCGGTGGCCCACGCCTGTAATCCCAGCACTTTGGGAGGCCGAGGCGGGCAGATCACCTGAGGTCAGGAGTTCGAGATCAGCCTGGCCAACATGGCAAAACCCCATCTCTACTAAAAATACAAAAATTAGCCAGGTGTGGTGGTGGCCGCCTGTAATCTCACCTACTGGGGAGGCTGAGGCAGGGAGAATTGCTTGAACCCGGGAGGCGGAGGTTGCGGTGAGCCGAGACCACACCATTGCACTCCAGCCTGGGCGAGAGAGCAAGATTCTGTCCACCCCCGCCCCCCCAAAAAAAAAAAATGACATAAGGAAAGAGGATGTGTTTTGTGCAAGATCGCAGAGCTAGTTGGGGCGGAGTTGGAAATAAAACTCGTTATTTCTGAATCTCAAGCCAATGAATTACAACGGTAAGTCATTACTAATTCGATAAACATTTATGGAGCACTAAATATGAGTCAAACACAATAAGTCACAAATAGTCAAATGTGACCTGGGGCCTGCCTACAGCACACTGACACTGGCATTTTTCTGACGGAGGACCAGCAGCTGACTAGCTTTTCTGGAGTAGCCCAAGTCTTTCTTGAAATCCTCTCTAACAGAGATAATAACAGCAAAAAGCTTCTTATCAACTGGTCCTTTAAATCATTTAAAAATCTATTTTCTCTATCCAAGTGCTGATTCATAGAAATATAACATAAGCTAGTTATTTCATTTAGAGTTTCCTAATAGCCATAATAAAAACATAAAATAGTTGAGATTATTTTAATTCATGTTTGATTTAACCCAATATATCTAACATATTGTCATTTCCTATGTATTTGATATACAATGTATTAACGTCATATTATCCATTATCTTATTTGTACTAAGTCTTCAAAATCCAGCATGCATGTTACATTTGCAGCACATTCCTATTGCAACTGGCCACGTGACAAATGTGCAATCGTTTGCGGCCAGTTGCTACTATAGTAGACGACACAGCTTCATATCATCTATTACGTTAGTCCCTGGTGTATTTCTGAACAAGCAATTAAAATGCAACCAAAACATGTTATATTTATAAAACATATTATATTTAACACAGTAAATTACAACAGGTGGAAAATTCCTTTTCAGATAGATTCTTAGGAACTTCAATTAAGTGTACTTCTTTCTTTAGTTATTCTATGTCATGCCTGAACATGCTAGGTCACTGGAAAGCTTAAATGAAAAGAAGCAAGAAGAACATTAAAGTAAAATGTTATATGAAACCCCGGAAATTTTTAGTGATTTGTGGTCTTCACTTATTCCAAGTCTTTAGAATTGAGATTAAACATTATCTTCTCAGTGGTAAGTCAGAACAGAGAACAACACGAATGGAGCCACTTCTCTGGTAACACATCAGGGAATCATCTGTCCATTTAAATTACGGGTTTTTTTCTATATCACTGTCAAGACTAGATTTTCATAAAAGGAAGATCATTTTACATGGAAGGAATTGCTAAACAGGCTAGAGGTTCGAAATCCATTACCTATTCATCACCTAGTTAATAGATGTTCATCCTCTATAACCTTCAAGAAACTCTGCCACAAAATTCAAAGGCAACATACAGGTCATATTTCTGAACCTAGTGCTACAAAATATGGCTGGACAATATTACAGAATCCTCCAAATTAAAACTTTCTAGAAAATCCAAAATCTATGGTCACACTAGCTCTAAGTCAATGAAATGCTACAGTAAATTTTGGATCCCAGGAAAAAGCAGCCTAACATTATAGTAGCTACCAGAAGGTACTTTCTGCAAAATTGTTAAACACCGTCCTCTTAGGGGTCCATTTTTCTATCACTCTAAAGAATAAATGCTTTGGGGAAAATGAGCTATTTTTATGGTTTGGCTGTGTCTCCACCCAAATCTCATCTTGAATTGTAGCTCCCATACTTTTTTTTTCTTTTTTTTCTTTGAGATGGAGTCTCGCTCTGTCACCCAGGCTGGAGTGCAGTGGCACAATCTCAGCTCACTGCAACATCCGTCTCCCAGGTTCAAGCGATTCTCCTGCCTCCGCCTACTGAGTAGCTGGGATTACAGGCACGTGCCACCACACCTGGCTAACTTTCGTATTTTTAGTAGAGACGGAATTTTGCCACGTTGGCCAGGCTGGTCTCGAACTCCTGACCTCAGGTGATCCGCCCGCCTTGGCCTCCCAAAGTGCTGGGGTGAGCCACCGCACCCAGCCAGCTTCCATCATTTCTACGTGTTGTGGGAGGGAGCCAGTGGGAGATAATTGAATCACGGGGGCTGTTTCCCCCATACTGTTCTCATAGAGATCTGACGGTTTTATAAGGGGTCTTCCCTTTTGCTTGATTCTCATATGCTCTTCGCCTGCCACCATGTAAGATGTCCCTTTGCTCTTCCTTCATCTTCCACCATGATTGTGAGGCCTCCCCAGCCATGTGGAGCTGTGAGTCCATTCAACCTCTTTCCTTTATAAATTACCAAGTCTCAGGTCTGTCTTTATTAAAAAGATGAGAATAGACTAATACTGGTATGAACACTGGATATTTCATTATTGTTTGTTTTCATTTATGTTGCTTCCTGCATTGACACTTGACAAAGTATCACTTTTCTTTTCCTGAAGAGTTGTAAAATATTTTATTTCATTTCCAGCTCTCTGGGGGTAAAAAAAATATTACTTTACCTCTATTTTGCCTGCAATTTAAAACTCTCCTGCTCTAATTATTAAGAAGATAAACAATTAAAGTTTATATGTAATTTAGTTTATGATAACTGAAATCATATGGGTTTTAAGGCAATGTCAGGAAATTTATTTTCTCAGAAGTTTATTTAATTTATTTATTTTTAGATGGAGTCTCGATCTGCATCCCAGGCTGCAGTGCAGTGGCACAATCTCGGCTCAGCACAACCTCCGCTTCCCGGGTTCAAGCGATTCCTGCCTCAGCCTCCCGAGTAGCTGGGATTACAGGCACCCGCCACCATGCCCAACTAATTTTTGTATTTTTAGTAGAGATTAAAATTTCTACTATGTTGTTTCACCATGTTGGCCAGGCTGGTCTCGAACTCCTGACCTCAGGTGATCCGCCCGCCTCGGCTGCCCAAAGTGCTGGAATAACAGGCATGAGCCACCACGCCTGGCCCCAGAAGTTTACTTTCAAATAGTGTTATCTTCAAGTTTCCAAATATGAGTGTCTGCAGTTGTTTGGGGGCAGAAAACTGTCAATCACAAATTCTACAAATACTTACTACTATGACCTGGAGGCATTTACAAATTGGAGGGGTTATGTGAGGAATTGTTGATGGAATCAGGAAAAAGGCTGTGGGAAGATGCCGCCTTTAACATATATCTGTGCAACCCTCACCTCCCAATTCTAATCCAACTACAAGTCTACTCTATTTACGAGACTGCCGCTGAGGCAGAAAGATCTATGAAACTCCAAGACTATAAAAACTAAGCCCCGTGTGTGCTGGGGTCCTCACAAAATTAGAGGATGACTGTGTAGCTATCTGCTGAGACTAGAGCTTCATGATCTGCCAGTCAGGGGTGAGAAGCTGCTAGAAAGAGTTTAGCCAGAGAATATCTGTGAGTCCTCCTGCAGGATGGGAAGTGGTGTCCCTAGCTCCCACTGTGCTACGGAAGTTTATAAGATGCTTTGAGCCTTCTATACGCCTAATGGGACAGAGTGGAAATTTTTGCAACTGAGACCAGAGGGCAGAAATACATTATACGAGTATCGCCACAGAGGACTAGTGACCTGCACAGGGATAAAGACTACCATGCCACATGACACAATCACGATTACCAGTGCTTAAGGTACCGTATAGCTTGATCTGAGCTCTGATAATAAATATATCCATGACTAAGCAAAGGAAAGTAAGAATTCCTTTAAGACGACCCATTGTCAAGTAAAGAATGAAAAAGCAAGAGAACAAGTTACTAGTGAAATGAAGCTGCTGGCAGAGATGGATGACAATAAAAATACGTTAATAAAAAAACACTTAAAGAAATTCAGCCAGGCACAGTGGCTCACGCCTGTAATCCCAACACCTTGGGAGGCCGAGGTGGGCGGATCACAAGGTCAGGAGTTCGAGACCAGCCTGGCCAACATGGTGAAACCTCGTCTCTACTAACGAAATGCAAAAATTAGCCCGGCATGGTAGCGTGTGCCTGTAATCCCACCTACTCGGGAGGCTGAGGCAGGAGAATTGCTTGAACCCGGGAGGCAGAGGTTGCAGTGAGCCGAGATCACACCACTGCACTCCAGCCTGCGCAGCAGAGCAAGACTCTGTTCCCCCCCCAAAAAAAAAACAAAGAAATTCAATTACGGCATTAAAAGATTCTGAAAAATAAAAATATCAGTTGTGAATTAAAACATTTAAACGATGAAATGAGACGGGATAATACTTCCCAAACACAAATTACATCCTTGGAAGATCAAGTAGAAGAAAAATCTCAAAAGATAAATGATGATGGGAAAACTTCACCTCCACATGCAAAAAAATAAGACTAGGTCCCTACATCTCATCATATACAAAGATCAACTCAAAATGGATTAAAGGCTTAAATGCAAGACCTGAAACTGTGGAACTACTAGAAGAAAACAGTGAAAACGCTTCAGGACATTGGTCTAGGCAAGGATTTTTTGGATAAGAACTCAAAAGCACAGGCAACAACGGCAAAAACAGACTAACGGGATTAAGTCAAACTCAAAAGCTTCTGCACAGGAAAAGAAACAATCAACAGAGCAAAGCTACAACCTACAGAATGGGAGAAATACTTGCAAACAATGTTCTGATAAGGGATATAATGTATATCTGGAATTTATAAGGAATTCAAAGAATTCAGTAACAAAAAAATAAATACTTTGATTTAAAAATGGGCAAAATATCTGAATAGACATTTCTCACAAGAAAACATACAAATGACCAACAGGTATATGAAAAAATGCTGAACGTTACACTAATTATTAGGGAAATGCAAATCAGAATCACAATAAGATCATCTCACACCTTTTAGAATGGCTATTATGAAAAAGACCAAAAAACCCCACAAATGTTGGTGTCTATGTGGTGAAAGGCGACCTTTTATATGCTGCTGATGAGCGTGTAAATTAGTACAGCCATTACGGCCAATAGTATAAAGGTTCTCCAAAATGTTACAAATGGAACTACTGTATGATCCAGCAATCCCAGTACTGGGTATATATCCAAAGGAGATAGAATCATTATGTCCAAGACATACCTGCATTCTCATGTTTATTGCAGTACCATTTACAGTAGCCAAGATATAGAATCAACCTAAGTGTTCATCAGTGAATGAATGCATAAAGAAAATGTGGTGCATGTACACAATGGAATACTATTCAACCATAACAAATAACAAAAACCTGTCTTTTGCAACAACACGGATGAACCTAGAGGACATTATTTTAAGTGAAATAAGCCAGACACAGATGGACAAATACTGCATAACCTCACTTATATGTGGAATCTTAAAAACGCTGATCTCATAAAAGTAGAGAGCAGTTACCAGTTGCTGAGGAGGGTACTGGGGAGGAGAGATAGGGTGAGGTTGGTCAATGAGTATGTCACAGTTAGCCAGGAGAAAAACGTTCTGGTACTTTATAGTGCACCATGGTGAATACAGTTAGCAATAACGTGTTGTATATTTCAAAATAGCTAGAAAAGAGGATTTTGAATATTCTTATCACAAAAAAAATGGTTAAGATTACGGATATGCTAATTACCCTGATTTTACTTCTTTTATTTCCTTTTGTCTTTTCTTTTTTTTTTTGAGACAGTCTCTCGCTCTGTCACCAGGCTGGAGTGCAGTGGTGCAATCTTGGCTGACTGTAACCTCTGCGTCCCGGGTTCAAGTGATTCTCCTGCCTCAGCCTCTCGAGTAACTGGGACTACAGGCGCGTGCCACCACGCCCAGCTGATTTTTGTATTTTCAGTAGAGACGGGGTTTCACCATGTTGGCCAGGATGGTCTCAATCTCTTGACCTCCTGATCTGCCTGCCTTGGCCTCCCAAAATGCTGGGATTACAGGAGTGAGCCACCGGGCTCGGCCCCCGATTTGATTTCTAAACAATGTATACATGTATTGAAACATTACATTGTACTTCACAAATATGTACAATTATATGTCCATTAAAAATAAAATAAAACTAAAGTAAGATATGTAAATCTGGCTAGAAAAGCTGAGGAACTTTGAGCATAGACCCTGAAATTAATAGGGGTTCCAGAAAGAGAAAAATCAACAGATGAAGAAGTAATCATTAAGGAAATAATTGAACAGAGTGTACCTATTGAAAATAACATGGGGGTTTCCAGAAGGGACTCATTAAGGAATATACAGCTAGGTATATACTGATCTTAAAAAAAAATAGAAAATGAGTATAGCATCTGGAGAGGGAAGTAACTTTTTAAAAAATTAAATTAATACTGGACTTGTCATCTGTAATACCAAAAACTAGAAGTTGGAGGCTAAGGGGCAAACCACTGTGAAAAAAACAAAGTGTGACCCCCAAATCCAGGCAAGATATACATAGTGCCCATAGATCTCTTTGAGTAATATTTTCAAGAAAAGACTAATGGACACCGATCAAACATCTAATAAACTCTGCCAAAGCCTTAAGAGAGGAAACAATGATGAAAGGAAAGAAACAGAGGTGACAATAAATACTGAAATATAGATAAGTAAATCTAAATGCAATATGCCATTGTGACTGTGAATGTGTAGTATACATGAAAGAGAAAAGATACACTACAAAAGAAATCTAATCACAACCTGGAACTAAAAATATTATCGCAGGAAAGTTGAAGGGAGGATAACAATAGGAGCAAAATCCAAATTCCAAACCAGGTGAAAGATGGGAAAGAAGGAAAAAAATAAACGAAAATAGAAGGATAAATAGAAAACATAGACTATGATGACAGATGTAAGTCCCAATATGACACTAACTATAATAAATGTAAATAGATTAAACTCTAGAACCAGTTTCCACAAACTGTGACCTGAGGGCCCAACAGAATATAAAATGTCATAGGGACCCCACCTGTTTACATATTGTCTATAAATGTTTTTATCCTATAATGGCAGAGTTGAGTAGTTGGAAAACATACCATATGGCCCACAATGCTGAAAATATTTCACTATCTGGCCTTGTACAGAGGAAGCTTACAACATCTGTTTTAGAATCATAAAAAGAGATTCAATGATTGGATTATTTTAAGAAACACATATATGCCAAGATATTATCTAGAGCAACTGCATTTAGAGCAAAAAGATACAGTGATTCAAAAATAAAAATACAGGAAAATGTAAACTGAGCAAATGTGAACCAGAAAAAAAAAGCAGACGTAAAAACTTTTCATTTCAAGAAAAGGTCATTATGTACCAGTAAATGGTCAAGAGGGATCGAGGGAAATACACAATGACTATGAGCATGTATGCACTCAATAATATAGCTTTCAAATAAAGCATGTGGCTGAACTATGCAGCCAAATAATTAAGCTGATAAATGTACTTGGGAGATTTTAATGCAACCCTCTCAGACACTGGTAGTTCAAGCAGATAAAACTTAAACGAGTGTAATCAACTGTAGATTTGTTTACATTTAAAATTTATATTCGGCAAACGAAATACATACTTCATTTTATTTTTTTATTTTTAAGACGGAGTTTCGCTCCTGTTGCCCAGGCTGAAATGCAATGGTGAGATCTCGGCTCACTGAAACCTCCGCCTCCCAGGTTGAACCGATTCTCCTGCCTCAGCCTCCCAAGTAGCTGGAATTACAGACACGCGCCACCACGGCCGGCTAATTTTTCTATTTTTAGTAGACATGGGGTTTTCACCATGTTGATCAGGCTGGATGGTCTTGAACTCCTGACCTCAGGTCATCCACCCATCTCAGCCTCTCAAAGCTCTGGGATTACAGGCTTGAGCCACCGTGCCCGGTCTCATTTTCAAGCACACAAGGAATATTCTCATTAACTATACTAGGCTGTTTCACAGTATGTATCAAATGCCTTAAAATTACACAAATCCTTTAAACCAGCAACTTCTCTTTCAGGCACTTACCTTAGGGAACTAATCAGACTTGCACATAAATATATTTTCACATAACGTTCATTGCAACATTGTTTATATTAGAAATAGATTGGTAGTAACCCACGGTCACACAACAGAGCAGTGATTAGATAAATCACTGGTGCACTCACATGCAGTTCTAACAGCCAGGAATGCCCTTTCTTGGACATGAATAAAAAATTGCTAGTTCCCATATAGGCACAGACAAAGGGCCATTGTATAACCTGATGCACAGACCCAGATGAATGAAAATGCTATGCTTGCGAATAAATGTGAAAGAACAACTATTTTAGGACCCGGAATTGTAACGCTAAGCCTTAGTAATGAACGGTACTTCTTGAGTCGCAAAAGTATTCACTTTTGGGCTAGTATATGATGCTTTGGAGCACTTATGTGACCCTTTAAGCAGAGGTCAAAATAAAAGCCTACAAACTCTTTTGCTCAGGACACCACGGATCTAACAAATTCCTGCCAATGGACAGAAAAGGGACATTCAGAAGCTACCCTACCTCAGATATGTCCTGTGCGTATCTGTTCTCTTACCTTTTTTAGCTTGACAAAACTTAGGAGGAGAAGTCATAGGTATCCATACCTTTCATTTTCAGCATTCCTCACATCTGGTCTGATCTTTGTCCAGCACCTAAGGCATAATTACACCAAAAATGATAAATCCATTAAGAGTAATGTTAGACAAATCTTGAATTCTTATAGCAAAAGTTTATTATGATATATCCAAAAAGCAATCACTAAATAGCATTACAGAATGAGACACCATTAAATTACAGCTATCCTTTGGACACATACATAGAAAAAATAACTAGAAAATGTATACCAGCTTGTTCACAGTTCTCCAGAACTGAGATTATAATTAGTTCACTTCTTTTTAGTCTTATGTATTTGCTACATTGAGAGCAATTAATATGTATTACTTTGGTAATCAGAAAAATTGATGTTATTTCACAAATTAAACAACAATGAATGCCATAAAATTAATGTGTAATAGTTCATATGGTAGTTCTTAATTAGCCCACTTTTTTCAACAATACGCTGGAAAATTCCCACTGAGTTTGATGGGAATCATAAAGCCCGTGGGCGAGGGGAAGAACGGATTCAATTTCTGTTTCTAATGCTAGCGTAATAGATAACTTCTAATTTTGGACTCTAAAACTAAGATACATTGAATTTATATCTAGGAATGTAATTCATATAAATGTTTACATACATAAAATTAAAACCCTAATTTTAAACATACAAATAATTAACAATAATTTAGGACAGCTCATTTAAAATCCTTAGGATTAAATCTCTGAATTTAAATAAAGAAAATATTATTTCCATGATTACATTGTTTTCCTGGGAAATACAACATAGTTCCTACAATGGGAAAAAACAGTGACCTGGATCTGCTAAACATCTCACTGTGAGTTGGACAAGTCAGATTTATCTCCAAATCCTGCATCTGAATACAACTATGCATTTATATCTTTATACATACATTATCTATTTATTTATGTTTCTACAGAGCAGTCTTCTAAAATACACCGCTATTTCAAAGTTTATTCACTGAGCAGGTTCTATTTTCTTCATGTATGACGTGAGACAGTTGGAATAAATGATCTCTGATGATTGCTTAAATGGGGCAATTGTCACCCTACAGACACAGCAGCTCTATGAAGGAATCTGTGTTGATATAAAGCCATCCAGGTTTTATACAGAGATTCACAGATCTAACTTAAGAACAAATTTGTCCCCATAAAGAAACCTTCTTTGCCAATCTGACCCAATGACCACACTGAAACGTCCCGGCAATGATAAAGCACACCCAGGCTTACCCATAGGAATGCCTCCTGCTCCACAGAAACTGAATTCCTTTAAAGAATTCCTATAATCTCCTGCCATTTGTAATCTCTCCAATATGTGAAAGGGTTTCTCAGTCACCATGCAATTAAAGGTCCTCCTACACATCCAGATGTACTCATGCACATCATCATTTCACATTTTGGTTTTATAGGTTAATTTATACAAAGGTCTCACTTGCAAGTAAAGGAATGCATTCTACTGGTTTTCAGAAGTATCTAAAGGCTGCAACTACTTACCGCTTTCCATAATGCTATCAAAATACACTAGGTTTATTTATTATTTCTGCAAAGCAAATCTAAAACTGAAATCCACAAAAATACGGCCAGTTCATTTAAATAGCATTAAAATTCCTCGTTGTATCTAGGTGAATACTATAATGGTTAATCCTATACTATCACTGTCACAGCAACACAATTAACATTTTTTTCATTTAAAATGTTTTGGAGAACAAAAGATGAATGCTTCCAAGTTAATTAATGCTCAAATAATTATTTTAAAAATTAAATCAGAATTTCTAACACTGCATCTCAGTCACATTATCATTTAGTGAATTCAACACGAGTTACAGCACCCCTATGACTATTCCATGAACTAATAAATGATCATCTACTTTAGTTTTTTTTTTTTTACCATGAAAGCTAAAATGTATATTTTTATCCCTTTTGCATGTGATTTTTCTTTTAGCTCATTCCCATAAATGAACTCTTTAATCCACCATTGTTTCACACATAATCTAATTTGGGTAATATAGTTCTCTATTTCTTTATCTTAGGATTCATACTACCACATTATTTCTTTAATTGTGTAACTGACTGTAATGCATTTATTACAAGAGTTAAATGTTACTATAATGATAGTTACTGCATTATTAGATGATTTCTAATAGTTAAGTAAAACATTTCTTGATTGCCAAACATTAATTTTATTAGGAATGTAAATTTTTCTAGTGTAATCATTTACTGATACAGCTTTAAAGGCACCAACATGTCTCTGGCAAATATTGGAACACATACGGTCATGGACTTTAGCTATTGGTAAAAGTCAAGTACCACAGAGTACTATAAAATAACCCTTTGAAGCCAAGTCCTTGATGCTGTTTCACGGACTCTATGAAATCACATCAGACTACAGTTAGATATCTTGCTCTGCTACGTAATTTTACGGGTTGATAAGTCTTGCGCCTCGTTCTTTGTGTGTAATTCCTCATGACCTGGCCAGCGACAAAGAAACCGTGTAATGCTAAGCCATTATCACTGGCTAGATAGATTAGATTCAGCCTTCAGTAGGCCAGATGCTGTTGCGATAGCCACCGTTACAGGGAAAATCTCTTTAAACCAAAAATCAAAGCTTCATCCAAACCCTACTTGTTTCAAATAATCTGGGTAAAATCAAATATAATATTTATCAAATGCTAGGAGTGTGGCAGACACAAAATATACTGCCCAGCTCCCACTTCAAGGAAGGACTTGCTGCCCATCTGCAGGAAGTGTGGTTCAGCACACAGCCTCTAGCTGTCAACTCCTGCAGGGTCTGCCTCAGCCGCAGAGTCACCTGGCTCAAGGTAACACCCACAGAAGCCTACATCTGGCATCTGAACAGGTGGCTTTATAGCCATAAAGCCTACACCATTCCAGGCCAATGCCCGGTATCACTGATGCACAACGCTTTCTCAAGAGCTGCCAGTAAGGCTGAATGAGGCTTTGTTGCGCCTGCATAGAAGTTCCACCTCTTTCTCTGCCCAATCCTGCTTCAGCCTCCTCCCTCTCACAGCTGTTGATCCTTAATAAATATTTGACACCCCATACACTCAACCTCAATGTCTGTTTTTGAGATCCCAACCTCCAGCAACATATCAGGTGGTATGTATTTGTATGTGTTTGTGCGTTGTAAATGTCAAATTCTGTTAATGGCATCAAGACAAACTAAACTTCCCTTCACTGCAAAGCAACTAAAAACCATGTATAACCTATTTTTAAAACTTTTCAAATGTATCATCCATCCAAAAAATGAGGAAAATCCTTAGAGGCCAAAAAATGAAGCTAAAATCTAAGTACTGCTCCACGTAGAGCACCTGATAGGAACTAACATGACTCCGCCAAGGAATTTATAACTGGCCAAGTCCCTATGTAAAGACGTCAGGAACAGGTAAATATACTGCGGTAGCCTCTGTAACTATTCACTAAATGTTCCAGTGTTGCTCCTTTAGTCTTCTTCCCTGTAGAAGGATACATCCCACTCCAAATGAAATCAGGAGAGCCCACGGGACTCACTTGGGCTAGTGAAATGTGGAAGTGATATGTGTCTTTTCCGGGCAGAAGGTTTAAGAGAGTGGTTCACTTTGTCTCCTTTCTCTCTGCCATGAAGACTGACAGTATTCCAGAAAGAAGATACTCCCTCAGCTTGTTTTCTGAAGTAAAGATGACATAGCATAGCAGCTGGGCGCGGTGGTTCACGCCTGTAATCCCAGCACTTTGGGTGGCTGAGGCGGGCGGATCACCTGAGGTCAGGAGTTCAAAACCAGCCTGACCAACTTGGTGAAACCCTGTCTGTATTAAAAATACAGAAATTAGCCAGGCATGGTGGTGGGCGTCTGTAATCCCAGCTACTTGGGAGGCTGAGGCAGGAGAATCACTTTAACTACAGCTACTTTAACCTCAGCTACTTGGGAGGCAGAGGTTGTAGTGACCCTAGATCGCACTACTGCACTCCAGCCTGGGCGACAGAACGAGACTTCGTCTCAAAAAAATGACATAGCACCGAGAAATAGCCAATCCACAGTAGACTTGTAGCATGAGTGAAAAGTAGATATTTATAATTACATGTATCCAAAATGTAGGATACATTTGTTACTCAAGCAAAACCTTGTGAATCTTAAATTTAATTTTATTCAGCATCTACTTAAATGTTATCTCATCTAGTCCTCAAATCAACCTTATTAGGCAAATAACTATTCTAGTTGGTGCTTTCATTTGCGAACAACAGACACCGAGTCTGGTAATATAAGCAGAAAAACAATTCGTTAGAGAGATAACACATTGTTCTTAGAGTCCATGAGAAGAGCAGAGAGTCAGGTGAAGAATATATGGCAATAGTCAAGGGAGGAAGAGCTCACCCAGAATCACCCCAGAGAAGCAGTTTTCTTAGGGTCCCACTGGAAGCACTGTCACTTCTCAATACTGTCACACTACTGGACTCTAGCCTCTGCCACAAACACTGCAAATAAGTGTTGACTTTCTCTACATCTTAGTATACCTCCTAAAGTGTCAGAGCTCCTGGCAGAAGCGTCCACATGGCTATGCTCGTCCCCTGGGTCTATGCCAACAACTTGAAGTTAAGAATATCTGCCCCTCATTCAGTTTCCAAGTAAAAGGTAAGGCCCTGACTCACATTTCTCTCTGGATTACCCCCAATGTTATTTAGATACTATGAAGACAAAAGTGATTGATATAGTATTTTCAGAAAAAAAAGTTGAGAAAATTGAACCTTGGAGAATTTAAGTCACCAATTCAAAATCACACACCAAGAATGACTTGTATCAGTCAGAATGCTTACAGCTGCAAGTAACCAAAATCCACAACTCAAGCAATGAGGCGTATGTTATCACACACAAAAGGTATTTCGAGTGAAGTGAAGGCTTCTGGGTGGACTGGATCAACTCTTTAATGATGTAATTAGTTCATGTAATTTCTTAGCCCTCCTGTCCACATTTTCAGCTTCGTATTAATAATGCTAGTACCCCTCATGGTTATATGATACCTGCAAGAGCCATCAAAGCTATGCACGTCTTTGTTCATTTTCTACCAGAGAAATTCTATCACCCTATTTATACCTTCTTTCTCGCTGAGCCAAATTACATCACATCTTCATCCCTAGACATTGCCACATACTGATTAGCTTAAGCTTGGCTTCCTGAAATAATTGCTGGCAAGAGGAAAGGCATTATTATGATTGATTAGTTTATCATTTATTCTGAAGCTGAAGATAAGGGCACCTTTTTTTCAATTACATGAGCTTCATGAAGGAAGGCAAATGCCTTAAGAAAATTACGGTTCTCTTAAGAAGAAAGAAGGGGGAAATGGATAATCTGTAGGCAAACAACAACCATGTTCTGCGTCCTTCTAATACATACATCTTTAAAAGTGTCCACACCTACATGAAATTCCTTCAAGTGTCCCTAAAGAGAGGCTCCCTAAAGTTTCTTCTGGGTAATGCACTCAACTCAAGTCCATAATCTCTAAGTGATGCATCAGTGATCCAAGACTAAATAGTATTATACTAACCCCAAACACATTCATGTACCCATGATGCAGGAAAAACAAGGCAACATTAATAAAAGTGATTATTTTAGACCATCCTGGCCAACATGGTGAAACCCCGTCTCTACTAGAAACACAAAAATTAGCTGTGCATGACGGCACCCACCTGTAGTTCCAGCTACTCGGGAGGCTGAGGCAGGAGAATCGCTTGAACCCGGGAGGCAGAGGATGCAGTGAGCCAAGATCGCGCCAATGCACTCCAGCCTGGTGACAAGAGTGAGACTCTGTCTCAATAAAAAAAAAAAAGTTATTATTTTTGGAAAACGACAGGAGGGAAAATAAAGTGATAATGCTTTACAATACAATATAATCTGTTAGACAGCAACACAGAGGATGTTCTGTCCTAGAAGTGAATTGAGTTTCCTGATCACCCAAGCTGGCTTCCCCTGGTTCTGTTCTGGGAAAGTATCCCTCATCAGTATTTCCCCAAAGTCAGAGGCAGGATAATCATTTTCCAGATTATTCCTCATAAGAGGCTTCACTGCTTTAGTAGTCTGCTTTGTATTGGTATAAGCATACAGACAAAGGGATCAAGGTTGTTGGCTAGGATTTTTGTTTCTTGGGCAGTAAAGCACACATAAATTAACAGCCTATTTACTTTTAATCCATTCTACTGGCGAGGAACTCCAGCCAGAGATCTTGTCAAACCATGGGCTTGGAATCTGACAATATCACGTTCCTTGCTAGAGCTTTCAAAGTGCTACATTCAGCTTCTGTTTAGCTATTAGACGACATTTATGAAGACAGGAAGAAGAGCTACCATACTCCAACATCCAAAATTTCCTCTACTAATACATTCTACATAGGAACATGATGATTCCCAGTGTAAAATGCCTAGTAGTTTAACAAAATGCTTTTTAATCGTACGAAGCAACATGTGCCAAATATTTACAATTCATTTCATTCATTTAATGATAACCTATTGAACACTTAGAGCCTAAAGTAGCTATTGGTACAGTAAGGCTACATAACACATAAGTATAATATCTCAGAGGTAGACAAAAATACTCATTTTTCTCATCCATGGGTCTTCAAAGTCAATGAGGGCAGAATAAATTCAGGCTGAAAACTGAATATAGGTGTGCTTCACTATGTGTCTCATTCCGGTATATAGGTTGAAGCAGTCGCAACTAGACAGGGCATCTTTTTTTTTTTCTCACAGCAATGGCAGTAGACGAGACAAGCCCAGCATTAAAGGTACTTCAAAGGTACATTTCAACTCTCTTCTCAGATCATGATAATCTCCTCTAGAAACACTTTCAAAGACATACCCAGAAGTAATGTTTAATTTGAGATCTCGGTACCAGGTGACCCAATCAACTTGACATATAAAATTAACCATTACATCATCCAACTATCATAAGGCCATGGCAGGGAAATGTATGTATAATACCAGTACTACAAGTGACTGAATAATTATGACAATTTAATCTACCACATCTGCTGCATCCCAAGAGTTGTTACAAACACTGAGGATAGAGCAGTGCTCAAAACAGGCAAAGCCACAACGCTGCTGGGTTTTAACTTGCAGTTGTGGAAACATGAAAACAATGAGCACAACCCCAGGTGTATTTATAAAATGTTACGCAATGTTAAAAATGTTCATAGTAGACCAGGTGCAATGGCTGACGCTTGTAATCCCAGCACTTTGGGAGGCCGAGGCGGGTGGAACACCTGAGGTCAGGAAGTCGAGACCAGCCTGAACGACATGGAGAAACCCCATCTCTACTTAAAATACAAAATTAGCCGGGCATGGTGGCGCATGCCTGTGATCCCAGCTACTCCGGAGGCTGAGGCAGGAGAATCACTTGAACCCGGGAGCCGCAGGTTGCAGTGAGCCGATATCGCACCACTGCCCTCCAGCCTGGGCAACAGGAGCGAAACTCCATCTCAAAAAAAAAAAAATGTTAATGGTAGAATCGATGGTGGGTAGACAGTGAAACGTTTGAAAAAGCGACGCAGGTTAAGGGGTTTATAAAGTGGATGTGTTTTTGACATTTTGGATGGGGTGGTCAGGGAAGCATCTATGAAGAGCTTACATTTGAGCAGAGATCTGACAGATGGGAGGGATGGATCCAAACTGAAATCTGGGAGGAAAGATTTCCAAGCAGTTGGTAGAGCAAGCTGAAAGGGCTTTAAGATGAAACATGACCTGCTGTGTTTTAGGACAGCAAGAAAGCCAGCACAGCTTAGAAGACTGGTGGGGGATGAGCCCAGAGCGTTAAGCAGTTGTGTGATCACACAGGGCCTTGCGGCAATAAAAAGAACTTTGAAGTTCATTTAAAATAGTATGGGTAATGTGACAATGTTTTAATATAAATAGATGTGAACATTTTAATTTATTAATAAGGGAACCAATAGGGAAGAAAGAAAAGAGAGTTCCAAGAGTATTTGACAAGCAAGAATTTATATAGTCAAGGCGAAAAAAAAATGCCTATGTAAGACTTCTAAGTTAGATATATGGTTGTATGCTTTTCTACAGGAAAAGAAAACCATAGCAGTTTGGGTATTAACTTTCCCAGCAGACTACACAATTCTAACACCTTATCAATTTCTTGGTTAACCTCTAACTTCACAGGGTTCCAAACTGACTTCACTGTTAATAGCTGTGGATGCTTATTAGCCAAATTTTGACAAGGCTGCCATCAGATGAGAATGTGTGTCAGAGGAATGTCAGATGAGAATCAATCAGGCTTCTTAGGACATATTATAACATGATATTAACATATCAGGTCATTCCTATTTTGTGATTTTTCCAAGTTTTGGATAAAGCCTTCTTTCACAAAGACACTGGTGGGAGTACGATATAGTTTGGATGTTTGTCCCCTCCAAATTTCACATTGAAATGTGACCCCCAGTGTTGGAGATGGGGCCTGGTGGGAGGTGTTTGGGTCATAAGAGTGGATCCCTCATGAATGGCTTGGTACCCTACCCATGGTTCTCATTCTATCAATTCACGTGAGAGCTAGCTGCTTAAAAAGAGCCCAGAACCTTCTCCTCTCTCTCTCTTGCTCCCTCTCTCACCACGTGGCATGCCTATTTCCACTTCACCTTCTGCCATGAATACAAGTTTCCTGATGCCTCATCAGAAGCTGAGGGTGCTGCTGTGATGCTTGTACAGTCTGCAGAATTGGGAGCCAAATAAACCTCTTTTATTTACCAATTACCCAGTCTCGGGTATTCCTTTTTAGCAACACAAAACAGACTAATACAGAACAGAATGTTGATATTATATGACTTCTTTTTAAAAATAATTTCTTTTGCTGTTATGTGGTGAAGAGATTCCAAGATGCAACCATCAAAGTAGAATCACCACTTAGGAGCGTCTTACAGGAATTCTGATGAGAAACGATGGCAACTTGGACTAAGACACTGTCGGTGCAGATGGAAAAAAGCATAGAGATCCATAAGAAATTTGGTTGTTGAGTTTGCAGGAATTGATGATATGTGCCTTTGTCAACATATCCCCTCTTCAGACCATAAACATTACTAGTAGTTTATAAGGCTCATCACTAGTGGGGAGAGAGGCAAGCTCCAAAATAACCCCTTTCCCTGATTTGTTTGCAACGTTACTGGTAATTTGTCTTTCCAAGTTCAATGTCAGTACTCCATTTTTCCTGTTACATAGCTAAAGTCTTCAGGGACAGCCAAAAGCAATGTCTTCTCTCCAGTAATGTCGAGAAACATGTCTTAATCGCATCACTCCAGCAATTCTCCCCTCTATCTAGCATTGCTCTTTTCCCACTCTTCTAGGTCAATATCATCAGATACAACTATGCTATTATTTCTATCATCTTAAGAAAAACTTGACTTGATCCCACTTCTTTGTTCAGCTTCACCCCCATTTCTGTCCTTCTCTGAAAAACAAAAGTCTTAGAAAGTATTGTCTATATTCTGTTTCTAATTCATTTTAAACCCAAATAAAGCTTGAGCTCCCACCATTCCAATAAAACTGCTCTTGTCAAAGTCACAAGTAAATAAATTGAATTGAAATAAAATGAATTAAAACCTACTCTTTCTATTCTGAGGCCTCACGTTATTAAAGTTAGCAACGGCATTTCAACAAGTTGGTCATATTCCCTTCTCTGATAGGCTTTCTTCATGTAGCTTCCAGAATACCACACACTTGGATTTCTTCCCAACACTCTTTCCACTGCTTCTTGGTTCCCTTTCAAGGTTCCTTGTTATTTCCGAGGCTTCTAAATGGCAGAGCGTTTCTGGCCCTTAAAGAGTCTCTCTACATTCATATATTTGATAGTCTCTTTGTATCCTGGCCAAAATACCATCTACATGCTGCTGTCTCCAAAATATTATGTTTCCAAACTAGATCCCTTCTCTGAACTTTATATGTATACCTTTATATTCTATATATAACAATATTCTTATATATAAATATTCTTATATATTCTTGGCTGGGCGCGGTGGCTCACGCCTGTAATCTCAGCACTTTGGGAGGCCGAGGCAGGTGATCATGAGGTCAGGAGATCGAGACCATCCTGGCTAACACGGTGAAACCCCGTCTCTACTAAAAATACAAAAAATTAGCTGGGCATGGTAGCACACTCCTATAATCCCAGCTACTCGAGAAGCTAAAGCAGGAGAATCGCTTGAACCCGGAAGGCGGAGGTTGCAGTGAGCCGAGATTGTGCCACTGCACTCCAGCCTTCCAGCCTGGGCAACAGAGGGAGACTCCATCTTAAAAAAAAAAAAAAAAAAAAAAAAGTGGTCAATAGACATGAACAGATATTTTTCAGAAGAAGACATACAAATGGCCAACAAACATGAAAAAAGGCTCACCACCACTAATCATCAGAGAAATGCAAATTAAAATAACAATGAGTTGCCATCTCACAACAGTCTGAATGGCTATTACTAAAAAGTCAAAAAACAACAGACCTTGGTGTGGATGTATAGAAAATGGAACACGTACTCTGTTGGCGAGAATGCAAATTTGTACAGCTTCTTTGGGAAACAGTATGGATATTTCTCAAAGAACTAATAATAGAACTACCATTCAATCTAGCAATCCCACTACTTGGTACCTACCCAAAGGAAAAGAAACAGTGATATCAAAAAGATTCCTGCACTCGAATGTTTATCGCAGCCCTATTTGCAACAGCAAAGTCATGGAATCAGCGAGTGCCCATCAATGGATGATTGGATAAAGCAAATGTGAGAGAGATATATATGTGCGTTATATGTATATATATCTATGTGTGTATATATGTGTGTGTGTGTGTGTGTGTGTGTGTGTGTGTGTGTGTGTGTGTGTGTGTGTGTATACGGAGCACTACTCAGCTATAAAAAAGAATGAGATGGCCAGGTGTGGTGGCTCACGCCTGTAATCCCAGCACTTGGGGAGGCTGAGGCAGGTGAATCACCTGAGGTTAGGAGTTCGAGACCAGCCTGGCCAACATAGTGAAACCCGTCTCTACTAAAAATACAAAACATTAGCTGGGTGTGGTGGCAGGTGCCTGTAATCCCAGCTACTCGGGAGGCTGAGGCAAGATAAATCGCTTGAACACGGGAGACAGAGGTTGCAGTGAGCCGAGATCGCACCACTGCACTGCAGCCTGGGCAACAAGAGCGAAACTCTTGAAAGAAAGAAAGAAAAGAAAATGAAATCATGTCTCTTGCAGCAACATGAATGAAACTGAAAATTTATTATCTTAAGTGAAATAACTCAGAAACAAATAAAATATTGCATGTTCTCACTTATAAGTGGGAGCTAAATAATGTGTACACATAGATATGGAGGGTGGAATAATAGATATTGGAAACTTGGAAATGTAGGAGGCTTTGAGGGAGATGAGAAACTACGTAATGGGTACAATGTACACTATTAGGGTGATGGTTACATTAAAAGCCCAGACCTCACCACTATACAATATAGTAAGATAACAATACCACATTAGTACCCCCTAAATATGTACAAATTTTTAAAAGGCCTAGTTAACATCTCAACTAAAATATCTAATAGTAATAATAACAATAGTAACAACCGATGCTTGTGTGGTGCCATTAATGACTGAGTCTTCCTGTTCTCTCAAAATTAATATGTTGAGATCCTAACCCCTGATGTGATGGTATTAAAAGAGACTTTTCAGATGTAATTAGGTCATGAAGACACACTCATCAATGAGATTTATGCCTTTACATAAAGATGCAAAACAGTTGCTTTTTCTCTCTCTGCTCTCTGCCATTTGCATATTCAGTGAGAAGTTGACAGTCTGCAACAGGAAAGAGGGCCCTCACCAGAACCTGACCATGCCAGCACCTTGATCTTGGACCTTCAGCTTCCAGAAATGTGAAATAAAAGTCTATTGTTTATAAACTGCCCAGCGTGTGCTAATTTCTTATAGTTAAGCTAGGTTCTTCTTATTTGCCAGACTTTATCATAAGCACTTTAAAAAATATATTAATTCAATTCTCACAAAAACCTATGATGTGTTGCATTAGCTCGTTTTCACACTGCTGATAGACATACCCGAGACTGGGAAGAAAAAGAGGTTTCATTGAACTTAACAGTTCCACATGGCCGGGGAGGCCACACCTGTATTCCCAGCACTTTGGGAGGCCGAGGCAGGTGGATTACCTGAGGTCAGGAGTTCGAGACCAGCCTGGCTAACATGGTGAATCCCCGTTTCTATTAAAAATACAAAAAAATTAGCCGGGCGTGGTGGTGTGCGCCTGTAATCCCAGGTACTCGGGAGGCTGAGGCAGAAGAATCGCTTGAACCCGGAAGGCAGAGGTTGCAGTGAGCCGAGATTGCACCACTGCACTCCAGCTTGGGCAACAAGAGCGAAACTCCGTCTCTCTCTCTATATATACACATATATATATATACACACACATACATATGTATGTATATACAACACACATATATATATAGACATATACACACACACACACACACACACACACACACACAATTAGAGTCACCATTTACTCCCTACCACCTCACAAAACCCACATGTGGTTCATCAACAAATCTGACATTTCCACAACCTCCACATTTCCACAACCTCCACTGCTGCCATTTTGATCCCAA
Organism: Homo sapiens; assembly: GCF_000001405.40. Taxonomy (NCBI): domain Eukaryota; kingdom Metazoa; phylum Chordata; class Mammalia; order Primates; family Hominidae; genus Homo; species Homo sapiens. Next base: position 141,507,884 of record NC_000023.11, on the reverse strand, counting down.
AGACCTCAGCTTTCATCTAGAACACTGCCAATAGTATCCTAACTTTTCCCCTCCCCCTCCTTCCATTTTGCCTCTCCTGCATCAAACTCTCCAGTGGATTTTCATCTCACTCACCGTAGAAGTTCCAGTCCTTACAATAGTCTATAAGGTTCTACATGATCTTCCTCTATATATTTCTCATTTCATTTCATCCTACTCTCCTGCTCACTCATTATGATCCAGCCATACTAGCCTCCTAGCTATTCCTTAAAAACATCAGGCTTGCTTGTGCTTCACGGTTGTTGCAATCGCTGTTCCTTCCGTATGCCTAAAATGCTATCGTTTAGATATCTGCACAGTTCACTTCCTCACTTCCTTCAGGCCTTTACTCAAATGTCGTTTTCCTAGTGAAGTTTCCTTGGCCACCCTATCTAAACTTAAACTCTGCCCAACCGCTGCACAATCTCTCCTCGTGCTTTTTTTTTTTTAATTTTTCTGTTTCTCATTTATTGCCTATATCCTTCTATTAAAAGGTAAGTTCTATGAGAGTAAGGATTTCTATCTGTTTTCTTTGCTGCTGTATCCTCCGTGTCTAGAACAGTATTTGGCACATAGCTGGCACTCAATAAATATTTGTTGAAACAAATAAATGAATGAAATCAAGTAAGTAATTTTTAACAGGGAATCTCAGGTGAGGTAAGGTATCCCTTGGTTGATGGGTATGTATTATCCAAGGTGTCTTTCTCTTAAACAATCTTCAGATTCCTCTCTCATTTCAGCCATGTGAATCACACTTCTATAGGCCCTCACTGACCTGGAAGTAAATTTATGAAGTAGATTGCCATCACCAATAGGCCAAATTTGATCTGCATAGAGTTAACTGGCGTAAGTAATCGTGGTTATTACATAACTTGGTTAAGTTTTCTCTCTTTTTTGAGACAGAGTCTCACTCTGTCGCCAGGCTGGACTGCGGTGGTGTGATCTCGGCTCACTGCAACCTCCACCTCCCGGGTTCAAGCGATTCTCCTGCCTCAGCCTCCCGAGTAGCTGGCACTACAGGCGCGCACCACCATGCCCAGCTAATTTTTGTATTTTTAGTAGAGACGGGTTTCACCATGTTGGCCAGGATGGTCTCCATCCCCTGACCTCGTGATGCACCCACCTCAGCCTCCCAAAGTGCCGGGATTACAGCGTGAGCCACCGTGCCTGGCTAAGTCTTTTTCTTATAAGGACTTTCCCAGCAAATATCCTTGTAGCTTCTAGATTGGAAAAACACAGGCCTCAGATACATACCAGTGAGTTTCTTGTACCCTGTGGTAGGTATTCTTTTAAAATTCACAGTCAACTAGTGTGAGGACTCTAAGGGGAAAGCTCCTTTCTTTTAAAGTTTTTAAACCTCTGCATTTAAAAAAAAATTAACTTAAGGAAAAATCCTCGTTCAACTTTAATTGTTAACATGGACTACTGATAAAAAAGGAATGAAAAAATATTCTCTTCTTATCAATCCCTTAATTCTATGAAGAGATTTCCAGCTGAAACCCTTTCTGGCACCTGAGCTTCATGGGTAGAGGAACTTTAATTGAACTCTAAAAGATGGAGCCTCTGTAGAAAGTATGAATATTTTGGTACACATCTTCATGAGCCATTTGCTCAACAGTATTTTTCTTAATGGAGACATTCAAATATTACATTTGCTATTAACATCAATGGAATTCAGTTATACCTTTTAAATAAATACATGTTATAGAGTACCTAGTTTAACTAGGAATTGGCATGAAAGAAAATCTGTTGCAATTTTAAGACCGGTGTTCCGAGCATTTTATAGAAATATCTGTATTAAGACACTGCATTGCCCCATTATTTGAGCTGGCACTTTGGTCTTACCTGGAAGACACATAACTGACACAGAGATCATTCTGTGATTATCAGACAGTGACTGCTGTAAAACAGTAAGTGAGGTATTTTTTTCTCAGCTCCAGCGTTATTAGCCTTAGACAACTCAGATACAGCAGTAACTGCTGATCCAGCTATAAAGTGTGAAGGGAAATGAAGCCTGTGATCTCTGGGAGAGTCTGATTCTCCCATTTCCTGCCATTAGCAAAAGTAAGTTTTATTAAATACAGAGTTATTTAGTAAATGGGGACACCAAGTAGGCTTTAAAGTTGCTTCTAAAGTGTGCTTATACTGGTTATTCATTTCAAAGTAAGTTGGAAGAACCGAGGGGAAAATAGTATTCCAGAAACTTTTACCTCCATCTACATGACTTTGGATTGACTGGACACATTTTGCATACAAATGGAGATTCCTAATATTCTTACCCCAGAGGATCAAGTCCAAACCCATATGGTACAGAAGGAATTGTAAGTAGAAAATATAAGATGACATAATTCCAAATATACAAAATGAAAATCAATGTTGATTATATTTGCCTATTTAACAAGAAAGATAGTAATATTTGAATCTAAAAATCTAGCTATTTACTACTTACAAGAAATTCACTTTAAAAAAAAAAAAGCAACAAACACCAGAAAGGTTGAAATAATTAAAACGACATAAAAAGATATATGAGGCAAGAGATCGTGCCACTGCACTCCAGCCTGGGCGACAGAGTGAGACTTCGTCTCAAAAAAAAAAAAAAAGAAAAAGATATATGAGGCAAATAATTAAGTTGGTACATCGACAATCAATATTAATATGAAAATAAGTTGAATTCAAAGAAAAAAATACTAAATATATGACGAAGTATACTTCATCATGATAGAAACGATAATCCACCCAGCCCACCTAGCTCGAATTTGTGAAAACTGAACAGCATGACCCAAAAACACATGAAACAAAACTTGAAGAAAACACAAAAAGAAACCACTAAGGTAGTTTTAACATGAATTTCTTTTCAAAACTCAACAATTAAAATATCAAATTATAAAAATTATTTGAACAATGCCATGAATATGCTTGATCTAACGTGTGTGTTCATGCATGTATGTGCATGTGTGTAGAAAAAGAGACGAAAAGGAGAAAATAGAGAGAGACATAAGAAGAAAAGTGTTCTTTTTTTTTTCACGCACACAGTGAACATTTACAAAAATTGACTGTGCTCTGGGTCAGAGGTCTGCGAATTTTTTCTGTATACAATCAGATACGTGGCTGGGCGCGGTGGCTCACGCCTGTAATCCCAGCACTTTGGAAGGCCAAGGCAGACAGATCACGACATCAGGAGATCAAGACCATCCTGGCTAACACGGTGAAACCCCGGACTCTACTAAAAACACAAAAAATTAGCCGGGTGTGGTGGCACATGCCTGTAATCCCAGCTACTCGAGAGGCTGAGGCAGGAGAATCGCTTGAACCCGGGAGGTGGAGGTTGCAGTGAGCCGAGATGGCGCCACTGCACTCCAGCCTGGGAGACAGAGCGAAACTCAGTCGCAAAAAAAGAAAAAAAATCAGATATGTAGTAGGCTCTGTGGGTTATAAGGTCTCTGTTTTACAAATATTCAACTCTGCCAATACAGTACAAAAGCAGCCACAGATAATACCCACACGAATGAGCGTGGCTGTGTGCCAACAACTCTTTACTTATAAAAATTTGCCAATGTGACTGTTTCACCTCATAAAAAATTTTCAGCTTGGTCACAATGGCTCACGCCTGTTATCCCAACACTTTGGGAGGCCAAGAAAGATGGATTGCTTGAGCTCAGGAGTTGAGACCAACCTGGGTACCATGGCAAAACCTCATCTCTGCCAAAAAAAAGAACAAAAATTAAAGATTAGCTGGGCATGGTGGCATGTGCCTGTAGTCCCAGCTACTCACAAGGCTGAGGCAGGAGAATTGCTTGAGCCTTGGAGGTGGAGGCTACAGTGAGCTGTGATCACACCACTGCACTCCAGCTGTGGCAACCGAATAAGACCCTGTCTCAAAAAAAAAAATCTAAATAAATTTAAAGAATTTACATCTTAGGCCTCATTTACACACACACACAATACACACACACACACACACACACAAAGAAAGTAGAAGTCAGAAATTAAAAGATGAGTTTACATTTTTAGAAATTAGCAAATTGCTCTCATATTACTCACATATTAGAAAAAGCATCATACTGGAATTTACAAAATATTTTAAACTAAATAATAAAAACCCACACATAAAATGTGTGGCTCTTTTCTTTCAATTAGATGTAAAAGGATGGAAGAAGTTTTTTCAAGAGATTAATAAATTTGTTAATCTCCCAATAAAACTGAAAACAAAATAAGAGAACATACAAATTCCCAATGTCACGAAACAAAGAGGAACAGCACTAAGAGACAGGACTAGCTGGATTTCCTAGACCGACTAAGAGTTCCTAAGCCTAGCTGACGAAGGTGACTGCACTCACCTTTAAACACCGGGCTTGTAACTCAGCTCACACCCGACCAATCAGGTAGTAAAGAGAGCTCACTAAAGTACCAATTAGGCTAAAAACAGGAGGTAAAGAAATACCAAATCATCTATCGCCTGAGAGCACTGGGGGAGGGACAATGATTGGGATATAAACCCCAGGCATTCAAGCCAGGAGTGGGCAACCCCCTTGGGTCCCCTCCGGTTGTATGGGAACTCTGTTTTCACTCTATTAAACCTTGCAACTGCACACTCTTCTCGTCCATGTTTGTTCCGGCTTTCGCTCACCGTTCACCACCGCCGAAAGCCGTCCGTCCACCAACGCCGAAGGCCGTCCGTCCACCACCGCCGAAGGCCGTCCGTCCACCACCGCCGAAGGCCGTCCGTCCACCAACGCCGAAGGCCGTCCGTCCACCACCGCCGAAGGCCGTCGTCCACCACCGTCCACCACCGCTCAACACCCTCCGTCCACCACCGCTGAACGCCGCCCTCGCAGACCCGCCATTGACTTCCACTCCTCCAGATCCAGCAGGGTGTCCTCTGCCCTTCTGATCAGTGAGGCGCCCAAAGGGGCTCGCCATTGTTCCTGTGCAGCTAAGTGCCGGGGTTGGTCCTAATCTACCTGAACGCTGGTCGCTGGTTTCCACGCTTCTCTTCCATAACCCCGGGCTTCTAACAGAACTGTACGGATCACCGCGTGGCCCAAGGTTCCCTTCCTTGGAATCCGTGAGGCCAAGAACCCCAGGTCAGAGAGCAAGAGGCTTGCCGCCATCTTGGTAGCTCTGGACGCAAAGACACGCCCATAACAGCACTACCGGCCCTACTGAAAGTGAAATAATACTAATGGAATATGAGAGCAAGCTGGTCGTGCACGGTGGCTCACGCCTGTAATCCCAGCACTTTGGGAGGCCAAGGCGGGCGGATCACCTGAGGTCAGGAGTCTGAGACCAGCCTGACCAACATGGTAAAACCCCGTCTCTACTAAAACTACAAAAGTAGCCAGGCGTGGTAGCGCGCACCTGTATTCCCAGCTACTTGGGAGGCTGAGGCAGGAGAATCACTTGACCCAGGGAGGTGGAGGTTGCAGTGAGCAGAGATCATGCCACTGCACTGTAGCCTGGGCAACGACAGTGAAACTCTGTCTCAAGAAAAAGAAAAAAAAATGAGAGCAACTTTATGCCAATAAATTTGAAAATTCAGACTCAATAAAAAAATTACTTGAAAAATACAACTTACAAAAACTAATATAAGAATGAATTGAGATATACAAATATACAAACAGCCCAAAATCTGTTAAAAATTGAACTTTTAAAGGTTATATATGTTATATTATGTATATGTAATTTAACTCCCCTCCACAAAAAGACTCCAATGTTTTCACTAGTGACTTCTGACATATTTAAAGAAATAATACCTAATTTACATAAATTCTTTCAAAAACAGGAGAAAGAAATGTTCCTCAACTCATTGTATGAGACTAGCAAATCCCTGATATCAAAATCTATCAAAGATATTATTAGAAAAGAAAACTAAAGATCAATATACCTCATGAATGCAGGCACGAAAATCATTAAAACATTAGCCAACAAAATCAAGTACATAAAATCAAGTAAACAAAAGGGTAATTTATCATGACTGTGCTAAGTGTCCCCAAGTCCAAAAACCAGCCTTGGTGATTCACTAGAAGGACTTACAGGACTGACTCAGGATATAGACGTTGTATTCATGCCTAAGATGTAATAAAATGAAATGATATAAAGCAAAATCAGCAAGGAGAAAAGGTATGGAGGGAACCAGGAATAAGTTTCCAAGTCTTCTCCTGGGAGAGTCACATAGGACGCACTTACTTCTTGCAGCAACAAGCTGTAACAAAATGTGTGAAATGTTTTCTACCAGACAATTTCTTTAAAGACTCAGTGTTTATTAGAGGTTGATTATGTGGTGACTTTCTGCCTAGGGCATACCAAAATTCCAGTCCCCCGAAAGTAAAGTAGGTGTTCAGTATAAACCACATTGTACGGTTTAAGCACAGTAAGCCACTCTTATCAGTTCGTTTGGGGAGAAGTCTCCCAAAATCCAAGTTACCGGACACCATCCAATGGCCAAACTTGCAAGCAAGCCTTTCTAATATCTAGGCCTACAATATTAACATTTTTCTGAACAATGACCAACTGAGTTTTATTCTGAGAATAAAAAGAAAATGTTTTAACAATTAAAGTCCAACCAGTGTATTTCACCATCTTAACAAAATAATCCAAATAAAGAACATCTGATTGTTTGAATAGATGCAGTAAAACTACTTGGCAAAATTCAACATTCTTGATAATCTAGTTATAGACAGTAATTTCCTCATTCCAATAAAAATCATCTATAAAAACTTATGGCTAGTATCATACTTATTGTGAAATTGTAAACAGTTTGCATAAGACTTCCAAAGAGGAAATGGTTTTACAGGCAGTCCTAGACAGAGCAATAAAGCAAGAATATTAAATAAAAGGTCGACATTTTAGTATGAAAAGAGTTAAAACTTTATTAGCAGACGACACGGTCAGTTGCACAGAAAATTCCATGTAATATACAAAACAACTAGTAAAATTAAAAAGTTAATCTAGCAAATTTACAGCATACAAAGTTGACGTAAAAAGACTATTGTTTATGTACCAGCAACCAAAATTGCAAAATAAACTTAAAATACCACTTTCATAATATTCAAAAGCAGAAAATGCTTAGAAATGAATTTAATAAGTATCTAAAACTTCCACACTAAAAACTGTAAGACAGCATTGAGAGAAATTAAAGAAGACCTAAATAAAAAGAGACATGTGCTATGTTCATCAATTGGATTACTTAATATTGTTTACATGCCTGTTCTCTCTAATTTAATTTATACATTCGTCATGATCTCAGTGAAATCACAGCAGAATTTTTTAGTGGAAAACGAAAAGTTGGGGAGCAAGATGGCAGAATAGACAGTTCTACCAGTCATCCACCTCACAAAGACATCAGGTAAACAATTATCTACACACAAAAAAAGCACATTCAGAAGAACCAAAAATCAAGTAAGCACTCACTATGAAAGGAAAATAAATCTTGGAACCCCCAAATCACTACACTAAAGGGAAAAGTCAAGCTGTGGACTGCTTCCGGCAAACCTACCTCCCATTCTATTCAAAGTCATCCCTCTGCTCACTGAGATAAATGCATATCTGATTTCCTTCTTTGGAAAGGCTTATCAGAAACTCAAAAGAATGCAACCATTTGTCTCTCACATACCTATGACCTGGAAGCCGCGTCCCCACTTCGAGTTGTCTTACCTTTCCAGGCAAAACCAGTGGACATCTTACATATATTAGTTGATGTCTCATGTCTCCCTAAAAATATATAAAACCAAACTGTAGCCGTGCGTGGTGGCTCACGCCTGTAATCCCAGCACTGTGGGAGGGCTGAGGTGGGCGGATCACGAGGTCAGGAGTTCGAGACCAGCCTGACCAACATGGTGAAACCCTGTCTCCACTAAATATACAATAATTAGCTGGGCCTGGTGGCGTGTGCCTGTAATCCCAGCTAGTCAGGAGACTGAGGCAGGAGAATCGCTCGAACCCGGGAGGTGGAGATTGCAGTGAGCCAAGATCACACCACTGCACTCCAGCCTGGGCGACGAGAGCAAAACTCCGTCTCAAAAAAAAAAAAAAAAAACACAACAGAAAAACCAAGCTGTGCCCCGACCACCTTGGGCACATGGGCACATGTTGCCAGGACCTCCTGAGGCTGTGTCACGGGCGCACGTCCTTAACTTTGACAAGATAAACTTGCTAAATTGACTGAGACTTGTCTCAGATACTTGGGGTTTACACAGAATACATGGTTTTAATTTCAAATTGCTGAAAGAGTCACTGAAGAGGTAAGAAAAAGTGCCTGGAATCACCAATGCCACTTCTCCCTCATCCCTCAGCAGCAGTGGTGTGGTGTGGGGAGCATTTCCGTGTGCAGGAGAGAGGGATAGTGCAGCAATTGTGAAGCACTGTAGCTCCTGCCCTGTAATAGCATAACATAAAACCAGACCAAATTCAGCTGATGCCTGCCCACAGAGGGAGCATTTAAACCAGCCCAGCCAGAGGGAAATCACTGATTCTTTTGTTACCAGAAAGGGGTCCCGATCCAGACTCCAAGAGAGGGTTCTTGGATCCGGTGCAAGAAATAATTCAGGCCGAGTCCATAGAGTACAGTGAAAGCAAGTTGAAGAAAGTGAAGGAATAAAAGAATGGCTACTCCATAGACAGAGCAGCCCGGAGGGCTCTGGTTGCCCATTTTTACGGTTATTTCATGACTATATGCTAAGCAAGGGGTGGCTTATTCATACCTCGCCTTTTACACCATATAGGGTAACTTCCTGACGTTGCCATGGCATTTGTATACTGTCATGGCACTGTCGGAAGTGTAGCAGTGAGGACGACAAGACGTCACTCTATCGACATCTTGGTATTGGCGGGTTTGGTTGGCTTCTTTAAAACTGCAACCTGTTTTATCAGCGAGGCCTTTATGACCTGTGTCTTGTGCCGACCTCCTAGCTCATCCTGTGACTTAGAATGCCTACCCATCTGGAAATGCAGCCCAGTAGGTTTCAGCCTCATTTTACCTAGCTCCTACTCAAGATAGAATTGCTCTGGTTCAAACGCCTCTGACACCAGTGGTCTAAACATGAGTTCCTGCAAGCCTCATCACTGCGGGACAAAGTGCCCTGGGGCTCTAAGTAAATTTGAATGGTAGTTTAGACCACAAGGACTGCAACTTTTCCGTGAAACCTAGTGCTGAACTGGGCCCAGAACCAGTGGACGTGACCCACCCAGCAAACAGCTGGAGCTTCTTTCTTTCTTTCTTTCTTTTTTTTTTTTTTTTGAGACGGAGTTTCACTCTTGTTGCCCAGGGTGGAATGCAATGGCGCGACTTCGGCTCACTGCAACCTCCGCCTCCCAGGTACAAACGATTCTCCTGTCTCAGCCTCCCAAGTAGCTCGCATTACAGGCATGTGTCACCACGCCTAGCTAATTATTTTGTATTTAGTAGAGATGGGGTTTCACCATGTGAGGCTGGTTGTGAACTCCTGACCTCAGGTGATCCGCCTGCCTCGGCCTCCCAAAGTGCTGGAATGGCAGGCGTACACCACCGAGTACGGCCTTCAGCTACAGTTTCTAAGGAAGTGCTGGCATCACTGCTCCCCTAACCCCAAGCTGCACAGCTCATGGTTCTAAAATACACCCCTTCCTTCCACTAAAGGGGAGGAGAGGAAATAGTTGGGAGGACTTTGTTTTGCATCTTGGAAACCAGCTCAGCCATAGCCGGATAGGGCACCAGTCAGAATCATGAGACTCCCTTTCCAGGCACTAGCTCCTAGATGATATTTCTAGATGCACCCTGGGCCAGAAGGGAACCTGCTGGCTTGAAGGAAAGAATGCAGTCCTGGCAGCATTCATCACCTGCTAACTGATGAGCCAAAAGTGCAAGCAGGTGAAGCAAAATTAAACAAGTGGTACTACATCAAACTGAAAAGCTTGATGTAGAAAGGACACAATCAACAGAGTGAAAGACAACCTACATAATGGAAGAAAATGTTTCCAAACCATACTCCTGACAAACGATTCATGTCCAAATATATTAGGAACTCCTACAACTCAATAGCAAAAGAAAAAAAAAACACACACACACACACAAAAAAAACCTGGACAGTGGAGCTGAATAGGCATTTCTTCAAAGAAGACATACAAATGGCCAAAAAAGGGATTAAAAGATCCTTAATATCACTAATCATAAAAGCAATGCAAATCAAGACCACAAGGAGATATTAACTCACGCTTTTAGGATAGCTGTAATTAAAAAATCAAAAGATAACAAGTGGGGCAATGATGTCGAGAAATTGAGAACCTGTAAACTCTTGGTGGGAATGTGAAATAGGGCAGCCACTATGGAAAGCAGTGTGATGGTTCCTCAAAAAAATTAATAATAGAAAAACCTAAATGTCTGTCAGTCGATGAATGAATAAGAAAAATATATATGCATTCAGTGGAATATATTATTTAGCCATGAAATCCTGCCATATGCTACGACATAAATAATCCTGAAGGATGTTATGCTAAGTGAAATACATCAGTCACAGAAGGGCAGTTACTTCGTGTTTCTACTTATATGAGATATCTAAGATAATCAAACCCATAAAAACAAAGAGGGCCGGGCGCGGTGGCTCACGCCTGTAATCCCAGCACTTTGGGAGGCCGAGGCGGGCAGATCAAGATGTCAGGAGATCAAGACCATCCTGGCTAACATGGTGAAACCCCGTCTGTACTAAAAATACAGAAATTAGCTGGGTGTGGTGGTGCGCGCCTGTAGTCCCAGCTACTCGGGAGGCTGAGGCAGGAGAATTGCTTGAACCCGGGAGGCGGAGGTTGCAGTGAGCCGAGATTGCACCACTGCACTCCAGCCTGGCAACAGAGCAAGACTCCACCTCAAAAAATAAAAAAAATAATAAAACAAAGAGTAGAATGGTGGTTTCCAGGGTCTGCTGGAAGGAAAAAAATGCATGGTCACTGGTATACTTTCTCAGGTTCCTCTCTCAATTATATTTAAATCTATACTTCTTTGGGGCAGCTCTTTCTTCTACCTTGGGTTGGTACATTAAAATGTTTCTTAGATTTTGCTAATAGCGAACTTGGCTATCTTAAGTTTCCTCTGCTATATTTGGGTTATTTCAGAGCGGAGAAGGTAGAAATGCCCATCACTCTCCCATTTTCAAGCATCAAGTCCCTTTAAAAAATGTATTTAATGACATAAACCTAATTAGACATTCTGGTTCTTTTAAAACAAAATGAGGAACCATTTTAAGAAGTATACAGTTTGGTGGTGTTATCGTATTCAGAGTTGCGCAGCTCACAACGCTAATTCCCAAATATTTTAATCACTCTAAAAAGAAACTCCAGACTCATCAGGAGACACTCGTTATTCTTCACCTTAGCTCCTGGCAACCACTAGTCCATTTTGTGGCTCTGTGGATTTGCCTGTCGGAATATTTCATATCAATGGAATCAGACGATTCATACAATTTGTGGCCTTATGTGTCGGGGGGCTGTTTTCATTTAGCGTGATGTTCTTGAAGTTCCTCCATGTTGTAGCAAAATTAATACAATTAATTGTATTAATTAATTGAATTGTATGAATACAATTAGTTTTTTTATTGTGTTAAGAACACTCAACATGAGATCTACCATCTTAACAAATATTAAAGTGCACAGTACAATATTATTAACTGTAGGCACCATGCTGTAAGCAGAGGTTTAGAACTTACTCACTTTGCCTAACTGAAACATTATACCCATTGAACAGCAACTTCCATTCGTCTGGTGCTCAGCTGCAGCTTACAAATGTTGCAGAATTAATGTCCCGAGCACCCAACTTCCAAGGATGGTGGGAGGGAGTAAGAAGGTAATTGCCCCAGCCACCTTATCTTTCAGAGGGACAATTCTGAGGTATGCCCTACACAATTCCTTTAAAGATTCCCAGTGAGACTCAGTCTCAGTCGCCCACACCAACAACAAGCTCAGTAATGCACCCTCCATTCACTTTTCTTCTCTGTCTTACTCTCCCTGCTCCCATACTCGGAAGACTAATGACCACCTCTCGAACTTCCTGCACCCGTTCTTGCACTCATTCTTAGAATGAAAAGAAAAGGACAAATACTCTGCGTTGTAAATATCCCTAGAGCAGCCAATGTCTTTATTGACATAGGGGAAAATGAAGCTTCAAAAGAAAAAAAAAATACACTCATACACACATCAACACACATACACATACATGCACACACGTGCAAAATTCTGAATATTAAGGAAAATTCCTACCATCCCCAAACTCTTCCCATGCACTTTCCGTAGATAGATAGATGGGAATTATTTGGCCCAGAAAAGCCTTTTTTCAATCAAAAAGGTGCTCAAAACAGGGCAGGCACAAATAAATAAAAAGTACCCTATGAGGGCCGGGAGGGGTGGCTCACACCTGTAATCCCAGCGCTTCAGGAGGCCGAGGCGGGTGAATCACCTGAGGTCAGGAGTTCAAGACCAGCCTGACCAACATGGTGAAACCCCGTCTCTACTAAAAATACAAAAAGTTAGCTGGATGTGATGATGAATGCCTGTAATCTCAGCTACTCAGGAGGCTGAGGCAGGAGAATCGCTTGAACCTGGGAGGTGGAGGTCGCGGTGAGCCAAGATCGTGCCACTGCACTCCAGCCTGGGGTACAGAACGAGACTCCGTCTCAAAAAAAGGCACCCTATGAGAAACAAAGGTGAATAGAACAGAAAAAAAAATGTCAGAAAAATAATACCCACTGCTAAAGTTTGCCACAGGAAAGATTAAAAATTTCACCAATGTCCACGTTCTATAACGGAAGCCAAGGTTATTTGGACCAACCTGTATTAGTTCATTGTCACGCTGCTGATAAAGACATACCCGAAACTGGGAAGAAAAGGAGGTTTAATTGGACTTACAGTTCCACATGGCTGGGGAGGCCTCAGATTCATGGCGTAGGACCAAAGGCTCTTCTTACGTGGCGGTGCCAAGAGGGAATGAGGAAGAAGCAAAAGCGGAAACCCCTGATAAACCCAGCAGATCTCCTGAGACTTATGCAGTATCACAAGAATAGCACGAGAAAGACCAGCCCCCATGATTCAATTACCTCCCCCTGGGTCCCCCTCCCACAACATGGTAGGAATTCTGGGAGATACAATTGAAGTTGAGATTTGAATGGAGACACAGCCAAACCATATCACCTCCCAAACAATTGAAAATTCTGAATGGAAGAAACATTAATTGTATCCAAAACTGATGGGCCAGGAAGGAACTATCAGCCTCCTATCTCTAGACAGACAGTAGTCAAAGCCCAGGGCGTACTTATGAAAAGAGTTTAATAGCCGACTCTCTCCAGATGGATCTGGGATTCCATAGGACTGTATCTTCATGTTAAGGGTGAAACAGAAGGAAACCCGTCCCTATTTCCAAACTCAAGGAACTTTCGCAGAAGTTGTCTTGGAGCTCAGCAGAACAAGGAGGAAAACAGAAAAAAATTTGTGTCCGTGAGAAGTCATGACACAGGCTGGCTATCACAGATTGTCAAGCCAGCTCCGTATTGCTTGGGTATTACGGAAAATCTCAAAACATAAATTTGTGTGTGTGTTGTCCCAGAGTAGCAGGATCTGGCAGAAACAAATTTCAACCCAACCCTCAAAGAATCCACATGAATCTTTTTACATTTGGGATTTTACCATTTGTTTTATGAATGAGAATGGACTTTAGTTTTAATATCTGTTTCTATACTCAATTTCTGTGGTGTTGGTATCAAAGTTCTGCTCGCCTCATAGAATAAGTTTAGGATTTTCCCTTTTTTATTTTATAGAATCCTTCATATATATTGAAATGCTCTGTCTGGGGAAAAAAATCTGGGCCTACTGTTTTATCTGTAGGAACAATCCTTTATTTCCTTTAACATTTATGAGACTATTCAGATTACATACTTCTTATTTCAATTTTACTAAGTTATACATTTATAAAAATCTGTGTATTTGATCTAGGCTTTCAAATTTGTAGCATAAAGTGTTAATCATATTTTCTCATTAGCTTCTTAATCTATACTCTGTCTGTAGTTATGTATCTTTTTAATTCTTACTTTTATTTGTGCTTTCTCTCTTTTTTTCTTAACTTCCCTGAGGTTGGCGCCTTTTATTATATTTCTCCAACAACCAAATTTTAGCTTTGTATGTTTTACTAATTTTCTCTACATCATTATCCCCTCACTTTAGTTTTTCAGAATTAATTCTGTTGTTTCTTTTCTAATTCTTTATTTAAATATGTAGTACATTAATTTTCAAGTTGTAGAAACATTCAAGTCTATAAACTCCTATTGTAATATCACTTTTACTGCTACTCACACATTTACTCTGTAATATTTTCAATATCATTAAGTTCTAAGTACTTTTAAATTTATATTATGGTAATCCATGAATTGCCGAGAAATATTTATGTTATTGATTTTGTTGTTGAATTTCAACTTAATTTTATTTTAATTTGTGCTAACTCAATTGAAAATTCCTTACTAATTTTTTAAATCTCATATCAAGACTTTTATTCACATCAATTGTTGTGCAAATGCTCTCACCTTGAAGAACACTCTCTTGTAAGCTGCTTCCCTGCAACTGTCTTGACTGGTTGCCCTCTAGGCCTGATTCAATTTTCTCATCCTAGGATTTTCCATCACTACACTTTTAAGAATTTCTCTCTCTCTTGTGTTGTGTCTCCTATTTTCCGCATTCCACATCTTCATCTTTCTTGGTTTACTTCTTCCTTTTGGTAGGAAAAACATCTCTAGTAGCTTCCTAAGAAAAGGTTCACAGGGAGACAAAATTTTAGAGATCTCATATGTCTGAAAAGTGTATGTTTTCTCCTTGTACATTTGATTTTAGTCTATGTGGGAATAGAAACGTACGCCAGAAATCATTTTCCTTTAGAATTTTCAAAGCATAACTCCATTGCGTTCTGGTTTATAGTGATGGTGTCAAATTATTATTATTATTATTTTTTGAGACGGTGTTTCACTCTCGTTGCCCAGGCTGGAGTGCAGTGGCGCGACCTTGGCTCACCACAAACTCCGCCTCCCGGGTTCAAGTGATGCTCCTGCCTCAGCCTCCCGAATAGCTGGGATTACAGGCAAACGCCACCACACCCTGCTAATTTTGTGTTTTTGGCAGAGACAGGGTTTCTCTATGTTGGTCAGGCTGGTCTCGAACTGACCTCCGGTGATCCGCCCACCTCGGCCTCCCAAAGTGCTGGGATTACAGGCACGAGCCACCACGCCTGGCTGGTGTTGAACATTTTTAAGCCATCTGATTCCTCGTTCTTTCTCCCTTAACTATTTTTACCCCTCTGGAAACTTATACAATTTTCTCTTTGTTGTCAGTGTCCTGAAATTGTACACTGATATATCTTGACACAAGTCTATTTTCATCTATTTTGCGAGGTGCTAGCCTTTTAATCTATAAATAAGCATCCTTAAGTTCTGAGACTTTTTATTGAATTATTTTGCTAACGATTTAGTCCCCTTTCTTTTACGTATTTATTTTCTTTCTATAACTCATATAATTAAAATGTTGGAAGAAATTATCTTGGAGAAGAAGATAGCGCCACACTGATTCTATCTGTGTCAAACTATCACAGCTCAAGATTTTCATATTTTATTAAGGAGAATTGTATTTCTTGGCATTCACATTGTTACCTAAAGAAGGGCAATGACTGGTTAAACATTGAAATGTATGAGTAATAGTTAGAAGATGCAAGCACTGTATCCTCCAGAACTTTAGCATATGAAAACCTTTAAATTCCAGGCAAGTTGATTTAAGCTTCAACATTCTCCCAGCTAAAATGAATCTATTTGTGCTACGTTCTGAGATCAAAGGTGAATAAGACATTGTTTCTGCCTTCGGTGATATCTCAGTCCAAAGGGAGACAAGTAAATATGATATAAAAAGAGAGATATCTAGGCCGGGCGCGGTGGCTCACGTCTGTAATCCCAGCACTTTGGGAGGCCAAGGTGGGTGGATCGTGAGGTCAGGACATCGAGGCCATCCTGGCTAACACGGTAAAACCCCGTTTCTACTAAAAATACAAAAAATTAGCTGGGTGTGGTGGTACACGCCTGTAGTCCCAGCTACTTGGGAGGCTGAGGCAGGAGAATCACTTGAACCTGGGAGGCAGAGGTTGCAGTGAGCCGAGATCATGCCACTGCACTCCAGCCTGGGCGACAGAACGAGACTCCATCTCAAAAAAAAAAAAGAGAGACAGAGATATGTAAAGTTCTATAAAAACTGAGAAGAGGGACAGAATATCTGTGACAGATAACTTGGTTGGGGCAGTTGGAAACAAGGAGGTCTCAGTGTATGCTTTCACTGTGTCACATTTGATTATAGGCAGAAACAAATGAATCTTAACATTTAAGGGTCACAGACCCTTTTAAGGATGTAATGAAATTTATAATGATTCTTTCAATAAAAAATTATATAACAAACATACACATATATTTTGCTTACTAACTCAGAATGTGCATCATCAAGAACTCTGGGTATAGGAGAATGAGTAGCAATGTTTCAGGCAGACAAGAAGGGAAGGGGAGTCCACACAGAGGAAACAGCATGTGCAGGAGCCTGGAGACACAAAAGCTTGTGCATTATTGGAATCAAGGTGACTATAACATAATTCAGGGTGATTGGAGCATAAACTGGAAGATTAACCAGTCATGGTATAAGATGAAAATAGAAGGCTGGGCCTGGTGGCTCATGCCTATAATCCTACACTTTGGGAGGCCGAGGCCTCCCTCAGGTAGATCCCTCAGGTGGGCCTCCCTCAGGTAGATCACCTGAGGTCAAGAGTTTGAGACCAGCCTGGCCAAAATGGTGAAACTCAGTCTCTACTAAAAATACAAAAATTAGCCGGGCATGGTGGCAGGCGCCTGTAATGCCAGCTACTCAGGAGGCTGAGGCAAGAGAATCACTTGAACCCGGGAGGCGGAGGTTGTGGTGAGCTGAGATGGCGCCATTGCCCTCCAGCCTGGACAAAAGAGTGAAACTCCGTCTAAAAAAACAAACAAAAAAGAGCCCGCATGCGGTGGCTCACGCCTATATTCCCAGCACCTTGGGAGGCCGAGGTGGGCGGATTACCTGAGGTCAGGAGTTCGAGACCAGCCTGACCAACACGGAGAAACCCTGTCTCTACTAAAAATACAAAATTAGCCAGGCGTGGTGGCACATGCCTGTAATCCCAGCTACTCGGGAGGCTGAAGCAGGAGAAGCGCTTGAACCCGGAAGGCGGAGGTTGCGGAAAGCCGAGATCGCACCATTGCACTCCAGCCTGGGCAACAAGAGCAAAACTCCATCTCAGAAAAAAAAAAAAAAGTAGAAAATATAAGATAAGAAGATAGCCAGGGATAAAGCATGAACTATCTCAAATGTCAGTCATGCACTTTGTTTACTCAGAGACAAGACCATGATTGATTACAATTATACACGTCATGTCAACCCTCTTCTAACTGTTAACAGATATAGCTGGAACAGCTAGTACCCAATGGAATACTAATTAACATTCTGACTGTAGGGTTTCACTGGCATTCACTACAGGTGTTGAGTGTGGAGTGCTCAAACCTCAAACTTACAGCTTCATGAAAGAAAAATCAACGTTAGAATGAAACACAAAGCCCCTCAACAACTACATCAATTATTTTATTCCTGAATAACTTACAGCAGAATGGCAATCTTCAATTAGTAGAAACGGTTCTCAACCATAGAAACAACTTAGATTTACCTGGGGAGTTTACAAAAAGCATACCACGTGGGAGATCTATCCCAGACCAATTAAATCAGAATTTATGGGGATCGATGGATCCTGGACATCTGAATTTTGGAAAGCTTGACAGATAACTTTAATGCGCATTCAAAATTGAGAGCTTCTATGTCAAGAAAAATAATCCATGAAAGTAAGTTCCTATCTACTCATCTGCCCTTAATTATACTACACTGTTCTCATGCAGCATGATACAAGTCAAAATTATTAATTTTTTTCTGAGATGGAGTCTAGCTCTGTCGCCCAGACTGGAGTGCAGTGGCACCATCTTAGCTCACTGCAACCTCTGCCTCCCGGGTTCAAGGCATTCTCCTGCCTCAGCCTCCTAAGTAGTTGGGATTATAGGCGCCCACTACCACGCCCAGCTAATTTTTGTATTTTTAGTAGAGACGGGGTTTCACTGTGTTGGCCAGGCTGGTCTCGAGCTCCTGACCTCGTGATCTGCCCGCCTTGGCCTCTCAAAATGCTGGGATTACAGGCGTGAGCCACCGCACCCGGCCAAAATTTGTATTTTTAAATATTTAAAAATATATGTGGTAAGGCGCAGTGGCTCATGCCTGTAATCCCATCGCTCTGGGAGGCCGAGGTGGGTGGATCACTTGAACTGAGGAGTTCAAGACCAGCTTGAAAATATGGTGAAACCCTGTCTCTACAAACACTACAAACATTAGCCGGGCCTGGCGGTGCGTGCCTGTGGGCCCAGCTACTCAGGAAGGTAAGGCGAGAGGACTGCTGGGGAGGATCACTTGAGCTCAGGAAGCTGAGGCTGCAGTGCACAGAGATGGAGCCACTGCACTCCAGTCCAGTCTGGGCAACAAAGTGAGTGTATATATATATATACACACACACACAGATTTGGCCACTTTAATTCCTCTGCAATGGAAGTCTGAGCAGCATGCTTGAGGGTCAATATCAGGACCTGCAGGCAGCCAGCCTGTGCTAGAAATGTTCAGAGTGGGTTTTTTCACATACACTTTCATCTTCTGAGTGTACTGCCTGAGGCTATTGTTCTCTTCATATCTTGCAGATCTTTCTGGGGAAAAGGCCGCATGCATCAGCAGTTTTTTTGCTAAGGGTCTTGTAATTAATTGGATGACCTTTCAGTCAAAGAATTTCTAAGGACAAGATTTCTCCTATTTTGGCTCAGGAAACTGCAGGCATCAGTTGCACAACAATATTTAACATTAGCACAGCTAATAAGTCATATCCGTTGCATTAAACAAAATGTACAGAACTTAATATTTTTAGTTACACCCAAACACTAGATAGGGTTTGCAATTAATCATTTTTACATTCTATATTCTGTTTGACACTGATTGTACAACTTCAAGAAGAGGGTCACACAATGATTTATTCAGTAAATATGTATAGAGCTTGTGTGTATCAAAAACTGTGCTAAGTGCTGAAATTAGAAAACATACCATGTACCTGCCCTCAACATGTTGTCATTCTATTAAATGGTGTAATAACACAACACTGAGTCATAGAAGTTTCGAAAGAGAAGTTCACACAAAAAAAGAGCTAGGCAAATGCGTCTGACATTATATATCACTTATAGCTGGTATCAGTTAAAGCCAGGTCTTCAAGGCCCATGAATGCCAGGATAGAAAACTTAGAACAAACTGTCTACACAAAGGGGAGTTTGTTTTATTTGGTTTTGTTTTTCATAGGAAAATAAGATCAGAGTTTCAGGAAGGGTATAAGACTAACTGCAATATATAGGATGGATTGAAGATCAACAAGAGAAGACAGAAGGTGAGTTATGAGTTTTATTAAATGGTTAAACTAATAGATGATGGTGGCCTGGGCAAGGAAAGCGGAAGCAAGGACTGGAAGAAAGAGACAGATGCGAGAATCATTGCAAAGATAAAGTAAAAAAGTCTTGGCATGAGTTTTCAAGTTGGGGCTAGTAAAAAATATTGTGGGATTCTTGGCATTCATCTATCCATCAAATTATTCAACGAGTCTTTATTAAAAAAACTACTATGCAACAAGCACTGTGCTGGGTTCTGGAGGTACAGCAATGAATATGGGATTCATAGTCCCTGAACTTCATAAAGCTTTATGTACAGGGAGAGACAGATAATAAATAAAAGACACAAGCAGTTGTAAATGCTGTGAAGGAAATTTTGGGATGCTGCAAGAGAGTAACAGACAGCAGTGATGGTTAGTGTAATGGACAGAACTACTGTATATTGATATTGGGTACTAAGTGAAGCTTTCTCCAAGGAAGTCTTATTTGATATATCAGAAAGAGCAAGCATTGAAAAAGAGGAAAAAAAAAAACAGCTGCCAAGGCTCAAAAATAGGACAATTTTGGCATAGTTCTGTGTTTGAAGAACAGAGAGTTGCCAATGTGCAGAATAATGCCGAGAATTTGAGTAAGAGGAAAATGATAAAGTAACCAGTGGTTTTAATAGTGCAGATGGTAATGCTGACCTCGATAAAAGCAGTTCCAGTGGAATGAGAACAAAACCAAATTGAACTGAACTGAAAAGTAAGTGGGAAGAAATGAGGGAAGTGGCTACAGTGTGTTTAGTGGAGAAAACAAATGAGGGGGTAGGTGGCAGGGGGATACACAACGGGGAGAATTCTAGTTTGTAAAAGTGATATAAGAATTTAGATCACAATCGCACATGTATACTGAGCTGGCAGAGAGGGAGAGATTAACGTACATGAGAAAATAAAATTGAGAGCAGTGGATTGTGGTTTCTAGCACCAACAGTTCACTCTCACCTTGCCTTTGAGTTGGATAAATGGCTGAAAGCTGATTCTTTTTCAAGGTTGGTTTCTATTTGGGAGAGAAGGGAGTACGGAACAAAATGAAAATTGTAAACTGCATAGAAAAATAAGGATACTGAGTACCGTAGAGGAAGAAAAGAGCTCAGGAACAACAAGATCCTGGTCCTCAAACCGAATGCTGCCTACTTTCTAATCTAGCTTCACATCACCCCTACTCCAGTTCCCAAAAGAACAATGATTGTTTCATTTAATCTAACCAAGAGCACTTTATACATCCCACCATATACATCTGTCATCTCAAAGAAGAAAGAGTATTTTAGGACTAAAAATAAAAAGAATGTAATATTAAGATTAAAATCAAATAACAAATCTAGCTTCATTGAAAACCTGTCTATACTGTTTTCTTATTTTTCTTTTAATTCTGCCATGGATTAGTGAAAATATTATCCCAGTCTTGTGTCTGTCTAGAAATCAGTATTGGGAAATCGCTAGACTGATTGCCTTATGAAATCGCTTCCAATTCAAATTCTATGATTCAGTTAATAATTACAAAACATATCATATTTGAAGTAAAATAATTTCCTTTTTATCTTCCATTCAATGATCTTATAAATAACTCTTCGCCAAGTCACCTTTGCAGTTCTCTCAGCTATAGGGATCTAAAGCAACATTTTGACACCCTCATCAGTTTCAAGGGCCTATTCTCCCAACTTTTCAGAGAGCCAAGAGCATTTACCATAAACATATCTCTCAGCACAAAAGATAATAGCTGGTTCAACTGTTCTCTGTCAGCCTGAATGTTGGTGAAGACCTCAGTAATCACACTCCACTCTGCACAAATCCAAAATCACAAATGCAGATTAATTTATGAGAACAGAAGGAAGGAATTGAAAGAAAAAAAAGGCTGTCTTGCTGGAAGAAAGAAAAACACAAAAGAAGTCCCACTGGCTAGCTCATTTGGATATTTTTATTTCTAAAGTGTTCAAGCATCCTGATATTTTTTCAGCACTCTTAAAGAGACAATTAAATATTATATCAAATAGGATATTTAAAAAGATGACTTAAGTTATAACAAGCGGACTCTAAATACCAGAATGACCACTGGCTTACTAAGACCTCTGATCTGCAGGCCTGTGCCTGATGATGCCTTTCTAATTGCAACGGCATGGGCCTGGAGCAAAGTTTATTTTACTGCAAGGTCTACTTTATTGAATTTACTGCCTGTCCTAATTCTATGTATTTCCGATTAGCTGGCCTTCAAAGCTGATGTTAGTAGAAGGAAACTGTTTTCTGACATGCTGACATTTTAAAGCTAATAGGTTTTTAATAAGCAATTGAGTTTGCAGCATTCTGCTCCTGTTATGTTTTATTGGTTTTTGTGCTTTAATTTGGTATGTGTGTTTTGGCATAACTCCAATGGCAGGTGCAATTTTAAAAATGGAATCAATTAGATTCACTGTGATGTCTGATAAAAGCATTCCAAGCTTAGCTTTTCAAACAAAATGCTAGGCTTGCCTCTTTCCAGAGTCCTGCAAAGAAAATGTATTGATTCCATAGGGCTTTCTCTACTGTAGCTTTTTGAAATTTCGTTCTCACTCTTCAAATGTCCAAATCCACAATCCCTTAAACAGCTTTTATTGAGAACCACAACCTCATCTCCTCCTTTTTCGAAGCGATTAAGTCCATCTAGCAGGAGAGCCCGAGTACAGTTTATTTTCCTCTTTAAAGTCTCTCTCTAGTGCTTTCTACAGTACTGCCAATTAATAGGGGCTGAATAAATCTTTGTTAAATGATAGGTTGAATGAATTTGTCGTCTCTTCTCTTTTCTCTGACTTGCGGTAAGAGAAATTTCTTTTTTTCTAAGACTAAACCTTGTCAATGATGTAGAATTTATCTGATTCTTTCCACTCATGCCTTCTTCAAGACTTTGATTCATATGATGTATTTCTTCTTAGTTTGTCTTTGGTCTTCATTTCTTCATTGGCCACTTAGTGGCTTCCTATTAACACAGACAAATGTCTTAGTTTTGTTAAACGGCCTAAAGGGAATGGTGACTGGGACAAGGTATCTGCGTTGGAATACTAGGTTGGGTAGCAATATTCTGTTGCTTTATATCTGCGTGGCGGAAATAAAACCATACACTTTTGTCGTGTGCTTTCCATATCTGAGTTTTATCTTAAAATAAAAAGGTAAAAATAAAAACAACAAAAAAGAAACACGTTGAGGACAAGAGGTTGATTAAGGCTGAACCAAATTAAAATAGAGACGAGACCGGAAGAATCTCTTAGAAGAAAAACACAGTTAGGCCTCAGAAGTGACTTCAACCTTGCTTGATTTGCAAACATAAGCAAAACTTAACTTGAGCTATTTCTCAATGTTTATATCACAGAGAAACAGAATGTAAACTCAACCAATCAGAAGCAGTTAACAAACTTATAGAATTAGGACTTTCCAATGGGATAGATCAAATGAGGCAACTGTATAACTGTAACCAATCAAACACCATCTGCTTTACTTCCGTGTCTGTTTTATAAAATTCTCCCCATTGTTTTCCCTTGATGGAGCTCCCGAATGGCTTCTAGTTTGGAGCTGTACAATTCAGGGAATATTTTTTGCTCAAACTCTTTAAAAATGGTATTGTGCCTCAGTTTACCTTTTAACATTAGGAATATTACTCATTGACTTGACAAGGTGAACAATTTCTAAAGACTAGATAGCAACTCCTTTTGTAAGTCAAGCAATTTCCAATGCTTTGTTTTCAACAAAATTGAATGACTTGCAATTGTCATGTACATAGTTTTTGGTATGTAATTCATGAAGAATTCAAAGAATTGAGTGAAATTGCTGTAAAAAAAAAAATCCTTCTTCCATTCCTATATACATATGCATGGAAACAAAGTCTATTTTTGACAAAGAAAAAAATCAAAATAGAATTAATAATGGACCCTCTCTTATTCTAGCAATTAGTAATAGTTATCTATGTCTACAAGAATGAATGGGAGTAAATGAGAGGGGAACAGGAACAATATGGGCCATCTCATTAAGAAATGTAGTTTTTTTTTTTTTTTTGAGACGGAGTTTTGCTCCTGTTGACCAGGCTGGAGTGCAATGGCGCGATCTTGGCTCACCGCAACCTCCGCCTCCCAGGTTCAAGCGATTCTCCTGCCTCAGCCTCCCGAGTAGCTGGGATTACTGGCATGTGCCACCACGCCCAGCTAATTTTGTATTTTTAGTAGAGATGGGGTTTCTCCATGTTGGTCGGGCTGGTCTCGAAATCCCGACCTCAGGTGATCTGCCCGCCTCAGTCTCCCAAAGTGCTGGGATTACAGGCATGAGCCACCACGCCCGGCCAAGAAATGTATTTTCAATAAATATTAACATTGTATGTTTAGCAATTATTTTCCAAAAAAAACCTAACATACTCTTTTCAATCAATTTTATGTTGCTGTTAATTGAAACCTGCAAGTATGAAAATTATCAAAACAATAAGGGTGGTTATTTTTCTGTATTGTTGCATTACATGTGGTTTTTTTACTTTCTTCTTTGTACTTTTTGTATTTTTAAATCTTACAATAGGCACATATTTTTCACTGAATAAAGCAATAACCTATTAAAGGTATTAAAAAATACTTTCCCTTGAAAACACCTCCCTAAAGCTATTTATCTTCTTTCTTTTTTGCTTATCTCCTTTTCATCATTATTCAGTCATCTCATTTTCTCCAAGAATCCTGCCCCTACTACTCCACGGAAAATATACTCTTCAAGGTCAACCTTATCATTACAAAATCTTCAGTCTTTACTTCCCTTGACAGCTCTCCCAACATTCAGTATAGTCAACTTGTTTGAGCCTTGCGAAATGTGTCCCTTGGCTATTCATTCCCTTTTTTTTTTCCCTTTCTGCTCGCATGTTCTCTCTCTCTTTGGCTTTATTATGTCATCTGCTAGTTGCGAAATGTAAACCCCAGCCTAAATATTTAGGACACTACTAGCTATGTGTCTCCAGGCCATTATATCATGGTTGAATGACTTTCCAGTCTGCATTCACCATTCAGAGTGTTCTTTGACCTTGAGCCATAGTTCTGTAACTGCCATTTTCACTAGGATATCTTGACACCACCTTAAACCCAACATGTCTAAAACCACATCTGTTGCTCCAAGTCAGGTTTCCCTGTAGACCATACTTGTTCTGCCACAGAACTAGGTCATAACTTCATTGCTTTTGCAAAAGCCTTTGGCCAAAAACAAGAAAAAGTCACAAAGTGATCTTTAGCTACAGTAAAAAGATGAAAACAGAACACACAGAAAGTCTGAATACAAGAATATTTATTTTTAGAGCTGATTTCATAAAAGAAAGCAGACCAATATATCATTATGTCAGTTTAAGCATAGCCATAAAAGTAAATTTGGCTTCAAATTTGGAGTCAGTCAGTCTCTGGAGAGAAATGTGTTCATTACCAATATTAGCAGCACTTTATCCTCCAAGTCATTTGGATTAAAAACCATGGGGAGGTACAATTCTCTGTTTTTTAACCCTCCTATTCAGCCGTTTGCCTACTCTTGTCAAGTATTTTGGAATGTCTTTTGTGGTTCATTACATTTGCACTCCCACAAAATACCTAATTCAGGTCATGTTCACCTTACGTTAAGATGTTACAACACTCAAACTCTTTTAACTGACAGACTTCACCTCCATTGTCTTCCATGTTCTGTTCCTGTTTGTATAAATTCAACCTGCTTTAAAAATTATATCTGGTACTTGATGACTATAAGATAGAGACTGTAAACCTGAGTATTCAAGGCGTATAAAATCTGATCGGAAACCACCCTCCAATCTAAACCTCAACTATATTCCTTCACAAACTATGTCTAATCAGCTTTTGATAAATGCTATGTATGATGTGGGATATGATGAAGTTTCTCTTCAAATAACCTGATCAATCTTTTATTCTTTAATTCATAGTACCCTCCTCCCTTCTTTTTTCTTTTTTCTCCTTATTTCCTTTTTGCCTTTATTAGATGCCCAGGCACGCCACAGTACCAGGCGTTATCAGTACCAGCTCACATTCCTTTCCTTATTTGGAAAGAGGACTAACTTTCTAGCTCATTACAGCCACCCCTTCCCCTTTCCTCTCTGCTTTCTTTTACCTGCCCACCTTGTCTAAAAAAAAATCAAATGTTTAGCCAACCGGGATTAGTTTAGATTGTATGACCCGACCCCAGCCAATGGGGAAAGGGTACAGGGGCAGGACTTGCATCAGGAATAAAGGCTCTGGTGCCCCTTTGTTCAGGTGTGTTCTCATGGCGACTGGCCAAGGAGGCACCTCACTGCACAGAAGTAAAATGGCTTTGCTAAGAATCCTTTGTTCGACTGTTCGATTTCCTTAGAATTTTGAGTGTTATTCCCAACAGTTCGAAATAAAAATGGTGGACACACAGTAAAACAAAAAAAATGCATATTGGAAGCAGAGGTGAGGTGCAATCTAGTGAAAGTAGCAAATAAGTAGAGAGCCTAAGACAAATGTTTAGGGGTTGAATAAAGTAGGAGCCAGTAAAGGAGAGTGAGAAAGAGAATTCAGTGAGGTAGGAAGAAAACAAAGTTCAATGTGAAGTTATAAAAGACAGGGGAAGATGATGTTCAAACAAAGAGAGAATGACCAACTGTTTAAGAGTGGTAGGTCACCGTTAAATTGGAAATATGGAAGTCGCTGATGACCTTGACAAAAGCAAGATCAATGGAGTGGACAGATTGAAATCAGGAGTGGTTTAAGGAGCGATAGGAATTTTGAAAAAACGAAACAGTGAGTATCAACAACTCTTTTTTCTTTTTTTCTTTTTTTCTTTTTTTAGATGGAGTCTCACTCTGTAGCCCAGGCTGGAGTGCAATGGCACGATCTCAGCTCATTGCAGCCTCTGCCTCTCAGATTCAAGCAATTCTCCTGCCTCAGCCTCCTGAGTAGCTGGGACTACAGGCGCACGCCGCCATGCCTGGCTATTTTTTTTTTTTTTTTTTTTTGTATTTTTAGTAGAGACAGGGTTTCACCGTGTTGGTCAGGATGGTCTTGATCTCCTGACCTCGTGATACGCACACCTCGGCCTCCCAAAGTGCTGGAATTACAGGCGTGAGCCACCGCCCCCAGCCAACAACTCTTATAACAGGTTTCGCAGTGAGGAGAGCAGATAAATTAGACTATAGATGAGATTTAGGGTGAATAAAGTTTTTCATTATTTTATTTTGAAGATAGTAGTTATTTTAACACATTTGGGTGTTAACAGACATGATCCAATAGAGGAGAAACTGATGTTGCAAGAGAAAGATGGTGCAACTGAAAGAGCAAAATCCTTGGGGAGGTGAAAGAGAATGGGACCCAGTGCAATTGTGGAGGGACTGCCCCTTCATAGGAACAGGGACACTTTTTTGGTTTGAAATAAAGAAAAGGGGTATATTAACATGAGGCTTGGAGATATCACAGTCAAAAGATGGAGCAGACCTCTTTCCATGGCTTCCTTCGATTTTCTCAGTGAGGTATACAACTGGAAATAAGGGGATTGGGACAGGTGGGTATATGAAGTTTAAGGAAAGGGAACATATGAAAATGAGTTCTCAGACAGTGAAAAAGTGAACTTGCTATAGAAAAACAGTTGAAATTCCAGGAAGTATTGAGACCTGACTTGAGTTTTGAGAGCATTAAAGTTAAACCAGGGTGCCTGATGATTTGATTTTCTCCAGCTATGAAGAAATGGTAATTAATGTGCAAGGCAAAAATGGGACCCAACTTCATGAGTTCCGACTCTAAGACCAATATTCTTTGTACTATACTATATTAATGGTATTTTATTTTAAATTCACTAGAAAAATCACAGCTCAGGTTATAATTGAGTAAGATATTTTCTTCAAATTAAAAAATATATATCCAAGTGGAGTATGAGCAACCATACCTATGGAAATACATTGAAGAAGCTTACAACAGGAAGCCATTTGCAGCCTGTATGCCGATCAGCATACATTTCCTCCTGTAAATATTGCAAAACGTCCGTATGCTCATGTTGCAAAAGCCCTCTTGGAGCCTTGTAATCAGGCCAGTGGACCATATTGTTAGGCACAATCTAACCTCTTTCATTCTTGGCCCCAAACAAAGGACAGCAGGCTGATAGAGCTAGAAGAGCTAATTAGCACCCCATTCATCTTGCCTTATGCTTAGAATGCCTAAAGGAAGCTTCCTGTTTCTGGCTGATGATAAAACAGAATCAGTCTCTTTTGCTTTCTGATTTGAGTCATTTATCAATCATCATTCCGCAGACACACTGAGAAGCAAAGAATGTATACACATATACATGCTTATGTTTAAAATGTTTTATAGGGGGGTATATATGTCTTTTAGCAGGTGTGTATGTGTGTGCTTGGCACCATAATAGAATGAAAAGAAAAGTGGGAGGGGTTGAGGGAAGTGGAGTCTGGAAACTGAGTACAGCTATTCCTGAAGAGACAGAATGGTGTAAAGTTAAAAGCATCGACTCTGGAGTCAAACTTCTTGGCCTGAATCCTGGCTCTGACACTTACTAGCCACAGGGCCCTGGCCAAATTACTTACCTTTTCTGGACCTCAGTCACCAATTTGTAACATACAAATAATAGTAGTACTTAAAATAAAAGGTTGTTGAAAGAATTAAATGAGTTGATGTTTGGAACTCTAGTATTTACCAGCTGGTGATCCTGGGAACATCATTTAAACTCTTAAGGTTCCATTTCCTTATCAGTAAAACTTACCTCCAAAGTGTCCTCTACTTTTGCAATTTTTTTCCTATCACAAGATTTTACATTTTCTGGTATTTTGGCAACAGATTCATGGTTAAATAAATACTGTATTAGTTACAAAATTTCCTCAAAATTCTGTTACCTATACCAATGTCCTCATCAGCGGCCAGACACATTTATGACCATTAATGTCTGATTCAAGAATGACATATGTTGGCCGGGCGCAGTGGCTCAAGCCTGTAATTCTAGCACTTTGGGAGGCCGAGGCAGGCAGATCACGAGGTCAGGAGTTCAAGACCAGCCTGGCCAATATGGTGAAACCCCGTCTCTACTAAAGATACAAAAACAAAACAAAAAAAAAATTAGCCGGGTGTGGTGGTGTGTGCCTGTAATCCCAGCTACTCAAGAGGCTGAGACAGGAGAATGGCTTGAACCCGGGAGGCGGAGGTTGCAGGGAGCCAAGATCGCGCCATTGCACTCCAGCCTGGGCGACACAGTGAGACTCTGTCTCAAAAAAAAAAAAAATGTCATATGTTAACCTGAAAAGCAGATGTGTCTTCCTAAGAATATATCTACATTAATATCCAATTTGGTTTGCAGTTCTTGAGGCCTTATCAATGGAATCCCAAAAGGCGTAGGACTAATGAAGCTCAGTCTATGTAGTGGAGTGCATAGAAGATGCCTCATCTACAAAGGTCAGAGGAATTATAGAATTGTCACTATCAACAGGCAGCTCTTTGTCTCCCTGTCATGTGTCTCCCTATACTTACTTCATAATAAGGGTAGTCCTATGTCTTGCTCACTCTGCATTCTCATGCCCAGAACAGAGTCTCTGACACTAAATGGAAACCATCATTCTCAGCAAACTATCGCAAGGACAAAAAACCAAACACCGCATGTTCTCACTCATAGGTGGGAATTGAACAATGAGAACACTTGGACACAGGAAGGGGAACATCACACACCGGGGCCTGTTGTGGGGTGGGGGGAGGGGGGAGGGATAGCATTAGGAGATATACCTAATGTAAATGACGAGTTAATGGGTGCAGCACACCAACAGGGCACATGTATACATATGTAACAAAGCTGCACGTTGTGCACATGTACCCTAGAACTTAAAGTATAATAAAAAATATATATACATTAAAAAAATTGTGTGAAAAGTGAATGAGGAAATGAATGAAGAAAAGGCTCACTTGACTATTTGTCTCATCTTTCATCTACCTTGCAGCCAATTCTCATTATCCAAAACCTTTTAAGTAATGCTATAATAAACATTTATTCTGACAACATAGAAGAAGAATAATGGATATGCTTGAGTAATCAATTCCTGAGCAATATTCAGAAGGCTCACAAGAAATATCTGATTATTTACAATGCCTAAAGTACCATCTTTGCCTACGGCATAAAATGTTGCTTCTTATAACAATTTTGGTGCCCCCCCCATCACTCACTTCATACACAATACACGGGGGCATGTGCACGCACACACACACACACACACACACACACACACACACACACAATTAATTTCTTCAGTAAAGACTTCACTTCCGTAGTGATAAAAGACACATTGCTAAAATGGTAAGGAAGAAAGCAAAACAACAAAATGCTGTTTCATACTTAAGGTTCTGGGCTTTTGTGTTCCATATGGTAACTGAGCTTGCAACATAGCAAATACAGATTCCAAAAGATCTTTTTATCCCTCTATTTTGTGATTTGTGCAGCCAAGCATGTTAGAAAGAATAAGTAACCAGAACAAAGAGCTGACAGGCAAACAGAGAGCAATCTTCCATCAGTGAAGAGAACACTTTCCTCAGGCTCCAAGATTATTATTATTTTTTTCTTTTTTAAACCTATACTGCTGGGCAGAACAAACATAAGAACACAGAACCCAATCACAACAGGTGAAATCATGATGAAATAAGACCCTGAATCTTGCTTAGAAAGAAGATGGTCAACATACTATAAACAAGGGTGGGAGGTAAATCCACAAGAATAATTTGCATATGAAAAGTCTGGAAATTATTTTTTAATAGACTTTTGTGGCTTAACTTCACTTAACCATAATCTCATAAATACCCAGGAGTCATTAACTTTGCAAATTGTTTGGAGGACTCTGAGGAGTTAATCCCGGAAGATAGCATGATGTACCAAAAAATCATTTACTAGAATTTTTTATTATTACAAAGAAGCAAAAAGAAATAAAATAGAAAACAGTTTCCATGAAGTATAGAGGATGCTAGACTAGGAGTCAAAAAACCTGGAGTCCATCTCCACCTAAAGTAAAAGAATTCTCCTTCTCTGTGCTTTCTTGTTTCCCATGAATAAATAAGGGGTGATGAAAGGAGATGTGAGTTCAATCAGTTCCACCCAAGCTCAACCATTACTATTTTGAAAGTCTTTCCTATTTACAGAACTTTAGCTTTAGTTTACAAAAAGCTCCCTCATTGAATCCTTACCACAATAGTGTTAAGATAAGAGTTCTTGTCTCCATTTACAAATAAGGAAGCAAAAACTTAGAGTGATTAACACATTTCCCCAAAATCCTCCTTCTAGAATGTTGTAAATCCAGTTCTCATATCAAATACAATGCTCTTCAAGGATCCTATACTGACTCCCTGATACAATTTATCCGAATATACATAGTATCTCTCAAAACTTAAACTAGTATGTGACCTACACGGAATGGGGCTTTAAAACAGTAATGGATTTCATCGGACTGGAAATGACTCATTCTAATAAAATATAAGGGTCGGGAAGATGTTGATCAAAGGATACAAAATTTCAGCTAGATAGGAAGGATTAGTTTAAGAGATCTATTTTGCAGACAGCATGGTGGCTGTGGTTAATAAAAACATTATATTCTTGCACGTTGCTAAGAAAATAGATTTTAAATGTTCTTACCACAAAAAAGATAAATATGTGAAGCAATGTATATGTGAATTAGCTAGATTTAGCCATCCTACAATATATACATGTTTCAAAACAATATGATGTACACAATAAATATATACAATTTTTACTCATCAATTAAAATAAATAAATGTTTAAAAATGAAATAAAATAAAAATAAAAAGCAGTTGGACTATATACCACAATGTTTTCATATTATTATTTGAAAGCCCTCTAGCTAAAGACTATCAGGAACACACTATAGTTGAACAAATCGGGTTTATTACTCATTACAGTAGGAGAGAATATACATCATAGAGAACTATTTTTATCAATTATGGGGGCATCTCAGTAGGAAGATAATAAAAGGATTTGTTATAGTGTTTGGATTTGTATTAGGTGATTTGGGGGAGATTTTGAGGAAGCAGAATTTTTCTCTGGGTTGAATACTCTCGGGAAGTCGGGGTAATATGATGATCAGGTATCTTAATACACCTTATCTATTGTGAGGGCAGTCTAAAGCAAGGGTAGACTTGTAATTGGTAAAAGAAAAAAACCCAGCAACTTATATTATTCAGAATAGTGAGATAACTGGTCATTCTCGTGACTTGCACAATGTCCATGTTCTGTCTGTGTTCAGACATGATTGCAGAGCGGTCTTGTTTTCGCCTTCATCCGTCATGGTCACACAGCGGCCTCATTTAATGCTGATGTTCCTGATAGAGTAATACCAAGGCCTAGCTGTGAGTGCCAAGCCAGCTCCTAGCAACAACTGGGCATAGCTTGTGAATGTCAGAAGCTGTTTTTCTCTTTCTCAAAACCAGTTAAACATTTAGTTCAGTGATTTGTCCTGCAGCTGGTGGATGAGATGGAATTTTCAAAAGCGGAAAAAAATAGAACAAGGTATGTTCTTTCTCAAAAGACATGTTTTCCAGCACTATTTCTATACGGCAAATTATTTCTTATACAAAGTTAAAATATAAAGAAGAGATTAGGAGAAAATACTTGTGATATGTATAACAAACAAATGACTATACAAATTTTTTCTATAAATAAAAAATCAAACAACCCAATAGAAAAATATGGCAACAATTCACAGATTAATAACTACAAATAGATAACAAAAGATATTCAACTTTACTATTCGTAAAGTAAATATAAATTAAAACAAAGAAGCAATTTTCTTCCATTGGATTGACAACAAAAATCATGAAGGAATAGGAAATCCTAACACTGTTAGAACAAAGTACAAGTACTTTGCAGGATATTTTGGCAATTTCTAGCAAACTTTAAAATGCTCATTAAATTTTTAAGAATTTTCCTTTTAGAAATGCTACACATGTGCACGAAAACATACGATTCAAAAATGTTCATTGTAACATTTGTTAAACAGAAAAACTGGTGAAAAACATTTGTACATCAATAGAGAAATACCTACATTTAAAAATGATGTATCCATACTATGAAGTTATATGCAGACAATTAAAATATTGACATAGATATGTATGGCAAATATAGAGGAAAAACAAAGATACAGAATTAGACAAGAAAATTAATTTACAAAAGTACTTAATATCTCATTTATGTCAAAATATTTATGTAGGCCAAACGCAGCAGCTCATGCCTGCAATCCCAACATTTTGGGAGGCTGAGGCAGGAGGATTGCCTGAGTCCGGGAATTCGAGACCAGCCAGGGCAACATAGTGAGAACTCTTCTCTACAAAAAAAAAAAAAAAAAAAAAAAAAAAAAAGAGCCAGGTGTGGTGACTCATGCCTGTAGTCCCAGCTACTCAGGAGGCTGAGGTGGGAGAATTGCTTGAGCCTGGGAGGTTGAGGCTGCAGAGAGCTGAGAACATGCCACTGCACTGCAGCCTGGGCGACAGAGCAAGACCCTGTTTAAAAAATATATAATTATGTATTTTTAATATTTGCATATATGTATATGACTATATTATGAATCTTTGTATATATATTTAAATGAATATAAAATTATCTGTAAGTGAGCATACCAATTGCAAGCTGTTTCCTTTGAGGACCAGTAATTCAGTTGAATTTTGGGAGAATAGAGGGTGGAGAGAATGGTAGAAATGCAAGTTTTTCTGTATATACATCTGCACTGCTTGAAATTTTTATAAGAAAATATTATTTTCATAATAAAAAGTTATATAATAATATATTCTTTTTTTTTTTTCCGAGACGGAGTTTCGCTCTTGTTGCCCAGGCTGGAGTGCAATGGCGTGATCTCAGCTCACCACAACCTCTGCCTCCCGGGTTCAAGTGATTCTCCTCCCTCAGCCTCCTGAGTAGCTGGGATTACAGGCATGTGTCACCACGCCCAGCTAATTTTGTATTTTTAGTAGAGACGGGGTTTCTCCATGTTGGTCAGGCTGGTCTCGAACTCCTGACCTCAGGCGATCCACCTGCCTTGGACTCCCAAAGTGCTGGGATTACAGGCATGAGCCACCACGCCCGGCCAATAATGTATTCTCTTAGGAACTGTCTAGCTGAGATGGGGTAACTTGTAATGGAGTTGTTATCTTCCTGGCAGAAACAACTAAAAACACTGGACTATATACATATATATATATATAAATGTTTTTTAAGCGTTAGAAATTAGGTAGTGTGAGAAAATAATTCCTTACAGAGGGAAAACAAAGTGAACCCTTACGATTGTCCTGGCTTACTGTCTGAAAGGAGACTTCAGGCTACATCATAGAAAGGGAGAACTCAGGCCGGCCGCGGTGGCTCACACCTGTAATCCCATAGCATTTTGGGAGGCCAAGGTGGGGGGATCACAAGGTCAGGAGAGCGAGACAATCCTGGCTAACACGGTGAAACCCTGTCTCCCCTAAAAATCCAAAAATTAGCCAGGTGTGGGGGCACACGCCTGTAGTCCCAGCTACTCAGGAGGCTGAGGCAGGAGAATTGCTTGAACCCTGGAGACGGAGGTTGCAGTGAGCTGAGATCTGGCCACTGCACTCCAGCCTGGGCGACAGAGCAAGACTCCATCTCAAAATAAACAAATAAGTAAATAAATAAAATAAAAAGAAATGGAGAACCTAAATGGAATCCAGTGGCCTCCCTAAGTTGAGAAGACAGAGCTAGGAGTCCAAAAAGGGAAATACAGCTACAAATTTCAGGGAAGAATACAAGAGAAAAGAAAGCTGCACAAAAAATAAGACAACTGCAGCGATTTGTTGAAGGTCCTTCTCAGCTTTAGTTGAGCATGAATCAGTGCATGAATATGAGGAAACTAACTGAAGCTGGAGAAGCAACTATCTGTAAACAGCAGAAAAAAACAATTCTTAGAGCTCAAACATTTCTTGTTCCCACAAGTCAGAGTGAAAAGCCTTGTATTTCACATGATATTAGGTAGGTTCGTCAGAGGGTATCGCCACAGTAGTGGAAGAAAAATAGTCCTAGATTAATAGCT
The DNA here is from genome assembly GCF_000001405.40 of Homo sapiens. NCBI lineage: Eukaryota > Metazoa > Chordata > Mammalia > Primates > Hominidae > Homo > Homo sapiens. Next base: position 141,473,283 of record NC_000023.11, on the reverse strand, counting down.
AGTCTGGTTCTGTCTAATGAAGTTTACAAACAAGCCTTGAAAGAATCAATGTTTTTTTTTTCCAAGTAAATTTAAAGCATCTCAGATTTAAGTGTGAAAATAATATTAGGAGAAGAAAAACACCATCAAAAAGGTAAAATCCACATTGTCTGACATCAAATAAAAAGTTACCAATCACGCATGAAGGAAAGGAAATAAGAGCAGAAAAGCCATTCAATAGAAAGAGACCAGAAAATGGCACCTATAGAATGAGTAGACAAGAACATTAAAACGGCTACAGACGGCTGGGTGCAGTGGCTCATGCCTGTAATCCCAGCACTTTGGGAGGCTGAGGCGGGCAGATCACGAGGTCAGGAGATCGAGACTATCCGGGCTAACACGGTGAAACCCCGCCTCTACTAAAAATACAAAACATTAGCCGGGCGTGGTGGCGCAGGCCTGTAATCCCAGCTACTCAGGAGGCTGAGCCAGAGAATCACTTAAACCCGGGAGGCAGCGGTTGCAGTGAACCGAGATCATGCCATTGCACTCCAGCCTGGGCAACAAGAGTGAAACTCCATTTCAAAATAAAAAAATAAAAAAATAAAAAATAAACCAGCAACAATTACAATAGCATCTTTCTTTATTTGTCCTGAAACGACTACTTTAATAATCAATTGTTTGCTTGCTTTAAGGGTTGTGTCCACACAGTATATATATTTTGAAATGTAAGTGTTAAATTATTGAATAAAGCCTGCAACTCTCTGGATTTGTAAATTAAAACAATTCATATGCTTACACATTATTATTATTGACACGTTGTATGGGGGCATTTTGATATCATGCTGTTATAGAAACTAATCAGTTGTTATGGAAGTTATCAACACCTTCAACCATCATAATTTTGTAGTTTTCTGATAAATCACTCTTCAAATAAGGTGTCAAGGGCCAAAACACTTGTTAAGAAATAGAACTGTATGTCTTAACTAGGTGATTTTTGTAAAAAGTCCCTTTGACATTATTTAAAAAGATGTTCTTGATCTTGAATTTTCTTCCTAAAGTATCTAATTCCTGTTGATGAATGTAGCCCCACTTTACAAGATTGTTTGCATTTACCTTAAATCTTCATAACAAAATTCTTACTTGAAAAGCTAATGTGCAACTTATTTTGGACATATATATCTCATTTAAAAATACTTTAGCATGAGAACCTGAATAAAATATAACGCTGGGTATAGATAATTCATATTTTATTGATGTAAAAATGGGCTGTCTACATATACTCAGAACAGTAGATATTGTAATGTAAGCAAATGCATCATCTTAATAGAAATTTCTAAAGAGGCTTAGCTTAGTGTTTAGTATAGGTTAGCAGTTGAAGATAACTTAAGGAAAAGGGATTTTATGTATATCGATCTTTGAGTCTGGGACTCTGTTCTAAAGTATTTGCCTTATTTTTGAATTTTTAATCAATTATGAGATTAATCATCAACTCTATGCTTCAAGGCCTTTATTCCATAGAAGATGTTAATTATACAGCACATTCATGCAATTTAAACCTCTATGTCTTCTTCGTGCTATGCAAAATGTATCTTTATGATTTGCTGTGTCTGTCTATGCAAACCAGTAGACAAATTTTTGCCCAGACTATAATGTGCACCCAGTCAGCCCAGAAGAGCTATTATCATCACCTCTTCAGTGAAAAATATTGTGGCTACCTGCCAGCTACTTTATGATTTTTATTTCACTAGATTATACAAACATCTACTGAGTACCTAAGATATCCCAGGTTCCGTTGAGGATCAAAGGTGAACAAGACAATGCTGCGGCCCTCAAGATTTCATACTCAAGCAAGGGAGATGAGAAATTGGTCAAAATTATTCTATCAGAAATAATGTGCTAGAATATACCTTTGAATGAACTACAAAGTGCTACAGAGGTTTGAAGAAGGGAGTAGCTGCACCAGGAAGGCTTTGTAAATGAGATATTCCTTCAAGGACAGACTGAGCACAGAAAGGCATTGCAGGCAGTGGGAATTTCAGCAAAAGCACTGACGGTGAAGAGGAATATTTGTTGTATACAGGTTGAACACACCAACTCTGTAACATTCCAAAATCTGAAACTTTTTGAGTACCAGCATGGTGCTCAAAGAAAATGCTTTTTGGATTTCAGATATTTGCATTAGGTATGCTTGACTGGTAAATATAATGGAAATATTCCAAAATCCAAAAAAATCAAAAAATTGAAACACTTCTGGTCCCAAGCATTTAAGATAAGGGACAATCAACATGTATTACTCTGTGTCTGGGTCTGTACTGGGCCTTTACATTTGCTTGCTCATTTAATCCACACAAGCACCCTGTAATGTGCATGATACTCTTTCTATTTTGCAGATAGCACCAAGGCCCAGAGCTGGTAAATAAGTGGCAGATCTGGTATTGAACTCAGGCTGGGGTCACATGAAAGACCGTGTTCTTTCCTCACAGGGGTGAGAGAAAGCACAATCTGTTTGGGAAAAAGGAGTCGAGTTACTTAGAACATAGAATGCTGGAAAGGTAGCAAAATGAACAAGATCATCGGTGGAGTTCACGTAGAACCAAATGTGCTCTAGTAGACATTAACAAGTATTCTGGACAACGTCCCATGGTCGAATATATGGAAAATATTGCATGCTATATTCTAGTCCTGCCATGTAGAGGTTGTACACTACATAAATGAGTGTCGTATAATAAGCTACAATGTGAATATTTACCTCTAGAGTTGTACAGTGCACAACTTGCACAACCATATGTTGCCAATCAGCTCTATCTTATTTTTTTGGAAATTCACAAATCACATTAGGATGTGAAAGAGTTCAGAAACTCTTATAGTAATGAAATACGTTTAACCCACTAAATCTCAAAATTATTTGACTACAGAAGGGAAATTTCTTTAGTGTCTAATAATATCTCGTGGAATACTAGCATTCTATGAAACACAGTTTGGAAAGTGCTGGGCTAGCCAGTCATACTTGACAAGTCAGTATAAAGTGGAGTGACTTGGCCATATAGCCTTTGTCTGGAAATTCTGCCAAAGACACTCATCCATTAGTCTGGATGATGTGACTTCAATTTTCTAATGGAAAACATTTTCCTTGACCAATTCTTTCTTTCTTTTTTTTTTTTTTTTTGAGACAGAGTCTCTGTTGCCCAGGCTGGAGTGCAGTGGCACGATCTCGGTTCACTACAACCTCCACCTCCCAGGTTTAAGCAATTCTCCTGCCTCAGCCTCCTGAGTAACTGGGATTACAGGCGCGTGCCACACGCCCAGCTAATTTTTGTATTTTTAGTAGAGACAGGGTTTCACCATGTTGGTCAGGCTGGTCTCAAAATCCTGACCTCATGATCTGCGCGCCTCAGCCTCCCAAAGTGCTGGGATTACAGGTGTGAGCCACCACACCTGGCCCGTTCCTTCACCAATTCTAAGTTCAGAGGAACAGGGTCATCATGAGCAGAGCTTGTGTGCTTAGTGAAAATGGCTGTGGGTGTAATGAAATATTTATTCCCCAAGCGTTGAGATGGTTTGATGGGACCTGAGGCAGCTGGAGTCCCTGGGCCAGTCATTTCCTGCCCAAGCAGCCTCATCTATTTACCTCAGTATGCTGTACAAACATTATTTTTAAGGTATGCTACGATGTGGCAACGGTTGAGAAGCAATGATTTTGAAAATGCCAAGTTACTTGTTAAAGACTCCAGTCTAGATTTATAAGATAGCTTTTTCTTGTCCCATTTTGTTTAGCAGCTCCAGAAATAGTAATTGGTACAAGCAGTGTTAGAAGAAAACATCATTATTACAAAATATACTACAAGGAAAGAAGAATTAGATATTTGAGAATTATCTTTTTTTGCTATGTTGCTTTTCTAGTTGGGAACATCACATTAATCTGTTTTCCCCTCATGATTAAAACTTTTTGGGATAACAGCAATTATTCATTTATGTGCAAATATCTAGAAGATGAGCAATGTGAATCTATAACAGTAAAGGAGGCATTCAGGATGAGGTGGCAGAATTCCTTAAATAGTCATACTTCATTTCAATTGAAAAACTTTGCACAACTGAAAGAATGACAAAAATGCTATTGTTAAAGAAAAAAAAAAACTTTGGAAAGTTATGAATGTCTAAAATTTCCTGCAGTTATTTTTGCAAGGATTGATTCATATTCAGATTAGCTTCCTGCCAGATGGAAGAAACACACAGTAAATCAACTTTTGCAGGAGAGAAATCAAAAAGAAGCATAAGCTGCTATTTAAAGGGGTTTCTTCCTTTTTTGCCATATTAATAGCACATTAACCCTTAGGGAGTGTTATTGCAAGAAGCCAAACCACGGAGGCTACCATTCCATCCTTCAGGAAGAATAAATATTTTTCAGCCCAGTAGGTTGGGGAAAAATAGCTCCTTGGATTGCATACTCAAAAAAGTGTTTCTGTTTAATCATGGTCAAGTTTCATGCACTCCAAAGCAGTAATGAAAGAGTAAATGTATGGAAATAGGGAATGAATTCCTCCTCTTGCACCCAGTGAAACCCCGCTTTAGTTAATTGTTCCTGGGATGCATTAAGGATACAGTAGATGAGATGGATCGATGTCCTTGGGGGTATTCTAAACCAGGTGTGTGTTTTTTTGGGGGGTGGGGAGCGGTGCTGGCGGAGCCCCTCCAGTACCTTTAAGGAGCTCCCTTTATTATTCTGGCCATGTGATCCAAGTGCATCAGAACACAATCATACCACTTGGTTGTACCAGTGCTGGAGACTAGGTTTTCTCTCTGAACCAGCAGTCACTCTTCCTGCTTAGTTCTCTCCTTGTCCTTCCTTCTAATCTTCAACTTGTTCTTGTCCTGATGTCTTTGCCTCACAATTTCAACTTTATGCCCTTTTTGTTTCACATGTGATCTAAGCATTCCTTGTGATAATACCCTGCTCTCCACTGTAGTTGAATAAAGTATCCAGGCTGTGACCCTCCAGACTTGAGCCATCCTCAAGTGCCCTCTTTCCCCTATATACTGACTTCATGGGGATAGCTTTTCACCTGGCCTGTTTCAGCCTTGACACTTTGATGATAATGGTAGCAATGTAGCTATAACATTTGTTTTCTGAGCACCTACTGTGTGTCTATCTTCTCAACAGCCCTGTGAGAGAGGTATTATTATTATTCCAATTTTATAGATGAGGAAATTAGGCACAGATAGTTAAGAAAACTGCTCAAAGATTACAGAGCTTATAATTGACAGAACTTCGCTTCTGATGCAAATGAGTCTGAATTCAAAGCCTGTGCTCTTAACCACTATGCTATATCAGAGTCTTAAACTAAAATGCACCAATTAATCACCTGGGAATCCTGTTAAAATGCAGATTCTGATTCAAATGGTCTGGGATGGGACTTGAGAATTTTCATTTTTTTATTAGCTCCCAGGAGATGCCAATGTTGTTGGTTTAATGTACCAGACTTTGAAGAGCAAGAAACTATATAGGGTGCAGCATTTCAAGAAAACAGATGCTTTGGAAATCTCTTCCGCCCGAATTTCCAGAAGAGATGCTACAAATTCACCATACCACACCTGTGCATTTTTCATGTATTGGAGGGATAAGAATGCTGGCTCTTCCATGCAGTACCAAAAGCTGCCACCATTTAGTAAGCGCTTTCTCACTTCTAGTCACTGTTGTTGTAAGTGCATTTCAGAAACCAACTCACTTAATCCCTACAACAGACTTAGGCAAAAAGTCATACAACTAATAAAAGTGATGGAACTGGATTCATACCTAAAGAGTCTAGCTCTAGAGCCCACATATAACCAATATACGCTTTTTAAGTATAGCAGAGTGGTCTGAGATCAGCTTAGGGCAGTGGTTGACAGTGGGCTCTGACATTAGTTTTGAGTCTGGATTCATTACTTCTTAGGTGTATAACCTTGGATATGTCCTTAACATTATTCTGTTCATTTTAATTTCTACCACTTCTGGTGTCTGGTCCAACATGTAAGGTGCTTGGAAGTTGTTGCTCCTTCCTATCAACATGTGAAGAGCTGAACAAAAGGGAAAATCAACAACTATTCTTAGGCTATAGATTCATCAAAGAAGTGAGGTCACAGAGTAAATTGCTGCCCCCAAAATTGGAGACAGAAACAGGCAGACAAAGGGAATCACAGCTTACTAGAGCAGAAACCCCAAAGCAGAAACCTCCACAAGAACCAATGCCATAGTAAGAAAACGTAAACTGTAATTGGTGAAACGCTGGAGGCTCAGAGTGGACAACTCTGAAAGTTAAAAACTTCTGTTATATGGCTGCACTTACATTTTGTGAGTTTTTACCTTTTGGAGCTCTATTGGGTCTTCATAATGAGCATCAGAAAGTCCCCTCATGCTTTAGAAAAGTAAACATTCTGAAATACACCAAAGCATTTTGTTCTTCTTCAGAAGACATGTCCTTAGGAGAAACTACAGTATTTTACAAGAGTCTAACCTGCTGGGACTATTTCAGAACCTACTTGTGGGAAGGAAAATACCCAATTCCAGCTCCCTGTAGCCTTTCATGTGAGGAAAGGGAGATGCTCAACTCTCACCACTATAAACATTCTGTCCTATCCAAGGGGGAAGAAGCTGAGAAGTATTGGCTAAGTTCACAGTTTAGGGGCACAGGTTCACCAAAAGACAAAGCTAATCACCCGGCGCGGTGGCTCACACCTATAATCCCAGAACTTTGGGAGGCTGAGGCGGGTGGATCACGAGGTCAGGAGATCGAGACCATCCTGGCTAACATGGTGAAACCCTGTCTCTACCAAAAATACCAAAAAATTAGCCAGGCATGGTGGCGTGCGCCTGTAGTCCTAGCTACTTGGGAGGCTGAGGCAGGAGAATCGTTTGAACCCAGGAGGTGGAGGTTGCAGTGAGCCGAGATCACCCCATTGCACTCCAGCCTGGTGACAGAGTGAGACTCCTTCTCAAAAAAAAAAAAAAAAAAAAAAGACAAAGCTAATCATAAAGCTATAGAACACTTCACATGCCACCTTCAAACACATACCACTACATCATTCAGGGCCTCTTCATTGCAGTTTCTCTCACCCAATGTACGATGTTCATCCTTCAACAAAATATTACAAGGACATTACTGGCAAAACAAAGTTTGAAGAGATTGAACAAACATCAGAACAAAATTCAAATATATCAGGAATGGTGGCATTATCAGACGAGGAATTTTTTTGAAAATACGTATTATTGTACTAAGAGCTTTAATGGAAAAAGTAGACAACATGCAAGAACAGATAGATAATGTAAGCAAAGAGATGGAAATTCTGAGATAGCATTTAAAAGAAATGCTAGAGATCAAAGACACTGCAACAGAAATGAAGAATGCCTGTGATGGGCATATTAGTAGACTGGATGCAGCTAAGGAAAGAATCTCTGAGCTTGAGGGTATGGAATAGACACTTTCAAAACTAAAAAGAAAAAAGAAAAAAAAATACCGAAAACCCCCAGAACAGAATATCCAGGAACTGTGGGGCAACTCTTAGAGGTATAACATACACATAATGAGGATATCAGAAGGAAAAGAAAGAGAGACAGGGACAGAAGAAATGTGTAACAGAATAATAACTGAGAATTTCCCCAGATTAATATCAGACACCAAACCACATATCCAGTAAGCTTGGAGAACCAAGCAGGATAAAAGCCAAAAAAAAAAAAAAACACAAACATACACATAGGCATACCATTTTTTTTTTTTTTTTTTTTTTTGAAGACAGAGTCTCAGTCTGTCACCCAGGCTGGAGTGCAGTGGCACGATCTCAGCTCACTGCAAACTCTGCCTCCCGGGTTCAAGCGATTCTCCTGCTTCAGCCTCCCGAGTAGCTGGGATTACAGGTGCCCACTCCACGCCCAGCTAATTTTTGCATTTTTACTGGAGATGAGGTTTCACCATGTTGGCCAGGCTGGTCTCAAACTTTTGACCTCAGGTGATCCACCCGCCTTGGCCTCCCAAAGTGCTGGGATTATAGGCGTGAGCCACCACGCCCAGCCAGGCATACCATTTTCAAACTGCAGAAAATCAAAGATAAGAAAAGAGTCTTGAAACAAGCCATCAGAAACAAAAGACACCTATATAGGATCAAAGACAAGAATTACACTTGACTTCTCAGAAACCAGGCAAGCAAGAAAAAGGTGGAGTGAAATATTTAAAGTTTTGGTAGAAAAACAACTTCACCAACCTAGAATTTTGAATCCTATAAAATTATCCTTCACAAGTGAAGGAGAAATAGAGACTTTCTTGAATAAACAAAAATTGAGAGAATTTATTGCCAGAAGACTAGCTTTGAAAGAAATGTTAAAAGTTATTCAGAGAGAAGGAAAATAATATAGATTAGACACTTGGATCTACATAAAGAAATTAGAGAAAGAATAAGTAAACTAAAAGCTTTTATTTTTCTTATTTGTAATTGATGTAACATATAATGGTTTGTTTAAAAAAGAATAGCAACAATGTATTCAATATATATACTTCTGTATTTATATGCTTATATATAAGTAAAATAAATGATAGCAATGTTGCAAAGGACAGGATGGAGGAATTCAGATTATTTTGTTATTTTAAATTACTTTCATTACCCATGAAGTGGTATAGTGTTATTTGAAAGTGGACCTGGATTGGTTTTAAACATATATTGCAACTTTAGGGAAACCACCAAGAAAAGATTAAGAAGGAATATGACTGATATATTAATAAAGGAGAGAAAATGGAATCATATGAATATTTAGTTATAACTACAAAAGGCAGAAAAAGTGTGGGAGACAAAAATAGAAACAGAACATGGGCAACAAATAGAAAACAGTTGCAAATGTGTTCAATGTTACCCACCTGTATCAATAATCACTTAAACATCAATGGTCTAAATATCGCAATTAAAAGACAGATATTGTCATAGTGTATCAAAAAACAAAACCCAGCCATATGCTTTTTACAAGAAACTCACATTAAATATAAAGACACTTGCAGGTTAAAAGTAAACAGATATAGAAAGATATGCCAGCCAGGTGCGGTGGCTCATGCCTGTAATCCCAGCACTTTGGGAGGCCGAGGCGGGCAGATCACCTGAGGTCAGGAGTTTGAGACCAGTCTGGCCAACATGGTGAAACCCTGTCTCTACTAAAAATACAAAAAACATTAGCTGTGCATGGTGGCGGGCACCTGTAATCCCATCTACTCGGGAGGCTGAGGCAGGAGAATCACTTGAACCCAGGAGGCGGAGGTTGCAGTGAGCTGAGAATGCGCCATTGCACTCCAGCCTGGGCGACAAGAGTGAAACTCTATCTCAAAAAATAATAATAATAAAAAAAATAAAACTAAAAATAAAGATATGCCATGCTACCACTAATCAAAAGAAAGTGGGACTATCTCTATTAATTTCAGACAGAGCAGACCACCAGGCAAGGTAAGGTATCATGGATAAATTGAATAATTACATAATGATAACGGAGTCAGTCATCCAAGAAGACATAACAATCTGCTATGGTCTGAACGTTTGTGTCCCTACCCCACCCTCCCCCTAACACACAATTTAAATGTTGTAATCCTAATCCCCAAAAAGAGGGTATTAGGAAGTGTGGCCTTTGATGGGTGATTAGGTCAGGAGGACTGAGGCTTCATCAATGGGATTAGCAGCCTTATAAGAAGACCCAATGAGATTCCTTCCCCCTTCCACCACTTGAGGACACAGCTGAAAGTCAGGGGCCAACAAACCAGGAAGAGGCCCTCTCCGGACACTGAATTTATCAGCACCTTGATCTTGGACTTCCCAGTCTCCAGGAGTATGAAATTAATGCCTGCTTATAAACCATCCAATGTATGCTTTTGTTATAGCAGCCTGAATGGACAAAGAGACAATCCTTAATGTGTATGCACCTACAAACAGAGCATCAGAATGCATGATTCAACAACTGATAAAGTTACAAGGAGAAACAGATAAATCCAATGTTATAGTCAGAGATATTTTTTCTTTTCTTTAAAATAGGAATAATACTAGTGCCTACTCAACAGAATTTGTGTGAAGATTCAATGAGTTAATGGGTGTAAGGGCCTTAGAATAATACCTGACACATTCTAAAAGCCTGAAAAATGCCGGCCATTATTGTTACTATTACTATTATTATTATAGTCTACACGGAACCATTATTATTTTTTATGTTTGACACACAAATCACTATACTAATCTGTCACCTTTGCTTTTCTTCTGTAAATCTAGTAAAAAGGGAGGAAGAAAGAGGAGTACAGAGATGTTATAAAACACAGATCACAGAGAGAAGCCATTTATTTTTCCACCGCTACCCTTGACATGACTGCTGCCGAACTGAAGGAAGAAAATTGCGGCGGGAAGAGATCAATAAAAATTATTCTTTTCCACCTTCTTTCCCTGCTGTTGGAATTCAACCTTTAGGCTAACATTATGGCAAGATTTAGGATGCAGAGGAAATGGGATTCTTCCCTAGTACCTCACTCATGTTGCCCTTTGTCCAGTCTTGGCAGAAATATTGCAGAGTAGTAGTTGAGGTGCCACAGTAATTCATGAGGAAATTAGAAAGGTGATATGGTTTGGCTCTGTGTTGCCACCCAAATCCCATGACAAACTGTAATTCACAGAGTTGGAGGAGGGGCCAGGTAGAAGGTGATTTAATCATGGGAGCCAACTTCCTTTTTGCTGTCCTTGTGATAGTGAGTGAGTTCTCACAGGATCTGGTTGTTGTAAAAGTGTGTAGCACCTCCCCCTGTCTCTTATTTTCCTGGCGGCCATGTGAAGACACGCCTCCTTCCTCTTCACCTTCTGCCATGATTGTAAGTTTCCTGAGGCCTCGCCAGCTATGCCTCGTGTACCGCTTGTAGAACTGTGCCTGAAACCCCTTTTCATTATACACTACCCAGTCTCAGGTATGTTGTTATACTAGCGCAAGAACTAACTAATACAGAGGGTAAACATAAATTTGAAGTAAGAAAGATGAAAAAAAGAGGGGTGCAATATATATTTGTTTATAATAAAGACAGTATCTTGTTACTTTTAAGGGAAACAAAATTCACACCTGGAGGAAGCTTTTGTTATTGTTATTGTCGTTGTTGTTGTTCTCTAATTTTTGTGCATGAAGGTTCATTTTGTAGACAGCAGTGCCCTTGTGATAAGAAGTAGGGAGGAGCTAACACTTACTGAGCACCTACTATGGGAAAGATGCCTAAGCTTAGCCATCCCCTGAACAAACCAGCAAGGTAAATTTTGTCCATTTCATAGATGATAAAACTGAAGTGCATCCAGGTTTAAGTCAATTGCTGAAATATGCATAGTAAGTAAATTGCGTATCTGGGATTCAAATCCAAACCTGTCTGATTTCCAAACTCTGATGTTCCCATACTACCTACATTTAAAAAAAATGTGTGCCCCAAAGAGAAATATAGAGTTCCCCTAGAAAGCCAGTGGGTGATATAAATTGCACTTCTTCATACACGATCAGCCATAGAATATGAGTTCTGGTCCCTGGTGCCTGGAGACTTCTGTACTTCTCAGAGCTCATCTCCATTCAGAACTCTTCAGGAATGTCAGGTTGACTCCTCTGAGACCATACAGATTGATACAGCAAAAAGAACATGGAGTTGGAATCAGACAGTCCTGAATTCCAGTCATTGTTTCATAATTTCCTTGTCCACAACTTTGGGCAAGTTTCTTGGGCTCTCCGAGCTTCAATCCCCTCCTTATAATTCTCTTTTCTAACTTCCTTCTTCCTAATCTCATGTGGGATACATAAGAGGCATCTTCTTCTTATCTTTGGTCAGTTCTCTTGTGTGAGTTAAATATTGCCACAATAATTATGTGTAACAATCCTCCAAATTCTATGGCTTATAGTTGTCTATTATTTTCATCAATCTGTTAATTGGCTGATGTCTCTGCTTCAGTGGTACAGCAGCTGGGGATATTTATCTCCAGATCTGTTTTTCTTGGGCTCAGATTGAAAAGTGAACAGCTATTGCAGGGATATTCTTCTCATGGTCATTGCAGAGGCATAGGAGGGCAAGCAGAAACATGTGAATCCTCTTAAGTTATTGAATCAGAACTGGCATACTGTTATTTATGCCCTATTCTATTGACCAATGCAATTCACAAGGCCAAGCCCCAAGTTAAGGGAGACAATGTACATTTTCTGCTCATCAATGGCGTGGCCAAAGTGTAGTTGCAGGGGAGGGTGAAGAATTGAGGTTGACAAGTCAATCCCTCTTAGAAACTACTACCACTAAGTTTCTAAGTAGTTTCCTTTATTGTTCTCAGGCTTACTATTCTATTTTACCAGGAACAGAATTCTTCAATTTCCTGACTTCTTACATAAAGCTTTCTGTATCCACATTTACCAACGATTTTCTCTTTTCTTTCAGTCCCGGATATGCCATTCAACCTGTCTTTTGAATTGTATTCCCTTCTTGCTGCTCTGGAAATTATCAATTATCTTCACTGCCTCCCATATACTCAACTTACACTTCTCTGTTGTCCTCATCTTTTGAAATACTGTAGTTCCCGCCCCCTCCACTTAAACAAAATATAATAAAAAACAAACCAAAAAGTTTATTTGACCCAACACCTTGCCTTTAGCAACTCCCCTACACCTCTCTTTCTTTCCTCAGTCAAGATTCTAGTTCTGGCATTTTCCTAAATTTCATTTATTCCTCAATATATTTAAATCTGGCTTCTGCTCCCCTCAATTTGCTGATAGTGTTCTCCAAAATATCACTGTAGATCATTCTTTCCTGAAATGCCCTTATTGTGCTTTACATGATTTTACACTTTTCCTGTGCTCTTCTTACATCATTGTATGTTGTTCCTCAATTTCTTTCACTGAATTCTTTCCCATGTTTGATTTTTAAAATGTTGTTTCCTGGGGTCTTCATCTTATTCATTACATTTTCTACAAATTTTCTAAGCTTTTCCCTTGGTTTTAATTATGTGTAAATGCCTCCAAAGCCTTTATCTCTTCTTTTCTTTTCTTTCTTTCTTTTTTTTTTTTTTTTTTGAGATGGAGTCTCGTTCTGTTGCCCAGGCTAGAGCGCAATGGCGCAATCTCGGCTCACCACAACCTCTCCCTCCCAGGTTCAAGCGATTCTCCTGCCTCAGCCTCCCAAGTAGCTGGGACTATAGGTGTGCGCCACCATGCCCAGCTAATTTTTGTATTTTTAGTAGAGACGAGTTTTCACTATGTTGACCACCCTGGTCTTGAACTCCTCACCTTATGTTCCGCCCGCCTCTGCCTCCCAAAGTGCTGGGATTACAGGCGTGAGCCATGGTGCCTGGTCTGCCTTTATCTTAATTTAAGATAACTCTCTTGACCTCCCGATACCTCCAAACAGGTATCACACAGATATAAACCCAACTTGCTCAATTATAAATCCACTAACTCCTACACAATACACACAAATTCTTTTATTTCATAAAGAATTAACATTGCCAGCTATTCTCACCCAATCTTCCAAGTAAAACCTTACACTTATCCTTCCTTCTTCTTTTTTCATCTTTACACGTCCAACTAACCACCAAGTTAGATTGAATTGAAACAAATCCTTCACTACCACTGTCATTTGTTGCTTTATTGTTTTGCTTGGTTGTTTGGGGCAGGAATCATTTCAGTAGCTTCCTAGTTGGCCTTTTTTCCTTTGCCCTTTAGGGGTAACACTTTTTTAAAAAGCAAATGCCTACCACAATATTTAATACACCAAGCTTAGGTGCTCAGTGTCAGTTTAGTCTCCCCTTCTCTCTAATCCTTAAGGCAAACCCATAGAAGTGGGTTTGGCACAAAATGAAACTCATCTGATGACTCGATGAGTTGATTCTTCTTTTAAGGTTTTTCTTTTAGCCTTAACATGTAAGGATTTATTCTCAAGATCCTTCTATGTTGCTTTTTGTTCATATACAATTAGTATTGCCATTAATTAATTAATAGAAATACTAATTATCGAAGTATAATCCATTAATTATAATTCTTATAAATTAATTATATTCAATATTCAAAACAATATTCCTATGTTTCGAAGCCATCATGGTTTTCATCTTTAAGGTCACCCAAGATGCTGCAGAAACATCTCTGTTTTGTTGCGGCCAATCAACAAACGGTTGAATACACTCCCTTCAAGCAAACATCAAGGATATTTTATACAGTGTGCTCCTTTGTATCTCTCTGTGTAGAACTCAATCACACCTCCTGCAAGGCAGACTGGGAAATGGCAGCAAATAACATTGTCATCTTCATTTTCTCAAATGAAAAAATAATTGGGAAGCCAGCCAGTAGTTTTAACTTTGGGTGGTAATGTACCCAGCTTGCAACTGGGGTTCTGTGACTAAGGAAGAAGAAAAGAAATACCGAGAGGCAACCAGCAATCTCTGTATATGCCCAGTACCTTGCATGGTATCTGGCCTATTGACAGGGCCCAGCAAATGTTCAAAGATTGAAGGTTTCTTAATGTATTTTATAAAAATAACTGATCCTTATTTGCCAAAAGTGTCTTTGAACCACCAACCTTCCCTTTGTGACTTTTAAATCTGACCTGTCTTCCATATGTTGCTACTTACGAAGCCTTAGCTTACTTTCTAAAAGGGTTTTGTTTTAGTTTGTTTTCTAAGTGAAAATTAGGCTTGTTTCTGGAATCTCTGGCCTTCCACTTACTTTTTGCCTGGATCTCACTGTACTCACAGTTTTTCCACTTCTCTTTCTCTAGTCCTGCTCTCAGGATAGGATATGATGAACACCATCAGCACATTAAGCTTAGAGTATGACTTCACTCAGAGTTAATGTTTTAATAGGCTCCAAAGCCTTAAATTAAAGACATCCTCCAAAAGCAGAATTTCAGGACTACATAATTGGTTAATGGAGGTGTTTGTGGATGGGGTTGGGGCTACTCTGAAATCACAGCCTTCACCCTGGCCTGCTCCTATTCTCAGGATGGGTCTGTACCTTGTTATGGCATTACTATTATAAACAGTGATTATTTAACAGTCTTTTCTTCTGTTTGGAAATGCAAGGTACATTTGCACTGGTAGCCCAAGTGACTTCTGCTATGATGTTCATATGGAGCTGAGTTTCCTTCAGTGGCTCCCAAATTGTTATTTTAATTAGTCAATTCATATGCCTATTACTGTTGGTAGATTACAATAAAATATCTTGTTGACTAAATAAATTCTGAAACAAATTGGAATCGGAAAGTAAATTTGTTTATAAATCTAGTCTAAATTTGAATTAATTTGAAAAATGAAAATGTTTAGGACAACATGAATTTTGAATATATAATAATGAAATTAAACAACCATGAACAAAGGTGATGTTGGAAAAAAATAGGTTACATGAAAAAATAATAATGACTAGCGGATAAAATTCATGAGAGACATGCTGCTAATTTCGACTACTGATCTAAAATTTGAAATGGCAGCAAATAACATTATCTTCATTTTCTCGAATGAAAAAAATAATTGAGGAGCCAGTTTCATTTATAAAGCATGCTGAGATTATGTCTAGTAGACTGCTTATACTGTTTTCTTAGAAGTCAGGAGAAAAGGTCTCCTCGGTTAAATATTTAAAAGAATTAATGCCACTCGGTTCTGTATGCTATTTTTCCATTAAGTTTTTATGAAAGACTCTTCTTTTGTTCCATCCTTAGCCTTTTCCTGTTGGTAGAGGTTGAAAAGAGAGTCTTTATTTAAGAAAAAAGGCTACATAAAAGAGATTCTAGATGTAGTATTAGGCAAAATATATTCTTGGGTTCCTTCCTTTTGTTAAAAAATGACTGATGAAGTATTAATTTCAGATTTACAATGCTTCAGTTGGCATAACCTGGAGATATACCCTCAAAGTGAAGAGTAACAAGAAAAAATACTCAATTACATAGACTTGATGGGCGGCATAATTTTAGGTCAGTAAATTTCTCATTATTTTTATATGTTAGCCAGATACACATGGATTTGAATCTCAACACTGCTACTTACTCTAAGTCGTTTGGGCTAAATCTTTGATCACAGTTCCCCATTTATAATATAAAAATGGTCTGACTTAACTTATGGAGATGTTCTGATGGTTAAATTTGATACTTTTTGTAAAACATAGGTATTCCGTAAATACGAACCCCCTTAAAGCTCCCGTCTTCAACCAGGCCTTCCTTTCCTCACAGATAAGCAATATTCCTGATATTTAAACAAATAAATGTGATCTTATATAGTTAAAAGCATGTTATCCACATCAAACTAGGTCTTTCGGCAGTCAACTCACTTTCTAGTGATATATACAACATTCAAACGGTATCTTTAGCTGCTCTTTGAAAATTCATTTCAAGTCATTCTCTGCACAAGTAAACCAGTTTTATTACTTCAAAACTGTAACATTTTTGGCAGGAAGCAGAGAGTAAAATTATGTAACCAAGTTTCTTCACCTGCTTTACATATTTTTTTGTGTGTATTCCCATCTCTTCTTTTTCCCTTGGACTCCAACGATACATGTATTATAAGACTTGAAAATGCCCCCAACTCATTATGATTTCATTTTTTCAGTCTTTTTGTTCCCCTCTCTGTGTTTTGGTTTCGATAGTTTCTATTTCTATCCCTTCTAATTTACTGATCTTTTTTTTCTGTAGTTTCCAATCAATTATTAATGCCATCCAGTGTATCTTTTATTACATATATTGCACTTTCACTTCTGGAAGTTCCATTTGGTTCTCATTTCTAGTTTTGTCTCTACTACTCTCAAAGACATAGGATTACCTATATAATCTAATGTTACAACTTAAGCTTTAGTTTCAATTATTCTGTACTCTTATTGGAATTGGTTACTCTTCTTTGAGTACTGATCTTAGTAATTGTTTTACCAAGAGAGCCCTTTAGACTTCCCTTATTAGTAAAAATCCTGTCTAGAAGAAGTACTGCCTCTTCATATTACCTACCAGTGCTGTAGTAATACACGTTTGGATGCAATTTTATTAATGTCTGTCTTTTGTAGTGGATTGTACATTCCATTTGGATAGGGAATTACGTTTATTTTTGACCAGTGATACATCTTCAATATGTAGCATATTGTAGTGCCTGGCATATTGTTGGCACTCAAATATTTCAACAATGCTTCCAAGAAACTGAAACACCTAAAAACGTATACTCGAATGATGTCCATGTGAAGCCTTCAGATTTTTTTTAAAAAGCTCCAGAGTTAATTGTGAGCAGCCTCACATGGAATGATCATGACCATCATGGATCATGATGTCTGATTTTATAATTTTTCAGAGCTTGAAAGTTGTAACTTGTAAAAGTCCTATAAGGCATATATCCAATTTATTCACTGATTTTGCTGTCTGTGAAGTACATTTCTCTCAATTAAAAAAGCAGACAGCTATAACAAACCGTATAATGTATGTATAATCACATTTTCATGTAGTCTTTTGGGAATACACAGAATTTTAACTTTCTCTCATGTTAAACTGAGAAAAGTAAAACTTTCTGCACAGGAAATCGAGAAAGGTATTATGCTGCTTAATTAGTTTTTGTTTTAGTTGACCAAGCTAGATTTTAGGCTTTAGAATTGCCAGTAAAGACCATGATGTACCATGCCATTACATTACGTCATAAAATGCCATTACAACCATCAGTATTACCAATACCCGACCAGCACTGCCACGTACTGAGTATCTGTTAATGCTCAGGTCAGTACTGTATCCGTATATACTATTTGGAATCATTAGAAAATTCCTACATGGTTGGTATTATCTCCATTTTGTGGTCTTGGACAGTGAGACATAGAGTGGCTAGTAACTTGCCTAAGATCATGCAGCTAACAAGTTTCCAAGTTGGTATTTAAATCTATCAATAAAGATCAGAAGGAATAGGTTTTATTTACCCTGGTAGCATGCACATAACATAAAATTTACCTTTTTAACCAACTTAAAATGTGAAATTTAGTGATATTTAGTATATCACAATATTGCGCAACCATCACCACTGTCTAGTTCTAGAATACATTCATCACCCTAAAAGGAAACCGTATACCCATTAATCAGTCATACCCCATTTCCCCATCTGATTTTTATTAATTTTGTACACTGCAATTTTTTATTTTTATACATTAAGGGGGTACATGTGCAGGCTTGTTACATGGATATATTGTGTAATGGTGAGATTTGGGCTTCCAGTGTACCTATCACCTGAATAGGAAACATTGTACACACTAGGTAATTTTCAATCTCCATCCTTTTCCCTCGCTCCCTTTGGAGTCTCCATGTGTCTATTACTTCTATCTTTACGTTCACACGTACACACTGTTTAGCTTCCACTTGTAACTCGGAATATGCAGAATTTGATTTTCTGTTTCTGAGTTATTTCACTTATGATAGTGGCCTCCAGCTCCATCCATGTTGCTGTGAAAGGCATGCTTTTCTTCATTTTTATGGCTACATTGTATTCCATGGTGTACATGTACCACTTTTTTTTTTTTTTTTTTTTTGAGAATCTCGCTCTGTCGCCCAGGCTGGAGTGCAGTGGCGCGATCTCGCCTCACTGCAAGCTCCGCCTCCAGGGTTCACGCCATTCTCCTGCCCAAGCTTCCAGAGTAGCTGGGATTACAGGCACGTGCCACCACGCCCGGCTAATTTTCTGTATTCTTAGTACAGACGGGGTTTCACCATGTTAGCCAGGATGGTCCCGATCTCCTGACCTCCTGATCTGCCCGCCTCGGCCTCCCAAAGTGCCACATTTTTTATGCAGCTATCTGTTGACAGGCACCTAGGTTGATACCATGACTTTGATAGTATGAATAGTGCTGAAATAAACATAGGGGTGCATGCGTCTTTTTGGAGAATGATTTTTTTTTCGGTGGGGGGGTACATACCCAGTAGTGAGTGGGATTGCTGGGTTGAATAGTGGTTCTACTTTTAGTTCTTTATGAAATCTCCATACTGTTTTCCATAGGAGTTGTACTAATTTACATTCTCACCAACAGTGTACATGTGTTCCCTTTTCTCTACATCCCCACCAGCATCTGTTGTTTTTTCATTTTTTAATAATCGCCATTCTGACTGGTGTGAGATGGTGTCTTACGGTGGTTTTAATTTGCATTTCTCTGGTGATTACTGATGTTAAGCATTTTTTATATGTTTGTTGGTCATTTGTATGTCTTCTTTTCAAAAATGTCTGCTCATGTCTTTTGCCTACTTTTATTTATTTATTTATTTTTTAAACTATACTTTAAGTTCTAGGGTACATGTGCACAATGTGCAGGTTTGTTACATATGTATCCATGTGCCATGTTGGTGTGCTTCACCCATTAACTCCTCATTTACATTAGGTATTTCTCCTAATGCTATCCCTCCCCACTGCCCCCACCGCACAACAGGCCCCAGTGTGTGATGTTCCCCTTCCTGTGTCCAAGTGTTCTCATTGTTCAATTTCCGCCTATGAGTAAGAACACGCTGTGTTTGGTTTTCTGTCCTTGCAATAGTTTGCTGAGAATGATGGTTTCCAGCTTTATCCATGTCCCTACAAAGGACATGAACTCATCCTTTTTTACGGCTGCATAGTATTCCACGGTGTATATGTACCACATTTTATTAATCCAGTCTATCATTGATGGACATTTGGGTTGGTTCCAAGTCTTTGCTATTGTGAATAGTGCTGCAATAAACATACGTGTGCATGTGTCTTTATAGTAGCATGATTTATAATCCTTTGGGTATATACCCAGTAATGGGATGGCTGGGTCAAATCGTATTTCTAGTTCTAGATCCTTGAGGAATCGCCAGACTCTCTTCCACAATGGTTGAACTAGTTTACACTCCCATCAACAGTGTAAAAGTGTTCCCATTTCTCCACATCCTTTCCAGCACCTGTTGTTTCCTGACATTTTAATGATTGCCATTCTAACTGGTGTGAGATGGTATCTCATTGTGTTTTGATTTGCATTTCTCTGATGGCCAGTGATGATGAGCATTTTTTCATGTGTCTGTTGGCTGCATAAATGTCTTCTTTTGAGAAGTGTCTTCACATCCTTGGCCCACTTTTCGATGGGGTTGTTTGATTTTTTTCTTGTAAATTTGTTTAAGTTCTTTGTAGATTCTGGATATTAGCCCTTTGTCAGATGGGTAGATTGCAAAAATTTTCACCCGTTCTGTAGGTTGCCTGTTCACTCTGATGGTAGTTTCTTTTGCTGTGCAGAAGCTCTTTAGTTTAATTAGATCTCATTTGTCTATTTTGGCTTTTGTTGCCATTGCTTTTGGTGTTTTAGTCATGAAGTCCTTGCCCATGCCTATGTCCTCAATGGTATTGCTTAGGTTTTCTTCTAGGGTTTTTATGGTTTTAAGTCTAACATTTAAGTCTTCAATCCATCTTGAATTAATTTTTGTATAAGGTGTAAGGAAGGGATCCAGTTTCAGCTTTCTACATATGGCTAGCCATTTTTCCCAGCACCATTTATTAAATAGGGAATCCTTTCCCCATTTCTTGTTTTTGTCAGGTTTGTCAAAGATCAGATGGTTGTAGATATGTGGTATTATTTCTGAGGGCTCTGTTCTGTTCCATTGGTCTATATCTCTGTTTTGGTACCAGTACCATGCTGTTGTGGTTACTGTAGCCCTGTAGTATAGTTTCAAGTCAGGTAGCGTGGTGCCTCCAGCTTTGTTCTTTTGCTTAGGATTGTCTTGCCAATGCGGGCTCTTTTTTGGTTCTGTATGAACTTTAAAGTAGTTTTTTCCAATTCTGTGAAGAAAGTCATTGGTAGCATGATGAGGATGGCATTGAGTCTATAAATTACCTTGGAGCAGTATGGCCATTTTCACGATATTGATTCTTCCTATCCATGAGCATGAAATGTTCTTCTATTTATTTGTGTCCTCTTTTATTTCGTTGAGCAGTGGTTTGTAGTTCTCCTTGAAGAGGTCCTTCACATCCCCTGTAAGCTGGATTCCTAGGTATTTTATTCTCTTTGAAGCAATTGTGAATGGGAGTTCACTCATGATTTGGCTCTCTGTTTGTCTGTTATTGGTGTATAGGGATGCTTGTGATTTTTCCACATTGATTTTGTATCCTGAGACTTTGCTGAAGTTGCTTATCAGCTTAAGGAGATTTTGGGCTGACATGATGGGGTTTTCTAAATATACAATCATGTCATCTGCAAACAGGGACAATTTGACTTCCTCTTTTCCTAATTGAATAACCTTTATTTCTTTCTCCTGCCTGATTGCCCTGGCCAGAGCTTCCAGCACTATGTTGAACAGGAATGGTGAGAGAGGGCATCCCTGTCTTGTGCCAGTTTTCAAAGGGAATGCTTCCAGTTTTTGCCCATTTAGTATGATATTGGCTCTGGGTTTGTCATAAATAGCTCTTATTATTTTGAGATACGTCCCATCAATACCTAGTTTATTGAGAGTTTGTAGCCTGAAGGGCTGCTGAATTTTGTCAAAGGCCTTTTCTGCATCTATTGAGATAATCATGTGGTTTTTGTCTTTGGTTCTGTTTATATGCTGGATTACATTTATTGATTTGCATATGTTTAACCAGCCTTGCATCCCAGGGATGAAGCCCACTTGATCTTAGTGGATAAGCTTTTTGATGTGCTGCTGGATTCGGTTTGCCAGTATTTTATTGAGGATTTTTGCATCTATGTTCCTCAGGAATATTGGTCTAAAATTCTTTTTTTTGTTGTTGTGTCTCTGCCAGGCTTTGGTATCAGGATGATGCTGGCCTCGTAAAATGAGTTAGGGAGGATTCCCTCTTTTTCTATTGATTGGAATAGTTTCAGAAGGAATGGTACAAGTTCCTCTTTGTACCTCTGGTAGAATTCAGTTGTGAATCCTTCTGGTCCTGGACTTTATTTGGTTGGTAGGCTATTAATTGTTGCCTCAATTTCAGAGCCTGTTATTCATCTATTCAGTGATTCAGCTTCTTCCTGGTTTAGTCTTGGTAAGGTGTATGTGTCAAGGAATTTATCCATTTCTTCTAGATTTTCTAATTTATTTGCATAGAGGTGTTTATAGTATTATCTGATGGTAGTTCGTATCTCTGTGGGATCAGTGGTGATATCCCCTTTATCATTTTTTATTGCATCTATTTGATTCTTCTCTCTTTTCTTCTTTATTAGTCTTGCTAGTGGTCTATCAATTGTGTTGATCTTTTCAAAAAACCAGCTCCTGGACTCATTGATTTTTTTAAGGGTTTTTTGTGTCTCTGTCTCCTTCAGTTCTGCTCTGATCTTAGTTATTTCTTGCCATCTGCTAGCTTTTGAATGTGTTTGTTCTTGCTTCTCTAGTTCTTTTAATTGTGATGTTAGGGTGTCCATTTTAGATCTTTCCTGCTTTCTCTTGTGGGCATTTAGTGCTATAAATTTCCCTCTACACACTGCTTTAAATGTGTCCCAGAGATTCTGGTATGTTGTATCTTTGTTCTCATTGGTTTCAAAGAACATCTTTATTTCTGCCTTCATTTCGTTATTTACCCAGTAGTCATTCAGGAGCAGGTTGTTCAGTTTCCATGTAGTTGTGCGGTTTTGAGTGAGTTTCTGAATCCTGAGTTCTAGTTTGATTGCACTGTGGTCTGAGAGACAGTTTCTTATAATTTCTGTTCTTTTACATTTGCTGAGGAGTGTTTTACTTCCAACTATGTGGTCAATTTTGGAATAGGTGTGGTGTCGTGCTGAGAAGAATGTACTTTCTGTTGATTTGGGGTGGACAGTTCTGTAGATGTCTATTAGGTCTGCTTGGTGCAGAGCTGAGTTCAATTCCTGGGTATCCTTGTTGACTTTCTGTCTCATTGATCTGTCTAATGTTGACAGTGCAGTGTTAAAGTCTCCCATTATTATTGTGTGGGAGTCTAAGTCTCTTTGTAGGTCACTCAGGACTTGCCTTATGAATCTGGGTGCTCCTGTATTGGGTGCATATACATTTAGGATAGTTAGCTCCTCTTATTGAATTGATCCCTTTACCACTATGTAATGGCCTTCTTTGTCTCTTTTGATCTTTGTTGGTTTAAAGTCTGTTTTATCAGAAACTAGGATTGCAACCCCTGCTTTTTTTTTTTGTTTTCCATTTGCTTGGTAGATCTTCCTCCATCCCTTTATTTTGAGCCTATGTGTGTCTCTGCATGTGAGATGGGTCTCCTGAATACAGCACACTGATGGGTCTTGATTCTTTATCCAATTTGCCAGTCTGTGTCTTTTAATTGCGGCATTTAGCCCATTTACATTTAAGGTTAATATTGTTATGTGTGAATTTGGTCCGTCATTATGATGTTAGCTGGTTATTTTGCTCGTTAGTTGATGCAGTTTCTTCCTAGCATCGATGGTCTTTACAATTTGGCATGTTTTTGCAGTGGCTGGTACCGGTTGTTCCTTTCCATGTTTAGTGCTTCCTTCAGGAGCTCTTGTAAGGCAGGCCTGGTGGTAACACAATCTCTCAGCATTTGCTTGTCTGCAAAGGATTTCATTTCTCCTTCACCTATGAAGCTTAGTTTGGCTGGATATGAAATTCTGGATTGAAAATTCTTTTCTTTAAGGATGTTGACTATTAGCCCCCACTCTCTTCTGGCTTGTAGAGTTTCTGCCAAGAGATCCACTGTTCATGCTGTTAGTCTGATGGGCTTCCCTTTGTGGGTAACCTCACCTTTCTCTCTTGCTGCCCTTAACATTTTTTCCTTCATTTCAACCTCGGTGAATCTCACAATTATGTATCTTGGGGTTGCTCTTCTCGAGGAGTATCTTTGTGGTGTTCTCTGTATTTACTGAATTTGATTTTTGGCCTGCCTTGCTAGGTTGGGGAAGTTCTCCTGGATAATATCCTGAAGAGTGTTTTCCAACTTGGTTCCATTCTCCCTGTCACTTTCAGGTACAACAATCAAATGCAGATTTGGTCTTTTCACATAGTCCCATATTTCTTGGAGGCTTTGTTCGTTTCTTTTTACTCTTTTTTTCTCTAAACTTCTCTTCTGACTTCATTTCATTCATTTGATCTTCAATCATTGATATCCTTTCTTCCAGTTGATTGAATCAGCTACTGAAGCTTGTGCGTGCGTCACGTAGTTCTCGTGCCATGGTTTTCAGCTCCATCAGGTCATTTAAGGTCTTCTCTATGCTGTTTATTCTAGTTAGCAATTCTTCTAATCTATTTTCAAGGTTTTTAGCTTCCCTGCGATGGGTTCGAATATCCTCCTTTAGCTCAGAGAAGTTTGTTATTACTGATCTTCTGAAGCCTACTTCTGTCAACTCTTCAAAGTCATTCTCCATCCAGCTTTGTTCCATTAGTAGTGAGGAGTTGCGATCCTTTGGAGGAGAAGAAGTGCTCTGGTTTTTAGAACTTTCAGCTTTTCTGCTCGGTTTCTCCCCATCTTTGTGGTTTTATCTAACTTTGGTCTTTGATGATGGTGACCTACAGATGGGGTTTTGGTGTGGATGTCCTTTTTGTTGATGTTGATGCTATTCCTTTCCATTTGTTGGTTTTCCTTCTAACAGTCAGGACCCTCAGCTGCAGGTCTGTTGGAGTTTGCTGGTGGTCCACTCCAGACCCTGTTTGCCTGGGTATCACTGGCGGAGGCTGCAGAACAACAAATATTGCAGAACAGCAAATGTTGCTGCCCGATCCTTCCTCTGGAAGCTTCACCTCAGAGGGGCACCCGGCTGTATAAGGTGTCAGTTGGCTCCTACTGGGAGGTGTCTCCCGGTTAGGCTACTCGGGGGTCAGGGACCCACTTGAGGAGGCAGTCTGTCTGTTCTCAGATCTCAAACTCCATGCTGGGAGAACCACTGCTCTCTTCAAAGCTCAGCTGGAAATGCAGAAATCACCCGTCTTCCGCGTCGCTCACACTGGGAGCTGTAGACTGGAGCTGTTCCTATTCGCCATCTTGGAACAAAAACCAATACTATTTCTATATATCAGCAATGTCCAAGCTTAGTGCCAATCAATAATGCAATTCCATTCACAATAATCACAAAAGGAATGTAATACCTAGGAATACAGGTAACCAGGGAAGTGGAAGATCTCTATGAGAAATATAAAACACTGCTAAAATAAATCATGGATAACACAAACAAATGGAAAAACATTCCATGTTCAGGTAAAGGAAATGGCCACCACACTGCACAAAGCAGTTTAAAGATTCAATGTTATTCCTGTCTAACTACCAATGACATTCTTCACAGAATTAGGAAAAGCTATTCAAAATTTTATATGGAACAAAAAAGAACCCAAATATTCAAAGCAATCCTAAACAAAAAGAACAAAGCTAGTGGCATCACATTACCTGACTGCAAACTATATTACCAGGATACAGTAAACAAAACAGCATGGTACTGGGACAAAATCAGACACATAGACATATAGAACAGAATAGACAGCATAGAAATAAGGCCGCATACCTACGATCATCTGATCTTTGACAAAGCTGACAAAAACAAGCAATGGGGAAAAGACTCTCTATTCAATAAATGATGTTAGGGGAGCTGCCTAGCCATATGCAGAAGATTGAAACTGGATCCCTTTCTTAGGCCATATACAAAAATCAACTGAACATGGATGAAAGGTTTAAAGAAAGGTTTAAATGTGTTAAAATAAAAACTTCAGCGAAATTAAATTTAAAAGAATTTAATTGAGCAGTGATGGATTCGCGAATCGTGCAGCCACCAAAATCACAGTAGTTTCACAGAGACTCCAGGAGTGCCTTGTGGTCAGAACAAATACATAGACAGAAAAGGTAAAGTGACGTACAGGAATCAGAAATGTGGTACAGAAACAGCAAAATTGGTTACAGCTTGGCCTTTGCCTTATTTGAACGCAGTTTGAACATTCAGCAGCCTATAAGTAGTTGAAGTATGGCCTCTGGGATTGGCCAACACTCAGCTATTGATACAGGTGTATACTATTAAGTTAGGTTTTCTATTTTGTCTGACTGTCCACAAGGTTAAAGTTCATCCACAAGGACTCAAATATAGAAGTTCAGAATCCTTTTCAGGACATATTTAGTTTGCCTTAACAAACGTAAAACCTAAAACTATAAAAACCCTTTTAGAAAATCTACGAAATACCATTCTACACATAAGCCTTGGAAAATATTTCATGACAAAGATGCCAAAAGCAATTGCAACAAAAGCAAAAATTGACAAGTGGAATCTAATTAAACTAAAGAGTTCCTGCACAGCAAAAGAAACTATCAAACGAGTAAACAGACAACCTACAGAATGGGAGAAACTATTTGCAACCTTTGCATCTGCCAAATGTCTAATTTCCAGAATTTATAATGAACTTAAATATTTAAGCAAAAAATAAAACAACCCCATTGAAAAGTAGGCAAAAGACATGAACAGACACTTCTCAAAAGAAAACATACATGCAGCCAACAAGCAAATGAAAAAAAATAACAAAAATATTCAACCTCACTCATTATTGGATAAATGGGAATCAAAACCATCTCACTCCAGCCAGAATGGTTATTATTAAAAAGTTCAAAACAACAGATGCTTGTGAGTTTTCAAAGAAAGGGCTATGCTTATACACTACTGGTGAGAATGTAAATTACTTCAGCCACTGTGGATGGTGATTTGGCAGTTTCTCAAAGAACTTTAGATAACTACCATTCAACCCAAAAATGTCATCATTGGGTAAATACCCAAAGAATATAAATTATTCTACCATAAAGAGACATGCATGTGTATGTTCATCGTAGTAATAGTCACAAAAGCATAGACATGGAATCCACCTAAATGCCCATCAACGGTAGACTGGATAAAGAAAATATGGTACATATCATGGAATACTATGCAGCCATAAGAAGGAACAAGATTCTGTCCTTCTCAGCAACATGGATGGAGCTGGAGGTCATTATCCAAAGCAAATGAACACAGGAACAGAAGACCAAATACTGCATGTGTTCACTTATAAGTGAGAGTTAAGTATTGAGTACACACGGACACATAGAGGGGAACAACACATAATGGGGCCTACTTGAGGGTAGAGGATGGAAGGAGGGTGAGGATCGAAAAACTACCTATTGGCACTATGCTTATCACCTGTGTGATGAAATAATCAAACCCCAGTGACATGCAATTTACCTACATAACAAATCTGCACATGTACCCCCTGAAAGGAAATAAAAGTTTAAAATTTATATATATATAATTTGTTGAATTTCTGCTCTCATGAAATTAATGA
Organism: Homo sapiens; assembly: GCF_000001405.40. Classification (NCBI taxonomy): domain Eukaryota; kingdom Metazoa; phylum Chordata; class Mammalia; order Primates; family Hominidae; genus Homo; species Homo sapiens. Next base: position 141,446,110 of record NC_000023.11, on the reverse strand, counting down.
CTTTGTTGGGCCCTACACCTTGCTATTAATGTATCCCCCCTAGTATTGTAATACAATATGTATCTTCTGTTTACTGGTAAAAATACTGTTCATTTCTCTCTGTCTAATTAACTTTCTAATAAAGTTATTTAGCATTAAAAGATATGAGTTTAATTTCTCTAATTGATTTAGGATTTACCAAGTTTACTGTTTTGTCTAGGGTGTTTTCTTTTTTGTTTTTTTTTTGAGATGGAGTCTCACTCTGTCGCCCAGGCTGGAGTGCAGTGGTGCGATCTCGACTCACTGCAACCTCCACCTCCTGGGTTCAAGCCATTCTCCTGCCTTAGCCTCCTGAGTAGCTGAGATTACAGGCGCGTGTCACCACGGCTAATTTTTATATTTTTAGTAGAGATGGGGTTTCACCATCTTGGCCAGGCTAGTCTTGAACTCCTGACCTCGTGATCCACCCACCTCGGCCTACCAAAGTGCTGGGATTACAGGCGTGAGCCACTGCGCCCAGCCTGTCTAGCGTCATTTTTAATAATTAGTGCTTTCTAAGAAATTTGTCAATTTCATCTAATTTTTCAATTTCATTGGCATAAAATTATTCACAGCATTTTTTGTTAGCTTTTTAATAATATAGGACACTCTTTTGGACCTGATAATGGTAATTTACATTTTCTTTTTTTTATCTTTTTCAATCTAGTAAGAGACTTACCAAAATTATTATTTTCAAAGAACCAGACTACAGTGACATCGATTTTTTTCTCTATTATTTTTCCAATTAATACTTCATTTATTTTATTACCTCTATTATCTCCTTCTACTTTTTCCTTTGGCTTTGATTTACTCATTTTTTGCTTATTCTTTTGTGATGCAAATTCATATCACTTATATTAGATCTTTCCTATTCTTAACATAATAATTCAAATCCATAATTTCCCTGTAAAGTATTGCTTTAGATATATACCAACAATTTTTTTTGTTATTCCTTTCAAAATAGTGCCTAAATCACCTTGGTATTTCTTGTCTCTTGTATTGCTTTTGCTCATTATTAATTTAACCAGTATTTAGTGTTTGTCTAGTTATATTATTGATTTCTAGTGTGATTTATTTGTGGTAAGAGAAAAGACTGTGTTATTTAAATCTTTCTAAAATTATTTAGACTTGTTTTATCACTGAACATATGATCTTAATATAACATATGCCACTGAAAAGAATGTGCTGTTCTACCATTGTTAGGTGCAGTGTTCTGTAAATATCAATTAAGCTGTTGTGGTTGATAGTGTTATTCAGAATTTCTATGTTGAACCACAGTACTTCAGAATGCGAATGTATTTTCAGATAGGGTCTTTAAAAAGGTAATTAAAATAAAATGAGTTCATTAGGATGGGTCCTAATGCAATATGTCTGATGTCCTTTTAAGAAGAGGAAATTAGGCCAGGCATGGTGGCTCACGCCTGTAATCCCAGCACTGTGGGAGGCTGAGGTGGGCGGATCACCTGAGGTCAGGAGTTTGAGACCAGCCTGGCCAACGTGACAAAACCCTGTCTCCATTGAAAATACAAAAATAAGCCGGGTGTGGTGGCACAGGCCTGTAATCCCAGCTACTGAGGAGGCCAAGGTAGGAGAATTGCTTGAACCAGGGAAACGGAGGTTGCAGTGAGCCGAGATCGTGCCACTGCACTCCAGTCTGGGCGACAGAGCAAGACTGTCTAAAAAAAAAAAAAAAGAAAGGAGAAAATTAGGATACAGACACTTACAGAAGAAAGACCATGTGAAGACATAGGAAGGAGACCACAATCGTCCAGCCAAGGAAAGAGACCTCAGAAGAAACCAATCCTGCTGACTCTTTGATCTCAGACTTTTAGACTCCGGAATTGTGAGAAAATAAATTTTTGTTGTTTAAGGCATCTTGTTCATGGTACTTTGTTATGGCAGCCCTAGCAAACTAAAACAGTAGGTTTCAGTTTACCTTTTAACTATTGGCTTTTATTTATTTATTTATTTATTTATTTATTTATTTTGTTTTACGTCCCTGTTACTTTTTTCCTGCCTTTTAATAAGATTTTTTATTTTATTTTCAGAATTGTATTTTATTTTTCTTATTGAGATTTTAGCTATACTTTGCAGTTCTGAAAATTCTCCTGTAGAGATTCTTATATACATCCTTTACTTTTTATAGTTAATTTTCAGTTAATACCACATTACTTCACATAAAATGTACAAACCTTGCAACAGTCTAGGATCATATGCCCCATTTCTTCTATTATTCTACAGTTGTTGTTATATCTATTAAATGTACTTACATTATAACACTACAAAGCAATATTATACATTTACCTTTAAATAGTCACACATATTGCTAACAAACAAAGAGGAAAGGAAGCCAAAATAATAGTGATTTGCATGGACTATGGCACTTATCATTAATTATATTCTTTATATTCCCACCAATTTATGTACCACACAATCAACTGCAATTGATCCTAGGATACAATCCACCAATGCAGAAACTTCTTCATGGAACTACCTACCTGCCCTCTTCTGAGTATGCGCTCCTACCAGAGTCTTTTGCTTCCATTGACAATCCAGTACCTGCAAGTATTTGGTTTTTATATTAGGTTTACATTTTATAATTATTTTCTGCAAGTGACTTCCATCTGGTAGGGTCTTAGTGTGTCATTACAGAAATCCTCCAGATAGCTTTATTTGGATGAAGTGTTCGGTTTGAATGGACAGTTGTAATAAACTGGGAGTATATAGTTAATTTTTTTTTTTTTTTTTTTTTTTTTTTGGATTCAGAGTCTTGCTCTTGTTGCCCAGGCTGGAGTGTAATGGCGCGATCTCGGCTCACTGCAACCTCCGCCTCCTGGGTTCAAGCAATTCTCCTGCCTCTGCCTCCCAAGTAGCTGGGATTACAGGCGCTTGCCACCATGCCTGGCTAATTTTTTGTATTTTTAGTAGAGATGGGGTTTCACTGTGTTGGCCAGGCTGGTTTCGAACGCCTGACCTCGTGGTCCACCCGCCTCGGCCTCCCAAAGTGCTGGGATTACAGGCATGAGCCACGTGCCTGGCCGATTTTTTATGTGAACGTTTATTAAATATCAGGCTGGTGGGGGGGTTGTGCTAAATTTATAAGGTGATAAAGAGTAACCGTAGAATGGCAAGCTATTGTTATATTCTTTAAATATACCTGTATGATTAACTTAATTAAAGTAGTACACAAAAAGTCACTTGTAAAGATAGATATGTTTGAATAGAATCTGTATTGATATGTATTCCTCTCCCCAGAGTCTATGGAAAAACTTCAAGGAGAAACACAAAGGAATTACCAAACACACTTTCCTTCTTCCTGTAGCAACCAACACTCAGGCAAGAGCAGCAGGTAGCTAGCACATTCAAATTCAGTAACTGATTTTCTATTTCACAGACCATAATCCTGAACTGACAGGAAGCAATGGGACTCAAACTAAAGCCCTTTAGTGAAGAGGGACCAGTATTTATGTGGAGTGTTGCATGTTCTACTTTTGTTTGTTAAATAATAGGATACTCTAGGGTGCTGTCATAATTACTTCATAGTCATTCGCACAGTGCAGTCCACTAGCTACTGACCTTGAGCATTTTGAGTTGTTTCTAGCCAGGTAAATGAAAATGATGGAAGAAAATAATAACCCTCAATTTTATAAAGCCCTTAGGAAAAATGAGTTTTATTAACCTGATGTCTGACTCATCACAGGTACTGATTTTGAAAGATGTTCTGTAATTTAGTTTTATATAAGAGCCTTCTTTTTGTTGTTTTTAAATTAGCATGAGGGTAACCAATGTTGGGTAGCAAAGGGACACTAAAGAAAGAGATTTGGGAGAAAGAGTAATTTTATCATTATGCTTTTATTCTTCCTAATCACCTTTTCCATTAGTAAAACTCCCAAGGATAGCAATGGCACACAAGCTTTTGAAGTGTCAGTGAAAGCTGAAATCAGCTAAAATAATAGTTGGCTGCATTTAAGATATAACAGAGGCAGCAGTGCATCAAGGTTACTGTGAAGGTGAAAATAATTGGATACAATTGAAAAATAGATTTATTTGTGGTTACCACCCTGGAATGGGAACAATTACTAACTTGCAAAGAGATCTTTATCACTTCTGTTCACCTTAGGGAACTATGAGGCAGCATAACATGGCCCATAAGGCCTCAGAAAAGCATCTGTAATCATGAGATTGCATTGACTTTTATATAAGTTAGACCTTGTTTTATCCTGGATTCAGTTATCCTCCACTATAGCTTTGAAAATCTAAAATGTTTCTCTTATACTTGTCCTCCTCTTAAACACTATCACGGTATCACAGTCTTCTATTGAAATTTTACTCCTGTCAGCGTTTAAAAGGTATTTCATAGCACAACAGGGTGACTGTAGCCAATAATAACTTAATTGTATATTTGAAAATAACTAAAAGAGTATAATTGCGTTGTTTGTAACTCAAAGGATAAATGCTTGAGGGGATGGAAACCCCATTCACCAAGATGTGATTATTTCACATTTCATGTCTGTATCAAAACAACTCATGTACCTCATAAATGTATATGCCTGCAAGGTACCCACAAAAATTAAAGAAAATAATAAAGAAATAGCTTTATAATTGTTTGCAGAAGTGGTATATCATATATTTTGTAGCAGATAAATCTTAATTTGAATGTTAATGCGGTCTTTATATGCTAATTGTTTGTCTAATAGGGAGCCATATTGAAGAAATATCATCCTTAAAATATACTGATGCCTAAATGTGAAGTATGGATGATGGTGCTTTTATAAATAGAGTGATCAACCATATACTTCGTTGTGCAAGCTGGGAAGCATAGGGGAGTATAATGGGGCTTTTTTTTTTTTTTTTTAGATGGAATCTCGCTCTGTCGCCAGGCTAGAGAGCAGTGGCGTAATCTCGACTCACTGCAACCTTTGCCTCCCGGGTTCAAGCGATTCTCCTGTCTCAGCCTCCCGAGTAGCTGGGACTACAGGCACGCACCACCACGCCCAGTTAATTTTTGGATTTTTAGTATAAATGAGGTTTCACCATGTTGGCCAGGATGGTCTCGATCTCTTGACCTCATGATCCACCCACCTCAGCCTCCCAAAGCTGCTGGGATTACAGCCGTGAGCCACTGCACCTGGCCAATGGGGCATTATTAATAATGATACCAGGAAAACGGGTATGAAGGAGGACTAATCATGAATTATACGGGAATATATATATCTCTATACACACACACACACACACACACACACACACACACACATACATCCATCCCCGTGTGTGTGTGTGTGTGTGTGTGTGTGTGTGTATCTCCCCGTAGTAATGGAATAGAGCCCAGAGAAAGAATTTCTTGATGAGAGAGAATGAACAATTATTTAAAACTAATAATGTTCATTTTTTGTTACTTACACAGAAATAATGCATGCTAATTTTATAAACTTTAAAAAATATAAAGGCAAAAATATATATTACTTTCACTACTGTTGATATGTCTCTTCAACTTGCAGCAGTGTCACACTGTTTAAATTTGTCTATTAAAATAAATTTTTAATGTCTAGTTGAATTCCTTAAACTCTGTTACATCACTTTAAAAATTATATATAAATGTTGGGCATTTATTCTGCCTAATAAACTTCAAAAAGTTCCACTTCTTTAAACTTACAGATTAATGTGAAAGGGATTAAACAGATTTACAATACTGAATCTTTCCATCCAGGAGCACGATGCATATCACTAATTTTGCAGAATGTCTTTTGTTTTCTTCCATAAAGTTTTGTAGTTCACCTCATATATATCCTACACATTTCTTGTGTATTTGTAAGCATTTTATAGGTTTATTATTGTTGCAAACCAACTATATTTTTCATTAACTTCCAAATTGATTTTTGCTGATATACATATATATATATATATATATATATATATATATATATATATATACACACACACACACACACACACACACACTCATACACACACATATATAAATGTTTCATTGCATTTTCTTCTCTTGTGTTTCACAGGGGACATATTGTCCTGTCATTTATGAAAGTTGCCAAATAATTCTCTAAAACTTTCTTTGGATCCTGTAGTAGATAATATTCAGTAGCATAATATTCCTCTGAGTCATTATTTCTTTTCTTTTCTTCAACGGTTTTTCATAAGTCTCTATTTTGTTTCCCTTGGAATAAGAAGTAATCCCATCAGAACTAGTGTTTACCAAACACAGGCCAGAAGCAACTTTCTCTTGCCATCAACCATCTGAGCTGTCTTATTTCAGGAGGAAAGCATCTATAAATCACTAATTGGGCTTTTTCTTTCAAAAGCAATGACCTTGTACTTATTATGAATTGCAATGCAATTCCCATCAAAACACCACAATCATTCTTCACAGAACTAGAAAAAACAATCCCAAAATTCATATGGAACCAAAAATAAGAGCCCACATAGCCACAGCAAGACTAAGCAAAAAGAACAAATCTGGAGGCATCACACTACCTGATTTCAAACTATACTATAAGGCCATAGCCACTAAAACAGCATGGTACTGTTATAACAATAGGCATGTACACCAACAGAACAGAACAGAGAACCCAGAAATAAACCCAAATACTTACAGTCAACTGATCTTTGACAAAACAAATCAAAACATAAAATGGGGAAAGGGCATCCTATTCAACAAACAGTGCTGGGATAATTGGCTAGCCACATATAGGAGAATGAAACTGGATCCTCATCTCTCACCTTATACAAAAATCAACTCAAGATGGATCAAGGACTTTAATCTAAGACCTGAAACTATAAAAATTTTAGAAGATTACATCAGAAAAACCCTTCTAGACATTGGCTTAGGCAAAGATTTTATGATCAAGAACTCAAAAGCAAATGCAACAAAAACAAGGATAAATAGGTGGGACTTAAACTAAAGAGCTATTGCAAAAGGAACAGTCAGCAGAGAAAAATAGACAGCCCACAGAATGGGAGAAAATCTTCACAATCTATACATCAGACAAAGGACTAACATCCAGAATCTACAATAAACTCAAACAAATTTGCAAGAAAAAAACAATCCAATCAAAAAAATGGGCTAAGGACATGAATAGACAATTCTCAAAAAAAGGCATACAAATGGTCAACAAACATATGAAAAAATGCTCAACATCACTAATGATCAGGGAAATGCAAATCAAAACCACAATGTGATACCATCTTATGCTCACAAGAATGGCCATAATCGAAAAATTTTTTAAAAAATTAGATGTTGGCATGAATGTGGTGAACAGGGAACACTTCTACACTGCTGGCAGGAATGTAAACTAGTACAACCACTATGAAAAACAGTGTGGAGATTCCTTAAAGAACTAAAAGTAGAACTACCATTTCATCCAGCAATACCACTACTGTGTATCTCCCCTGAGGAAAAGAAGTCATTATACAAAAAAGATATTTGCACATGCATGTTTATAGCAGCACAATTCACAATTGCAAAAATGTGGAACCAACCCAAAAGCCCATCAATCAACGAGTGGAAAAGAAACTCTTCTGTATATATATGTGATAGAATACTACTCGGCCATAAAAAGGAAAGAATTAATGGCATTCACAGTAACCTGGATGGGATTGCAGGCTATTATTCTAAGCGAAGTAACTCAGGAATGGAAAAGTAAACATCGTATGTTCACACTCATAAGTAGGAGCTAAGCTATGAGGATGCAAAGGCATAAGAATAATACAATGGACTTTGGGGACTAGGGAAAGTATGGGGAGGAGGCTGAGGGATAAAAGACCACAAATTGGGTTCAGTGTATATGGCTCGGGTGATGGGTGCACCAAAATCTCACAAATCACCACTAAAGAACTTACTCATGTAACCAAATACCACTTGTTCCCCAAAAACCTATGGAAATAAAAAGTTTTTTTAAAAAAGAGTTGCAAGCATTGTGGCTCATGCCTACAATCCCAGCACTTTGGGAGGCTGAGGTGGGAGAAACACTTGAGCCCAGGAGTTCAAAACCAACCTGAGCAACATAGTGAGACCATATCTCTACAAAGTAACTTTAAAAATAGCCTGGCATGGTGGTGTACACCTGTGGTCCCAAGCTACTTGGGAGGCTGAGGTGGGAGGATTGCTTGAGCCCAGGAGGTGGAGGCTGCGGTGAGCCATGATTGTGCCACTGCACTCCAGCCTAGGAGACAGACAGAGTGAGGCCTTGTCTCTAAATAAATAAATAAATAATTACATGGGGTTTCTTATGATTGTTTATTTTTAGTTTCTCTTCTATGTCTCCCTTAGTATTTTAGTGGGAATTTGGCAGAGACACTTTCAAAAGATTCTGAAAACAAGTAATTCAAAACCTAAGGTGTTGGAACTCTAAATTATTTTGAGCCTTAAAGGTACGTGATTATGGGGTCTGAGTCATGTGACAAGCAGCTATAACCTAGACAGTTGTCACCTTTCTTTCTGTGATTATAGATTAAATCTTCTTCCTTACCTGCATTGTTTTGTAAAATGTTGTAAATGACTTAAGAATGCCAGGAAAGACCCTATCCCTCTTCACTTAATTTTCATTATAGATTAACTTCCCTCTTATCTTTCTCACACAGGGCTTCATGACTACCACACTGTCTTCAGATGAAATGTTAAATACACTGTTTTAAATTGGAAAGGAAATGAAAACCAGCCGTAATGAAAAGAAAACAAGCCTTATGGGAAGAAAGCAAACTGTTACTTTTTGTAATTCTTAAACCAGCCTTTTACAGAAAGTGTTTCAGTCTTATTAAATTTCTTTGTTTTCTGCCAATATAAGCAAGAACTCAACTTTTAATTTTGGAGAACTGATCCCTTTTCTCTGGGGTCTGTGTGTACCAAATGGTCATTTCTAGGTTTTCAATCGAATAAACTCTTTAGAACTGGATTCTGATCTTTTTGATTACTTAAAGTTGACAAGGTATATAAATGGGTAACATTTTGAACAAAATGTGAGAAATAGGCTGTTAAATGTTCTCCTCAAGTTCTCCTATGTTTTTACTCTCAAATAACACACTCTATTCCTCCAAGGGAGTTTGAGAAAAATAGATGCATTAAAATTTAAGCTTTAGATAACTTTTACAGAAGAATTAAGAACTTCTTCTTAAATATAAGAAAATATAAGAGAAATATCAAATGGTAGCACTTCATTCTGATTTACCTCCTATAAGCCTTTCAAATTTATTCATGTGACCTTTTTTATCTGAGTTAATAAATGTTCAATTTGCTTTAGTGAATAGATTCTATTGAGTTCATTACTGAAAATTGTACTTAAAATACTGATATATTAATTAAAACTTTTTGGTTTATAGATGGCAAAGAAGCAACTTGAATTAGTTTAGGCTGTAAATATACTACATTGAAAGAAAATAGAGGAATTTCTGAGAGCTAATAAAAGCATATATTAATTAAACATGGTAGCAACAAGGCTTCAGAACAACTGGCAGCAGAAGTTTTGTTCTGGCGGTCATTTGATTTTCTCTCTACATCTGGTTATCGTTTTCTACCTTATACTGGCTTGCTTTATTTATATAGTGGAGAGCATAGTATCTCAAATTTGGGATCTCAGACCCCAAATTTCACATATTATAGTTCCTATTATCCAAGAGGGACTAACTCCTTACTCAGGTTGGAAATATTCTAGAGAAGGACTATCATCTTATGGAATTGGTAGGGCATGTGAATTCAATATTTCCAATTAATCATCAATCATCGTTATTTAGGATAAAGCAGAATTGTAGGAGTTCTCTTAATTATGTATTTTTTGACCTCACAGACTTAGAAACACAGGATTCTGTTTTGGCAGAACACAGTAGTAAACACCAAAGTTGGGGTACAACTCTGTGCAGAAGTGTCTTGTAAATAAAGAACGTAAGTCATTTTTTTTTAATCTGGAGTGGCAACAAATCAAGCCTGTGAAATATTGTTTTTTTCTTTTTTGCAAAACTTGACCTGTCAAGAGCTGAATTTGAAGCTAATCATCAATGATGCTACTATATTGTGCCCCAATAATAGTCAATTATAACAGATTTCAGGAGATGTTACATATTGATGACATGATAGTCATGATAACTTTAGATAAACGCTTCAGGAAATTTCACATTGTACTGTTCCCTAATAAATATAAGCTATTACTGTCAATAGTGATCAAGGAGAAATAGAAAATGAGAACTTTCAGTTTCTCTTTTTTAGATGATGGTATTCTTGATGTAGAGACTTTGTTTAGTCACATTACCTGCTATGTTTTATTCAGCCATCTGTACCCCACATTGTACCATGTACCAAGGACCCTAGGTATAATATCGAATAAAACATAGTTTTAGAATTCAAGGTCTTTAAAATCCAGTGTGGGTTATTGGGCAGCTCCTTGGGAAAAGTTGGTACATAAGGAGTTTATGGTTGAATGTTCTATTGCATGTATTTTTATTGTTCACCATAAATTCATGGGAAACATTGTATTTTCTAGATTCCCTTTCAGTTAGGTTACAGTTACATGACTGGACTCTGGCCAATGGAATTTGTATGGAATTGACATAAGCCTATTTTAGGACTGGCCCTTTAAATTTTCAGAAGAAGATGACTTGACTTCATTTGAACTGTATGTTAATGATGAATATAGTTTCATTTTGTTAAAACACTGCCTATGCCAGAAGATCACAAAGTGTGTCCAAAGAACATTGGTATGGGGTCCCCAAGATCCTTTAACAAGACCCACAAAACAACAATTATTTTCATCAAAATTCTAAAATAGTCTTTGCTTTTTCCATTAATTTTGTCATGAGTTTACAGAGAATGCTCCAGAGGCTACATGACCTGTAATAACATCAGTGCCCTTAAGGCTACTGGAATGTGTGCTTGTGTATTCTGTTTTCTAGAACTTTAGAATGTAGTATGTTTAAGATGTAAATATGCACTTCAGAGATAAATTCCATTTGTTCTTGATGCTTCTTTTCTATTACTACATATCTTTGGGTTATACGTGCTCTAATCTCTGTAATTTCAGAATCGTGCATTAAATTAAATTTTTAAAAAATTTTCATTTCTCTTGGGCCTAAGGAGAAACACAACTGGAAATGGATATATATTATTGGGTTTTTTTGGCAATATATTAAAATTTTTTTTTAATTACTTTTTAAATTTTGTCTAAAGTTGTTACTTTATAACTTAAACCATATGGTTTACTAAAACAAAATATATTTATAATTTCTTATATTTAAAGATACACTCTTGCCTTAAAAAGAAAGACTAGAATTCCTTTCTCAGCTTACAATGTAATATGTACACATAAAGATGCTGAAAAAAATATTAAGCTGACATTCTAGATAATTGCCTGTTTTAGGGAAGAGAATAATCTACTCCAAAGAAACGGTGAAAAACTAATAAGACAAAATATATGATGAAAATTTATTTTCTTCAGTCTTATATGTGGCAATAAATTATCTTAGTTTTTCATATGCAAAACATTTTGAATAGTGTTATGGAGTCTGCTAAGTTGGAGCATGATTTTGAAACCAATAATTTAAAATTTTTATAAAGAAGTATGTTGTAGTCATTTATGATGGATAAGGTCTAATTTACATCACCAGGGCTATAGTTAATATTATTTTGTACTGTGTCTAAGAAATCTGAAAAGAGATTACATTTTAGGTGCTCTTACTACACCTACACACACGCACTCTCAGACAAAGGTTACGCTATGTGAGAAGACAGATATGCTAATTGGCTTGACTGTAGTAATCTTTTCACCATGTATATGTATATCAAAACATTATATTGTACACCTTAAATATATACAATAAACATAAAGTTAAAAATAAATAAGGCATTGTATATTTTAACATAGACATGATAAACTATTTAAAAGTCAAAAATTGCTTATTACAGACTTTTAAAACATAAATGGAAAAGCCACTAAAGGATTTTATAGGGAAGTTCCTTGTGTTTTATTGTCTGGAGAAGTACACACAATTTTTTACATTTCACTTTGCCAAATACCTGCTCAATGAAAAGTCAGTAAAAACAATCATGGTGCTGCCACTTTCCAAACACATAGTCACTCATTGTCTTAAATATTTAGTTGCAAACATTAAGACTGAGTTAATATCTTATCTTCAGAAGTGTACTTTTGCCTTACAAATGAACAAATCTACAGATGTAACTGGGCTTCCTGTTTTGCTTATGTTCATCTGGTATGAGCATGGACTAATCAGCAAAGTATATCTTCTTTCATTTGAATGCTGTGCAATAAACACAATGGTGATAAATATTAAAATAGAATAATATTTTTGACTTTCAGGTTCTATCCTGAAACAAGTGTGTTTACGGTTGCACTGATGATGCTAGAGCAGTTGTGGGTAAAACTGCTGGTGGCTTGGTACAAATCAAGGCAATGGTTCCTGCTTGTACTATTGGTCCTTGATTTTTTTTTCACACCATACACTCAGAATGAAAAGAAAAAATTACCAGTTTCACCTGAGAATATCCTTTGTAAAAACTATAATAGTATTAATCTTATGAGATTAATATTCTGTGTGAAGAAATGGGAAGTATGCATAAAGCACTTTTTTCTGCATGGCATAAGACAATGGTCGTCTCAAGGAAAAGTGCTTTTGCAATTGTTTGAGTTGTGAGATCGTTTTACATGAAAGAGAAACTATTGGGATTTATGGTTTTTTTGACTTGGGTATTTGGCAGAACATTTTTTCTGAAGTTAAAGTGAGCTGTTACTTCAAGGAAAACAACGGATGATATCTGTTACTCATTGTAAAATTTGAAATTTCAAGTAAATATTAGAATTTTGAAAAACTTGTATCCCTTGCCTTGAATGTAATAGCTACCCAATACTTAGACTTTTCTGATAAGATTCATGGCGATATGAACAAATGTGATGTTTTTGATACTGTGTAATAAAGATCTGCTTAACTTGTGAATTAATGGTTTCAAAGTGACCGTCGAATGATGTTACAAAATCATGCATGAGTAAAAGATTCATTCAAGATGCAAAGTAGACCAAAGAATTTTACTGTAAACGAATATTTTACTGATATATTTTTAGATTCCACATTCAAACTAACTTTTAAGAAACCACTCCTTGCCGAGTTTTGGTACAGTGTCAACGAACATAGGCAATTATTTTTAAAGGCTATGAAACTGCTCCTCACTTTTCTAATTACATATACATGTGAGGCCAAATTTTCTTCATATACTTCAACCAAAACGACATGTTAAAACAGATTAAACACAGAAGCAAATTAGGCACTTCGCCAGTGTTTTATCAGGTCAGATATTAAAAGATTTGTAAAAATGAAAACAATGTGAGTCTTTAACTCATTTGTTGTTTTGGAAAACATGTCAACTTTTCATAAAAATAAATTGTTAGCATGTAATGAGTTTGTCACTTTTAAAAATGAACTGATAAAGTAATTTTTTTTTTTTTTTTTTTGACATGGAGTCTCGCTCTGTCCACCAGGCTGGAGTGCAGTGGCGCGATCTCGGCTCACTGCAAGCTCCGCCTCCCGGGTTCACGCCACTCTCCTGCCTCAGCCTCCCAAGTAGCTGGGACTACAGGCGCCCGCCACCACGCCCGGCTAATTTTTTGTATTTTTTAGTAGAGACGGGGTTTCACCGTGTTAGCCGGGATGGTCTCGATCTCCTGACCTTGTGATCCACCCACCTCGGCCTCCCAAAGTGCTGGGATTACAGTAAAGGAATATTTTTAAAAGTTTCAGTTTTATTTTAAAAAGTGGTAAGGTTAAGTAGATAGAATCCAGTAAAAAATGTCTTTTGGGTCCTCAGTAACTTTTATGAATATAAAAGGTCATAAAAAATGAGAGTCACTGACTTACATTATCTTGATTAATATGTAGTTTGGTAGAAGTTCTAGGAATATTGTGTAGCCATGTTTTCAAATAAATGATTTTAGAGTGTGCTGTGTATAACGTGATTACCTTTCTATACTCATCTTACTATATGCAGTAAAATATGCATAATCTATGGAGTGGCCTAAGGTGCTAAAGCTATTCACAAAGACCAGTAGGCCCTTTCTGTTCACAAGTAATGCTCTTCTTTTTCTGTGGAAATGGAATTGTTTTTATTAGAAGACGATCATCACTACATCTTGCCCATGCCTCATTCAACAAGCTATTTTTGTATGACTCTTTCCAGATAAGATCATCTTGATGATGGTCAATGCTTTTTCAAAGTGGCTTAGAGTGGTGCTTACTTGATTTCAAATCTCTGCTGAACAACTTTTGCTCCGATAAAGTTGATTGCATAAGATGTCAGCATTATTTTTTACAAAAATTTTGCACTTATTTTAGTTGAGTTTAAGGAATTTGTGGATGGAAATGTTATCCACTTTGTCACCATCTTGTGTAATCAAGCAAAAACCATGATGCAGGTGAACTTGTCTGATCCCAGATACTGTTTGACTTTTCAGAAAGTGAATTCCGACACCTTTGCATGTTTGTGGAAATTTTATCTCGTGGCTAGAAGAATTTATTAAAAGGAACAATATATTTTCAAGAATAATCTTAATTATACCTTTAATATTACTCTTCAACAAACATACATCAATCTCCTGCCATATTCAAGGAATTGTGCTAGGTCCTGTCCTTACAGACACGGCCGAAGGTGGTAAGTGCCAAAATAAAAGTTTAGTTGTCAGGATATAGTATGACAGAGATCACCATTTTTTACAAGAAGATTGTATCATGAAACGAGGTAGATTATGTGTACATAGAAGCCAGCTACTGATAGCTCATCATGCTTAAAGAGAATATGGGATTTTAAAAAAGATTTTAAGGAGATGAGATTTGAACTTGACTTTGAAAGACTGTAATTAACAGAGATGTTGCAGGTGAGTGTGTGAGTGGGGGTGGGGTGAAGAATCTCTAGGTGAAGGGAAATGCATAACGGGCCATGAGAAAATATCAAGCCTTTGGAGGGCTTCCTAGTGGAGCATAAGAATCTGGGAGTGGCGGTGCAGGGGCTGCTGTTATATAAAGCGAGCAGGTGGACTGTGACCAGGTCTGGACCTGGGTTGCAGAGGAGGAAAAAAAATATGAAAAGAGAGTGAAAGGGAAACATCTCATTAAGGATGGCATTATAAGACCAGAACAGATGTATTGACACGCCCTATACTATTGCCTGTTGTGCTACTCTTGAACTTTTGTCTAAAGGCATTTTGGTGCTACTAATCACAAGAAGCCCAGAGAGGCTATTTCAGACATTCAGGTGCCCGTGTTATTAAAGAGGCAATTGTAAGGCTGGGTGCAGTGGCTCATGCCTGTAATCCCAGCACTTTGGAAAGCCAAAGTGGGAGGATCGCTTGAGCCCAGTAGTTTGAGACCAGCCTGGGAAACATAGTGAGACCCTGTCTCTACAAAAAATTAAAAACCAAAATTAGCCGAGCACAGTGGCAAGCATCTTTAGTCCCAGCTACTTGGGAGGCTGAGTTGGGAGGATTGTTTGAGCCCAAGAGGGCGAGGCTGCAGTGAGCCAAGATGGCACCACTGCCCTTCAGTAGCCTGGGTGACAGAGAAAGACTGTCTCCAAAAAAAAAAAAAGGGAAATTTGATAAATAAATCTCAACCTTACAGAAAAATTTAAGCTTTTTTTCATAAAGAATTAATTTGTATTTTTTCAGGTTCATGTTAATTTAATGCTAATTTTATGTAAACCAAGCCATTTTCGTCTGCATTATTTTATTTGTTCTTCATGTGTACCAATGTAATGATGCCATCTGTGACATAATATATATATTTGGTCTCTGCCAACCACCCCCCTTTCCTGGCACACAGCTTCTAAAACCCTTGGAATCCACCAAGTGATAAGTGTCTTTTGTCTGCTAATGAGATGACTGGTGACTGGGGGTTCCTGTACAGTTTAATGATGGGGACTTGTTTCTAGGGGAACCAAACATGTGATTAGATGGTTGGAATTTTCAGCCCCACCACCTGATCACTGAAGAGGGGAGAGAGACTGGAGATTGACGTAATCACCAACCGCCAACGATTTAATCAATCTTGCCTAGTACATGAACCTCCATAAAAATCCCAGAAGTGTGGAATGCAGGGTTTGGAAAGCTGAGCTGGTGAATGCAACCACGTGCTGGGAAGATGGTGCACCCCAAACCCAGGGGGACAGAAGCTTCTCAACTTGGGACCCTTCTGGACCTCACCCTATCTACTCCTTCATCTGGCTACTTATCTATGTCCTTTATCTTATCCTTTATAATAAACCAGTAAACAAAAATGTTTCTCCAAGTTCTGTGAGCTGTCATAGTCAACCTGAAGGGGGAATCATGAAAATCTGATTTGTAGCCATGTTGGACAGAAATGTGGGTAACTGAGGACCTATTAATTGGGATTGGCATTTAAAATGGGCAACAGTTTTGTGATATTGAGCCCTTAACTTGTAGGATCTGCACTAACTCCAGATAGTATCAGAATTGAATTGTAGGTTACCCAGTTAGTGTCTAGAGACTAGAATTGGTCGATGTGTGGAAAAACCCACACATGAGGACCCAGAAGTGTTGAGTTTGTAGAGAAAAATAGTGAGTTTTTCCTATAAACATCATGCCCAGGAATGCCTCTGAAATTGACGCTTACTTTTTCCCTTGCCTCAGGTACACTGTTTTATATAACGTACTAAAAATAAGTATAATATGTGATTTATTTTGTTAAAAGTAGTTAATAAGATAGTTAAGGGTTCGTGATTCTGTTCATTATTTCTTGTGGGTAATAAGTATATCACGGAATCTACTTGAATCCCTCATTCATCTACCACGTGTATGGTGCTATTTCTTTCTTTTTCTTTCTTTTTTTTTTTTTTTTTTTTTTGAGACGGAGTCTCCTTTTGTCACCCAGGCTGGAGTGCAGTGGCGTGATCTCAGCTGACTGCAACCTCCCCCTCCTGGGTTCAAGCGATTCTCCTGCCTTAGGCTCCTGAGTAGCTGAGATTACAGGCGTGTGTCATCACACCTGGCTAATTTTTGTATTTTTAGTAGAGACGGGGTTTCACCATGTTGGTCAGGCTTGTCTCGAACTCCTGACCTTGTGATCCACCTGCCTCAGCCTCCCAAAGTGCGGGGATTACAGGCATGAGCCACCGCCCCGGGCCTGTGGTGCTATTTCTTAAGTCTTCTGTTCATGTACACCATTTTGGTCTGATTTTATGACAAAATTCTAAAATATGCAGGAAGTCTGTCTTCTTGAATCTATTCTGATATAAATTCTAAATAGCTAAATAAATTCTAAATAGCTTCACATTGATTCCAGAAAAATACTCAGCATCTCGTTTAGACCTTCTAACTAGACTTCTTCCTCAGGAAGAAAAAGCTACCATTCACTGATTGCCAAACTGTGTCAGAAGATAGGCTAGGTATATAATTTAATTGAATTCACATAACAACCTTATAAAGTTCATTATTATTATTGCTGTGTTTTACAAGTGAGGTAATTCTAGGCAACAGGGTTCAATAGAAGGCTCTCGATAGAGGAGTATGGACTAAAGGAATCCAATAAGTTATTTAGCAAGGATACCTCATGCAGGATACAGGATGCCTTGGAGGGGGTGACAGACTGGGTGGCAGTGGACCAGGGAAGAAGACACTGTGCTTGTTTGGTGTGACATGATGGAGGCCTCACCTAGGGCTATGGTAAAGTGGTAAATCAGAGAAAACAAGAACCAAGAGGGTTTTCAAAGGAAAAATGGACAGAGTTTAGAAATTAATTGGTCATGGGGCATGGAGAAAGGGAGAAGTATCTCCTGAACAGAAAGACTTCTGCTGCATATGCCAGTGTAAAAAGATGCGGCTTTATTTTCCTACTGTAACTTATTTTTATTGACGTAAAATTCATATAACACAAAGTTTACCATTTTAACATATACAATTCAGTAGCAGTTAGTACATTCACAAGGCTGTGCCACCATCACCTCTATTGCTAAAATATTTTCATTACCCCAAAGGGAAATCTTGTGCCCATTAAGAAGTTAGTCTCATTATTAATTCCCACAGGCCCTGGAAACCATTAACATGCTTTCTGTGTCTTTGGACTTATCCATTTCTGGATATTTCATATGATGAAATATGATAATATGTGATGTTTTGTGTCTGGCTTCTCTCACTTGGCATGTTGTTATCATCCATGTTGTAAAATGTAACAATACTTTATTCGTTTTTATAGCTGAATGATGTTCCATTGTATGGATATATGACATTTCGTTTATCAGTTTATCCACTGAAAAACATTTGGGCAGTTTTTCACTTTTTGGCCATTGTGAATAGTGCTGCTATGAACGTTCACGTGCAATTATTTGTCTGAGTATCTGCTAGCAATTCATTTAAATACACACTTAGGAGTACGATTGCCAGGGAATTAAACATAGAATGACCATTTTATGTTTAACATTTTGAGAAGCCATCAGACTGTTTTCCTAGCAGCTGCATTATTTTCTATTCATACCAGCAATGTGCAAGGGTTCAAATTTCTCCACATCTTTGATAATCTAGACATCCTAGTGGATGTGAAGTGATATCTTATTATGGTTTTGATTTGCATTTCCCTAATAACTAATGACGTCGAGCATCTTTTCTTGTACTTATTGGCCATTTGTTTTTCTTCTTTGGAGACTTATCTATTCAAATTCTTGCCTATTTTTATTTACTTTTATTCTTTTTTGCTGTAGAGTTTAAGTGTTCTTTGTACATTATAAATACTGGACCTTCATCAGATATATGATCTGGAAATAGGTACTCTGATTATGTAGGTTGTTTTTTCAATCTCTTGATAATATCCTTTGGATTAAAAAGTTTTAAATTGGGGGGAGGAGCCAAGATGGCCGAATAGGAACAGCTCCGGTCTACAGCTCCCAGCGTGAGCGACGCAGAAGACGGTGATTTCTGCATTTCCATCTGAGGTACCGGGTTCATCTCACTAGGGAGTGCCAGACAGTGGGCGCAGGCCAGTGTGTGTGCGCACCGTGCGCGAGCCGAAGCAGGGCGAGGCATTGCCTCACCTGGGAAGCGCAACGGGTCAGGGAGTTCCCTTTCCGAGTCAAAGAAAGGGGTGACGGACGCACCTGGAAAATCGGGTCACTCCCACCCGAATATTGCGCTTTTCAGACCGGCTTAAGAAACGGCGCACCACGAGACTATATCCCACACCTGGCTCGGAGGGTCCTACGCCCACGGAATCTCGCTGATTGCTGGCACAGCAGTCTGAGATCAAACTGCAAGGCGGCAACGAGGCTGGGGGAGGGGCGCCCGCCATTGCCCAGGCTTGCTTAGGTAAACAAAGCAGCCGGGAAGCTCGAACTGGGTGGAGCCCACCACAGCTCAAGGAGGCCTGCCTGCCTCTGTAGGCTCCACCTCTGGGGGCAGGGCACAGACAAACAAAAAGACAGCAGTAACCTCTGCAGACTTAAGTGTCCCTGTCTGACAGCTTTGAAGAGAGCAGTGGTTCTCCCAGCACGCAGCTGGAGATCTGAGAACGGGCAGACTGCCTCCTCAAGTGGGTCCCTGACTCCTGACCCCCGAGCAGCCTAACTGGGAGGCACCCCCCAGCAGGGGCACACTGACACCTCACACGGCAGGGTATTGCAACAGACCTGCAGCTGAGGGTCCTGTCTGTTAGAAGCAAAACTAACAACCAGAAAGGACATCTACACCGAAAACCCATCTGTACATCACCATCATCAAAGACCAAAAGTAGATAAAACCACAAAGATGGGGAAAAAACAGAACAGAAAAACTGGAAACTCTAAAACGCAGAGCGCCTCTCCTCCTCCAAAGGAACGCAGTTCCTCACCAGCAACAGAACAAAGCTGGATGGAGAATGATTTTGATGAGCTGAGAGAAGAAGGCTTCAGACGATCAAATTACTCTGAGCTACGGGAGGACATTCAAACCAAAGGCAAAGAAGTTGAAAACTTTGAAAAAAATTTAGAAGAATGTATAACTAGAATAACCAATACAGAGAAGTGCTTAAAGGAGCTGATGGAGCTGAAAACCAAGGCTCGAGAACTACGTGAAGAATGCAGAAGCCTCAGGAGCCGATGCGATCAACTGGAAGAAAGGGTATCAGCAATGGAAGATGAAATGAATGAAATGAAGCGAGAAGGGAAGTTTAGAGAAAAAAGAATAAAAAGAAATGAGCAAAGCCTCCAAGAAATATGGGACTATGTGAAAAGACCAAATCTACGTCTGATTGGTGTACCTGAAAGTGATGTGGAGAATGGAACCAAGTTGGAAAACACTCTGCAGGATATTATCCAGGAGAACTTCCCCAATCTAGCAAGGCAGGCCAACGTTCAGATTCAGGAAATACAGAGAACGCCACAAAGATACTCCTCGAGAAGAGCAACTCCAAGACACATAATTGTCAGATTCACCAAAGTTGAAATGAAGGAAAAAATGTTAAGGGCAGCCAGAGAGAAAGGTCGGGTTACCCTCAAAGGAAAGCCCATCAGACTAACAGCGGATCTCTCGGCAGAAACCCTACAAGCCAGAAGAGAGTGGGGGCCAATATTCAACATTCTTAAAGAAAAGAATTTTCAACCCAGAATTTCATATCCAGCCAAACTAAGCTTCATAAGTGAAGGAGAAATAAAATACTTTATAGACAAGCAAATGTTGAGAGATTTTGTCACCACCAGGCCTGCCCTAAAAGAGCTCCTGAAGGAAGCGCTAAACATGGAAAGGAACAACCGGTACCAGCCGCTGCAAAATCATGCCAAAATGTAAAGACCATCGAGACTAGGAAGAAACTGCATCAACTAATGAGCAAAATCACCAGCTAACATCATAATGACAGGATCAACTTCACACATAACAATATTAACTTTAAATATAAATGGACTAAATTCTGCAATTAAAAGACACAGACTGGCAAGTTGGATAAAGAGTCAAGACCCATCAGTGTGCTGTATTCAGGAAACCCATCTCACGTGCAGAGACACACATAGGCTCAAAATAAAAGGATGGAGGAAGATCTACCAAGCCAATGGAAAACAAAAAAAGGCAGGGGTTGCAATCCTAGTCTCTGATAAAACAGACTTTAAACCAACAAAGATCAAAAGAGACAAAGAAGGCCATTACATAATGGTAAAGGGATCAATTCAACAAGAGGAGCTAACAATCCTAAATATTTATGCACCCAATACAGGAGCACCCAGATTCATAAAGCAAGTCCTCAGTGACCTACAAAGAGACTTAGACTCCCACACATTAATAATGGGAGACTTTAACACCCCACTGTCAACATTAGACAGATCAACGAGACAGAAAGTTAACAAGGATACCCAGGAATTGAACTCAGCTCTGCACCAAGCAGACCTAATAGACATCTACAGAACTCTCCACCCCAAATCAACAGAATATACATTTTTTTCAGCACCACACCACACCTATTCCAAAATTGACCACATAGTTGGAAGTAAAGCTCTCCTCAGCAAATGTAAAAGAACAGAAATTATAACAAACTATCTCTCAGACCA
Organism: Homo sapiens; assembly: GCF_000001405.40. NCBI lineage: Eukaryota > Metazoa > Chordata > Mammalia > Primates > Hominidae > Homo > Homo sapiens. Next base: position 141,424,572 of record NC_000023.11, on the reverse strand, counting down.
CAGTGCAATCAAACTAGAACTCAGGATTAAGAATCTCACTCAAAGCCGCTCAACTACATGGAAACTGAACAACCTGCTCCTGAATGACTACTGGGTACATAACGAAATGAAGGCAGAAATAAAGATGTTCTTTGAAACCAACGAGAACAAAGACACCACATACCAGAATCTCTGGGACGCATTCAAAGCAGTGTGTAGAGGGAAATTTATAGCACTAAATGCCTACAAGAGAAAGCAGGAAAGATCCAAAATTGACACCCTAACATCACAATTAAAAGAACTAGAAAAGCAAGAGCAAACACATTCAAAAGCTAGCAGAAGGCAAGAAATAACTAAAATCAGAGCAGAACTGAAGGAAATAGAGACACAAAAAACCCTTCAAAAAATCAATGAATCCAGGAGCTGGTTTTTTGAAAGGATCAACAAAATTGATAGACCGCTAGCAAGACTAATAAAGAAAAAAAGAGAGAAGAATCAAATAGACACAATAAAAAATGATAAAGGGGATATCACCACCGATCCCACAGAAATACAAACTACCATCAGAGAATACTACAAACACCTCTACGCAAATAAACTAGAAAATCTAGAAGAAATGGATACATTCCTCGACACATACACTCTCCCAAGACTAAACCAGGAAGAAGTTGAATCTCTGAATCGACCAATAACAGGCTCTGAAATTGTGGCAATAATCAATAGTTTACCAACCAAAAAGAGTCCAGGACCAGATGGATTCACAGCCGAATTCTACCAGAGGTACAAGGAGGAACTGGTACCATTCCTTCTGAAACTATTCCAATCAATAGAAAAAGAGGGAATCCTCCCTAACTCATTTTATGAGGCCAGCATCATTCTGATACCAAAGCCGGGCAGAGACACAACCAAAAAAGAGAATTTTAGACCAATATCCTTGATGAACATTGATGCAAAAATCCTCAATAAAATACTGGCAAACCGAATCCAGCAGCACATCAAAAAGCTTATCCACCATGATCAAGTGGGCTTCATCCCTGGGATGCAAGGCTGGTTCAATATACGCAAATCAATAAATGTAATCCAGCATATAAACAGAGCCAAAGACAAAAACCACATGATTATCTCAATAGATGCAGAAAAAGCCTTTGACAAAATTCAACAACCCTTCATGCTAAAAACTCTCAATAAATTAGGTATTGATGGGACGTATTTCAAAATAATAAGAGCTATCTATGACAAACCCACAGCCAATATCATACTGAATGGGCAAAAACTGGAAGCATTCCCTTTGAAAACCGGCACAAGACAGGGATGCCCTCTCTCACCACTCCTATTCAACATAGTGTTGGAAGTTCTGGCCAGGGCAATCAGGCAGGAGAAGGAAATAAAGGGTATTCAATTAGGAAAAGAGGAAGTCAAATTGTCCCTGTTTGCAGACGACATGATTGTTTATCTAGAAAACCCCATCGTCTCAGCCCAAAATCTCCTTAAGCTGATAAGCAACTTCAGCAAAGTCTCAGGATACAAAATCAATGTACAAAAATCACAAGCATTCTTATACACCAACAACAGACAAACAGAGAGCCAAATCATGGGTGAACTCCCATTCACAATTGCTTCAAAGAGAATAAAATACCTAGGAATCCAACTTACAAGGGATGTGAAGGACCTCTTCAAGGAGAACTACAAACCACTGCTCAAGGAAATAAAAGAGGAGACAAACAAATGGAAGAACATTCCATGCTCATGGGTAGGAAGAATCAATATCGTGAAAATGGCCATACTGCCCAAGGTAATTTACAGATTCAATGCCATCCCCATCAAGCTACCAATGACTTTCTTCACAGAATTGGAAAAAACTACTTTAAAGTTCATATGGAACCAAAAAAGAGCCCGCATTGCCAAGTCAATCCTAAGCCAAAAGAACAAAGCTGGAGGCATCACACTACCTGACTTCAAACTATACTACAAGGCTACAGTAACCAAAACAGCATGGTACTGGTACCAAAACAGAGATATAGATCAATGGAACAGAACAGAGCCCTCAGAAATAATGCCGCATATCTACAACTATCTGATCTTTGACAAACCTGAGAAAAACAAGCAATGGGGAAAGGATTCCCTATTTAATAAATGGTGCTGGGAAAACTGGCTAGCCATATGTAGAAAGCTGAAACTGGATCCCTTCCTTACACCTTATACAAAAATCAATTCAAGATGGATTAAAGATTTAAACGTTAAACCTAAAACCATAAAAACCCTAGAAGAAAACCTAGGCATTACCATTCAGGACATAGGCGTGGGCAAGGACTTCATGTCCAAAACACCAAAAGCAATGGCAACAAAAGACAAAATTGACAAATGGGATCTAATTAAACTAAAGAGCTTCTGCACAGCAAAAGAAACTACCATCAGAGTGAACAGGCAACCTACAACATGGGAGAAAATTTTTGCAACCTACTCATCTGACAAAGGGCTAATATCCAGAATCTACAATGAACTCAAACAAATTTACAAGAAAAAAACAAACAACCCCATCAAAAAGTGGGCGAAGGACATGAACAGACACTTCTCAAAAGAAGACATTTATGCAGCCAAAAAACACATGAAGAAATGCTCATCATCACTGGCCATCAGAGAAATGCAAATCAAAACCACTATGAGATATCATCTCACACCAGTTAGAATGGCAATCATTAAAAAGTCAGGAAACAACAGGTGCTGGAGAGGATGCGGAGAAATAGGAACACTTTTACACTGTTGGTGGGACTGTAAACTAGTTCAACCATTGTGGAAGTCAGTGTGGCGATTCCTCAGGGATCTAGAACTAGAAATACCATTTGACCCAGCCATCCCATTACTGGGTATATACCCAAATGAGTATAAATCATGCTGCTATAAAGACACATGCACACGTATGTTTATTGCGGCACTATTCACAATAGCAAAGACTTGGAACCAACCCAAATGTCCAACAATGATAGACTGGATTAAGAAAATGTGGCACATATACACCATGGAATACTATGCAGCCATAAAAAATGATGAGTTCATATCCTTTGTAGGGACATGGATGAAATTGGAAACCATCATTCTCAGTAAACTATCGCAAGAACAAAAAACCAAACACCGCATATTCTCACTCATAGGTGGGAATTGAACAATGAGATCACATGGACACAGGAAGGGGAATATCACACTCTGGGGACTGTGGTGGGGTCGGGGGAGGGGGGAGGGATAGCATTGGGAGATATACCTAATGCTAGATGACACATTAGTGGGTGCAGCGCACCAGCATGGCACATGTATACATATGTAACTAACCTGCACAATGTGCACATGTACCCTAAAACTTAGAGTATAATAAAAAAAAAAAAAAAAAAAAAAAAAAGTTTTAAATTTAGATTAGTCCAATTTATTTATTTTTTATTTCTGTTGCTTGTGTTTTTTTGTGTCATATCTAAGTAAATATTGCCCAATTTAAGGTCACAAAGGTTGACACCTGTTTTATTCTAAGTATGCTAAAACTTTAGCTGTTACATTTAGGTTTTTGATTATGAGTTAATGTTTGTATGTGGTGTGAGGTAGGTATACCACTTTATTTTTTTCACATAAAAGCTCAACTGTCCTAGCACGATTTGTACAAAAGATCATATGTTTCCCATTGAAATATTTTGGAACCCTTGTTGAAGATAAATTAATAATAAATATGAGGGCTTATTCTGGACCATCTGTTCTATTCCATTGACTTATATGTCTTTTCACATGCCAGTCCCACCTCATCTTGATTAATGTCCCTTTGTAGTAAACTTTGAAAGTTGAATCACCCAACTTTGATTTCCTTTTTAAAAATTGTTTTGGTTATTCAGAGACCATTGAAATTGCATACAATTTTGAGGATCAGCTTTTCCATTTCTGCAACAAAGGCCACTGGAATTTTCATAGAGATTGCATTGGCTCTGTAGATGCCTGGGTAGTATCACCATTTTAACAATCTTAAATCTTCCAGTCTATCGATGAAGAATGTGTTTCCATTTATTTGTGTCTTCTTTAATTTCTCTCAGACATGTTTTCTAATTTTTAGTATGCAAGTCTTATTTATTTTTGGTTAAATACTTTCTTATAATTTATTGTTTTTGTTTTTTTAAAATTTCCATTTCAGATTGTCTATTGCTTGTGTATAAAAATGCACTAATTTTTATATGTTCATCTTATATCCTGTAATTTTGCTGAATTGCTTTATTATCTCTAATATTTTCTTGAGAGAGTCTTTTTCTTTTTTCATTTCATTTCTTTTTCTTTTTAGAGACAGACCCTCACTGCATCACCCAAGCTGGAGTGCAGTGGCATAATCATAGCTCACTACAGCCTCAAACTCCTGGCCTCAAGCTATCCTGCTGCCTTGGCCTCCCAAAATGATGGGAATATGGGCCTGAGCCACTGCATCTGGCAACTGAAAGAGTCTTTAGGATTTTTTCTATATAAGATCATCTCATTTCTGAATAGATATATTAATAATTATATTTCTCCAATTCTGATAGAAGCATTTTCTTTCTTTTTCTTGCCTCATCATTCTGGTTAGAAATTTCAATATAAGGTTGAATAGAAGTAGACATGCTTTTCTTATTTCTGATGTTAGGAGGAAAGTATTCAGTCTTTCACAACTGAGTATAATATTAATGTGGGGCTTTTTTTCATAACTGTAATTTATCATGTTGAAACCTTTCATTTTATTCCTAGTTAATTGTTTTTATCATGAAGCAGTGTTGAATTTTGTTACATTTTTGTGTACATCAATTGGGATAATCATGAGCTTTTTTCCTTGTGTTAAAGTAGCATATTATAAAGCTTGATCTTTGCATGTTGACCCACCTTAGTATTCCTAAAATAAATCCCTCTTGGCCATGATATATAATCTTCTAAATGTGCTACTGAAATATTTGCTAGTATTTTGTTGAAGATTTTTGCATCTACGTCCATAACAGATATTGGTCTATAGTTTTTTTGTTTATTTTATTTTATTTTATTTTATTTTTTTTGAGACAGAGTTTTGCTCTTGTTGCCCAGGCTGGAGTGCAACGGCATGATCTTGGCTCACTGAAACCTTCGCCTCCCGGGTTCAAGCAATTCTCCTACCTAAGCGTCCCAAATAGCTGGAATTACAGGCATGGACCACCACATCCAGCTAATTGTGTATTTTTAGTAGAGACGGGGTTTCACCATGTTGGTCAGACTGGTCTTGAACTTTTGACCTCAGGTGATCCACCCACCTCAGCCTCCCAAAGTGCTGGGACTACAGGTATGAGCCACCATGCGGGGCCTATAGTTTTGTCTTCTTATGATGTCTTTATCTGGTTTTGGTATACAGGTAATATTGTTCTCATAGAACGAGTTAGGAAGTGTCTTCTATTTTTAGAAAATTTTGAGAAGAATTAGTGTTAATACTTCCTTAAATGTTTGGTTGTGAAGCATTGTGGTTCTGGACTTTTCCTTAGGAGATTTTTGATTATAGATTTAATATCTTTACTTTGTAAAAGTGTACTTAGATTTTCTATTTTTTCTTGTGTCAGTTTTGGCAGTTTTATTCTCCTGACAATTTGCTCATTTCATCTAGGTTATCTAGTGTGTTGGGGTGCAGTTTTTCATAGTATTCTTTTATCTGTTTATTTCTGTAAGGTTTGTCCTAAGTTATACTTCTGATTTCAGTCCTGTCAGTTTTTATTTCTCTTTTTTCTTGGTCAGTCTAGATACAGGTTTGTGAGATTTTTTTTTTTTTTTTTAAAGAGTCAACTTTTGGTTTAACTGATTCTCTTTATTGTTTTATATTCCATATTTCTTTTATCCAGTCTGACCATCTTTGCCTATTGGATTAGATTATAAAGTTAATCTACATCCAATGTTATTGTTGATATAGTTGAATTTATGGTGGATATCGTTTTACTTTTTCTTTTTCTTTCTTTCTTTCTTTTTTTTCTTTTTTTGAGACAGAGTTTCACTCTTGTTGCCCAGGCCCAGGTGTAATGGCAAAATTTCAGCTCACCACAACCTCTGCCTCCCAGGTTCAAGCAATTCTCCTGCCTCAACCTACCAAGTAGCTGGGACTACAGGCATGTGCCACCACACCCGGCTAATTTTTTGTATTTTTAGTAGAGACGGGGTTTCACTATGTTGGTCAGATTGGTCTTGAACTCCTGACCTCAGGTGATCCACCCACCTTGGCCTCCCAAAGTGCAGGGATTACAGGCGCCCAGCCTACTTTTAATTTTCTATATTTCTTATGTTTTTCTGGTTCTTCTAATTCTTTTCCTCTGTCTTTCGAATCAAGTGAATATATTGTAATGCAGTATTTTAATTTATTTAATTATATTTTTACTATATTTGGGTTTTTTTTTCTTTAGTAGTTACTCTGGGGTTTACCATATACATCCTTGTAAAATTACGGTGATAAAAAATACATGAGACCTGTCTTCTTCACAAATTTCTAAATGTATAGTAAAGCATTGTTAAGTATAAGAATGTATATAGATTTCTAGAACATATTCATTTGCGTATCTAAAATTTTATATGTGTTGAATAGCAATTCATCATTTACCTCTCTCCCCAGCCCTTGATAACAACCATTGTATTCTCTGCTTCCATGAGTTTGACTATTTACATACCTCATACAAGCAGAATCATAAAGTATTTGTCCTTCTTTGGTTGGTTTATTTCACTTAGGGTAATGTCCTCCAGGTTCATCCATGTTGTCACATATGGAAGTAATTCCTTCCTTTTATAGGCTTAATAATATTCCATTCTGTGTGTAGATAGATAGATAGATAGATAGATAGATAAACAGATACCACGTTTTCTTTATCTGTTCATCGATCCAAGGACATTTAGCTTGTTTCCACATCTTGGTTATTGTGAATAATGCTGAAATGAGCATGGAAGTTCAAATGTCTCCTCAAGATCCTGATTTCTATTCTTTTGGCTAAGCACTCAAAAGTGGGATCGTTGGATTATATAGTAGTCCTATTTTTAATGTTTTAAGGAACCTCCATACTGTTTCTTATAGCGGCTGCCCCATTTTTTACGTTCACACTGTATTTCATTCTCACACTCTTATAAAGAACTACCTGACACTGGGTAATATATGAAGAAAGTAGGTTTAATTGACTCACAGTTCTGCAGGCTGTACAGAAAGCATGGCTGAGGATGCCTCAGGAAACTTACGGTCATGGCAGGAGGGTGAAGGGGAAGCGAGTACCTTCTTCACATGGTGGCAGGAGAGAGACAGAGTAAAGAGAGGTGCTACATACATTTAAACAAGCAAATCTTGTAGAGGTGGGTTCTTGCTATGTTGCCCAGGCTGGTCTTGAACTCCCAGCCTCAAATAATTCTCTTGCCTTGGACTCCTAAAGTGTTGAAATTACAGACCACTGCGCCCAACCAAAATATTTCTGATGACTACAGAATTCTTGGTTGATTTCTTTGATATTCTTGAAATTTTTATTTTCTTTGATCACTTTAAATATGTTATCTCACTGCCTTCTAACTTTCATTGTTTCTGATAAGAAGTTAACTGTCAATTATATGGAAGTTTCCTTGTATGTGATGAGTCACTTTTCTCTCGCCAATTTTAATATTTTTTTTCTGTCTTATATACTGAACATTTTTACTATGGGTCTGTGTGCATCTCCTTGAGCTTATTGTTCAAAATTTGTTGAGCTTCTTGGATGTGAAGATTGATGTTTCCCAAAAACTTCAGGAAGTTTTCAGCCATTCTTTTTTTTTCTTCTCACTTCTTTTTCCTCTTCTTCTGGTACTCTCACTACATATCTGTTGGTGTGCTTAAAAATGTGCCACATTTCACTTTAGGTCTATTTATTTTCTTCATTCTAGTTTATCTTGGTTCTTTAGACTGTATAATCTCTATTTATAGTCAAGTTTCTGATTCTCTCTATTTTCAGTTCAAATGTACTGTTGAATCCCTCTATTACATATTTTTTATTTGGATTATTGTAATTTTTAACTCCATAATTTTCATTTACTTCTTTTAAAATAATTTCTGTCTCTCTCTCTTTGAAGAGATTTTTTTTTCTCATAGCTTCTTTTAACTCTTTAAACATGGCTTCTATTAGTCCTTTGAACACATTTATAATGGCTACTTTGAAGTGTTAATTATAACATTTTGTCTTTCTCTTAGTTATTTTCTGTTGCCTACTTTTCTTTTCTTCTGTGTGAGCGACTTGTTCCAGTTTCTTTGCAACATATCATAACATTTTGCTGAAAAATGAACATTAGAGATAATTTCTTTTGGCAATTCTGTACACTGATTCCACTTCTTCAATACTAGAGCTTATTTACGTTTTCATTTGCTTATTTGTTTTGTTGCTGGAGTAGGGTATTTTTGTGAATTTTTGTGAAGTCAATTTCTCCTGCAGTGTGAAGTCTTTTGTGTTGTTCCTCAGAAGGTGCAACCTTGGGCATGCACATAGTCACCAGGAATGACAGTGGTTTTAGAAGGTTTCTGTTTCTGATCTCTTTTTTAACCTGTCTGCTTCAATTCTATTCTACCCCACTTTTAGGCTCTGCTAATTATTCTTATTTCTTTTTTAATTTTTTTTTTTACTGTTTTACTGGTTTATTGTTTTGACAGTGCTCTGGGGCATAAATTGCTCCACTGTCTGATCCAATTATACCTAGGCAGGGATAATTTTTGAGGTTTATTTTCATCTCAGTAGGGCTCTATGTAGGTGTCTCTTTTCCTGGTTCTCTCTGGTGAATTAGCTTGCCTACGGTTTAAACTTGCTGCTTTTAATTATAATGTTTTGTTGTTGTTGTTTTTGAGAGTGCTCTTAAACTTGAATACACACTGTGTCAAATAAAATTATCTTCTTTGTGACTTACTCAGAGCTTTCTTTTTATGTGGACTGCTGCTACCCCTGGAAAAACTCTGATTGACCACGTTCAGCACTATGTGGGGTAGTAGCTACTGGTTGTTTCAGCTTGTGTCTCCAAGCATGGAATCCACGCCCTAAGAGAAAGGTGCAGTGAGAGTCACTGGGGCGCAGGTATTCTTTATCTCTGCCCTTCGAATAAAGATTGAGTGAAGGAAGGGATTAGTTACTTAAGCTTTATACTGTACTCACCAGGAATTTAACTTCTTCTACTCTGTCCTATGAACTCTAGTTTTCTCATACTTCTTGGGTTTCCAGCTCTTTCTCCTTACCTCAGGGATATTGTTGGTCTCTGCCCAAGTTCCCCCTCTCAGAGCCATAAATTAGAAAATCTCTTCAGGCAGTAAGCTGGGGTAACTGTAGGACTCACTTCAATTTTTCTTTCTCTTTCTAGCATCACTGCCCTGCATTGCCAGATATCCAGTGCCAGAAAGCCTTTCTTTAATAGACTTTGTTCTCTTCTTTATGAGCTGTGTTGAGGAGGTAGGTAAATTGGGTTCCTGTTGCTTCATTTTGGCTGCAAATGAGTCACTTTTGGTCTGCATTTTTAACAAATTATAGCATGTACATACCCCGGAAAACTCTGTAGCATAAATCCTTTTTTTTCTAATGTATATTTCTTTGAAACACATCTGCATTTTAGGCTGTGAAAACATGTAAACAAGCAGATTCTTTACTGAGGTAAATATTAAATACCATGTCTACTTAATGTTAAAGTGACTGGTCATTTTTGTGTAAAAAGCATCCAAAATGATTGGCATCGTAAAACAAAGATCTCAAGTTGATTAATTGTGTTCTAGGTATTTCTATCAGTTTTTAATGTGTTTAAGATTTATATGACTGTTGAACTTCACAAACAATTTTTCTCAAGTACATATTACAGAACAGTATTTTTAAGAATTGTAATTATCGGCTCGGCGTGGTGGCTCACGCCTGTAATCCCAGCACTTTGGGAAGCCAAGGCGGGCGGATCACAAGGTTAGGAGTTCGAGACCAGCCTGACCAACATGGGGAAACCCCGTCTCTACTGAAAATACAAAAAAATTATCCAGGCGTGGTGGTGCATGCCTGTAATCTCAGTTACTCAGGAGGCTGGGGCAGGAGAATCGCTTGAACCTGGGAGGCGGAGGTTGCGGTGAGCCGGGATTACACCATTGCACTCCAGCTTGGGCAACAAGAGCAAAACTCCATCTCAAAATAAAAATTGTAATTATCATATTTTTAAATTTTTTTAGAAGACCATTATAATCAGGTCATCCTCTGGCTTTAAAAATACTGAAGATTTTTTTCCCCACATATGTTCTTTCAGATATTGTAAAAATTAGGAAAATAGTCTGTAATTTTGAACACTATTCTCAGTCAGACAAATTTTCAAAAGGAGAAATAATCCTGAAAAATAAGATACCATTGAGGTATGTAACATCCATACTGTCTAAAAATTTAAATTTTGTACATTCCAGTTATGGGTTCATTGGGTTACTTGGAGTGACAGTCTGTTTCTTGCACCCTATTGTACCAAGAACAAAGCACCAAAAGATGATAGAGCTGCCTCAACTGGCATAGTTGCTTGTAATTTTAAACTTTTAATTATTTTAATTCAATTCAATTTTACTCTTTCGTCTCACTGGATAGGTGGAGGGTAAAGCAGAAAGACAGACAAATTGGAGCTTTATAGGCTTTTGTTGCAGAACACGTTTCGGGAACCACCATTTCCGATTTCAGAGGTTTTGGTAGGAAAAGCTAATATATAAGATAAAAAAAAATACAAATATGACTGTGTGGTAGACTGAAAATAGCACTGCACTTTACATTCAGATCTACTCCTCTCCTGTGACCATGAACAAGTTGCCACCTCCCTCTGATCCTCAGTTCTCTTATCTGTAAAGTAAGGTTTGAAATACATAATCTCTAAAGGAAATGCCTTTGCAATGCTGCAAGCAGATGCTTCTCTGAAATGCTTCATTTTAGTGTGCAAAGATACAGGTAGTTTAGACACGAATGGATATTACCCCTGACTAATCGGGCAGTTACATATGAGAGAAGCTTCAGGAGACTGAGTAACTTTTCATTTTCATTGTTTCATATTCTTAGGGAAGGTTTGGCTCATAACCCACAAAGACATTATGAAAATGACCCTACTCATTTTGCCTATGCCATGTGCTTTTAAATAAAGATGACTTTTCCCATTTAATTATGTAGCTAGATATGCTTTCAATTGCATATTAACTCCTTCTGCTCATGTAATAATTTTCTCTGTAATATTCCTGCACTATATCATGTGTACTTATAGAACAGTAACATTTCTATATACTACTCTTCCCACATAACTGTTTTAAATATACTTTTTTCATTGGAAATTCTTTCGCAATGATTTATTACTTAGCCAAAATGCTATCTTTATTTTTAAATCTGCAAAAGCCATTTTATGGGATATATCTAGCTCGTTCTCATTTCCAGGGTTGCAAAAGAAAGAGCACCATAAATGAGGTAACTCCTGTGATGTGAGGCACTAGGTAGTGGGGGGACAAAAAATAAATTTCTTCCTAATAGACCCAGTAAATGGGATGCTTCTTACCCTGGGTGACTTTAGAAGGGTGGCTACACTTTGAAGTTTGTAATACAAATATACTCCAATTCATATTTCTTGGTTCTGATTTGATCTTTTTTCAACTTATACGAATAAGGTGGTTAAAAGATAAAATATATTTCACCACTTGGAGTCCCTGTATACTAACAACTCTCAGATCTTTATCATTCAAACTGATTTTGTTTTTTTAGCAGCTTGTCTGCAGTGTCCACTTGTCCATTAAACATTCATAAACATATGCCAATTATTCCTATTTGTATACCATGTTGTAGTTTACAGCACATTTTCATATCTATCTACTTAAATCTTTACAATGACTCTCTGAGATAGGCTAGGCTATAATTTTCAACCACCTTTAATTATATTTACTATTATAAATTCAATTTTACAAGGTGCTTTACTTTCACAGTTGAATTTTTTAAAATAATCTTTTATCTTCCTATTCTATTAACTGCAAAATAGCTGCGCATGTAATAAACATATATGCCCAACACCAACAACTCAAATGCAACCTGTCTAAAACGGAATATACTTTCTCCCTTCCCTCCCCATCTTCTGCTTACCATCCATTTCACATACACCAAAGATGATCAATCATCCTCCTTTTGGTGTTACTTCAGTTCTTAATGACCACAATTTCCCAGTTCTTCAAATCCAGAAATCCCTTTCTTTACCTTGCCCTTCTGAGTCGCATTAGCTCTCTGGTTCTACAGCAGCAATTTCAGCAACAACTACAGTACATTTCCCTTCTTCTCCACTGCCACTGCCATAATTCTATTGCAACAGCCTTATAATTGGACTCCCAATCTCTAATCAAGGAATCCTTCATTTTTCATGCTGCCAAACAGGTGCTTTTCTTAAAACACAGCTGAGAATCCATCACACCCCTTATCAAATATTCTGTGGTGAGCTGTAAACTTACTGCTATGAAGTACAATGCCCTTAAATTTATTTTTTTTCTCTGCCACTTAGTAGTTGCATGATCTTGGGAAAATCACTCAACGTCTCCAAAACTTATTTTCATCATCTTTTAAAAGGGGGTTAAAAATAGTATTTTGCTCTCAGCATTGAGGATTTAAAGACAATGCTTGTAAAGAGGTGAGCACAGTGGCCGGCACATAGTTTTTGCTTAGGAAGTGTTAGTTGTATCATATGTGTAACATTGGATGGAACACACTGTAAACAGTACTGGCTTTGGGTCAGACAGCTAGTAGAGTGAATATTCCAAACTCTGTGTGTCTGAATGAAAAGCATAATTCTCTCCAGTATATTATGCTTATATTTTGACCTTCAGTTTGAGCAGGGAATATAAAATTGGGCCTTAAAGTGGGGAATCAACATCCATAGTCTTTATATTAGTGTCCTCTAGTGCTGCTTGCTAGATTAGTCCTTGCCCATCTCTGTGAATCTTTGTCTTACCCTGTGGCTAAGAGCTCTTGATAGTCAAAGTAAGAGTTCTGGCTCTAACTATATTCCCCATCTTGACTTATCTTGCCTATTTCTGTCCATTTCCTTAGATAAGGCGTGATAAATCTTACCCCAAAATCTTTTTACTTAGCTTAGTATTGAGGATGGTGTACAAGTGAGTTTGCTTAGTGCTATTTGCTTTTCCCTATCTGTGTAGAAAACTTCACAAGAAACTATCACCATTGTTTGCTTAGAGGTTCTGTGATATAGTGAACATATACAGGCTTGGAATCACACAGACCTAAGCAGGAATACCAGGTCCTCTACTAGCTAGCTGCATAATTTGGAGGCAGGTCATTTTTATCTCTCTAAGCCTGTTTTCTCTTCCCAACATAAAGTAGGTATGTGTTACTACCTAATGACTGGGAAAATATCCAATGATTAAAATGCTGTCCAGAATTAAATAATACTTCTAAATACATTTACATTTTATTATATAACAGTATGTATATCTAGGAGATAAATTGTTTGTTCAATCTCTAGTTAATATTTGGTATACACGTGAATTTGTGGTCTGTTTTCCATAACTGTCCGATCACTTGAGCTCCACAGACCACTTGTTGTGATAGAGCCCGCTGATTGGCTTTCAATACCCATTCTCATCTTCTTATGCGATCAAATAACTTTTAGTTGGCCACAGAGCTACCTAATGATTTCACTCTGTGGCCTGTCCCCAAATTATGCAGCTAGCTAATGGAGAACTTAGGATTCCTGCTTAGGTCTGTGTGATTCCAAAGGCTACCTACGTCCCATACAACTATAAGTGGTCATGTGTCTAAATTATGACGAATGGAATGTAAACATAAGTGAAATGTGCAACATCTGGGAATGCTTATTAAGAAAAAGCTTTTTAAAACATTTTTTTATTGTTTTTTTTCTTGAGATGAAGCCTTGCTCTGTCGCCCAGGCTGGAGTTCAGTGGCACAATCTGGGCTCACTGCAACCTCCGCCTCCCGGGTTCAAGCTATTCTCCTGCCTCAGCCTCCATGGTAGCTGGGATTACAGGAGCCCACCACCATGCCCGGCTAATTCTGTGTATTTTTAGTAGAGGCAGGGTTTCACCATGTTGGCTAGGCTGGTCTCGAACTCCTGACCTCAAGCGATCAACCTTGGCCTCCCAAAGTGCTGGGATTACAGGTGTGAGCCACGGCACCCAGCTGGACTCTATATCTTTTGTCCCTTTGGCTACTGACTGGAATGCAGAAGTTGTGTGGAATCCGGAGCAGCCGTTTTGGATCGTGAATGGAAAAGCCATGTTGTGAAAGGGAGAGCGATAAGACACTATGATCCTGGACCCCTTATTGTGGAGTATCCATACTAGTCCGATCCACCAAACTGGACCGTTATGTGAAAGAAATCAATTTTAAGCCACTATTATACTATTTTTTTAATAACAGCTGAAGAAAATTCTAATTAATACAGTTGAAAACCATTGAAATAATGTATATGAAATAACTGATCCATGTTAATTCATTCTTATAATTGCATTGATCAGTTCCTTCCTTTGTTGAGCAATCTTTCATTGTGTTTGTTTTATCACCCTAAAATAATGTTGGGTTATGGACTCGTGGGCCTCTGCAAGACCTAAAATACTTCCCTTTCCCTGAACAGACATATTTTGTGCTATATTAATTATCTGACCTTCATGAACAGTCATGCATAGCAATTTTCTGAGATGCTCTCTGAAGTCTCTGAAGCTATAATATGCAGTACTTTTTATAAGAGGCACTTTTGATTATTAACTTCACTGAAAGTAATAGGCAGGAAGATTTGTGGTGCTGTCTGTTTCCATGTATTCAAGATTGCATTGCCACTTCATAATGCTTCTTGTTATCGCAAGCTGATTAGAGTGTAGAAACCAAATGGAAAATGACACAACTTAATACCTTTACAGAGTAAATTATAAAAGTATTACAAACAATAAAAAATTCTTCAGAATTAATTGAACATAAAGCATCCTTTTTTCTCTCAGTATAAAATTATAGGTGGAATTGGATCGCATCTGGATAGTAATGAAAAATCCTGTTAGCTTTCAGTTATGGTCCTGAACAGCAACTGTTGCTCTCATGCTCTCTTGCTCTCTCCTTTTTGCTCTCTTTCACTTGCTTTCTCTTTCTCTTTATCCTCTTTCTCCCCTTTTCTCTGTTTTTTTTTTTCTGTTCATTGGTGAGCTAATCTGGGACTCTGTGTTCAGGACTCTCAATTCAATAGATATTAAGGTTTTAGACCAGAAGATAATACGATTGACTGAACATTAAATGCATTACATGATAATAATTGTAATTTTATACTTATTATGCACATGCAAATGTACTAAATTATTACAAAAGAAAAAAAACTCATTCAAACCAAAAGTTTAATTACAATGGAAAGAGG
This sequence comes from Homo sapiens, assembly GCF_000001405.40. Taxonomy (NCBI): domain Eukaryota; kingdom Metazoa; phylum Chordata; class Mammalia; order Primates; family Hominidae; genus Homo; species Homo sapiens. Next base: position 141,409,221 of record NC_000023.11, on the reverse strand, counting down.
CATATTGGTTGGGCAACAGATAATAAAATATTACATTCCCTTGTTTTTATGTGATGCATTGTTCCCTCAACTTTACAGTGTTGGTTTGGGGTATTTAATTCTATTAACTGTTGCAATGAGATACTGAGAAATTTTATTCTTTTTCATTAGGATTGAGGATATATGCCTACAACTAAATACTTAAAGAACTCCGTGCCTAATGTTCTGCTCCTAACTACAACAGTGCATCACTGCGGCACCTCCATTAACTTGTTCAATATTCTAGAGACTGCTGTGCCTGGCAGTTGGAGAGCATCAAGAAGATAAACTATGAGAGCTATTTTTCACTCATATGTAGAGCACATCTGTTGACATCTCAAATGCTAATTAATAAATAAAAAACTTGGGCCTCATTCAGAATTGATATAAGATGAATTATTTCATTTTCTCTCTCCAAATATAGAACATGAATGGGAACTGAAGCAGAGTTCTCCCTTCAGTAAATCGGTTGTGCTGATTTACACATACCTACTTTATGTTGGGAAGAGAAAACTGAAGCTTACAGAGGTAAAATGACCTGCCTCCAAATTATGCAGCTAGCCAGTAGAGGACCTAGTATTTCTACTCAGATCTGTGTGATTCCAAGCCTATATATGTTCACTGTATCACAGAACCTCTAAGCAAACAATGGTGATAGTTTTCAGAGTAAGAATAACAATTCTCACAGCTCAGGTTACTTTCAGAGAAAGAGAGAAAAGAGTTTTTTTTTTAAATGGCATTTGTGTGTCTCTGTAGGAAAATGCATATTGATTTTTAGGCTGTGCCAAGAGAAACAGGGATACTTTGAGGGTCACATAGGCCCCTTTGCTAATTAGAATGTTGTCTGTGAGCTGTTTCTATTGGTTTCAGGGCTTATATTGACCAATCCTATCAAAGAGCTTTAAGGAAAGGCCATTATCATGCACAGTAGAAAAAAATACACTGAACATTGAATACCTGCATGGCTATGACTTATTATTATTATTTTTAAAAAAAATACCATTAAATGGCAGCCTTGTAAAAACCAGAAAGAGTTCCACTCACTTATGTGACAGAAAATACTTCATGGCAATATGTTTTAGTGACATGAGCCATTTTTCTCTCTTTAGATTTTTGGGATAAAGAAAATTATTGTTCTGTAAAGTCGTAATATAGGCATACACTATTACTGGAGCAGAGAGTGTGATTAATCCATATTCTGTGACACTTTTTCAGTAAGCTATATTTTATATAAAAAGACAGAAGTCTTAGGCTTCTTTGTGCAGTTGTAGTTGCTTGACCAGAACTGAATCCGTAGGTGTACTGATCCATTTATGAGAGAGAAAAAGTGATTCTATATTATATTAAATTATAAGGGAGTTTGTTCTGGTATCTCATAGTGGCTCATGCTCTGGTCTTTTTTTCTTATTATTTTGTAAAGAAGACAGTGAGACGAGTGATTTGTCAGAGTTATAGATTTTTATCTAGTTAAAGGTCAGGTGCTGAGCAATTGATTTGATTACTGAGCCATTGGGTCATTAAGTTGTCCAAAATAGCCTTGCTGCAAATGTTCATTGGCGAGCTAATCTGGGACTCTGTATTGAGGGCTTGCATTACTGTCTATGGAAAATACTAAGATAAAATTGTGAAAAAAATTGTAGTCAGAGATGGGTATGTCACAGAAGTACAAGATTAGTACATGAAACCATTTGTGATTCGAGGATATACATTCACTTCTTTTCCAAGCTCTTTTCTAAGGCCTGAAATTCCACTATTGAAGTTTTTTTTTTTTTTCATTAAAATCTGTGGCAACCTTAAGGAGTGGAATGACAAAGGTCTGGAATATGCAACATTGCCCAGAAGGATTGGACTGTGTGGAGTGCAGCACTTCTGAGCTTGCGAACAAAATGAAAATGCTGTGGGAAGCCAAGACCAAACTGAGCCTCCCTCCTTCAAAATGTTTTCAAGGAACATACTTTTCTGATCCCATTTTACAAAATCTAAAGAAACCTAAATTACAGCTAATAAAAAGAAGAGTGCTGGACTTGGAGTTCTGGGTACTAGCTCCAGTTGTGCTTACTTATCGTGTGCCCTAGGACTAATCAGTGAACCCCTATGTGGAAACTCTGCTTCCTCATGTAAAGCCTGAAAATTTCAGATGACGCTCTCTAAGCTCTACCATTCTACATTTTATAATGTAGATAGCTAGAATTTGATTCAGTTTTCAGGGAAATGCATAACACTTAGCAAACAGATGAATTATGTTTCCATTTCAACTACCATTGCCCAAATTAATTGTTTAAACCATAGAGTCTTAATTATTGTTGAGAGTGACTTTCAAGTTAATGATTCTGGTTTGGAATTTGGGGAGGGGCATTGTAGAATGTATTTCTACATACATTATTGTAAAAAGGGCATCCAGTTTTAACTGTGCCACTATCTCAGTAAATTCCATTTTACTCTTTCTGGTTTAGTTTCTTTATTTCTAAGTCCTTTTGAACTACTCTATTTTATCCTTTTCTATTTGCTCCACATAACAGCTCATCATAGATGTATACATTTTAGCTTTTATATTTTTTCAAGGAAAATCAGAATTTAATCATTCTAAATAATTGTTATATAATCATGATTTAAAAGGCAACTTTTTACATTCCCTGAAATATTTCTAATGTAGCCATATTTAGAAGCTTCCACAATCCTGCTCATAAAATACATAGTGGAGTTTTATAGTCTCTAAGAGAGCGTATATCCTCATGCTAGATAGTTTAGGTGTCCAAGTCATAGCATTTTGGTGACTCTTAGTCATTTCCTTGTGAGTCAACCATCTCAGGCTGCTTACATGCTTTTATGTTCTTCCAACTTCCATGACCAGAGGATGGATTAATTTCCTGTAAATATATACTTATACACATGTCCACTCGTTCCAAAGTGACATCAAATACCCCTTATCAATAGCAGTGTCAGAGCAAGCTTTCATTAAAGCACAGGAGAAGAGCTACTTTAAGTGTTGCTGAGAACAGGATCATAGGTCTATGAAATAGAGAGAGAGAGAGAAAGAGAGACTGCTGAGGCAACCTCTGTTTGCTCCCTGAGGTCACTCCTCTGCAGGTGTGGGAGAGCTGCACTTACACAATATTGCATACCACTGGATTGAGGATGGTAGCTAATGTTTATGGAACAAATAAATCTCTCAGTAGCATAAGTAGAAAATGACTCATGAAAATATAATCTGCTTCAGTGCTGTGTTTTCTGCTGGAAAAAGGATGAAAGCAAGTTATTACAGGCAGTTTTCCAAAGGAATCTCACCAATAATCTGTTTACCTTAATGTACAAAAAAATGTTGTTTTTTGTATGTCTCAATCCTTGTCCCAGCTTCCTTATTAGCTGTGTGACCTTAGGCAAGTTTCCCTTGGTTCCCTTATCTTTAAAACAGAGATACTAACAGTACTTATTTTATAGTCTCATTGTAAAGATTAAGTGAAATAAAGTATTTTTAAATGGTTTAGCACAGCACTGAGGTGATAGTAAGTGCATAGTAAATGTTATTGTTTTTAGTTGTCTACAACTTTGGGTGACTCATGAGCTCCTGGAGAGTGGAAAATGCTTTTGATGTATTATTCATCCTTGTATTTGACTGACATTGTTTTAGTGAGGTAAGATAAGCAATAGGTTTGGAGTCCTGGCTTTGCCATTTACTATCTCTGTGCCTTTGAGAGAGTTCCGCTCTTCTTCTCTTCCCATCCTTGCCTTAACCAGTGAGCTTCAGTAATAATTGTAATTACATTACATGTTTGAGATAGGAATTCAATCAGATAAAGTACATGGTGCTATTAGAGACCTCAATAAATTATAGCTGTTATTTATTTATGTGTGCTCCTCTAATGGTAGATATTATTATTATATGCATTACATTATTAAGTACAGAAGTTATTTTCCATTCTGCTGCTTTAGGTTAATTTATCATCAATAGTTTCCATGTTTTTTCTCATTGTAATAATTTTATTGAAAAATGTCTTAGTCCATTCCTGCTGCTATAACAAAATACCTTAGTCCAAGCAATTTATAAATAATAGAAACTTATACCTCACAGTTATAGAGATTGAGAAATCTAAGATCAAAGCACTAGCAGATTCATTGTCTGGTAAGGGCTCACTCTCTGTTTCCACGATGGTGCTTTGTTGCTGAATCCTCTGGAGGGAATAAACACTGTGTCCTCACATGGTGGATGGGACAAAAGGGAAAAAAAGGACTAGGGTGCCCCTTTCAACATATTTTATAAGATCACTTATCCTATTCATGAACACTCATGACTTAATCACTTTCCCAACGGCTCCACCTCTTAATATTATCACAGTGGGTATAAAGTTCCAACATATAAATTTTGGAAGGACACTGCTATGGTCTAAATGTATCCATCCAAATTTATACGTTGGAAATTAAATCCCCAGTGCAACAGTTTTGGTAGGTGGGGCCTTTTGGGACGTATTTAGGTCTTGATAACTCTGCTCCGATGAATGGATTAATACTGTGACAAAAGGGCTTGATTGAGGGGAGTTTGTCTTTTTTTGCCTTTCTGCCTTCTGCTCTGTGAGGACACACTGTTTTTCCCCTCCTGAGGACACACTATCAAGGTGTTGTCTTGGAAGCAGGGACTGAACACTTACTGGACACTAGATAATTGTGCCTTGATCTTGGACTTAACAGCCTCCAGAACTGTAAGAAATGCATTTATGTTCTTTATAAACTACCAAGTATCAGGTATTCTGTTATGGCCACATAAGTTACTTAGACACATACATTCAAATCATAGAAAAGGGCTTTATAATTCTGCCCTTCTTATATTGTTCAGGAGGGTTAGCATGTAGGGATCTAAGAAAATTGAACCTTATGAAAGCAGGAATTGTATCTGTTTTGTTTACTCATATATCCTATAAGTATTTGTGCCAGCCACCCAACAGGTGATCATAAAGTATTTTTGAATGGACATATAAACATAACAAAGAATTTTAGTTTAAGCATACTACTGGATTACAGTGTTAGAAAACACAGTGATAACTGAATAGAACACTATAATTAAAAGGGGAGGAAAAAATTTTAATTGTCTAATTTATTACCATTATTATATAGGAGTCAAGAAAATCTGCATCAATTCATAGGCCTGAGACCTATACAAGTTTTATCAACAAAATAAGAAGATTCAGTTGAAGATTCGAAGATAGTTGACTACATGCAGCCATATGGTATAGCTGCCACTGAGGGATCAAGATGACTGATGCACTCCTAACAGATCTTCAGAAGGAAGGCACTGAAGTGGATGGAGGGAAGGCACAGAAGATGGGCTGAAAAGAGAGAGGAAGCTGGGAACTCTGCACGGGGCTACTGTACCCTGGGACTCATTCCCGGTCCCGAATGGTACAAATGAGTGAGTTGAACTGGCAAGGAGCAACCTGGGCCTCTGGAATCCTGGCAGGAGGAAATCCCTAGACCACCATGGACACTTGAGTTGGCAGGGAGAGCTTCTTCCAGAAGTGCTAAGGTGAGTACACCAGCCTATGCGGAGCCCAGAGGGTTTGGTTTGGGAGTGTCTGTAGTGGAGCACAGCCACGGATGCCCATCCTTTCAGCCTTGACTTGCTCCCATAGGAGACTTTAGCCTTAGGGGAGCTGTCAGACCTGAACTCTGCAGGGCAGTCTTGCCCATCAAATGGGGCTGGTCCAACCTGAGCACTCCTTGGTCTGCTGGCCTCTCTCAGGACCCCATCCTGGTTGTACTTGCTTGCAATGCAGCGTTGGGTGCCCCAAGGCACCGCATCATAGCTCCTGCACTAGTGGACTGTGTCTGATGGATGGAAGCTTCGGTGGGGCAGCCCCCATGGCCAGGCACCATCCTGCCTACTCCCTCCCACCACTGTAGCTTCCCCAGGCCTATGGCTGCCCTTCATATCTGTCAGCACGTGTGTCTGTGAGTGGATTTTGCCTTACCTGCCCTGCCAGTGAACGTTTGTATGCACAACCTGCCCTGCTTCTGCTGCTGGTGGGAGTGCACTCTGCCCCCACTCCCCTGCCTTATCACCATTTCATTCAGAGTTTTGACAGGCACAGATGCTGCTAGCCCTGCCCCCATCAGCGCCCTGCCCCTGTGCCAACACTGCTGCTGGAGTGAAAGTAGGCATGCAGAACAGCAAGCCCTCCACAACCCTGAGCAGCCAGAGGGTGCACACAGACCTGTGCCCACCAATGCTCTGCCCCTGTGCTAACACCACAAGTGTGACAGCATGCACAACCACCAACAGGCCCCCCTCCTACTCCCCCTATACCAGCTGTGCGGCCTCTGCCACTGCTGTGAATGCCCACAAGAAGATAGGCACCCTGGCACCCACTAACACCCTGCTGCAGCCAGTTAGCATGCACCCGTCCATGTTGTTGCTTACATGCACCCCTTCATACTGTCACTGCCACTGCTGCTCGGATGTGCAAATGAGAAAAGATCCCGCTACCATTGCCCTAAGAAACGCTTTGGCTGGCACCAACCATCAGAGTGTAGTGACCACTGGTCCAAAAGCATTTTGGTCCCCTAGTGCAGTGGGTTGATAACCTCAAGAAGCCAGAGAATAACACTGGGGTCTGATACAAGTCCCTCAGAGTTGGAGCACGCAGTACAAAAGTTGAGAACTGAGCCTTGGCCCCTAAAATTTTCCAAAAATGAAGATAGTTAACTGAACCCACCTGTGATAGTTAAAACTGAGTGTCAATTTGATTGGATTGAAGGATACAAAATATTGATCCTGGATGCATCTGTGAGGGTGTTGCCAAAGGAGATTAACATTTGAGTTAATGGGCTGGGAAAGGTAGATCCACCCTTAATCTGGGAGGGCACAATCTAATCAACTGTCAGTGTGGCTAGAATATAAGCAGGCAGAAAAATGTGAAAAGAGAGACTGGCTTAGCTTCCCAGCCTACATCTTTCTCTGGTGTGGATGCTTCTTGCCCTCGAACATCAGACTCCAAGTTCTTCAGTTTTGGAACTCAGACTGGCTCTCCTTGCTCCTCAGTCTGCAAATGGCCTATTATGGGACCTTGATTGTGTGAGTTAATATTTAATAAACTCCCCTTTATATACATATATATATATATATATATATACATATATATATATATACATATATATATATACATATATATATATACATATATATATACACATATATATATACATATATATACACACATATATATACATATATATATACACATATATATATACATATATATATACACATATATATATACATATATATATATACACATATATATATACATATATATATATACACATATATATATACACACACACATACATACATATATATATATATATATACCATTAGTTCTGTCCCTCTAGAGAACCCTGACTAATAAACCACTTTATACCACCATCAAACCCTCAAGGTCATCAAACAAGATAAAACAAACAAAAAAAAAGCCCTCCCAAAGGACAGTAACTTCAAAGACTGAAGGAACACCAGCCAACAAAGATGAGAAACAAGCAGTGTCAGACCTCTGACAACTCAAAAACCCAGAGTGCCTTCTTTCCTCCAAACGACTGTGCTACCTTTTCGGTAAGTGTTCTGAACTGGACTGAGATGGTTGAAATGACAGAAATAGAATTAAGAATGTGGATAGGAACAAAGATCATTGAGATGCAGGAGTACATTGAAACCCAATCCAAGGATGCCACGAATCCCAACAAATGATATAGGAACTGACAGACAAAATAACCAGTATAGAAAAGAATGTAACTGACCTGATAGAGCTGAAAAACAGACTACAAGAATTTTATAATGCAATTGCAAGTATTAATAGCAGAATAGACCAAGTGAAAAAAGAATCCCAGAGCTCAAATACTGGGTTTCTGAAAAAAGACTGTGAAAGAAGAATAGGGAAAAAGAATGAAAAAGAAAGAATGAAACCTCTGAGAAATATGGAATTATTTAACGAGTCAAAATCTATGACTCATTACTGTCCCTGAAAGAGATGGGGAGAATAAAAGCAATTTAGAAAACATATTTTGGGATATCATCCAGGAGAATTTTCCCATTCTAGCTAGAGGGGTTAACATTCAAATTCAGGAAATACAGAGAAGCCCTACAAAAATATTCACAAGAAGACTATCCCAAGGCACATAATCATTGTCTATTTTTTTAACCATTATCATAAAGGAGTCAAGAATCTCTGCATTAGTCTATAGGCCTGAGACCTATACAAGTCTTGTCGACAAAATAAGAACACTCAGTTGGGGATTCAAAGGTAGCTGCCTGGACACAGCCAAGTGGTACAGCTGCCACTCAGGGACCAGGAAGACTGTCAGGGTTCTTGCGCAGATTCTCCAAGGTCAAAATGAAACAAAACACGTTAAAGGCAGCTAGAGAGAAAGGCCAGGTCACCAGCAAAGGGAAACCCATGAAACTAACAGTGGACCTCGCAGCAGAAAGCCTACAAATCAGAAAAGGTTGGGGCCAATATTCAACATTCTAAAAGAAAAGAAACTCCAATTCAGAATTTTGTATCTGGCCAAACTAGGCATCATAAGCAAAGAAGAAATAAGATCCTTTTTTGGACCAGCAAATGCTGAGTGAATTTGTTCCCACTAGATCTGTCACTAGAGCTCCTGAAGGGAGCACTAAATATGGAAAGGAAGGACCGTTACCAGCCATTCCAAAAACACACTTAAGTACAGAGAGTGATACCATAAAGCAACCACACAAACAAGTCTTCAAAATAATCAGCTAACATCGTGCTGACAGGATCAAATCCACACATATCAATACTAACCTTGAATGTAAACAAGCTAAATGTTCCAAATAAAAGGCACAGAGTGGCAATATAGGTTAAAAAAAATCAAAAAAACAAACAAAAAAAACCAAACCCCATTGGTATGCTGTCTTCAAGAGACCCATCTCACATGCAATGACACCCATATGCTCAAAATAAAGGGATGGACAAAAATATGCCAAGCAAATGGAAAAAAAAAAGCAGAGGTTGGAAACCTAATTTCAGACAAAATAGACATTTAACCATCAAAGATCAAAAAAAGAAAGAAAGGCATTACATAATAACAAAGGCTTCAATTCAACAAGACCTAACTATCCTAAATATATAGGCACCCAAAAGAGGAGCACACAGATTCATAAAACAAGCTCTTAGAGACCTTCAAAGAGACTTAGACTCCCATCCAATAAAACAGTGGAGACTTAAACACTCTACTGACAATATTAGACAGATCATCAAGGCAAAAAATTAACAAAGACATTCAGGACCTGAACTCAACACGGGCTCAAATGGAGTTGACAGACATCTACAGAACTCTCCACCCCAAAACAACAGAATATACATTCTTCTCATCTGCACAGGGCACATACTCTAAAATTGACCACATATTCAGATATAAAACAGTCCTCAGCAAATGCAAAAGAACTGAAAACATAACAACCACTCTCTCAGACCACAGTGCAATCAAATAAGAAATCAATACTAAGAAATTCACTCAAAATTATACAATTCCCGGGAAATTGAATAACCTGCTCCTGAATGACTTCTGGGTAAGTAATGAAATTAAGGGAGAAATCAAAAAGTTCTTTGAAACTAAAGAGGACAAAGATACAATATTTCAGAATCCCTAGGACACAGCTAATACAGTGTTAAGAGGAAAAATTATAGCACTATTTGCCAAAATCAAAAAGTTAGAAATACCTCAAATTAAAAACCTAACATCACAACTAGAGGGAAAAGAGAAGCAATAGAAAACCAACCCCAAACCTAGCAGAAGACGACAAGAAATAAGCAAAATCAGAGCTGAACTGAAGGAGATTGAGACATGAAGAAAAATTCAAAAGATCAACAAATTTAGCAGTTGGTTTTTTGAAAAAATTAATAAAATGGACTGCTAGCTAGAATAATAAAGAAGAAAACAAAGAAGATCCAAATAAATAAAATTACAAATAACAAAGGGAATACTAACACTGACCCCATAAAAATACAAATAACCACTATAGAATATTATGAAAACCTCCATGCACAGAAACTAAAAAATCTAAAAGAACTAGATAAATTCCTGGACAAATACACCCTCCAAAGACTGAGTCAGGAAGAAATTGAATCCCTGAACTGACCAAAAACAAGCTTGAAAATTGAGTCAGTAATAAATAGCCTACCAAGTGAAAAAAAGCCCAGGACAAGAGAGATACACAGCCAGATTCTACTAGATATACAAAGAAGACCTGATGTCATTTCTACTGAAACTATTCCAACAAAAATGGAGGAGAGACTCCTCCCTAACTCATTCTGTGAGGTCAGCATCATTCTGATACGAAAACCTGGCAGAGACACAATAAAAAAACTAAAATTCAGGCCATATCCTTGATGGATATAAATGCACAAATCCTCAGCAAAACACTGGCAAACCATATCCAGCAGCACATCAAAAAGCTAACCCATCACAATCAAACCAGCTTTATATCTAGGATGCAAGGTTAGTTCAACATATGCAAATCAATAGATGTGATTCATCACATAAACAGAACTAAAAGCAAAAACCAAATAATCATCTCAATAGATGCAGAAAAGGCTTTTGATAAAATTCAACATCTCTTCATGTTAAAAACTCTCAATAAAGGAAATGTTGAAGGAACATACCCAAAAGTAGTAAGAGCCATCTATGGCAAATCCACAGCCAACATCATACTGAATGGCAAAAGCTGGAAGCGTTCCCCTTGAGAACCGGAACAAGACAAACAAGGATGCCCTCTCTTACCACTCCTATTCAATGTAATATTGGAAGTCCTCGCCAGAACAATCAGTCAAGAAAAAGAAATAAAGGGCATCCAAATAGGAAGAGAGGAATTGAAACTATCTGTTCGCAGAAGACATGATTTTGTGTCTAGTAAACCCCATGGTCTTGGCCCAAAAGCTCCTTGATCTAATAAACAACTTCAGTGATGCCTTAGAATACAAAATCAATGTACAAAAGTCACTAGCATTCCTATAAACAAACAACCGTTAAGCTGAGATTTTAAACTTCCTCTATAAAACTAAATCTCCTTGGATGCATATAATGACTTAGCATCAATTCTAGACTATCGTGGGAATTAAAAACAAAAGCCAGAGTTGATTCCAGACTCTGGAATCCTATGTAATTAGCATTGGTTAAACAGTTCCACATAGAACCACATCTCAAAGGAACTATATTATTTCTTCCAACGATGATCATAGAATAATATTTCAGTTCAAATTTAGAATGGACCAAGAACTCACACCTCTCAGTCTTAAAGCATCTTTACAGTTTTATTTATATTATTGATGTCTATAGTTGATGTAACCTGAATCAAATCCAGGACATTTTGTCTCCAGTCCATGCTGTTGATTACAGTCATATATTTCCTGTTCTGTGTCATTCAAAAGTGTAAATTTTGTCTATAGAATTTATGAAAACGTATAATCAGGATAGCCAGGGTTAGACTATTATTTTGATTAAGCCCTATAAACTAGCTGTAGCTGTCATTACTTAATACTCTCAAATAGGACTTCTACAATGTTTGAAAAATTCAAATTTATCACTGAAAATGTGCCATTTTGAACAACCATTTTTTATGAAATAGTTCATACATGCACAAAAGTATATGTAACATATAAAGAATAAAAGGTAGTAAATCCCTAGGTACTCACCATCCATGTTAAACGGAGCCATTATCCTAAATTATATTTTCAAACGTTTTACCCTATGTATATGACTTGTGCACCTTATTATACCATCAAATTTTGCATTATCTTGAAATCTGGTATATGCTTGCTTACCTTTTTTTCAGTATCATATTTAGCAGCAGACATTCCATGAATGAGATATGAACCTTTGCTTTATTAAGCCACTGAGATTTTAAGATTGTCTATTCCTACAGCATAACCTAGCATATCCTGAGTGATAAATATAGCCACTTTCGTTTTCTTAAAAGATGATGTTAAGAGCATATAAGAAAAAGAGCATAGGTAATAGGCCAAGGTAAATGAATTTAAGGCTGCAATTGCCTGAATCTTTATACTTGATAATTATAGTGACGTAATTCAACCAAGTTTAGCATTCAATCTCATATAAATACATGGTGTCAGATTTACAAATGAAACTTTTTTGACTAATGGAAGGGTATACCTGTAGCAACTCAGGAAAAAGAGATTCTAAAATTGAACTCAGACTGAATCAAACCACTGAAGAAAAATAGCTTTTAACACCATCAGCTTGCATCCCTTTGAGGCATTTGGGTGGGATGGCTACCTTGTTGTGCAGGCACCATCTAATGTTCTTTTTTGTTTTTGTTGGGTATGCTGAACTTCAGATCTAAACCATTTTGGAGGGCTTATCATAATACTGAGTCTCCTGGCTTCACAAGTCATTTCCTTTATAATATGAGGACTCCAGGGAAATCTGGCAGCCATTTCACTTTGTTTCTAACACCGAAGTAGAACACATTGAAGCCATATGGTGGCATCTGGTTTGTGAAAAACAACAAAAAATCAAAACAAAAAAACCCTAAGTTCATAAACATATTTTAAAATAAATTTGGATGGGGGCTTCAGAAACTTTTGCCACAATAGTAATATTGAAAGGGGAACTCTCTTGCTCCAGATTTCTTGGAAATAATTTTAATTCAAAAATTTTTTTGTTTGCTTTTTTGTTTTTAATACTAGGACGTGCCACTAGAGAAAGAAAATATGGAATATTCAACAGCTTAACAAGTTACTGTTTGCCAAGGCTTAAGGAGGGATGGGGCAGGACAAAAATGGGTGTGGCTATAAAAGGACTATATGAAGGATTTTTGTGGTGATGAAAGTGTTTTCTTACATGACTATATCAATGTGAATATCCCGGTTGTGATATTGTATTACGATTCGTCAAGATATTACCATTTTGAAAACTGGAGTATATGGGACCTCCCTGCATTATTTCTTACAATTGCATGTAAATCTACAATTATCTCAAAATAAAAAATTTAATTAAAAAAGACAAGAAATAGAAAGAAAGGAAAATATGTATAAACATGTATCTGATAAGGTATTTGTATCTAGAATGTACAAAAACCTCTTACACCTCAATTGCAAATAAACAATCCAATCAAAACATAGGCAAAAGATTTTTTAAAATGCTTCACCATCTTATGCCACCCTCTACCTCTCCCCAACTATCTCCACCACACTATCAATCTCACTCTCTCCTAGCCGTTTCTAATCCTGCTTTAACAAGCAGTTGCTGACTTTGCATTTCTTCTTCCTCCAAAATCGCAGAGGCCCTGACTTACTCACTGCTAAAAAAAAAAAAAGCTGGTGGGGGACTCTGTATATTTTTAAATGAAGAGTGTTGTTCTTACCTAAATCAATCTGGCCTGGTATATGACAACATAAAAAAACTCAAGGATACAGCCCAAAAACTCGCCAACCAAGCAAATAATTACACTGAACCCCCTTGGACACTCTGTAATTGGATGTCCTGGGTACTCCCAATTCTTAGTCCTTTAATACCTATTTTTCTCCTTCTATTTGGACCTTGTGTCTTTCGTTTAGTTTCTCAATTCACACAAAACCACATCCAGGCCATCACCAATAATTCTATATGACAAATGCTCCTTCTAACAACCCGACAATATCACCCCTTACCCCAAAATCTTTCTTCAGTTGAATTTCTTCCACTGTAGGTTCCCACGCTGCCCCTAACCCCACTCAAAGCAGCCCTGAGAAACATCGCCCATTATCTCTCCATACCACCCCCCAAAATTTTCGCTGCCCCAACACTTCACCACTATTTTGCTTTATTTTTCTTATTAATATAAGAAGACAGGAATGTCAGGCCTCCGAGCCCAAGCTAAGCCATCATATCCCCCGTGATCTGCACATATACATACAGATGGCCTGGAACAACTGAAGATCCACAGAAGTGAAAATAGCCTTAACTGATGACATTCCACCATCGTGATTTGTTTCTGCCCCACCCTAACTGATCAATGTACTTCATAATCTCCCCCACCCTTAAGAAGGTTCTTTGTAATCCTCCCCACCCTTGAGATTATATGGTACTTCTATTCTTACTTTTTTGAGGAATGTCCATGAATTTTTCCAGAAAAGCTGTCCAAATTTGTATCACACCCTTGATGTGACGGATTGCATTAATTGATTTTTGAAACTTAAACCAGCCTTGCATAGCTGAAATAAATCTCAGTTGTAATATAGTTCTTTTTATACATTGTTGAGTTTCATTTGGTAGTATTTTGTTGAAGATTTCTGCAACTATGTTTATGGGAGATGTTATAGTTGACCTTTCTTGTAATATTTTTGTCTGGTTTTGTTACTAAGGCATAAACAGGATCTTTATGCTGAAAACCACCAAATGCAGCTGGGACATATCGAGGAAAATTGAAATAAATCATGTGGCTTTGGATTGGAAGACTCAACATAATAAAAACAGTCAATCTTTTTCAAACTTTATCTGTATGATTAATGCAATTTCTACAAAAACACAACAGGATTAATCGTTTATATATATAATACAAGCTTATTTTAAAATGTATAAGAAAAGGCAGATAAACTAGATAAACTAAAACAATTTTAAATATGGAAAATAATGTTGGAGGAACCACACTACCTAATTTTAAAACTTTCTATATAGCTACCGTTATCAGTATTAAGACTGTGGAATTGGTAGAGGGATAGGCATGTAGGTCAATGGAATAGAAAACAGAGTTCATCAATACACCTACGAAGTACTACTGACTGACAGCTGACAAACTTGCAAAGGCAATTTGAAGGAGATAGGATACTCTTTTCAACAAATATATTGCAACAATTGGACAATCATAGACATACAACGAACATTGACTTAAATCTCACATCTTACTCAAAAATGAACCTAAAATAGATGAATCATGGATCTAAATGTAAAATGACAAATGATAAAATCTTTAAAAGAAAAATGTAAGATTTTTGTTAGTATCTGAGGGTTTCATGAAAAGCTTAGAAATGACATTGAAAACAAGATCCATAAAAGAAAAGTGTTAATATGTCCCTCATCAAAATTTAAAAAGCTTCAATCTGTGAAAAACCCTGTTAAGAGAATGTAAAGACAGGCATACTGTATACCCAAAAAAGGACTGGTATCTAGAGTACATAAAGAACTCTCAAAACTCAGCGGTTAAAAAATAGGCAATCTAATTAGAAAATGGGCAAAAGAGTAGAATTTACACTTCACCAAAGGGGATATGTGAATGGCAAACAGACACATGAAGAAATGTTTAAAATTGTTTGCCATTAGTGAAATGCAAATTAAAACCACATTTAAATAGCATTACACGCTAATTAAAATGGATACAATAAAAAATACCTATAACATCAAGCACTTAAAAGTAAGCTGAGGAACTGGACCTCTCATACATTGTTGATGGAAATGCAAAATTTTACAGTTATTCGGAAAAGAGTTTTGCAGTTTCTTTTAAAGTTGAACACGTACTTACTGTACATCCTGGCAATTGTACTCCCAGGAGTGCAATTTAACCTGGAATAATGAAGTCCTATTAAATTGGTTTCTTTTGGCCGCTATAACAAATTATCACAAACTCAGTGGCTTAAAACAACAGAAATATATTCTCTCACAGTTCTGCAGAGGATAATAGGAATGTAAAATCAATTTCACTGGGTTGAAATCAAAGTGTTGGTAGAGCTTCACTTCCACCAGAAGTTCCATTGGAGAATCTGTTCTTCGATTCTTCCGGCTTTTGGTGGTTGCTGGCATTACTTGGTTTTTAGCAACATCACTCCACTATCCGCCTCCATGGTCACACTACCTACTCCTCTTCTTTCTGGGGCAATTTTTACTCTGCTTCCCTCTTATAAGGATGCTTGTGATTAGACCTAGGGCCTACCAGGATAATTCAGGATAATCTTCCCATCTCGAGGTCTTGAACTTAATCACATCTGCAAAGTATGTTTTGCCATATAAGGTAACATATTTAGTGGTTCTGGGGATTAAAACATAGATACCTTCGGGGACTGTTATTCAGCCTGCCACATTTATGTTCACACAAACTCTTGAATATGAAAGTTCATAGCAGTTTTATTCACAATATACCAAAGTGGGAACAATCCAAATGCCCTTCAATGGATAACAATAAATAAACTGTGGTATATTAATACAATCAAATACTACTCGGTAATAAAAGAAATTAAACTACTGATTCCACAATAGTTGGCTAGTTGGCATTAATATCAAACCATTATGCCAAGTGGAAGAAGCCAATCTCAAAATATATGATATTGTCTGATTCCATTTCTGTAAGGTTCTTGGAAAGGCAAGACGACGTGACAGAGACTACATCGGTGGTTTTTCTAGGTGTTAGAGGGGTGGGGAAGGTGTAACTCTAAAGTGATGGTGCCAAGAAGTATTGGGAGCGATGGAACTGTTTTCTCTCCTGATTGTGGTAATTTTTACATGTATCTATACATGTGCTAAAATTCACAGAACTAAGTATCAAAAATAAGTCAATTTGTTAATTTGAACAAATTTGGGCAGAAAGAATTTCTTCACAGAAACAGTGTGTACAAAGGACTAGAGGTTAAAGAGACTGTCACATTTATGTGACTTAGTAATGCTTTAATTTTGACTGACAGAGGCATAGAGCACAGGGACGTGGATGCAAAGAGAGGGAAAATGCTGGGATTTCAGTGGCTTTTTAATAATCATGGGATCAAGAGTGCAGAACATTGATACTAAAATTGTGTCTGACAAATCTAATGACTGACGATAATAAATTAATATTCTCATCTCCCATGCTGATTTCCTTGAATAACTGAAAGCTGGTGTCTGTAATAGGACAACCTGTACCACGCCGCCACCACCACTACCACTGCAAACATCTGCAAGGAGACTGGTACCCCTGTGCCCACCAGCACCCCAACTCATTCAATAAATGTGCACCTCACTGTGCTGCCACTGCTGCTGGCACATGTGAATGAGCATGGATACCACCACCATAGCCTGAAAAAGTGCTTTAGCAGGTGCCACCCATCAGAGTGCTGTGACCAGCAGTCCGAAAACACTTTGGTCCCTTTGATGCAGAAGGTTCATAACCTTGAGAGGTCAAATAACAAAGCCAGGTGCTCAAGAATAGAGAATAGAGAACCCAGAAATAATTCTGCACACCTAACCTATACACAGCCGATCTTCCATAAAGTCACCCAAAACAAGCAGTGCGGAAAGGACACCCTATTCAATAAATGATGCTGGGATAACTGGCTAACCATATGCAGAAGATCAAAACTATACCTATTCCTTACACTATATATACAAATCAACTCAAGATGGATTAAAGACTTATACGCAAAACCTAAAACTAAAATATCCTGGAAATAACCAAATATTTCACAATGAAGATGCCAAAGGCAATTGAAACAAAAACAAAAATTGACAAATGGAACCTAATTAAACTAAAGACCTTCTGCAGAGAATAAAAAACTATCAGCAGAGTAAACAGACAACTACAGTATGTGAAAAACATTTGCAAACTTTGTGTTAAGTCAATTTGCAAGCAAAAAACAAGCAACCCCATTAAAAAGTGGGCAAAGGACATGAACAGATACTTTCCAAAAGAAGATATTCATGCATCCAACAAGCATATGAAATAAAACTCAACATCAGTGATCATTACAGAAATGCAAATCAAAACCACAATGAGATATCATCTCACACCAGCCATAATGGGTATTATTAAAAAGCCAATAAATAACAGGTGCTGGTGAGGTTCAGGAGAAAAGGTAACACTTATACACTGTTAGTGGAAATGTAAATTAGTCCACCCATTGTGGAAAGCAGTGTGGTTATTCCTCAAAGACCTCAAGACAGAAATACCATTCGACCCAGCAATCTCATTACTGGGTATATACCCAAAGGAACAGAAATCATTTTATTATAAAGGCACATGCACATAAATGTTCTTTGCAGCACTATTCACAATAGAAAGCACATGGAATCAACCTAGGTGCCCATCAACAGTGGATTGGATAAAAACAATGCGGTACTTATACACCATGGAATACTATGCAGCGGAAGAAAATAATGAGATTATGTCCTTTGCAGCAACGTGGATGGAGCTGGAGGCCTTATCTTAAGCAAATAAACACAGGAGAAGAAGACCAAATACTGCATGTTTTCACTAATAAGTGGGAGCTAAACATTGAGTACATATGGACACAAAGAAGGCAACAACAGATACTGAGACCTAATTTGGAGTGGAAGGTGGGAAGAGGGTAAGGTAAAAAACTACCTATGGGGTACTAAGCTGATTACCTGGATGATGAAATAATCTACACACCAAACCCCTGCAACATGCCATTTACCTGTATAACACCCCTGCACATATATCCCTGAACCTAAAGTAAAAGTGAAAATTAATATATGATGGCAGCTGTCTTAGGAATTGCAATTGGTATTGTGCTCCCTACTCAGTGAAAGTTGGGTTTATGTTTAAGTTAGGATTAAGAAAAAAATGGTAATGTTGAGCCTGCCTAAAGAGCAAAAATTTTCTATAGAATTAAATTACTAGTATTTTATTTCATTCTGTTCATTCATGAATGACGTACATAAGGAAATGTGTTTTCTGCCTCTATCATCACGGAATATAGAGAATCACTCAATGTGTCCTCTTCATGGACTTACATTATCTCCATATTTTCTCATTCAGCCTGCCTCCCCAGGAATCTACTTAAACAATTTCCTTATTTCCTACTTTGGATTAATTTTATAGTATTACACATAGATTTGCATAAAATTTCAAAAAATAAATGATGATATAAATGTATTAGAATAAATTATTGATAGATCATGAAAAGTTCTTCTGCCTTGTAGTAATAAGGAGCAACTACATAGGATAGAAAAATAAAACAGGTCATTTTGCACATATTCTTTTGATATCTGATGTAGGTATTGCACAAACCAAGGCCCTGTCATCAGTTTATTTGGCTACATACTTCTTTCACATATAACATGCTTTAGTTATATTGAGCTATAGCTTAAGATTAAATGGTTAGAGTTCTATGTAAGTTTATTTTTGATGTTATCATACCAATTTCTCAAAAATAAATATTTTTGGTGGTGTTTTGTATTGATTACTATGTTAAATACCAGAGTATGTTGAAAATATTTGTATTATTTTGAGTAGCTTCTGTCATTTTTCCATTTATTAGTAGAAATCAGTTTTTATTTGACATTTCTATTAAATCATTTCTGTACTACCAGTAAAGATATATTCCCATTTCTTGATTATCGTGTATAAGGTACAACTTAACAAGGTATAATATAACATATAAATAAATATAAAAAACAATCCCTACATTTTAATAGCTTACAGTCTAATTAAGGAGACAAAGCAGGTGTGCCTGTGTGCACGTGTATACACCTACATGAAGATCAATAGTAAAACAAAGATATGTCATGGCAAAGCACAGATCTGAGTTGGAAGACTAAAATTTAATATTTGGCTCTGCCTCTTGCGTAACCATGAATAAGTTACTTAACCGTATCAAGTGTCTGGTTGTTTTATCCTTAATATAGCAGTAATAATGCACAGTGATATTGTTATTACTGATATTTAGTGAATTGTTCAAAGAATAGGCAACAGGTGTTTGGGGAAGCTGGCCGAGTGGGAAAATATTGAGGAAATATAGGTCCATGAACAGGACTTTCCACTCCATTCTCATAAAGTGATTCTCTTGATTCTGAGATGATAGTGGCAGTAAACACATTTATTTCCTTAGGCCCATCATTTGTGACTAAGCAGACAGGGAAATTGTATGGAATAATGTGTATGAAAACATAAAGGGTCTCATACCCAAATAGATGTAGTCCTTTTATTCTATTCAAATAGAACATCAGGACAATGACTGCAACCATTTAATGGACCTTCAGTTCAGATATTGTTTTATAGTACTTGAAGTTACCATGCTATTCTGGAAAGATTATAGGTTTTGAAGTCAGATCTATTGGATTTTGAATCATTACTTGAATAATGGATGATTGTATAACACAGTGTACATGACAATCTGATTCTTAATTTTATCATTTTCAATGAGGATATCATTATCCATTTACCTCAGAGAGGCATTGTGAGGATTAAAATATTATTTAAAACATGTGATGTGGAACATATTTGTATTAAAGTGCACTCTCTTCTCAGGACTTCACAAGGACCACAGAAGTCTCAGTTGAGAAGTGTGAAATCCAACCTTTGAAATAGATTATGAAACATTAGTAAGTTTATCTGTGTATGTTAGAGTGTGTGTGCAATTATAAATTGGTTTATAGCAAATCACAAGAACACAAAGGCATAACTATGATGCCCTTTTGTTGTTAGCCAACAATACCTACTCATTAGCAAAGAGAGGGTATGGGTAGAGCGGTGCTTGTCCTTATCCAAATCTTATTGTTCCATTATACTGGCAGCTACTGTGGCAGACAGGCCGATGAGGAAAGAGAAAGTCACCAGTGAAAAGGAGCCATTTGATGGTCCTTCTTGTCCTCTCCTAAGTCAGGGTGTTTCCTGCAATCTGTTTTCAAGAATATTTAAAGGTCAGTGGCTTGTTGTAATTCTGATTTATTATTTTGTCATTTTGAGCAAAACTCCAATAATTTTGTTATTGTTTTTCTGTGTATCCTTCCTTCCACTATTTAGGGATTGTAAATATTTTTCTTGTAAGAAAACGGAGCAAATACCAATGACTTGGGTTATATTGCATTTGTTATGCAAGCTTTTTGGCAGGCACCTGCCTCTGAAAGAGAAAGAGCCAAGCACCACTCTATTGGACTTACTAATTTTAGGGTTGCCATGGCTTTAATTTGATTGTTATTTATTGAGCATTCAAACTGTGTTAGGCAGCATAAAGAACACATAGAAAGCATGATGTGGATATTAAGGATGTTATGCCCTAAAAAAGGAAGTCTATTAACTCAAATACAGAATGTATCCAGTTCTGTAATTACTTGCAAAATCTTGATTGGGGAATTCATTTAGCTAGCTTTATATTTAGAAGGTATTTTTTATGTCTTTCTAGTTTAAAACTGTATTGCTCCAAATAGCATTTCAAGACACTAGTGTGCTGATGTTCACATATATGAAGTTATTGGTCCTCTCTTGTAACTTAATCAACAAATATCTCATGAAGTACAGAATACTTGGCAGATACAAAAGACCCTCAGTAAACTAAGTCCTCAGAGAATAAAGCTATATTCATTCTGGATTAGTGTTGGAAAAGTTATTAGGTAAGGATAATGAACACCATAAGAATAATGAGGCTCAGGGGGAGTTGAAGGAGGAGGGGTAAATCTGAGGTTGTCAGAAGAAACAATTCAAGGTTATACTGCAACTTGATACAGAGGAATATGAAAGATTGCCCAGTTCTGCTCTACCAATCTCAGCTGAGCACCAAGAATGTCTTAGGTCCCCTCCAAAGCACTGTAGATATGATAGTGAAGACAGATATGCTCTTTCTGTTTTGAGAAATTCACAGTCTAGCTGCACAGATAGACAGGGAAATGTAATTATTCCTTTGTTCAGCAAATATTTATTGAGTTCTCTTTTCAGACACTGTTCCTGGGGATGGAAAGACAGTGAATAAAAGACACAAAAATTTCTGCCCTCATGACCACATTATAAGTTAGACAGACTAATACAAAGGAGTATGTGTGTGTAGATATATCATCTATGTTTGTATCTATATCTAAGTAGATATAATTTTATATGTAATATAAAGAAGAGGAAGGGCGTGTGCTGCTTCTATAGGAAGGTAGAGGAAGGCCTCAGTAGTAAGGTGACATTGCAGCATTTCATCTGAAGACATACTTACTCTATGCAAACATGAAAAAGTAAGCAATGTAGATATGGGTGTGAGGTGAAACAGCATTCAAAACAGAGGGATTAGAAAATTTAAATACTTTAAAGAACATGGGCATTTTGTCTGTTGGAGATATAGCAAAAAGTCAGTAGGGCTGGAGGGAGCTGATAGGAAGATAACATAGGGCATGTCCCATATCGTTTTTATTTTTGCATTCTCAATGCCTACCACTAACGAATGATTCCACTGAATGATTGACAAACTAAGAAGTGGACAAAAGAGAAATTGATTCTGAAGTTTGGGGCAATGGAGAGTGAATAAATAATATAGAAATATATAGATTCTATACCTAGGAAACCCTAAATACTCCAGCAAAAGGCTTCTGGAGCTGATAAACCACTTCAGTAAAGTTTCAGGATACAAAATCAATGTGTAAAAATCAGTAGCATTTCTATATATCTATAATGTTTAAGCTAAGGGCCACATCAAAAATGCAATCCCATTTACAATAGCCATAAAAATTACATATGAACACATCTAACCAAGCAGGAGAATGATCTCTACAAGAACTACAAACACTGCTCAAAGAAATCATAAATTACACAAATAAAAAAAATTCCATGCTCATGGATTGGAAGAATCAATATAGTTAAAATGGCCATGCTGCCCAAAGAAAGCTACCAATTCAATGCTATTCCTATCAAACTACCAACGTCATTATTTGCAGAACTAGAAAAACTGTTTCAAAATTCATATGGGACAGAAAAACAGCCTGAATAGCTAAAGCAATCCTAAGCAAATAGGACAAAGCCTGAGGCAACTCATTACCTGACTTCAAACTATACTATAAGACTACTATAACCAAAACAACATACTACTGGTATAAAAACAGAGAAGAACAGACAAAAATAGACCAATGGAACAGAATAGAGAAACCAGAAATCAAGCTGCCATTAGACATTTTATCTTCAACAAAGTCAACAAAAATAAGGATAGGGAAAGGACAGTTTTTTTAATAAACGGTGCTGGGATAATTGGCTAGCCATATTCGGAAGAATAAAACTGAACCCCTACCAGTCACCATATAAAAAATTAACTCAAGGTGGATTAAAGATTTAAATGTACGACCTCAAACTATAAGAACCCTAGAAGAAAACCTAGGAAACACCATTCTGGACATTGGCTTCGGGAAAGAATTTATGACTAAGTCCTCAAAGGCAATTGCAACAGAATAATAAATTGACAAGTGGAAACTAATTAAAGTAAAGGGCTTCTGTACAGCAAAAGAAGCTAGCAACAGAGTAAGCTGACACCCTACAGAATGGGAGAAAATATTCACAAACTATGCATTTAACAAAGGCCTAATACCCAGAATCTATGAGGAACAACTCAACAAACAAGAAACAAAGAGCCCCATTAAAAAACGAGCAAAGGACATGAACAGACACTCCTCGAAAAAGACATACAAGCACCCAATAAACATATGAAAAAATGTTCCACACCACTAATCATCAGAGAAATGGAAATCAAAATGTCAGTAAGATATCACCTTACACTAGTCAGAATGGCTATTATTTAAAAGTCAAACAATAATAGATGCTGTGGAGGCTGTGGAGAAAGGGAATGCTTGTACAATATTTGTGGGAATGTAAATTAATTCAGCCACTATCGAAAACAATTTAGAGATTTCTTAAAGAACTTAGAACTATCACTTGACCCAGGAATCTTACTACTGAGTATATACCCAAAAGAAAACAGATCGTCCTACCAAAAAGACACATGCACTCACATGTTCATTGTAGCACCATTCACCATTGCAAAGACATGGAATCAACTTAGGTGCCCAAAAATGGTGGACTGCATAAAGAAAATGTGGCACAAATACACCATGGATTACTACGCAGCCATAAAAAATAATAAAATCATGTCCTTTGCAGCAACAACGAGGCAGCTGGAGGCCATTATCACAAGTGAATTAACACAAAAACAGAAAACCGAATACTTCGTGCTCTCACTTACAAGTGGGAGCTAAACATTGGGTACTCATGGACATAAAGATGGGAACGATAGATACTGGGGACTACTAGAGGTAGGAGGGAGGACAGGGGCGAGGGTTGAAAAACTGTTGGTTACTATGCTCAGTACTTGGGTGACAGAAAAATCTGCATCCCAAACCTCACCATCACCTAATATGCCCAGGAAAGAAACCTGCACGTATACACTCTGAATCTAAATAGAAACCCTAAGAATAAACCAGAAGTAAGCTAAGAGAGTTGTGCACAAATGTGCTCTGTTTGGTATTATATTGGGAGGCTATGGGGATTGGGAACTGCTTCTTAGAGGAGATAACCTTTCAAAACCCTGAAAACATGTAGATGTGCTTTAGGCTTCTTATCTGCCATCTAGCTACTGTGTGTTACCTCATTTTGTCATGTCTAAAATGGGACTAACATTAAAAATCCTGTCTAGCATGGTCTTCTTTTAAATTTCTTATTGTAAATGACAATTTATAATTGCATCTATTTATGGGGTACAAAGTGATGTTTTGCTTTATGAATAGAATGTGAAATAATTAAATTAACTAGTTAACATATCTATCACCTCAAATAGTTAACATATTTATGCAGTGGGAACATTTGAAATTTACTCTTTTATCACTTTAAAAATGTACAATCCTCTATTATTGATTATATTTACCATCCTGTGCAATAGATCTCAAAAACATATTTCTCCTGCCTGAGATTGTGTACCCTTTGGCCATTATCTTCCCTTTCCCCTCACCCTCCAGCCTCTATAACAACCATTCTACTCTCTGCTTCTATAAGTTCAATTATTTTAGGTTTTACAATTAAGTGAGAACAGGTAGTATTTGTCTTTTTGTGCCTGGCTTATTTCACTTAGCATAATGTTCTCCAGGTTTATTCATGTTGTCACAAATGACAGATTTTTCTTATTTTAAAGGCTAAATAATATTCAATTGTCTATATATTCCACATAATCTCTATCCATTAGCCTGTTGATGGGCACTTAGGTTGATTCCATAATTTGACTACTGTGAATAGTGCTGAAATGAACATGGTTGTGTAGATATCACCTCAACAAAATGTTTTCAAACCTTTTGGGCAAATATTCAACACTCAAAAGTGAGATTGCTGGATTATATGGTACTTCTATTCTTACTTTTTTGAGGAATGTCCATGAATTTTTCCAGAAAAGCTGTCCAAATTTATATCTCCCATCAAAAGTGTACAAGGGTTTCTTTTCTCCACATTCTCGCCAACACTTTTTATCTTTCAACTTTTTGATAATATCCATTCTGGTAGACATGAGGTGAAGGCTCATTGTGGTTTTAATGTGATTTTTAAATGATTAGCAATATTGAGCATTTTGCTCATATCTGTTGGCCATTTGTATGTCTCCTTTAGAGAAATGTCTATTCAGGTCCCTTGCCCATTTTTAAATTGGGTATTTTGTTTACTTACTATTGAGCTGTTTGAATTCCTTGTATATTTTGAATATTAACCCTTTATCAGGTATATTGTTTGCATATATTTCCTTCCTACCTGTAAGTATGTTGTCTCTGCACACTGTTATTTGCTTCTTTTAGGTTTGATGTAATCCCAATTGTCTATTTTTGCTTTTCTTGCCTTTACTTTTGGGGTCAAATCAAAAATATCTTTGCCTAGACAAATATGTATTATTCCCCGTACACATTTTTCAAGTAGTTTTATAGTTTCTGGTGTTATGTTTAAGTCCTAAATCCATTTTGAGTTGATTTTTGTATATGGTGTTGAATAAAAATCTAATTTCATTCTTCTGCATATGAATATCTCATTTTCCCAATGCCACTTATGGAACAGACTGTTCTTTTTGCATTGCGTATTCTTGGCACCTTTATTGAAAATCAGTTGAATGTACATGCATGGGTTCATTTCTGTTACATTGGTTGACGTGCCTATTTTTTTTTCTTTTGCCAGTACCATGTTGTTTTTATTACTATAGCTTTTTAGTGTAGTTTGAAATCAGGTAATGTGATACCTTCAGCTTTTTTCTTTTGCTTATGGATGCTTTGGATATTTGATTTTTGTGTTCCATATAAATTTTAGGATTGTTTTTCTATGAAAAATCACATTGTATTTTTGTCTTTATTTCAATAGTTGTAGCAGTACAAGTGGTTTTTGGTTACATGGATAAGTTCTTTAGTGGTAGTTTCTGACATTTTGGTGCACTCATCACCCGAGCAGTGTACACTATATCCAATATGTAGTCTTTTATCCCTTACCCCCCCCCCACCCTTCCCCCCAAGTCCCCAAAGTCCATTATATTTATTGTTCTTATGTCTTTGCATTCTCTTAGCTTAGCTCTCACTTATAAGTGAGAACATATGATATTTGGTTGGCTATTCCTGAGTTATTTCACTTAGAATAATGGCCTCCAGCTCCATCCAAGTGGGTGCAAAGGCCATAATTTCATTCCTTTTATGGCTGAGTAGTATTTCATTGTGTATATGTACCACATTTTCTTTATCCACTCATTGGTTGATGGTCATTTAGGTTGGCTCCATATTTTTGCATTTGGGAATTGGGCTGCTATAAACATAAATGTGCATGTGTCTTTTTCATATGATGACTTCTTTACCTTTGGGTAGATACCCAGTGGTGGGATTGCTGGATCAAATGGTAGTTCTACTTTTGGTTCTTTAAGAAATCTCCATACTACTTCCCATAGTGGTTGCATTAGTTTACATTCTCACCAGCAGTGTAAAAGTGTTCCCTTTTCACTACATCCATTACAATAGCTATTATTTTTTGACTTTTTAATTATGGCCATTCTTGCAGGAGTAAGGTAGTATCTAACTGTGGTTTTAATTTGCATTTCCCTGATAATTAGTGTTGTTGAGCATTTTTTCTTATGTTTGTTTTCATATGTTTGTGTATCTTCTATTGAGAATGTTCTATTCACATCTTTTGCCCAATTTTTGATGGGATTATTGGTTCATTTCTAGCTAATTTGTTTGAGTTCCTTGTATATTCTGAATATTGGTCCTTTGTCGAATGTAAAGATTGTGAAGATTTTCTCCCACTCTGTGGGTTGTCTGTTGTACTCTGTTGATTTATTGTTATTATTATTTTGCCGTTCAAAGACTTTTTAGTTTAATTAGGTCCCATTCATTTATTTTTATTTTTGTTGCATTTGCTTTTGGGTTCTTGATCATGAAATCTTTGCCTAAGCTAATGCCTAGAAGGGTTTTTCTGATGTTATCTTCTTGCATTTTTATGGATTCAGGTCTTAGATTTAAATCTTTAATCCATCTTGAGTTAATTTTGTATAAGGTGAGAAATGAGGATCCAGTTTCAGTCTTCTACATGTGGCTTGCCAGTTTTCCCAGGACCATTTATTGAATACAGTGTCCTTTCCCCACTTTATGTTTTTGTTTCCTTTGTTGAAGATCAGTTGGCTGTAAGTATTAGATTTGACTTTATTTCTGGGTTCCCTATTCTATTTCACTGGTCTATGTGCCTGTTTTTATACCAGGACCATGCTGCGTTGGTAACTATTGATTTGTAGCATAGTTTGAAGTCAGGTAATGTGATGCCTCCAGATTTGTTCTTTTTGCTTAGTCTTGCTTTGGCTATGCAGACTATTTATTAGTTTCCTATGAATTTTATAATTTTTTCTAGTTCTGTAAAGAATGTTGATGGTATTTTGATGGGTATTACATTGAATCTGTAGATTGCTTTGGGCAGTATGGTCATTTTTGCAATATTGATTCTAACCATCCATAAACATGGGATGTGCTTCCATTTTGTGTCATCTATTATTTCTTTCAGCAGTGTTTTTTTAGCTTTCCTTGTAAGATATTTCACTTCCTTAGTTAAGTATATTTCTAAGTATTTTATTATTTTTTTGCAGCTGTTGTAAAAGGGATTCAGTTCTTGATTCGATTCTCAACTTGGTTGTTGGTGTATAACAGTGCTACTAATCTGTGTACATTGATTTTGTATCCTGAGACTTTACTGTATTTGTTTATCAGATATAGGAGCTTTTTGGATGAATCTTTAGGATTTTCTTTTTTTTTACTTTTTTTTAACTTTATGAAATCTTACTAGCATGTTTTAAGGGACAAACTCAAATGAGTAGGCTACAGTAAAAAACTCTTATTTTGGAGAGTTAAAAACCAACTAACATACTTCTATATATTATCTTCAGTGATGCTTCTTATTTTTATTCTGGGACTCCAGGTAATATTCAGCCCCCACAGCTACCAAAAATGCAGCAAATCCTCATTTGAATGCTTTTAATAAGACACCAACAAAGGAAACATTGTTTGCAAAGCCACCCACGTATCTCCAAGTTTCATTGCAGCCCCATGGATACCTTAGCCCTTATGCAGCCAGCATCTGGACAGTTTCTAATGGTGTCCCTTCTATTTTCCATTGTTTATAATCTGGAAGTTCCATTTTACTTTCTTCATGTTCATGTCCATGTCCACAGTCCATGTCTGACAACAATCTGACCTCTCAGGACACTCAACTCAGGATTTTCTAGATATATGTTCATATCATTGGCAAACAGTGACAGTTTGACTTCCGCTTTCCCAATTTAGATTTCTTTTATTTTTATCTCTTTTCTGATTGCTCTGGCTAAGACTTCTAGAACTATGTTGAATAGAAGTGGTGAACCTGGGCATTCTTGTGTTGCTCCAGTTCTCAGGGGGAATGCTTTCAACGTTTCCCCATTCAGAGTGATGTTGGCTGTGAGTTTATCATAGATGGCTTTTATTACTTTGAAGTATGTTTTTTGTTTTGTTTTGTTTTGAGATGGAGTCTCACTCTGTCACCCCAGGCTGGAGTGCAGTGGTGCGATCTCAGCTTACTGCAACCTCTGCCTCCCGGGTTCAAGTGATTCTGGTGCCTCAGCCTCCCGAGTAGCTGGACTAGGGGCGCGTGCCACTGCGCCCGGCTAATTTTTTTTGGATTTTTAGTAGAGATAGGGTTTTGCCATGTTGGCCAGGCTGTTCTCGAACTCCTGACCTCAGGTGATCCACTCACCTCGGCCTCCCAAAGTGCTGGGATTACAGGTGTGAGCCGCCACGCCTGGCAAAGTATGTCTCTTCTATGCCAATTTTGTTGAGGGCTTTTAACATGAGGGATGCTGGATTTTATCAAATACTTTTTCTGCATCTATTTAGAAGATCACATAATTTTTTAAATTCTGTGTATCACATTGCAATTTTCATACGGATTGTACTGCATCTGTAGATGGGGTAGTATAAACATTTTAACAATATTTCTTCTTCTACTCAATAAACATGGGATATCTTTCCATTTATTCATATCTTACTCAATTTCTTCCATCAGTGTGTTGTAGTTTTCAGTGTACAAGACTTTCACCACCTGGGTTCAATTCATTGCTATTTTTTTTTTTTTGTAGCACGTGAATATAAAATTGTTCTCTTGATCTTTTTTGGATAGTTTATTGTTAAGCATACAGAAATGCCACTCATTTCTGTGTGTTCATTTTATATTCTGCAGGATTATTGTATTTGTTTATTAGTTCTAACAGAGTTTTTGGTGGAGTCTGTAAAGTTTTCTACATATAAAATTATATCATCAGCAAGCAGTGACAATTTCACTTCTTCCTTTCTTTTTTAAATGCCTTTTATTTCTTTCTTTTGCCAAATTGCCCTGGAAAGGACTTCCAATACTATGAGGAATGAAGTGGCCAGAGTGAGCATTCTTGTCTTGTTTCAGATCTTAAAAGAAAGGCTTTCAATTTTTCACCATTGAGCATAATATTAGCTGTGGGCTTCTATGTGGTCTTCCTGTGTTCAGGTACATTTCTTCTACACCTAATTTGGTGAGCAATTGTAATGATGAAAATATGTTGAGTTTAGTCAAATGCTCTTTCTGCATCAAATGAGATGATCATATGAATTTGTCCTTCATTCTGTTAATGTGATGGATCACATGTACTGATTTGCAAATGTTGAACCAACTTTGCATGCCAGGGTTAAATCCCACTTGATAATAGTGGATGACCCTTTTAGTGTGTTGTTGAATTTGGTTTGCTGTAATAGTACTTTGTTGAGAATTTTTGCGTTTATATTCATCAAGGTTATTGACCTGTAATTTCTTTTCTTATAATGTCCTTGTTTGGCTTTGGTATCAGGGTAATGCTGACCTTGACAAAAAGAGTTTGTAAATATTTCCTCCTCTTGAAATTTTTGGAAGAGGTTTGAGAAGGATTGGTATTATTTCTTTTTTAGATGTTTGATGTAACTCAGCAGTGAAGCCATGAGGTCTTGAGCTTTACTTTGACGGAAAACCTCTTATTACTGATTTAATACCTTTACTTGTTATTGGACTATTCAAATTTTCTACTTTTTTATAATTCAGTCTTGGTAGGTTGTATATGTCTATAAATTTATCTATTTCTTCTAGGTTCTCAAATTTGTTGGCATATAACTGTTCATAGTAATCTGTTACAATCTTTTGTATTTCTGTGGTATCAGTTGTAACATCTCTTTCATTTCTGATTTTACTTGAGACATCTCTTTTTTCTTAGGTAATGAAGATAAAAGTTTATCATTTTTGTTTGTCTTTTCAAAAAATAACTTTTTCTTTTGTTGATCTTTCATATTGTTTTTCCAGACTTTGTTTCATTTAATTCTGCTCTGATCTTTATCTCCTTCCTTCTGCTTTTTGTGTTTCTTCTCCTTCTGCAGCTCCTCTTAGGTGATGTTTGGTCTCTTGATGATATTCCATAATTCCTGTAGGCTTTCCTTATTATATTTTATTCTTTTGCCTTTTTGTTCCTTTGACTGGATACTTTCAAATGTTCTCTCTTCTAGTTCAGTGGTCCTTTCTACTGCTTGAGAGAGTCTGCTGTTGAAGCTTTCTACTGAAACTTTATAATTTTCTTTTGGAGGAGTCAGGTTTCTCTATTTTTTTTTTTTTTTTTTTTTTTGGTAATCTTTGTGTCCTTACATTGTTGTCTGCACATCTGAGGGGACAACATCTTTTCTGGACTTTATAGGTGTTCTTTGAAGGGACAGTCCTTCATTATTTAGTCTAGCCTGTGCTTCTGTTATGACCAGACAGTGACAACCTTGGACAGGCAGAGTTTCTTGTAAGTTCTATAGTTGGCTAAGCTGCTGCCGCTGTTCTGATTTTGAGTGGGGCTGCTTGTTGGGCTGTGCTATCGGTGAGAACACTGGCTGGGCTCTACTGTCAGACAGAGCTGCTGGGTGGGTATAGTGATGACTTCTGTTGAGGCTGGTCACAACACGTATACTTTGGCTGGGTAATTTTACTACTTGGGCTCTGCAGTTGGGCAGGAATTCTGGCTAGGCTTTGAGGTTAGGTAGAGTTGCTGCTCAGGATGGGCAGCATGGGAAGCTATACTCCTTAGAAATGCACAGTTTCAGATTGCCTCCCTTCAGGGTGGAGCAGTGGGGTGGGCTTTTGGTTGAGTTAAACAGTTGTTAGATGTTCCTGGTCAAGCAGTTATATCCCCTGTACTTCTATGAAATGCACAGAAGTGAGAGTCTCCCTGCCTGGGCAGGGACACTGAATGAGCTTTTGGCTAAGTGAAGCCACTGCCTGACTTCCTGGGTCAAGCCGTCTAATCACTTTGCTTCTCTGAAATGTGTGAAGGTGGGATTCTCCTCACTTGGGCAGGGTCATTGAGGTGGGATCTGAAGCTGGGCATGGAGACTAGCTATCTAGAAATTCAAGCTAGATTGAACTTTCTACCATGTTTTTGATGCAACCAGCTCATCTTTAAATATGTGCTATGTTAGCTAGTATCTCTGATCTGGCACCACAGCTGACAGAAGCACAGAGGTACCACCAATAACTGCCTGCTGTTCACTATGACCTCTGCCTCCTTTCTTTGTTTCTATCTAACATGCAGTGGTCTAACCATAATGTTTCCCCTAGTATTCCCTATCCAGTAAGAACAGAGTGATCCTTGGAGGTGTCTCTTGTTCTCTTTCCCTTCTGTAGAAACCTTGGGACCAGGGAAATCCTCTTTGTGGTGTGTCAACTTGAGGGAGTGGGAGGGGTGACATGGTTGGAATAAGGGCATCCTTTTTACCTTCCAATTTGGATTTCATTCAGTTTTTCAACCACACCTATGTCTTAGGATTGTTTTCATGTAGAGGAGTTTTCAAAAAATGTTCTGGTCTGTGGGTAGTTGCTAGTTGAACTTTCTGTGGCAGCAACGGAGACAAAGATTTTTCTATTCTGCCATCTTGCTGATGTCATTCCCTAGCATGGCTCTCTTGAAATGTTACCCCACATTGTGGCGGTCTGAGTTTACATTAAAGGGGCATTCTATGACATTGTTAAGGTTTGCAGATACCAACATTTCTGAATCAATTAGATTCATCCACTTTTCACCCTTATTCTTTGACCCAGTACCTCAATTTCCTTGGTCTACAACTCCTTATCTTCCTACTGTCTTCATGGCCCTTGGATATATAATTTAGTTTGTTCTTGCTTGCAGCCTTGAGTTTCTCCAAGCCCCATTTGGAAAGTCCTCCTTGATTTGGTGTGTTTCCATAGAATACTTAGTTTAATGACCCTTCCTAATCTCTAGCTTCTCTTTGTCTACCCACATACCTTTTTGGAGAGTCATAGATAGTATCTACCTCATAAATGTATTGTGAGACCCAAAGGTAATAATATATGTGTAAGCGCTTTATAAACTCTGATTTCTTTATACTTGTAATGAAATCTTTAGTTTTAAGGCCATGAGTTCCCAAACAAAAAGATTACAGCAAAAGTAGGGAACGGGAAAAAGAGTAGGTAGGTAGAAAGTTTATCTCTGTCAGTGGTAAGATAAATCAAAAGCATGAAATACAGTGGCCTTTGGAAGAGTCAGGGCAGCTAGGTTGGGTTGTCCTCATCAGTCGGATAGAGAGCACTGCACAATTCATCTTCCTCTCTGCCCCTCTATCTCAAACAATTTGTAGATCCCTCTTCCATTTTTCTCATGCCAGATTTTTTCTTCTTAATTTTTCCCCATGCTAGATTTTTTCCTACCCTTAGTTTAGGACATTTTATCCCATTATTTCTCTCCTTATATTACTTTCCTGCTTCTTCTGCCTTATGATTTTCTGGTTATTGCTCTTTATCCTTAAAGTGGGTTTTGTTATGGTTTCTGGGGCAGCTGCTCTAGAAGCTTGTAGTACATGTCATACTAGGAGTCAACCTCACCACTTTGCCTGCTCGGAGAATATTCTTTGCTATAGTAAAGAGATAAGAAAGAGAAGCTGAAAAGCATGGTGAAGAGAGTGATGCATAAGGAGTCAGGAAGTCTGGATTATACCGTGCATATGCTGGGTAAACGTTGGTAAGTCCCTAGCCTCATGGAGGTCTCAGGTTTACCTATTTATACATAGAAGGTGCTAAACTAGATAACGTCTAAGAGGTCTGATGTGCTGGATTCTGAAAATGTCATCTTAACTTGCAACACAGAGAATTATTTTTTGTGTGTGGGAATAGAGGATAGTAGGACTTGAGCTAGTGATTGACCGACTGGAATAAATTAGCTCTCTTGTTTCCTAGCACATTGCATCATGTTTCTATTCTTAGAGTCTCTAATCAATGCCTGAAAATACAGATTGGAGACCCTGCTTCCCAAAATAACTTTCTACTGTGTGAGCATATAGTGTCTGCACACTGAAAATAATTGACTGTATTGTGAGCT
Source organism: Homo sapiens (assembly GCF_000001405.40). Taxonomy (NCBI): domain Eukaryota; kingdom Metazoa; phylum Chordata; class Mammalia; order Primates; family Hominidae; genus Homo; species Homo sapiens. The sequence continues at coordinate 141,375,595 of NC_000023.11, read as the reverse complement.
GAAAAACTCTGAATAAACTTTTTATTTCCAAAACATGCAGTTGGCAGGTTTCCTAGGATGTGATGAAAGGGGATAAAGAGCTTCCAGGTTGCTTAAGAAAATGGCCCGGGAGTTTTACAGTCCACTAAGCTCTAGATTAATCAGAATCAAATATCATTGATTCTACCTTCAATTTTATCAAAGATTATGGGACCTTTTTCTCTAAAGCAAACCATTCTGTAGCCACTGAAATAAAAATAATTTCCAGAGAATTTGGAATTGCTTTCAGCAAATTAGATTGTGAGATGAAAACAAGTACTTACTGACTTAATTTCTCTAACACATGCTTCATGAACACATACTTTGAATGTTATAATAACTTGTGCAAGAGTATATGCAGCAATGACTTATAACTAGGGAGTCTGAGTCAAGGTCTAAGCTGGATGTTTGAATTTGTAGAACTGATTACGATAATCTTTTATGCCCCTGAGTTCTTTTCCCTTGCATAGCTAAATCAGAAATTTTGACATCTTTCCAAATCCCAAACTCTCAACCTCTCTGCATCTGTATCAAAACTCCTTTAAATTAACTCTCAACCTCCCTGCATCTGTATTAAAACTCCTTTAAATTCTTCCTGCTACTGTGAAAGTAGCACTTTATGACTATCTAAGACCAACCCCTCAACTGCGTTTTGGATTTCATATCCTCTCACCCTGTGGAAGAAATCACTGCTGCAATAAGTGTTTCCTTCTCTCTTGTGTATCAAACATTCCTCCCTTTCTACTATGTCATTTCCATCAGAAATAAAAATAGAAGGACAAACAATTTTTAAAAAACTAAGTACCTTTTCTATTATTAGAAGCAAAAATAAAAAATGTACTTTACTCTATATCACCCTCCAGCTACAGCCGAATTTCTCGGTTGCCTTTTACAAAAAAGCAATACTTTTCAAAGATGCCTTTTCATCTGTTTATTTCTTATATTGCTGGGCACATGGTTTCAGGCTTCTTTCATTGTCTGCTTGCTTCTTCTCTGCACGATCTCTAAATACTAGAGTATCTGCAATCTGCCCCTGGCCCTCTACCAACCTACGTTCTTGCCTAATCAATCTCAATCTATTCCATAGCTCTACACATGCCCCAAGTGCAGATCTTTCTCTTCAGTTTTAGACATATATGAAACTGCCTAATCAATATCTCTACTTGAATGTTCAGTAGGCATCTGTATTAGTCCGTTCCCATGCTGCTGATAAAGACATACGGGAAACTGAGAAGCAAAAGAAATTTAATTGGACTTACAGTTCCACATGGCTAGGAGGTCTCAGAATGATCGCAGGAGGCGAAAGGCACTTCTTACATGGCAGCGGCAAGGGAAAATGAGGGGGATGCAAAAGCAGAAACCCCTGATAAAATTATCAGATCTCATGAGACTTATTCACTAACACGAGAACAGTATGGGGGAAACTACCCCCATAATTCAAATGAGCTCCCAGTGGGTCCCTCCCACAATATGTGGGAATTATGGGAGTACAATTCAAAATGAGATTTGGGTGGGGACACAGAGCCAAACCTATCAGCATCTCAATCCTAAAATTTGTAAATAGGACTCTTAATCCATGCCTACCCCATAGGCAACCTGGTCCTCCACAGACTTTTTCTTTACAGTGTCACCCACCCATCTTCTCAGTTCAAATACCTAGCTGTATCCTCATCTCTCCTAACTCCTCCAATCCCCACATCCAATCTATCAGTAAATCCCAGGAGGCTCTATCTCCAAAATATTTCCTGAATTCAACCTCTTACTGTGTTCTGTACTACAAACCTAGTTTCAGTCACAATCATCTCTCTCCTGAACCCTTGCAATAGCTTCTGAATTGATCTACCTGCTTCTTCCCTTGCCCTTTTTTGGCCGATTTGCCACAAAGCAGACAGGATGATCCTTTCAGAAGTTAGTCAGATCATGTAATTCTCCTGCACAAAACACTCCTTTGTGTTTTCATTACCTTTAGAATAAAATCTAGACTCCTTACCATGTCCTTCAATATGCTGCAGGATCTGGACCTCTGGCCACCACTTTTATCTCATCTTCCACTCCTTGTCTACTGTCCTTGGGCTACATCATATTATTTTTCCTGAAACATGCTAAGCTTGTTGCTATACTAAGACTTTTGCACTAGTTCCCTTTCATATTTGTCATCTACTTTTATCATTATTAAACCCAATGTGTGTGGAGGTAGAACTGTAATTTGCATGTGAGATTTGATGAGATCAATCTACAGACTTTGCAGCTGCAGTACAAAAGATGCACGCAGTGAGACTTGGAAAGAAAATCAAATATATTAAACTGCCAATTCACTCAAAAATAATCCCCTAATATTCTTTTATGAAGAGAAGCTTGTTGAATTATATGTTACTCTTAGTTCTCTATCATATAATTACTTTAGAAAAGAATTTTGTACTGCAATTAAAAATATGGTAAAATCATAATATTCATAAAAATAATTTTCCTGCCATTAAGACACTTAGATTGGTTTTTCTTCAGTAGAAATACTGTAATATAATTGACCTTTTGTGCAATCCTTGATTTCCTTAAATTAAAAAGAGAATATAAGATGAAAAAAGTAAATATTATAAGGAAGTAGAATATTTCTATAATTTTTAGAAATTTTCATTTTATAAAGCTTTTTGTTGAATATTTCTGGGTTAGGATTGATAGATATAAAACCTGATTTGATTGCTTTGCAAAATCCATTTACTGAGAATAACTTTTTTCTTTGTTATCAGAATTGATTAAATCTAGCTATTCATTTGGGATGACACAATTAGGCAAAGAACGAGCCTGTCTGTGTGACTAAATTGGGACCACCACAACCAATGCATCCAGTGACCTTTCTTAATTCTTTTACCCTGAACAATAAACTGAATTGAATTTTAGAAAGAACTTATAATCTCGAGACCAGTTGTTTTTAAAGTGTCCTTTAAGAAAGCTACAATATCAGTCAAGATTAGTTCCTCTAGCATTATGCTGCTGCAGTATGCAATCAGTCAACTATCTCATGATGAGATTTAGCCAGGAGAATTTGCAGGACTATACTTAGGATCTGCAATGAAAATTGATTCATTAACATATGAGCCATACATTATTGACTTTTGCTTAGGAAAAAAATCATCAGTTTTAAAATCAGTTTATTTGAGTAGTCTAATTTTCTTTTCTGAATGAAGGAAAATTTCCAAGAGTATATATACATCTCCTGTCCTTTTAAATGTTCTTCACATACTAAGACATGTTATCTGTTACCCACCTACTTTTGTCATAATGAAAATCGTTATTACAAAGAAACTTTTTTAAAACATATATGTTTTAAAGGCAATGTGCACCCTAAGACATATTGTTTGAAATGTGTTTCTGGCTTTTGGGGTTGGTGTAGGTATTCTTAAAAACAGGCCTTTTCTACAGATTATCATCAAGGTGTAGGCTTGGTAGGTTTAGATCCTGCTAACAGTGTGTTCCAGTACTGGGAAGTTGATGTTGGAGTAAAAGGAACACAAACTCTCAAGAAGTTACATAGATTTTTTCCGCAAGCAGCTCTTGCAGCAAGAATTTATGAAGTGACGCTGGTCTTGAGAGAGTAAGAATGGAATGAAAATAAGTCAAATAGAGTGTGAGCTTAAAGAAAAGCTGAAACCATATCATGGTGTACCCAGCTCAAAAAGTGTTATGGGAATAAGGAACATATTCTTGTCAGTACAGCTGTCTTTTAACAATATTTTGAAAATAACAGAATTTCAGTTATTTAAAATATACTTTGTTGCAATGTTTAGTTCTCTTATAATAAGATACTACCGCACACTTATTAAAATGGCTTTTTAAAACTTTAAGTTCCAGGATACATGTGCAGAACGTGTAGGTTTGTTAGATACGTATATATATGCCATTGTGGTTTGCTGCACCTATTGACTCCTCCTCTAAGTTCCCTCCCCTCGCCCCACACCCCATAAGAGACCCTGGTGTTTGTTGGTCCCCCTCTGTGTCCATGTGTTCTCATTTCTCAACTCCCACTGATGAGTGAGAACATGCGATGTTTGGTTTTCTGTTCCCATGTTAGTTTGCTGAGAATGATGGCTTCCAGCTTCATCGATGTTCCTGAAAAGGACATGATCTCATTCCTTTTTCTGGTTGCATAGTATTCCATTATGTATATGTACCACATTTTCTTTATCCAGTCTATCATTGATGGGCATTTGGGTTGGCTCTATGACTTTGCTATTGTAAATAGTGCTGCAATAAACATACATGTGTGCATGTGTCTTTATAGTAGAATGATTTATATTCCTTTGGGTATATACCCAGAAATGGGATTGCTGGGTCAAATGGTATTTCTGGTTCCAGATCCTTGAGGAATCACCATACTGTCTTCCACAAAGGTTGAACTAATATGACATTCCCACCAACAGTGTTAAAGTGTTCCTATTTCTCCACAGCCTTGCCAGCATCAATTGTTTCTTGGCTTTTTAATAATCACCATTTTGACTGGTGTGAGACGTTATCTCACTGTGGTTTTGATTTGCATTTTTCTAATGATCAGTGATGTTGAGCTGTTTTGCATATGTTTGTAGGCTGAGTAAATGTGTTCTTTTGAGAAGTGTCTGTACATATCCTTTGCCCACTTTTTGATGGGGTTGTTTTATTCTTGTAAATATGTCTAAGTTCCTTGTAAATCCTGAATATTAGGTCTTTGTCGGATGGGTAGATTGCAAAACTTTTCCCCATTCTGTAGGTTGCCTGTTCACTCTGATGATAGTTCCTTTTGTTGTGCAGAATCTCTTTTGTTTCATTAGATCCCACTCATCAGTTTTGGATTTTGTTGCAATTGCTTTTGGCATTTTCGTCATGAAGTCGTCGCCCATGCCTATGTCCTGAATGTCTATTGCCTAGGTTTTCTTCTAGGGTTTTTATGGTTTTGGGTTTTACATTTAAGCCTTTAATCCATCTTGAGTTAATTTTTGTATGAGGTGTAAAAAGGGGGTCCAGTTTCGGTTTTCCGCATATGGCTAACCAGTTTTCCTAGCACCATTTATTGAATAGGATATCCTTTCCCCATTGCTTGTTTTTGTCAGGTTTGTCGAAGATCAGATGGGTGTAGATGTGTGGCGTTATTTCTGAGGGCTCTGTTCTGTTCTATTGGTCTGTATGTCTGTTTTGTTACCAGTACCATGCTGTTTTGGTGACTGTAGCCTTGTAGTACAGTTTGAAGTCAGGTAGTGTGATGCCTCCAGCTTTGTTCTTTTTGCTTAGGATTGTCTTGGCTATATAGGGTCTTCTTTGATTCCATATGAAATGTAAAGTAGTTTTTTATAATTCTGTGAAGAATGTCAATGGTAGTTTGATGGGAATAGTACTGAATCTATAAATTAATTTGGGCAGTATGGCCATTTTCACGATATTGACTCTTCCTATCCATGAGGATGGAATGTTTTTCCATTTGTTTGAGTCCTCTCTTATTTCCTTGAGCAGTGGTTTGTAGTGCTTCTTGAAGAGGTCCTTTACATTCTTTGTTAGCTGTATTCCTAGGTATTTTATTGTCTTCGTACCAGTTGTGAATGGGAGTTCATTCATGATTTGGCTCTCTGCTTGTCTATTGTTGGTGTAAAGGAATGATTTTTGAACATTGATTTTGTATCCTGAGACTTTGCTAAAGTTACCTATCAGCTTAAGGAGTTTTGGGGCTGAGATGATGGGGTTTTCTAAACAGAGACAATTTGACTTCCTCTCTTCCTACTTGAATACCCTTTATTTCTTTCTCCTACCTGTTTGCCCTGGCCAGAATGTCCAATACTATGTTGAATAGGAGTAGTGAGAGGGGGCATTCTTGTCTTGTACAGGTTTTCAAAGGGAATGCTTCCAGTTTTTGCCCATTCAATATGATATTGGCTGTGGGTTTGTCATAAATAACTCTTCTTATTTTGAGATATGTTCCATCAATGCCTAGTTTATTGAGAGTTTTTAATATGAAGGGATGTTGAATTTCATCAAATGCCTTTTCTGTATCTACGGAGATAATAGTGTGATTTCTGTCTTTGGTTCTGTTTATGTGATGGATTATATTTATTGATTTGCACATGTTGAACCAGCCTTGCATCCCAGGGATGATGCCAACTTGATCGTGGTAGATAAGTTTTTTGATGTGCAGCTGGATTCGGTTTGCCAGTATGTTAATAAGGATTTTTGCATCAGTGCTCATCAGGGATATTGGCCTGAAGTTGACTATTTTTGTGTGTCTCTGACAGGTTTTGGTATCAGGATGATGCTGGCTTCATAAAATGAGTTAGGGAGGAGTCCCTCTTTTTCAACTGTTTGGAATAGTTTCAGAAGGAATAGTACCAGCTCCTGTTTGTATTTCTGGTAGAATTTGGCTGTGAATCCATCTGGTCCTGGGCTTTTTTTGGTTGGTAGGCTATAAATTAATGCCTCAATTTCAGCACTTGTTATTGGTCTATTCAGGGATTCAACTTCTTCTTGGTTTAGTCTTGGGAGGGTGTATTTGTCCAGTAATTGATCCATTTTTTCTAGATTTTCAAGTTTGTTGGCATAGAGGTGTTTATAGTATTCCCTGATGGTAGTTTCTATTTCTGTGGGGTCAGTGGTGATATCCCCTTTATCATCTCTTATTGTGTCTATTTGATTCTTTTTTTTTTTTTTTTTTTTTTTTGAGACGGAGTCTCGCTCTGTCGCCCAGGCTGGAGTGCAGTGGCGGGATCTCGGCTCACTGCAAGCTCCGCCTCCCGGGTTCACGCCATTCTCCTGCCTCAGCCTCCCGAGTAGCTGGGACTACAGGCGCCCGCCACTACGCCCGGCTAATTTTTTGTATTTTTAGTAGAGACGGGGTTTCACCGTTTTAGCCGGGATGGTCTCGATCTCCTAACCTCGTGATCCGCCCGCCTCGGCCTCCCAAAGTGCTGGGATTACAGGCGTGAGCCACCACGCCCGGCCTGTCTATTTGATTCTTATCTCTTTTCTTCTTTATTAGTCTAACTAGCCATCAATTTTGTTCATTTAAAAAAAAAACGGCTCCTGGATTGATTTTTTTGGAGGGATTTTTGTGTCTCTATCTCCTTCAATTCTGTTGTGATCTTAGAAATTTCTTGTCTTATGCTAGCATTTGGATTAGTTTGCTCTTGCCTCTCCTGCTCTTTTAATTGTGATGTTAGGGTGTCAATTTGAGGTCTTTCTAGATTTCTGATGAGGGCATTTAGTGCTATAAATTTCCCTCTCAATATTGCTTTAGCTGTGTCCCAGAGATTCTAGTACATTGTCTCTTTGTTCTCATTGGTTTCAAAGAACTTCTTGATTTCTGCCTTAATTTCATTGTTTATCCAGTAGTCATTCAGGAGCAGGTTGTTCAATTTCTATGTAATTTTGTGGTTTTGAGTGAGTTTCCTAATCCTGAGTTCTAATTTGATTGCACTGTGGTTTGAGAGACTGTTTGCTATGATTTCAGTTCTATTGCATTTGCTGAGGAATGTTTGGCTTCCAATTATATGGTTGATTTTAGAATAAGTGTCATGTGGCACTGAGTAGAATGTATATTCTGTTGATTTGGGGTAGAGAGTTCTGAGGATTTCTATTAGGTCCACTTGATCCAGAGCTGAGTTTAAGTCCTGAATATCCTTGTTAATTTTGTCTCATTGACCTGTCTAATATTTACAGTGGGGTGTTGAAGTATCCCACTATTATTGTGTGGGAGTCTAAACCTCTTTGTAGATCTTTAAGAACTTTTTTTTATGAATCTGGGTGTTCCTGTATTGGGTGCATATATACTGAGAATAGTTAGCTCTTCTTGTTGAATTGTTCCCTTTACCATTATATAATGCTCTTCTTTGTCTTTTTTGATCTTTGTTGGTTTAAAGTCTGTTTTGACAGAGACTAGGATTGCAAATCCTTTTTGTTTTTTTTTTTTAGCTTTCCATTTGCTTTGTAAATTTTCCTCCATCCCTTTACTTTGAGCCTATGTGTGTCTTTGCACGTGAGATGAGTCTTCTGCATACAGCACACCAATGGGTCTTGACTCTTTATCCAGCTTGCCATTCTATGTCTTTTAATTAGGGCATTTAGCCCATTTACATTTAAGGTTACTAATATTATGTGTGAATTTGATCCTGTCATCCTGATGTTATCTGGATATTTTGCACACTAGTTGATGCAGTTTCTTCATAGTGTCATTGGTCTTCACATTTTGGTGTGTATTTACAGTAACTGGTACCGGTTTTTTCTTTCCATATTTAGTGCTTCTTTCAGGAGCTCTTGCAAGGCAGTCCTGCTGGTAATGAAATCCCTCAGTATTTGTTTGTCTGGAAAGGATTTTATTTCCCTCTTGCTTATGAAGCTTAGTTTGGCTGGATATGAAATTCTGGGTTGAAATTTTTTTTTCTTTAAGAATGTTGAATATTGGCCCCTGATCTCTTCTGGCTTGTAGAGTTTCTTCTGAGAGGTCTGCTGTTAGTCTGATGGGCTTCCCTTTGTAGGTGACCTGGCCTTTCTCTCTGGCTGCCCTTAACATTTTTTCCTTCATTTCAACCTTGGAAAATCTGATGTTTATATATCTTGGGGTTGATCTTCTCATGGAGTACCTTAGCGGTGTTCTCTGTATTTCCTGAATTTGCATGTTGGCCTGTCTCGCTAGATTGGGGAAGTTCTCCTGGATAATATCCTAAAGTGTGTTTTCCAGCTTGTTTCTCTTCTCCCCATCTCCTTCAGGTACTCCAATCAATTGCAGGTTCAGTCTTTTTACAAAGTCCCATATTTCCTGGAGGCTTTGTTCATTCCTTTTCATTCTTTTTTCTCTAGTCTTGTCTCTATGACTTATTTCAGCAAGGTGGTCTCAAACCTCTGATACCCTTTCTTCTGCTTGGTTGATTTGGCTATCTGTACTTGTGTATGCTTCACGAAGTTGTTGTGCTGTGTTTTTCAGCTCTATCAGGTCATTTATGTTCCTCTCTAAACTGGTTATTCTAGTTAGGATATCCTCTAAACTTTTTTTTTTTTTTTTTTTGACAGAGTCTCACTGTGTCACCCAGGCTGGAGCACAGTGGCATGATCTCAGCTCACTGCAACCTCCACCTCCCAGGTTCAAGGAATTCTCCTGTCTCAGCCTCCTGAGTAGCTGGGATTACACGTGTGCACCACCATGCCTGGCTAATTTTTGCATTTTTAGTAGAGACAGGGTTTCGCCATGTTGGTCAGGCTGGTCTCGAACTCCTGACCTCGTGATCCGCCCCCCACCCCCTCGGCCTCCCAAAGTGCTGGGATTACAGGCTTGAGCCACCACGCCCAGCTCCTCTAACCTTTTATGAAGGTTCTTATATTCTTTGCATTAGGTTAGAACATACTCCTTTAGCTCAGCATAGTTTTTTATTACCCATCTTTTGAAGGCTACTTCTGTCAATTGGTTTATCTCATCCTACATCCAGTTCTGTACCCTTGCTGTAGAGATGTTGTGATAATTTGCAGGAGAAGAGGCACTCCGGCCTTTTGTATATGTATATATATCTATTTAATTTATCTATTGACTTCTTGGCTATACCTCTTCATATTATTGTTAATATTTAGTATTTGCTCAATGGATTAGAATATACATACTTAACCATTCACGGTCAACTTAACATTTACCAACCTCCAGTGAAATATAGGCCTTTCAACCACATATTTTTATTTACCTTCCCCCTTTAAGTTATAGTCATCATATTTACTGCATCTATATACATTGAAAACTCCACTACATAATATTTTTTGCTTTCAACAGTGATAAATATTTTTTAAAAATTTAAGAGGAGAAAAATATTATATTATATTTTCCCACATATTGGCAATTTCTTTTATATTTATTCAGATATTGGCCATTTCTGCAAAGGCAATGGACAGTTCTTGAGTCAATGTTGCCTATTAGAGGATTTATGTGCCTAACAATACTGGGCCTAACTTAGTATTTTTGCTGCATTCAGTCATAGGCTGTGAGCAGCACATGGAAAGTGTGGCATGAATATGATGAATTTTACAGCATGGCAACTGGGGACTTTGTTCAATTATGTTTACTGCACTCAGAGATTTAAGAGGCAGGTTTTTAAGGACATCACAGTAGGATTTTTGTAGATAGCTCATAGTAGGGTCTTGCTTTTATATGCAGTCTAATAGTGTTTTCCTTTTACTTGTGTTTAGACAATTCACTTTCAGTGTGATTTTTGATAGGGTTAAGTTTAATTCTACCATCTTAGTATATGTTTTCTACTTGTTTCAACTATTCTTTGTTCATCCATTCCTTTATTCTTGCCTTTTTCTTGTATTTCATGTCCAATATTAACTTTTTAGGTATACTTTTTGTTCAGTGTTTTCAGTGGTTGCTGTAGAGTTTAAAACATACCCCATTTAACTTATGCCCATCTATCTTAAAGTCATATAGCACTATAGCATATATATATGTATGCCATATATAGATATAGTGTTATGTAAGATCCTTACAATGGCGTACTTCCAGTTATCTCCTCAAATCCCTTGTTTTTGTCATGCGTTTTAAATCTACATATGTTAAATCCCAAGATATATTATTATTTTTACTTGCTATAGTCAATTATTTTTAAAATAAATTTAACTTTAACTTTTTTCAATGAGGAAAGAATTCTGAATATCTTTGCACATACTTATTATTTCTGCTGCTCTAATCTTTTTATGTTGATCCAGGGTTTTCTGTGGTATCCTTGTGTTCTCACTTGAAGAACTTTCTTTCACATATTTAGTATTACATACATATTTGCTGGAAAAATTCAGTTTTGTCTGTCTGAGAAATCTTATTTCTCTTGATGTTAAAAGGAGTTTCTTTCTGTATATTGAATTCTAGGTTGCACTTTTCTATCAGTAATTTATAGATGTCATATCACCTACTGGCTTGCATAGTTTCTGATGAGAAGTGAATATGTATTTTTACCTTCCTTCCTTTGTATGAAAGCTATTATTTTCCCCCCTTTGGCTGCTTTATAATTTTTCTCTATCATTGGTTTTCAACTATTTTGTTACAATGTATCTTGATGTGTTTTGTTGTTGCTGTTATTGTTTATAGTCTTTTATGTTTGTTAAACTTTGTGGGTCTATGGTTTTATAGTTTTCATGAAATTAAGAAAAATAAATCAACTTCAAATATATTTTCTGTCTTCTCTAAGTGCATTTAATATGATTACACACATGTTAAACCTGCTTTATATTGTCCTGCAGATTTCTAAGATTCTGATTTTTTAAGTTCTTTTTCTTTCTCAAGTGCAGTTTGGAGAGTCATCTATTGTTGCACCTTCGTCTTTTATTCTGCAGTAACTAAACTGCTTTTAAACCCATCTTCTAAATATTTTGTTTCAGATACTGTATTCTTCATCTCTACAACTTCTTTTTGTTTCCAACTTAAACCTCCCATTTACCTCTTCATAGTGTGCATGACTTCCTTCAAATATTTGAACATATATATAATAATTATTTAAAATTGTTTTTTAATACAGTAATTTTTGTCATTTCTGAACATTTCCATTGGCTGATTTCTCTCCTGGCTATGTATTTCTTCTTTTACTGCTTTGCATGGTGAAGAATATTTGATTGAATACTGAACATTTTATATTGTTAAATATCAGAATCCCACTGTGTATCTTTAAGAAATGTTGAACTTAGTTTTGTCAGACAGTTAAATAACTTTCACATCAATTTTGTTAGGATGGATCTAAAGTATCCTTTACTTTAAGTCTAGTTTCACCTCTACTAAAATGTGATTGTCCAGAAGTTGCCTGAATGCTCCAGTTTTTCAACAAAGTATCTCCACTTTGACTGGTTAGAATTTGAATGACTTCCAGCCCTGTTGTATGCTGTAGGAATAGTTCAGTTTACAGCTCTCCATAAGTGCTTTACCCAGCATCATGACGTTTCAGCTTACACATGCACATTTTAGTATTCAGCAACATTCTCAGCAAAACTTCTGTGAAGATTTCTCAAATTCATTCTCTCTGTAGCTCAACAATCTTGTCTCCAGAACCATTTCCCACAAATTCCATATGCATCTGCTTCTTCAAACTTTAACATCTGTATTTCCAACTGATAAAGATTGTTATGTTTTGCTTCTTGTCTTCCATTCTGTGCCACAGTCTGAAAGTACCTGTGATATGATTTGGCTGTGTCCCCACCCAATTCTCATCTTGAATTGTAACTCCCAGAATTCCCATATGTCGTGGGAGGAACTTGGCGGGAGATGATTAAATTATGGGGATGGGTCTTTCCTGCGCTGTTCTCATGATAGTGAATGAGTCTCACAAAATCTGATGGTTTTAAAAACAGGAGTTTCCCTGCACAAGCTCTCTTTGTGCTTGCCACCATCCACATAAGATGTGAGTGAGTTGCTCCTCCTTGCCTTCCACCATGATTGTGAGGCCTCCCCAGCCATGTGGAACTGTATGTCCATTAAATAAATCTCTTGTAAATTGCCCAGTCTCAGGTATGTATTTATCAGCAGTATGAAAATGGACGAATACAGTAAATTGGTACCAAAAGAGTGGGACATTGCTGAAAAGATACCTGAAAACATGGAAGTGACTTTGGAGCCAGGTAACAGGCAGAGGCTGGAACAGTTTGTAGGGCTCAGAAGACAGGAAAATGTGGGAAAGTTTGCAACTCCCTGGAGACTTGTTGAATGGCTTTAACCAAAATGTTGATAATGATATGGACAATGAAATCCAGGCTGAGGTGATCTCAGATGGAGATGAGGAACTTGTTGGGAACTGGAGCAAAGGTGACTCTTGTTATGCTTTAGCAAAAAGACTAGTGGCATTTTGCCCCTGCCCTAGTGATTTGTGGAACTTTGAACTTGAGAGAGACAATTCAGGGTATCCGGCAGATGAAATTTCTAAGCAGCAAAGCATTCAAGAGGTGACTTGGGTGCTGTTAAAGGCATTCAGTTTTAAAAGGGAAACAGAGCATAAAACTTTGGAAAATTTGCAGCCTGACAATGCAATAGAAAAGAAAATCCCATTTCCTAAGAAGAAATTCAAGCAGGCTACAGAAATTTGCATAAGTAACAAGGAGGCAAATGGTAATCCCCAAAACAATGGGGAAAATGTCTCCAGGGCATGTCAGGACCTTTGCCACAACTTCTCCCATCACAGACCCAGAGGTATAGGAGGAAGAAGTCATTTTGTGGGCCTGGCCCAGGGTCCCTCTCCCTTGTGCAGTCTAGGGATTTGGTGGCCTGTGTCCCAGCTGCTCCAGCCGTGACTAAAAGGGGCCAAGGTACAGCTCAGGATGTTTCTTCAGAGAGTGGAAGTCCCAAACCTTGACAGCTTCCATGTGGTGTTGAGCCTGCAGGTGCACAGAAGTCAATAATTGAGGTTTGGAAACTTCCGCCAAGATTTCAGAGGATATATGGAAACATCGGGATGCCCAGGGAGAAGTTTGCTGCAGGGGCGGGGTCCTCATAGAGAACCTCTGCTAGGGTAGTGCAGAAGACAAATGTAGAGTTGGAGCCCTCACACAGAATCCCTACTCAGGCACTGCCTAGTGGAGCTGTGAGAAGAGGGTCACCGTCCTCCAGACCCCAGAATGGTAGGTCCACTGACAGCTTGCACCATGTGCCTGGAAAAGCCACAGAGACTCAGCACCAGCCCGTGAAAGAAGCCAGGAGGGGGGATATACCCTGCAAAGCCACAGGGGCAGATCTGCCAAAGGCTGTGGAAGCCCACTTTTTGCATCAGCGCATCCTGAATGTGAGATATGGAGTCAAAGGAAATGATTTTGAAGCTTTAAAATTTGACGGCCCTCCTGGATTTCAGACTTGCATGTGGCCTCTAGCCCCTTTGTTTTGGCCAATTTCTCCCATTTGGAATGGCTGTATTTACCCAATGCCTGTACCCCCATTGTATCTAGGAAGTAACTAACTTGCTTTTGATTTTACAGGCTCACAGGCAGAAATAACTTGCCTTGTTTCAGATGAGACTTTAGACTGTGGACTTTTGAGTTAATGCTGAAACGAGTTAAGACTTTGGGGGACTGTTGAGAAGGCATGATTGGTTTTGAAATGTTAGGACATGAGATTTGGGAGTGGCCAAGGGCAGAATGATACGGTTTGGCTGTGTCCCCACCCAAATCTCATCTTGAATTGTAACTCCCAGAATTCCCATCTGTCATGGGAGGAACCAAGTGAGAGATTATTAAATTATGGGGCTGGGTCTTTCCTCCGCTGTTCTTGTGATAGTAAATGAGTCTCACAAGATCTGATGGTTTTAAAAACAGGAGTTTCCCTGCACAAGCTCTCTTTTTGCCTGCCGCCATCCACATAAGATGTGACTTGCTCCTCCTTGCCTTCTGCCATGATTGTGAGGCCTCCTTAGCCATGTGGAACTGTAAGTCCATTAAATCTCTTTCTTTTGTAAATTTCCCAGTCTCCAGTATGTCTTTATCAGCAGCATGAAAATGGACTAATACAACCTCCGAACAGAATGTTGAGGCAATTGTATACCTCACCACGTTTATTTATCTTATGCCCTGGGTCAAAGTCCTCTATTGTCTATTATCTAATATCTGAAACAGCTGTTTGATATTTCATCTTTTTCTTTCAGTTTTCTAGTTGTTTATGGCTAGGTGGCAAATCTGAAATCAGTCATTTCACCAGGGCTGGAAGGTGAAGTCTAATACTGACATTTTGAACGATTTTTATATTTCTTTTATTCTTATTTTTTTCTGATTATAAAAATAAATATGCTTACACAGGAAAAGTACAGATGAATAAATAAAAGAAATTTAAATCACCCAAAGATAACTAAAATATAATTTTAATCCTTGTCTAATTTATTTCTATGTCCGAACCTAGGGTAGTTCGATTATATGCAGAGCTGTTTTATTCATTGTTAATCCTGCAATCAGCTACCCAGGTGCCTACCAGAGACACCTGTTTTTACAAATGTGAAGGAATTTTTCTGAAGGAAGTGTCTCCTTGTGGTCACTATTGCCATTACAAATGAGGGAGGGATTGTGGGAGAGAACTGTTGTCAGGGGCAACCTGTCCTTTCTGTTTCCGTGTTTTTTGAAAGCTCTTCTATTCCCTGTCATTTCTCTTGTATGGAATTGCCCACTGATTTTTATCTTAGAATCTGGGGATGTAGTGTATTCAATAATAGATTGTAAAAGAAGTATATCCTCTGTCACCTCTGTATTTCTGCACAATTAAGAAGTAGAATAGAATTATTCAATAATATATATCAAATTGCATGAAGGCATTATGCTCCCTTAAAAGAGAAAACTGTTGTTTCTTCAGATAATTTGTATCAGTGGTTCCTAAATATGGGTACAGATACTATCCACTAAAGAAGTAAATTTCTGTTCCCTACCCTCATCCCTTGCCTGAAAGATTCTGAGCAAGATACAAACATTTCTCAAATTTTCAAGTTAGATTACATTCAATTGAAATTAATTTTAAGACTTGAAGATCAAGGTCACATTTAGTGTAATTTTCAAAGAAAGTTATCAAACCGAATAGGACGACAATGGCAATATTTATACTGTCATAGGTGACTACATAAACCAGATCAACACTTCAAGAGGCAAGTTTAACAGTGGGGTTTTATATAAATTTGGTGAAGATTTTGAAGCTGCCAGTATACAATGTGAGGTCTTAAAGTATATACACCAGACAGCAAATAATATGCTTTATCTGAAATTAATTATGAATAAATGCTCAGGATCAAATGTAAATTTTTCCCACAACACCTAATGTACAGAATTGTTGTGTTTCGTTTTTTGAAATCAAATCAAATGTGGCTCCAAGACCTCCACTTGTCAAATATGGTGAATAGTTTATTGAATCTCTATTTTTATTCATGTCTTTCTCCTCATTTGGTTGCACCAGGATTGAATAGCGCAGGGCAGTAGATTAGAGGCCTTTCTGGTAATCATTCCATAGTCACTGCTGAGGATGTTGCCTAAATTTAAATGCCTAAACTTAAATGCTCTTAAAGCTATGTGGTGCTACTGGTGCTATAGTTCCTCTAAGTCAGAATGATCTGAAGGACCCTTAGCATTTAACATGGTCTTTGGTGTCATCCACACAGGTATACTCATTTCAATACACCAATACCTCTAGGATGCTTCATGGGATTTGGGCACAAGTCTCAACCACTTTGCCAACTCACCTTTCTCCTTTCCACTCCTAAAAGATTCACCTTTCAGGCCGGGCACGGTGGGCTCATGCCTGTAATCCCAGAACTTTGGGAGGCCGAGGCGGGCAGATCACCAGAGATTGGGAGTTCAAGACCAGCCTGACCAACATGGAGAAACACTGTCTCTACTAACAATACAAAATTAGCCAGGCGTGGTGGCGCATGCCTGTAATCCCAGCTATTCGGGAGGCTGAGGCAGGAGAATCGCTTGAACCCAGGAGGCGGAGGTTGCAGTGAGCCGAGATGGTGCCATTGCACTCCAGCCTGAGCAACAAGAGTAAAATTCTGTCTCAAAAACAAAACAAAACAAAGATTCACCTTTCCCTCTCAGTCTCCTGTTAAGCCATGTCTCTCTGCTACCTCTAAAGAAAGAAAAAGAAAGACTTACCCAGTTTCCATCCAGGATGATCCAGATTATTTGCTCTCAATGGGACCTAGACCTTTGAAAGTATGTGTCATTATGCTTATGTGTCATTAATATGTGTCATTATTAGGCAAATACCACAATAAATGTATTTGCCATTACACTGTCGTTCATTTATTTAATATTTACTAGAGATGTCCTTTATGCTAGGCACTGTGTTACAAAATGCCTGCCTTGATGTTTATAAGGGCTGCCATTTGCTCAATATACTCTATTCTAATTTTAGAACGTCAGAGAGATAATTTTGTAACTACACCAGCTTTCTTTAATACCTCTGCTTTACCCCTGCTATTATGATTATTTATAATTACAGTACTGGCCTGTTCAATAGTAGCATCAGAATTGCTATAACATGGGCTTAAGTCGAGGACTGCTAGGGGCATTTTCAATCTCAGTGCTTTTACCAAGACTGCAGATGTGTTTAGGGTGGTTTGGGAAGTGGCTGATAGAGAAGGGCAGAGGTAAAACCTATTTATCATTCATCGCTTAGTGATGCCACTGCTTTATCAAACTTCTTGAGTCACTTTTTTTCCTGATTCTAAAACCATGAAATTATACTCATGTCTTTTTTTGTCAGAATTAAAATGAATCACAATATGGCACTTCCCAAAGTGTATCATTAATACACTTCATTCCATTGTATGTCCATGGCTATTTATATACTTTAAAAATATTCTGAAGCTACAATGAAATAAAAGAGGATACAAACAAAAGGAAGAACATTCCATGCTCATGGGTAGGAAGAATCAATATCGTGAAAATGGCCATACTGCCCAAGGTAATTTATAGATTCAATGCCATCCCCATCAAGCTACCAATGACTTTCTTCACAGAATTGGAAAAAACTACTTTAAAGTTCATATGGAACCAAAAAAGAGCCCGCATTGCCAAGTCAATCCTAAGCCAAAAGAACAAAGCTGGAGGCATCACGCTACCTGACTTCAAACTATACTACAAGGCTACAGTAACCAAAACAGCATGTTACTGGTACCAAAACAGAGATATAGATCAATGGAACAGAACAGAGCCCTCAGAAATAATGCCACATATCTACAACTATCTGATCTTTGACAAACCTGACAAAAACCAGAAATGGGGAAAGGATTCCCTATTTAATAAATGGTGCTGGGAAAACTGGCTAGCCATATGTAGAAAGCTGAAACTGGATCCCTTCCTTACACCTTATACAAAAATTAATTCAAGATGGATTAAAGACCTAAATGTTACACCTAAAACCATAAAAACCCTAGATGAAAACCTAGGCAATACCATTCAGGACATAGGCATGGGCAAGGACTTCATGTCTAAAACACCAAAAGCAATGGCAACAAAAGACAACATTGACAAATGGGATCTAATTAAACTAAAGAACTTCTGCACAGCAAAAGAAACTACCATCAGAGTGAACAGGCAACCTACAGAATGGGAGAAAATTTTCGCAACCTACTCATCTGACAAAGGGCTAATATCCAGAATCTACAATGAACTCAAACAAATTTACAAGAAAAAAACAAACAACCCCATCAAAAAGTGGGCAAAGGACATGAACAGACACTTCTCAAAAGAAGACATTTATGCAGCCAAAAAACACATGAAAAAATGCTCACCATCACTGGCCATCAGAGAAATGCAAATCAAAACCACAATGAGATACCATCTCACACCAGTTAGAATGGCAATCATTAAAAAGTCAGGAAACAACAGGTGCTGGAGAGGATGTGGAGAAATAGGAACACTTTTACACTGTTGGTGGGACTCTAAACTAGTTCAACCATTGTGGAAGTCAGTGTGGCGATTCCTCAGGGATCTAGAACTAGAAATACCATTTGACCCAGCCATCCCATTACTGGGTATATACCCAAAGGACTATAAATCATGCTGCTATAAAGACACATGCACACGTATGTTTATTGCAGCACTATTCACAATAGCAAAGACTTGGAACCAACCCAAATGTCCAACAATGATAGACTGGATTAAGAAAATGTGGCACATATACAACATGGAATACTATGCAGTCATAAAAAATGATGAGTTCATGTCCTTTGTAGGGACATGGATGAAATTGGAAATCATCATTCTCAGTAAACTATCGCAAGAACAAAAAACCAAACACCACATCTTCTCACTCATAGGTGGGAATTGAACAATGAGAACACATGGACACAGGAAGGGGAACATCACACTCTGGGGACTGTTGTGGGGTGGGGGGAGGGGGGAGGGATAGCATTAGGAGATATACCTAATGCTAAATGACGAGTTAATGGGTGCAGCACACCAGCATGGCACATGTATACATATGTAACTAACCTGTTGTGCACATGTACCCTAAAACTTAAAGTATAATAATAATAAAAAGAAAGAAAAAAAAATATTCTGAAGCTAAATAAGTTAGGAAACATCAGGTTAAATGAAGGTAAGGAAAAAAAAACGAAGGTAAGGTTCTTGGAGCCTTTAGTACATATAAGTACATCATGTGTATTTTGAATCTTCAAGAGGAGAAAACAGTATGAGTCTCACTCTCATATTGTGTGTGTGTGTGGTTTGTTGTTGTTGTTGTTGTTGTTGTTGAGACAGAGTCTCACTCTGTTGCCCAGGCTGGAGTGCAGTGGTGTGATCTCAGCTCACCACAACCTCCACCTCCAGAGTTGAAGCAATTCTCCTGCCTCAGCCTCCCAAGTAGCTGGGATTACAGGTGTGTGCCACCACGCCTGGCTAATTTTGTATTTTTAGTAGAGACGGGGTTTCACCATGTTGGTTACGTTGGTGTCAAACTCCTGACCTCTGGTGATCCACCCACCTAGGCCTCTCAAAGTGCTGGGATTACAGGTGTGAGCTACTGCACCTGGCCTCACTTTCATATTTGAGACTGCAGAACTCTTTTTGCAAGGAGCATCTCTTAGGGCTTATATTTCATAAAACTGTCTTTGGGAAACGCTGGTCATGGATGTATTAATTATTAGTATTAGTGTTCTATTCTTGACTTGAATGAGCCAGAGAGAACATGGAGTTTTTCTCTCATGGTTTGTGGATTTCCCCAAGCCCTCTATTTTGTTCAGAATTAGGTCCAGAATAGTAGCAAGTCCCCTAGCTGCACCTAGATCTGTTTTGGAGGCGAATTTCTTAGCACAGCAAGTCAAAACCTTGTCAGATATTCTGATCTTTGCTGAATTGTACTTCCAATTGTTTTCCAGAAAAGTGAAAGGTTATATCTGAAATATATTTAATTTCTGGGTAAGCTTTGGAACCTGGGCCAGGAAGGCATCATCTGCATCTGCCAGCTGGTCTGTGCTAAACCTTATTGCAGTGTTTCCTAAACTCCAGCTATCAATTCATGTAGCAGAATCACGAAAATATTTCACAGAACAAATCATGTGCAGAGAAAATGCAACTCTTTTATTTTCTCTGTATCTAGCTTGGCCTTTCTCTAAAGCTCTCTCCCCACTTTCTGGTAGGGAAAAGAAGTTTTAGTCTTCTCTGCTTAAACCTCATTGAAATATAATAATTTAAAGAGTCATTTTCAACTAATGCCCAGTCCCTTTAAGAAAAAAAAATCCCATCATCTCAGATTTCTCATTCTTTCACATCTCCACTTCAGCTTATTTTAAAAATGATAGCTGGGCCGGGCGCAGTGGCTCATGCCTGTAATCCCAGCACTTTGGGAGGCCGAGGCAGGCGGATCACGAGGTCAGGATATCGAGACCACGGTGAAACCCCGTCTCTACTAAAAGCACACAAAAAAATTAACTGGGCGTGGTGGTGGGCGCCTGTAGTCCCAGCTACTCGGGAGACTGAGGCAGGAGAATGGCGTGAACCCGGGAGGCGGAGCTTGCAGTGAGCTGAGATTGCGCCACTGCACTCCAGCCTAGGCAATAGAGAGAGACTCCGTCTCAAAAAAAAAAAAAAATGTTATCTGGGTAAAATGGTGTGTGTGTGTGTGTGTGTGTGTGTGCGCGCGCTTGCACGTGCTGGGATTTCATGTGCCTAATACAAGGAGCAGAATATTAGAATCCTCTGCTCTTGTCACATGGTGATATCTCTGGTCCACCTTGGTGATAACTCCGGCAGCTGCTTGCTCTGCTGGCATTTATGTTGAAGGCTACCTATAGCCTGCACCTGGATCTCTCTTGCCTTGTTCAAAGCCTGAGAATCCTCCCTGGCACGTTCAGCTGGCTAAATATTACTCAGCTTTCCCTGAGTGCATAGTCTTGAGGTCTCTCTCATGTCCTCTTTGTGCCTCTATTGCCTAGTGTAGTTTGCTCCCACCTCCGTGGTGGTGGGATTAACTTGTTCTACCATAATGGTTCCCACGGCAGGCCCCTTCAGTGTGCATGCCACCTACAAATCAAGGAAAGCTTGGAGACACCTCAGAGCCTTCATTTGCCTGACCGTACTGCATGGCCAGGTGTGTTTTGATGCAGATAGCCCCTAATTGAACGCATACTAGAGTGTCACATTGGAAGTGAGGGCAAGAGACCCTCTTTTTTTTATTTTTTTTATTTTTTATTTTATTATTATTATACTTTAAGTTTTAGGGTACATGTGCACAATGTGCAGGTTAGTTACATATGTATACATGTGCCATGCTGGTGTGCTGCACCCATTATCTCGTCATTTAGCATTAGGTATATCTCCTAAAGCTATCCCTCCCCCACTCCTCCCACCCCACAACAGTCCCCAGAGTGTGATGTTCCCCTTCCTGTGTCCATGTGTTCTCATTGTCATCATTCTCAGTAAACTATCGCAAGAACAAAAAACCAAACACCGCATATTCTCACTCACTCATAGGTGGAAGAGACCCTCTTTATGCTCAGTGTTCCTCTTCCTAGTTGGGACACAAACAAGTCTGACTGCTGTGCCCTTGTCCTTTTTACCTTTTCTTTATCTCTTATTTCCCCTATGTCATATACATTTTCCAGACTCCAGCTAATCCAGGAAATATTTTCTACACTGCAAAAATGTTAACTGAGTCCTAAAGGTTAAAAAAGGAGAGTAAGGAACTTAAAAGTTCCCATTTTAAACCATCAGTTTGGTTTATAAAGATACTGGCTCACTGCGCCAAAAGCAATGTGATATATTCTTGGTTCGTTCCTTCTACAACAAATCTTTACCTCCTTCCAGGAAAATGGATGCTTCAGGCCACTTAAGAAAAAAGGCTTATACTCAGAAAGGCAAGTGGAAGAAAAATCTACCATATTTTTTAAAAATCACCTCAATTATACTTAACCATCTTCCCATTATCTATTATTCATACAAATTATAGTTATTCAGTACTTTTCTTTATTCTTTCCCCCTTTTTAAGCTTATTTTTTAAAAAAAAACATATCAAGCATAGGTAAAGAGCTTTCCCTAACTGTTCCTCAAGCCAAATTTCTCCTTAACTGCATTTAAGTGACCTGAAAGCTGGGGCTCCTCAAATCCCAGGAACAGGCAATAGAAACAATTTTTTCCATCTTGGAAGAACTGTGTGCCACCCCCAACTTATTCATCTGCACTTTTAGCTCTCTCTGCTCAACTGTTTCTTCATTCCTTTCTCCTTTACTGCTCCGAAACCAAGGGCTATGAATGCCCCTGCCCCAAGTGGTAAACACGGCCAGCCTCCTGGCCCTGATCAAGGACCAATTACTCCTGGATTGTGCTGCTGGATTTGTTTGGGGAGAGAAGAATTATCTACACATCATTAAAATCTTTTTTGCATTTGATTATTAGGAATTTTTTCACACCCTTGGAAACTGTACATATTAATACCACTTCTCTCATTTCACCATTTCATGAATGCTCTCCTGGTGAGTGCCACAAAAATATCAAGTGCGTAGAGAATACCTTTTATCATGAATTCTACTGTAGATTCTCATTCCACTAAAAGTTGATGCTCCATATGAGACCATTTTCATCACATTATTTGTATAAACTCAGGTTCATCCTGTTTGTTATTTTTGTGTGATATGTTGGCATCTACATATTGGAAGCCCTATATTCACTCAGATTTTTTTCGTGTTAACCCCTAGTACCTCTCACATGAATTTTTTAAATTTTATTTTACTTATTTATTTATTTATGTTTTGGAAATGTTCTTTTGTCCCTTTAGTAACTGGTTTCATGTGTTTATCAGGTCATATTTTTTTCCTCTTTTCGCACACTCAATCCACACAAGTATATTTATTCTGATACCTTTGTGATGTATTCTAGCTCTAACAAAGAACCCACTCGTCTGGTGTCTAAGGTTATAGTTCCAAAACTCATACCTTTTTTCCCAACTGGCAAGCATTACTGAGTATCCACTGGGCTTGCCAGGCACTCTTCTGGGCCCTTAGAGATACAGTGCTAAAAAGGGCAGGTGAAGCCGTTGATCTCACAAAGCTTACATTCTGAAAGCAGGAGACCAACATACAAACAAATAAATATCACAGAGTAATTAATGTTGGGCAGATAGTAAAATAAGGGAAGGGGATAATGTTGTACCTGACAGGGGCATCTTATTTCTTGTCAGGAAAGGAATCTCTGATAAAGTGGTGCTGGAGCTGGATCTGAACATAAGGAGCCAGCCACGTGAAGATCTCAGAGAAGAGCTTTCTAGAGAGAGTGCTCAGCTACTGCAAATGTCTTAATGTGGGAATGAGATTGAACTTATTTAATAAATATAAAAAAGGACAGTAGAGCAAGAGCAAAGTAGGAAACAGGAGGAAGAAAGGTAAGTTTTAAGAGGTCAATAGCAGCCAGATTATAATGGGGCTGTGGCAGTCATTGCAAGGACTGTGGATTTTATTCTAGGTCCATAAGAAGCCAATGGATAGCTGTAGACAGGAAATGGGGGGGCATTGATGTAATCTGATTTACGTTTTAGGAAGTTTGACTTTCCTGGAAGCCTTTCACCAACCAAAGCCATCTCTCTTTTCAGGTCTCAAGGGGCAACAGAAAAGAGAGAAAAAAACACAACTTGTGTTACCAAGTAATATGGTTTGGCTGTGTCCCCACTGAAATCTCATCTTGAATTGTAGTTCCCATAATCCCCAAGTGTGGTAGGAGAGACCCAGTGGGAGATAATTGAATCATGGGGGTGGTTACCTCCATGCTGTTCTTGTGACAGTGACCGAGTTCTCATGAGATCTGATGGTTTTATAAGGGGCTTTTGCCCTGCTTCACTCTACACTTCTCCTTGCTGCCACCACGTGAAGAAGGATGTGTTTGCTTCCCCTTCCACAATGATTGTAAGTTTCTTGAGGCCTCCCCAGCCCTGCAGAAATGTGAGTCAATTAAACCTCTTTCCCTTATAAATTACCCAGTCTTGAGTATTTCTTCATAGCAGAGTGAGAAAGAACTAATACACCAAGACTTTTAGTTTCTTATCTAAGCCTGATGTATCCTTGGTCTTTGCTGATAATCATAGGATGCCATGCAAATAAGCAGGAGAGAATATTGGACAGGGTGTTTGGTAAAATATTCTGTGCCCTCCATCTTTGATATATGCTCTGGGATAATGACACATTTTCCTGCAAGGAGGCAGGTCTGTCAAGGTTCTAATCTATAGAGGTGTGATCTGAGGAATGCTAGACAGCTCACAGCATAAAAGCTGAGTACCAAGTTACAAAGATTTAGTGAGAAAGATAATTTATTCAGGAATACAGAATTAAAATGGAGATCCAAATGTCACCTCCAGTTTGTTTGGCATCTGTGTCACCAACTGCTATTATTTTCTGTTCTTTCTCTTTGGTTCTGAAATTTGTCTTTCTGAAACAGTGACCTGAGTTGCACACAACCTGTAATTTAGAAATGTTCTAGGTTGTAAATTGTACTTTGCTTTCAGTAAAAGCCTTTATGTGTCAAGTAGCAAAACAAAAGTGTCATGAAAGAAGTTGAAGTTCCCCATTACAGAAAGAATAATTGGGTAGAAACCTGTTAGTGTGTAATGCAGAAAATAAAAGAAATGCTGATATGAACATGCCCATCAACTTACATTTATAATATGATGATTTTCAAATGATAGAGGAACATTTGTGAGCCTGTGTTGTCACAGTGCAACAGTGCCAGAGGATGCTGTTTTCAGCAGGTCAGAGTCCCACAGCTGTTCAATCAATATGTTGAGAATTGGTCTTTAATCTTCAGGCTTCTTTTAGAGGTTCTGACATCGTATCACTTCTGTTTTGCTACGATGGAAACATCCCTGAGGCAAATAGTGTTTCTGGTTGTACTGTGACATTGACCCTCTTCTCTTAATAATAATGACAATAATAACAATAATAATAACAGCAGCTACTATTTATAGAGCACTAGGCATGTTGCATCATGATTTTACCTAATCTTCAAGAGTCCTGCAAGTCAGGAGTTGGGCTCAGTTTCCAGAGGAAGAAAATAAGGCTACTTTCATGCTATGACAGTAAGGCCATATTCAAGAAGAGGTTAGAAAATGGGAGCCTCTAGTAATTTTCCCTCCTTTTCAGCACCATAGAGCTGACCAAGTGTGTCCAGCTTGGTACCCTCTACAAGAGCTTTATTGGTATTAAAAAGAAAATTCAATTCTCGCTGTCATTCAAGTGGGGACTTTTATTTATTTATTTATTTATATTTATTTATTTATTTATTATTTTCAAATTTTATTTTAAGTTCAGGGTTATATGTGCAATATGTGCAAGTTTTGTTATATAGACAAATGTGTGCCGTGGTGGTTTACTGCACCGATCATCCTATCACCTAGGTATTAAGCCCAGCATCCACTAGTCATTCTTCTTGATGCTCTCCCTCTTCCCAACCCCCACCCTCTGACAGGCATCAGTGTGTGTTGTTCCACTTCATGTGTCCATGTGTTCTCATCATTCAGCTCCCACTTATAAGTGAGAACACATGGTATTTGATTCTCTGTTCCTGGGTTAGTTTGCTAAAGATAATGGCCTCCAGCTCTATTCATGTCCCTGCAAAAGACATGATCTCATTCCTTTTTATGGCTGCATAGTATTTCATCATGTATAAGTACCACATTTATTTTTTCTATCCAATCCACTGTTGATAGGCACCTAGGTTGATTCCATGTCTTTGCTATTGTGAATAGTGCTGCAATGAACATACACGTGCATGTGTCTTTATAGTAGAACAGTTTATATTCCTTTGGGTATATATCCAGTAATGAGATTACTGAGTTAAATGGTCTTTCTGCCTCTAGGTCTTTGAGGAATCAACACACTGTCTTCCACAATGGTTGAACTAATTTACACTCCCACCAACAGTGTAAAAGTGTTCCTGTTTTATCCACAACCTCACCAGCATCTGTTGTTTTTTGACTTTCAATAGCAGCCATTCTGACTGGTGTGAGATGGTATCTCACTGTGGTTTTCACTTGCATTTCTCTGATGATCAGTGATGTTGAGCTTTTTTTCATATGTCTGTTGGCCACATGCATGTCTTCTACTGAGAAGTGTTTGTTCATGTCCTTGGCCCACTCTTTGATGGGGCTGTTCATTTTTTTCTTGTAAATTTAAGTTCCTTATAGATGACGGATATTAGACCTTTGTCAGAGAGATTGCAAGCATTTTCTCCCATTGTGTAGGTTGTCTATTTACGCTGTTGATAGTTTCCTTTGCTGTGCCAAAGCTCTTCAATTTAATTAGATCCCATTTGTCAATTTTTGCTTTTGTCAAAATTGCTTTTGGTATCTTCATCATGAAATCTTTACCTGTGCCTATGTCCTGAATGGTATTGCCTAGGTTTTCTTCTAGGGTTTTTATAGTTTTGGGTTTTATGTTTAAGTCTTTAATCCATCTTGAGTAATTTTTATATATGGTGTAAGGAAGGGGTCTGACTTCAATTTTTTGCATATGGCTAGCCAGTTCTCCCAGCACCATTTATTGAATAAGGAGTCTTTTCCCCATTCCTTGTTTTTGTCAGGTTTGTCAAAGATCAGATGGTTGTACGTGTGCAGTCTTATTTCTGGGTTCTCTATTCTGTTCCATTGGTCTATGTGTCTGTTCTTGTACAAATACCATGCTGTTTTGGTTACTGTAACCTTGTAATATAGTTTGAAGTTGGGTAGCCTGATGCCTCCAGCTTTGTTGTTTTTGCTTAGGATCACCTTGTCTATTCAGGCTTTTTTTTTGGTTTCATAAAAATTTTTAAATAGTTTTTTTTCTAATTCTGTGAAGAATGTCAATGGTACTTTAATGGGAATAGCATTGAATATATAAATTGCTTTGGGCAGTATGGCCATTTTTATTATATTGATTCTTCCTATTCATGAACAAGGAATGTTTTTCCATTTGTGTCGTCTCTGATTTTCTTGAGCAGTGGCTTGTAGTTCTCCTTGAAGAGGTCCTTCGCTTCCCTTGTTAGCTGTATTCCTAGGTATTTTATTCGTTTGTGCCAATTGTGAATAGGAGTTCATTTGTGATTTGGCTCTTGGCTTACCTGTTGTTGGTGTATAGGAATGCTAGCAATTTTTGCACATTGATTTTATATCCTGAGACTTTCCTGAAATTGCCTATCAGCTTAAGAAGCTTTTGGGCTGAGACAATGGGGTTATCTAGATATAGGATCATGTCATCTGCAAACAAAGATAGTTTGACTTCCTTTCTTCCTATTTGAACATCCTTTATCTCTTTCTCTTTCCTGATTTCCCTGGCCAGAACTTACAATACTATGTTGAATAGGAGTGGTGAAAGAGGACAAACTTGTCTTGTGCTGGTTTTCAAAGGGAATGCTTCCAGGTTTTGCCCATTCAGTACGATATTGGCTGTGGGTTTGTCATATATGGCTTATTAATTTGAGGTATGTTCTTTCAATACCTAATTTATTGACAGTTTTTAACATGGAGGGGTGTTGAATATTATCGAAGGCCTCTTCTGCATCTATTGAGATAACCGTGTGGTTTTTGTCTTTAGTTCTTTTTATGTGATGAATCACATTTATTAATTTGTATATGTTGAACCAGATTTCCATCCCTGGGATGAAGCCTATTTGATTGTGATGGATAGGTCTTTTGATATTCTGTTGGATTTGTTTTGCTTCAATGTTCATTAAGGATATTGGCCTGAAGTTTTCTCTTTTTTTTGCTGTATCTTTGCCAGGTTTTGGTATCAGGATTCTGCTGGCCCCATAAAATGAGTTAGAGAGGAGTTCCTCCTCTTCAATTTTTTGGGATAGTTTCAGTAGGAATGCTGCCAGCTCTTTTTTGTACCTCTGGTAGAATTCAGCTGTGAACCTGTCTGGTCCTGGGATTTTTTTTCATTTGGTAGGCTATTTATTAATGTCTCAATTTTAGAACAAATTATTGGTCTATTCAGAGATTCAATTTCTTTCTGGTTCAGTCTTGGGTGGGTGTATGTGTCTAGGAATTTATTAGTTTTTTCTAGATTTTCCAGTTTATGCACATAGAAGTGTTTATAGTATTCTCTGATGGTTGTTTGTATTTCTTTGGGGTCAGTGGCGATATCTCCCTTAACATTTCTGATTGTGCTTATTTGAATCTTCTCTTATTTTCTTCTTCATTAGCTTAGTTAGTGGTCTGTATTAATTCTTTTTTTTTTTTCAAAAGCCAGCTCTTGGATTTGATGATTTTTTTGAAGTGTCTTTTTGTGTCTCTATCTCCGTCAGTTCAGCTCTGATCTTGGTTATCTCTTTTATTCTGCTAGCCTTGGGTTTGTTCACTCTTGGTTCTCTAGTTCTTTTAGTTGTGACATTAAATTTTTAACTTGAGATCTTTCTAGCTTTTTGATGAGGGCATATAATGATATAAATTTCCCTCTTTCACACTGTTTCAGCTATGTGTCCCAAAGATTGTGGTACATTGTATCTTTGTTCTCACTAATTCCAAAGAACTTCTTGATTTCTGCCTTTATTATTTACCCAGAAGTTATTCAGGAGCAGGTTGTTCAATTTCCATGTAGTTGTGTGGATTTGAATGAATTTCTTAACCTTGTGTTCTAATTTGATTGTGCTGTGATTCAAGAGACTGTTATGATTTCAATTCTTTTGCATTTGCTGAGGAGTATTTAACTTTCAATAATGTGATCAGTTTTAGAAAAAGTGCCATGTGGTGATGAGAAAAATATATATTCTGTTATGTTTGGGTGGAGAGTCCTGTAGATATCTATCAGGTCCACTTGATCCAGCGCTGAGTTCAGGTCCTGAATGTCTTTGTTAGTTTCTGTCTCGATGGTCCGTCTAATATTGACAGTGCGGTGTTAAAGTCTCCCACTATTATTATGTGTGAGTCTAAGTCTCTTTGAAGGTCTCTAAGAATTTGCTTTATGAATCTGTGTGCTTCTGTACTGGGTGCATAGACATTTAAAATGGTTAAATCTTTTTGTTGAATTGAACCCTTTACCACTATGTAATGTTCTTCTTTGTCTTTTTTGATATTTATTGGTTTAAAGTCCGTTTTTCAGGAACTAGGAATGCAACCCTAAGTAGGAACCTTTAAAACCTCTGGTCCTATTCAGCTTGCCATATTCATATTCCCTATCTGGCAAGAAGTAGATTCTCCCAATTTTCAAATTGTTCATACATAAAAAGCTTCCCCATAAACAGAAGACATATGACACGTAATTATTTCCCAACAGCGATGATTTAAATAGAGTAATCTTGTATATTAAGTTTTTTCTGTTGCCTCTCAACTATACTAAAGTCAGCTGGAAGGTTGCACTTCTGGTAAAAATTATAGCTTTTCCTTCAGTGAGAATACTTGGTGCTCAAGCACTTATAACTAGAATTTCTAAGAAGGAAATTTGTAAAGAGAGAAGTGCAGTTGTTGGTACTAATGGGAAGGAAGCTGTGCTTTTATCTCTACCTTCTTTTCACTTGAGAAGGGAACGGAGGCAATGGAAGGGTACAACTCTTTTTTTGTTTTGGTGACATTAGAAGACATGAGAAAAGTAATGACTGGGCTCCCTGAACTGGTTTGCAGTTGCATCCTGTCTCAGATATGTGTGAACACAACAAAAATACTGATGCCTTCACTCTTGAGATAAGGCCACATTACTTTCAATTTAATCCTGACTATTTAATCTCAGGAACTCTCAGAAAAACAATGTGTCTCTATTTTGTGTGAGAAAAATGTGTATATAACAGTGGGAGGTCTGATGTATACTATATATTTGAAAGCCACCAGCCTTAGCATAGTCTCTGCTGTCAGTGGAATCAATTTCTTCATTCTTGTTGACACACAGAATATTCCTTCTGATCTTGCAAAATCACTTCTGTTTATTACAAGGTCTGTATCTCGTCTATGTTCCCCACTGTTGATATACTACTTTTCTTGAAGCCACTACAGAGCTTTATACTTATATTCCAAACTGCATCTAGTACGGAAGTGCTTGGCAACATTACAACATGGAATAAATAGTATTCATTATGACAGACTCCTCAGGATTCATTCATCTGATAAACGTTAGAGACATTACATAGAACTAATTTGACACTTTGTCTCTAAAGCGTGTTAAGACTCTTTGATGCTGAAAATTGCATTTGCAGAAGTGATTATTTGAAGTTACTGCAAGGCTCTGAGACAATGCAGTGTCCAGGTCTCAAAGGAAGAAAAGTGAAATTCCTTCAGGGTGATTACTGAGGCCTCCCTGCCCAAGGTTTAATTCTGGCCTGAG
Source organism: Homo sapiens (assembly GCF_000001405.40). Taxonomy (NCBI): domain Eukaryota; kingdom Metazoa; phylum Chordata; class Mammalia; order Primates; family Hominidae; genus Homo; species Homo sapiens. The sequence goes on along the minus strand of NC_000023.11, from coordinate 141,345,383 downwards.
AGATAGCAAGCTTGGCTTCTTGTCTCTTCTACTCAGCAGCCTCCATAGCTTTTTATATTGACTCCCCCAGGTCCAGAGATGAAATAGTAGCCAAGAGTCTGACCAAAAACCACCTAGTGAATTATGCGGTCAAATGTCTCTTGGGGAAGCAGATGTATTGTTTTACCTGAATGGAGATCCCAGTGGTGTTATGAAGACAACATGCCAGCCAGGGTTCAAGTCTCAGCTCCACCACTTATTGGATGTGTTTGTCTCCTAACTTATCTGCCCCTCAGTGTCCTTGTTTATGAAATGAGAATAATTAAACATATCTTTTGGAGTTATTGTAAGAATTAAATGCTATAATGTGTGAAAGCACTTCACATAGTACCCGGAACCTAATAGGCACTTAGTACATGTTAATGTAGTTTTCTCACCCATGAATTAGGAAGAATACTATTTTTCCTGCTTATCTCAAGCCTATTATCCACTTCAATGGTCATTTTTCCCCTCTAGGTTTGTTCAGAGATAACAATGATGTACTGTAGTCAATTAAAAATGTTTCCTTGAATCTGGACTTGATTGTCAGAGCAAAAACAGCAGCAGCCACTTAAGGAGAGATAGATTGTGGGCATAGCCTGAAATGTATCTACCTACTGATACACAGCTTTTTCTGCCTTAGTCCATGCCGGTACATATGGCACAATTTTCTTCCTAGAGACATATTTTCTTCCTAGAGACATACATATGGGCCCCTCATGTATCAATGTTCTTATTTGTCAGGAACAATTATTTTACATGTAAAAACATGGGTTGACCCACATGACCCATTTTCTTTAATATATATGAAGTAATATAACAGTATTTTATTATGTAGTTTCCTACAACGCTGTTGGCTATGACAGTGATAAGTATTAAGATTTCTTTCATCCTCTGCACTCTGCCCTGCAGCAGTACCTGCCACAGTGTAGTGCAGGCTCTCCTGATCCCTTGTTTGGAATACTGCAAAACTGTTTACCCTTCTTTGCATTCTCTCTTCTCTTCAACGCACCCCTACACTACAGCCTTTATGATGTCTCTGAAACAAAAACAAGGCCACGTTAACTCTTATTTATAAACCCTTCCATGGTTTCCCATTGTCCTTAGGGCAAAACCTAAGCTTCTTAACCTGGTTGACAAGAATTTTTTTGATCAGGCATAAATCCTAGCTCAGGATACATTAATGGGGACAGAGGTGTGGTGGTAGAGTGGGGGCGAAATGGACATAACAGATTTTATCTACATTATGGGCACTCTCCACAGTGCCAATTTTTCCTCATTTTCATTTTATTTTTGGGCTCTTTTTAGGCTCTCTTATCCTTCCTGATAACAATTGCTGTGTCCCTGAGTTTTCCTTGGAAACTTTTAAGAGCTGGGCATGCTCAGTAGCCATAGCCAGGGTTGTCTCTCATTTTTAAAACATCACTAAGGCTGCAGTGTGAAGGATGGACACACTTTGGGGCCTGTTGCGGGCTTGGGGGCAAGGGGAGGGAGAGCATTAGGACAAATACCTAATGCATGCAGCGCTTAAAACCTAGATGATGGGTTGATGGGTGCAGCAAATCACCATGGCACATATATACCTATGTAACAAACCTGCACGTTCAGCACATGTATTCCAGAACTTAAAATAAGATAAAATAAAATAGAAAAAAATGCATCAGTGAGAGCCTTTAAAAAACCAAGAAAGAATCAAAATTTCCTTTATCACAACTCTACAGATATTCCATTGAATGGGTTTACTTAAGCAGTATGAAATGTAGAGTAAGTTGGAGAGTGTCACCAAACTTCCCATTTTATTCAGAAAAATAACCTAGGGCCATGTGGTAGCCTATGGTCCATACATGAACTGCCAGCTGACTGAATCTCTGACCTCTCCTCCTCTTTTACTTTCCCCACCCTTTTTTTTTTTTTTTTTTTTTTTTTTTGAGTCAGAATCTTGCTCTCTCGCCCAGGCTGGAGTGCAGTGGCGCGATCTCAGCTCACTGCAAGCTCTACCTCCCGGGTTCACGCCATTCTCCTGCCTCGGCCTCCCGAGTAGCTAGGACTACAGGCGCCCGCCACCACACCTGGCTTTTTTTGTATTTTTAGTAGAGACGGGGTTTCACCGTATTAGCCAGGATGGTCTCGATCTCCTGACCTCATGACCCGCCCGCCTCGGCCTCCCAAAGTGCTGGGATTACAGGCTAGAGCCACCGTGCCCAGCCTACATTTTCCCTTTTGTGGTGGGCCAAAACATGACCCTCCTAAAGATATCCATGTGAAATTCCTAACACCTGTGAATGGCACCTCATATGGCAAAGGATTTGATTAAGTTAAGGATCTTGAGATGAGGCGCTTCTGGATTATTCATGTGGGCCCAATATCATCACAGACTTCCTGTGATTAGGTAGACGCAGAGAGAGACATATGAAGGAAAGGTGGGGGTGTGAAGATGAAGGCAGAAGACAAGGCAAGGAAAGCCGCCAGTTACCAAAAGCTAGAAGAAGCAAAGTACAGATTCTCCCCTAAAGCTTCTGCAGGGAGCATGGCCCTGCCAACAAATTGATTTGGGATTTCTGGACTTCAGACCCTTGAAAGGGTAAACTTTCGTTGCTTCGAGCCACACAGTTTGGAGTACTTTGTTATAGCAGCCCTAGAAGTGAATTCACCTTTCTTCTAACCTCACTGGCTTCCTTGATTTTCCTCAAATAGGCCACATGAGCTCCACTTAAGGACTTCTGCGCTCACTTCTCACTGGACTCGAAAGCTCTCCCACTAGACAGCTTCCTACTGAGAGAGCTCCATGGCTTTCTCCTTCGATTCCATCAAGTCTTGTGCAGAAGTCACTTTTTCAGTAATGATTTTCACGATCCCATTATTTGAAATAGGCCCCTTGGCATTCCCTAACATTCTTGCCCTATTTTCTCTTCATAGTACTTATCTCTGATCTGACATACCAATCTTTTAATGTTTACTATTTACTCATTTCTTATTGCCTGCATTTGGTTGTCCATACATGCAGCAGAAGATAATCTCCATACTGTCAGAGATTATCGTCCGTATCATTTATTGCTATGTTTCCAGTGCATAGAACCATGCCTCAGCACCTAGGACAAGGCCCAATATACATAAGCATTAGATGAACACTTAAAGGAAAGATTACATAACATCAGAAATTTTTAAAAAAGTTAATAATAAACAAAGCATTTTAGAACTTACGAGTCATGCTCCCCAAACTGCCATTGTCATTAACCATGCAACTTCTGTAATCCCAACAAATCACTTAAATTTCCCATTTTCAAATGTTGAAGTCTGAGGAAAAGACTTTGAGACATTTTACGTATTGTAGTTGACTAGAGCTACTTTTATTCAGTCACATGTTTACTCAACAGTGTTTTAAAAATCAAAGTGAAGTTCTCAAGCATTTTCTGCTGTATCATGCTGAAATCCTAAACACAGTGTATCCTAATTGAATACACAAAAATTGTGCAGATACCACCAAAAATATGTGCATATTTATTTTTATGGGCTTGTACCTTTCCTTGGGAAGAGGGAAGGTGACGACAGATGTCAGCAAAAGCACAAAAAGAAATACCCCAGGAGCTCCCATATGTTTCTACCTTGCTGAGTCCATGTAAGATAGATTACCTTCATGGCTGTTTCCAGTTACGTGGATAAAGGGAGGAGATAGAAAAGCAGAATGTCATCTCTGCATCTAGCAAGATACGCGTGCAAAGGTCAGCCAGAGGCCGGTTTTCTGAGTGACCATGGTTGGGAAATCAAACAGACTTTCAATTTGATCTGAGAGTAAAGCATGCTATTGTTTGAGCTTCTTGGTTCCATTTATCAGAGGAAATTTGTGCCAGAGATAGCAGAAGGGAAATGGAAGACATCCGAGAAAGGATTCCAAGATTGTAAACTGCACTCCAGCCCAAGCACTATTGCTGCCAATTCTAAGAATTTCTTCATGATTAGTCACAGTACTTAATGTTGCTATTATAAAATGTCAAGTGGAAGAGTCAGAGTCAGGCTATTGATGACTTAGAAGCTTGCTTTGCTGAAATAAAGTTTCTCTTAAAATGGAAAAGGTGAATTTACGCGAGTAAAATGAGTTGGAATAACTTGTGAAAATCTTGTGTTTTGATGTTACAAAAGTCCACGTAAATTACTGCCTTAAGCACTCGAAAAATGCTTAGAACACTTGTGGCTAATTACTAAAAATATTTATGACTAAATTGGGCTACTTGGGAAGAGAAATGATGGAAATAATAGTTTTAATTGTTAAACTAATGTTCGTTTTAAGTAAAATTGGTTAACTGAAAAAATGATATGCATACAAAAAAGAACACTTATCGTAATTGTGCAGCTTGATGGCTTATCCCACAGTAAAATTATTCTACAACTACTACTCGGATTAAAAAAAAAATACTAACTATACCCTGAGACGTTCCCCTGCTGCCGCCCCATGCCAGGCACTATCGCCTTCTATCCTGAAGTTATCTTCTCTTTTTGATTAGTTTTAAATGGTTTTGAATTTGACATAAATGGAGTTATACAGTATGTTCTTTTTAGTATTTGATTTCTTTTCATTAAATTTACGTTTGGAAGATTCAGCCATGTTTTTGCCTGTAACAGTAGTTCGTTAATTTTCACTGTTGTGTAGTTTGCTGTTTATCAATATGCCACAATTTATTCAGCCATTTTATTATTCATGAATGTTTGGATTGTTTCTCGTTTATGCCACTACAAATAGCACTAATATCAACATTTCTTAGAAGTAAACATATGTATACATGTATGTTAAGTATATATGTTGGAGCGAAATTGCTGCACCATAGGATATGAGTACATTTAATATGGCAAATACTGCCAAAGAGTTTTCCAATATGGTTGCATCAATTTGCATTCATACTAGCAGCGCATGAGGGTTTCCGTTGCTCTACATCATTCTCAACACACTGTACGGTCATTTGTTTTAACTTGAGCCATTCTGGTATATGTATAGTGGTATTTCATTGTGATTTTGTTTCTATTTCTCTTATGACTAATCATGTTGAGCATTTTTTCATGTGCTTATTTTTTCATTTGTTCATGTCCTTCATTGACCATATAGGTATCTTCCTTTTTGAGCTATCTGTTCAACTTTTTTGCCTGTTTTCTATTGGATTTTGTCTTTTTTTTTTTTTTTAGTGATTTATAGGAAGAGTCTGGCTATGAAGTTGTTTGTATTCATACATTTATGTGTGATATATATCACACACATATGAGAGAGAGCACACAAATATCTCCTTTTATGTTTTATTTTTAAAATCGAATGTATTGAGATTTATTTGTGTGCCATAAAATTAACCCATGGTAAGTACACAATATTTTTCAGTAAATTCCAGAGTTGTACAGCAATCACCAAAATTCTATTTTAAAGCATTTCCATTATTCCATAAGGATTCTTCATGCCTTTTTTCTATATTCCCAATCACCAACCCTAGCTTCAGGTAACATACTGAGCTGATATCATCTCTTATAATTTGCCTTTTCTAGAATGCCTGCCAAGAAAGCAAATCATACACTTTGTATGCTTCTTTTCTGGCTTTCCTCACTTAGTGTAATTATTTTGAGACTCATTGTTATTTTTTGATATATCCTTAGTTCCTTCCTTTTTATTACCAAGTAATATTCGATCGTAAGGGGTGTACCACATCTGTTTACCCATTCACCAGATGAAGGACATTTGGTTTCTTTTTAGTTTTTGGTGGTTAGGAATAAAGCCAATATAAAATTGTGCATGCAGCCTTTGTGTGACTACAGGTTTTCATTTTATTCGGATAAATACCTTGGAGTGGGGTTCTTAAGTCATATGGTAAGCGCAGGTCTAACTATTTAAGAAACTGACAAAGTGCTTTTAAAAAAGTGTTTGATACTATTTCCCTGGTATGAAACCCACTTGATTATGTTGGATTATCTTTTGGATATGTTGTTGATTTTGCTTAGCCAGTATTTTGTTAAGGATTTTAGCATCCATGTCCATCAAGGATATTGGTCTGTAGTTTTCTTTTTTAGTTATATCCTTCCTTGATTTTGGTATTAGGGTGATGTTGGCTTCATTAGGGAGGGTTTCACATCCCCACCAGAAGTGTAGGAGTTCTAGATGCTGCATATCTTTGTAAGCACTTAGTGTCTTCATGTTTTTTCTTATTTTGTAATTATTCTCACATGAGTGTAGTGATATCTCATTGTAGTTTTAATTTTTTTCCCTAATGACTAATGATGTTTGGCATCTTTTCTTGTGTTTAACTGCCATTTGTATATAATATTTGTTAAAGTATTTGTCCAAATTTTTTGCCCATTAAAAATGAGTGGGGGACTTCAATACACCACTGACAGCACTAGACAGGTCATCAAGACAGAAAGTCAACAAAGAAACAATGGACTTAAACTATACCTTGGAACAAATGGACTTAACAGATATATAAAGAACATTTAATCCAACAACCACAGAATACACATTCTATTCAACAGCCCATGGAACTTTCTCCAACATAGACCATATCTTGGAGATATGAGCCTCAATTGTATGAGCCTCAATAAATTTAAGAAAATTGAAATTATATCAAGCACTCTTTCAGACCACAGTGGAATAAAACTGGAATGAACTCCAAAAGGAACCTTCAAATCCATGCAAATACATGGAAATTAAATAACCTGCTCATGAATAAGCACTGGGTCAAAAACGAAATCAAGATGGAAATTAAAATAAATCTTCAAACTGAATGACAATAATGACACAACCTATCAAAACCTCGGGGATAGGGCAAAGGTGGTGCTAAGAGGAAAGTTCATAGCCCTAGATGCCTACATCAAAAGACTGAAAGAGCACAAACTGACACGCTAAGGTCACACCTCAAGGAACTAGAGAAACAAGAACAAACCAAACCCAGACCCAGCAGAAGAAAGGAAATACCTAAGATCAGAGCAAAACTAAATTAAATTGAAACACACAAAAAGTACAAAAAATAAATGAAACAAAAAGCTGGTTCTTTAAAAAGATAAGTAAAATTGATGGACCATTGGCAAGATTAACCAAGAAGAGAGAAAATCCAAATAAATGTAGTTATAAAATAAATAAGTTATGTACACCTAATGTACAAACTTGCAGTTATAAGATGAATAAATTCTGGAGACCTAAAATTTCTGCACAGCAAAAAAAAAATTATAAACAAAATCACAGAATGAGAGACAACACTTACAAACCATATATCTGATAAGATATTAATATTCAAAATGTATAAGGTGCTTCTACAACTCACTAACAGTAAACAAATAACCTGATTCAAAAATGGGCAAGGGATCTGAACAGATTTTTTTTTATACAAATGGCAAACAAATATATGAAAAAATGCTCAACATCACTAAGCACCAGGGAAATGCAAATGAAAACCACAATGAGATATCATCTTACTCCAGTTAGAATGGCTATTAGTAAAAAGACAAAAAACCAACAGATATTGGTGAAGATGTGGAGAAAGGGAACTCTTATACACTATTGGTGGAAATGTAATTGGTGCAGTCATTTTGGCAAACAGTATGGAGGTTTTTTAAAATATTGAAAGAATTACCATTTGATCCAACAATCCTACTCCTGGGTATCCACCCAAAAGAAAAGAAATCAATACATCTAAGGGATACCTGCACTTTCATGTTTATTGCAGTACTATTCACAATAGCAAAAATATGGGATCAACCTAAAAGTCCATCAATGGATAAACAGATGAAGAAAATTTGGTACATATACACAATGGAATACTATTCAGCTTTTTAAAAGAAGGGAATTTTGTCATTTACACCAAACCTGGAGGACATTATGCTAAGTGAAATAATCCAGAGACAGAAAGACAAACACTGCATAATCTCACTTATATATATAAACTAAAAATGTCAAATATATAGAAACAGAGAGTAGAAGGTAATTATCATAGGTTAGGGTATGGGAAAAATGGAGAGATGCTGGTCAAATGGTACGAACTTGTGAGTTATAAGCTAAATTCTGGAGACTAATGTACACCATGGTGACTACACTTAATGTATACTTGAAATTTGCTAAGAGAGTAGAGCTTAAGTATTATTACCACACTCTACACAAAAATAATTATGTGAGGAGATGGATACATTCATAACCTTAATTGTGGTAATCATTTCACAATGTATATGCATATCAAAACATCATGTTGTTTACCTTGAATATATACAACTTTTTATTTTTTAATTATACCTTAATAAAGCTGAAAGTGAAAATAAGTTGTGTTTGAATTTTGTCAAAAGCTTTTTTATTATTTAATATTTGTAGGCTGTGTAGTGATATCTGGTTGTGCATTCCCAATATGTAAAATTTGTGTCACCTCTTTCTTAGTAAGTATATTTAAAGCTTTATAAATATTTAATTTTCATCCAATAATCAGATTTGGTTTCATTGATCTCCTGTATTGATTTTCTGCTCTCAATTTCATTGATTTTCACTCTTACCTTTATAATATCCTTTATTATATATGATTTGGGTTTAATTTCTCTTTTTTCCCCATTTTTCTTAAGGTAGAAGCTTATATCATTGATTTGAGCACTTTCTTCTTTTCTAATGTAAACATTTAATAGTATGCTATAAACTTCTAAGTACTACTTTAAAGACATCCCACAAATTTTGATATGTTGTATTTTCATTATTTTCTGTTCAAAATATTTTTCAATTTCCCCTGTGATTTCTTCTTTGATCTATGCATTGTGGAGCATGTTTTTAATTTCAAAATATTTGGATATTTTCCTGATTTTTTTTACCGATTTCTAGTTTAATTCTATCATATTCCAAGAATCTGCTTCTTACTATCTCTTTTTGAAATTGTTATAGTTTGGTATATAGTGCATATTATAGTCTCTTTTAGTGGATTATTTTTATATGCAGTGCAGTAAAAAAGAGGTATATTCTTCTGCTGTTGTTTGGGGGTGTTCTATAAATCTCATTGTGTCAAGCTGGTTGATAGCATTGTTCTGATGTTCTATATAACCTTACTTATTTTCTGTTTATTTGATTAGTGAGAGAGGAATGTGAGGGTCTATGAGTGAAAAATGTTGATTCATTGATGTCTGTGTTCAATTCTAGCAATTGTTTCCTCATGCAATTTGAAGCTTTGTTATTAAGTGCATATGCGTTTAAGATTGTTGTGTCATGTTAAAGTGACTCCTTTATAAATAGTGAGACAGTAAACTATCTAAACATACACTGATACTGTTTTAAATCTGTGCTTTGGAATTTTTATTCTGTTTATTTGCATAACCTGCAGGAAAAAAATGTAATTCCATCTTTTGTCTCTTCTTATAATCCTGAGAGATTAATCTTGAAACTCCACAGTGATCAAGTCATCTATGACTTTAAAAAAAAACAAGAAAAAACTTTGACTCCAATATTGCCTATTGAGTTTGTATGTAACACCTTCTTCAGTGTGACCCTAAATGGCCTTAATCTTTCACCACTTATTCTCTATCCAAATTAGATGGACTTCAATTGACTAGAAAATAGATCCCTTACCTACTGATTCAGCATTTATTGGGAAACGATTATTTTCCTAAATGCTATACAATTACTTTTAAAAAGTGTTCCCTATTCTTGAGACGATTATAATCCAATGTAAACAAAAAAATGGAATTGAGGATGGACTAGCAGGTAGAGAAAGGCTACAATCATGAAAATAATTGAATAGGGCAGAGAGGCAGAATACCATTCTGTAAAATGTGTAGGAGTCTCAACAGGAAATGACTAAGGGATATGATTGTCAGGGCCTAAAGGTACTTTGTGATCACTAGTTCCATGAAACAAAGGGTAAAGAAAAAACTTAAATCAGAAGGTATTATCGTTGTCTATAATACCAAGAAAGACATCAGCAAAGAATGCAGTAATTGGCTTTGGGGGCATTGATCCTAAATAATGCTATAGCAGAATAACTTACATGTTTGCTGACTAGAAGCTTCTGGGGTTTTAAATAGCATTACTACTAAACATTCTTGTTCACAGATGAATTTAGCTTAGATTCTAGTCGGTATTAAAGACTGAATATTAATTTTTTTAATTATGTATTTGGAGAATAATTTATTCATATGAAATCCAGACCCAAATATGAAATTCAGCACAAAAATTAATAATAGAAACCCGAGGAACCTGATGCTTCAGGCATTTAGCATCTGATATAATTTTACATTCTTATAAAGTGCACTGAAACGATACTGAATACACAGTGTGTGGGTGCAGTATATCACTCTGTAATTAGAATATCAGGTATATGAGAGCATTTTTTAAATAGAAAAAGGAAACGTATATTTTAAAAATACGTGTGTATTTTGAAAGTTTTTCATTTTTTTCTTAATCTTATCAATGATGATTGGGTTGACCTCATAACCTTTGATTAATTATCTGCCAGATGGGCTATTAATGAAGACTATTATAAGTAATATATAGTCTCTAAAGGCCAGGCCATACTACCTCCAAAAGGAGGTAGTATGATGTTTCTCTCTAATTCCAGCATAAGTCTTTTTTTTTTAAAAGCACCAAAATGATAGACTACCTGTTCACAATAGAGGAAAGGGTGTATGTGTGTGTATGTGTGTTTGTGTGTGTATGTGTGTGTCTTAGTCCATTCCAGCAGCTATAACACAATACCATAATCCAGGTGGCTAATAAACAAGAGAAATTTATTTCTTAAAGTTCTGGAGGTGGGGAAGCCCAAGATCAAGGTGCAGACAGATTCAGTGTTTAGTGAGGGCCGTTTTACTTGTTCATAAGTAACCATCTTCTCATTTTGTCCTCACATGGTAGAAAGGGCAAGAGAGCTCTCTGGGGCCTCTTTTATAAGGGCACTAGTGCAATTCCTGAAGGCTCTGTTCTCATAACCAAAGCACCTCCCAAGTCCCTCATCTTCTAATACTGTCACATTGGGCATTATAATGTTAACATTTTTTGGGGAGGCAGGGGGACTAAAAACATTCAGTACATACCTGTGTGTGTGTAATGTGTATGCATATGTGATTTTGTTGTTGATTTGGTATTTGAATTGCATTTCTTAAAAGTAACTAGAAATTCTTTTGGTAAAGTGCTGAGTATTTAAGAGAACCAGCACCCAGTGGATTGTTAGCCTTGGTTGTTCACATTTATTCTTCCCCCAAACAAGTGGTTTTCATGTTGAATGTTGGTTAGGAGCACAGGCTTTGGCTTCAGGCCCACTTCCATCTGAAGCCACATTCCCTCAATTATAAGTCCTGTGATCTTTGAGCAGTTCTTCAAATGTCTGTGCCTGATTTCCTCAGCTATGAAATTGGAATAATAATACCTCACTCACAGGGCTGTTGAGAAGACTGGCACATAGTAGGTGCTCAGTAAACAAATGTTATAGCTACATTGCTACCATTATCATCAAAGTGTCAAGGCTGAAACAGGCCAGGTGAAAAGCTATCCCCATGAAGTCAGCATATAGGGGAAAGAGGGCACTTGAGGATGGCTCAAGTCTGGAGGGTCACAGCCTGGATACTTTATTCAACTACAGTGGAGAGCAGAGTATTATCACAAGAAATGCTTAGATCACATGTGAAACAGAAAGGGTGTAAAGTTGAAATTATGAGGCAAAGACACTAGGACAAGAACAAGTTGAAGATTACAAGGAAGGACAAAGAGAGAACTGAGTAGGCAGTGTGACTCCTGGTTCAGAGAAAACCTAGTCTCCAGCACTGGTACAACCATGTGGTATGATTGTGTTCTGATGCACTTGGATCACATGGCCAGAATGATAAAGGGAGCTCCTTAAAGGTACTGTATGGGCTCCGCCAGCACCGCTCCCAAAAAAGCCCCACACGCCTGGTTTAGAATACCCCCAAGGACATCGATCCATCTCATCTACTGTAGGGTTAATGCATCCCAGGACCAATTACCTAAAACAGGAGCTCACTGGGTGTAAGACGAGGAATTTATCACCAACTTCCACACATTTACCACTTGATTTCTGCTTTGGAGGGCATGAGACTTGACCTCATTAAACAAAAATACTGGGTGCAAGAGGAGAGAACTTTTTACCCTAATTTGGTAAGTGTCTTCAGAGAGCTTTCTGTTCTCACCTAATCTAAGTAGCACCCTCTCCATCTCTATCTCAATTATCTCAGATAATTATTTTAATTATCTGCATATTATTTATGATTGCTGACTGTCTTCCTTTTTTTTTTTTTAACTTTTTGGTGAATATTTCCTCTGATTTAAATGTACAAGTTCCATGTCAGATTATGTCAGATCTTTAGAGATTTTGTTTGCAGCTCTGTCCTCCAGGAGTAGAAGAATGTCTAGTATATGGTACATTCTCAGTATAGTTCTCAGTATAGGTATCTGTTGAATGAGCTAATACATTTCCTGACTTTTTTTTTCTTTTTTTTGGAGACGGAGTCTCGCTCTGTGGCCCAGGCTGGAGTGCAGTGGCGCGATCTCGGCTCACTGCAAGCTCCGCCTCCCAGGTTCACGCCATTCTCCTGCCTCAGCCTCCCGAGTAGCTGGGACTACAGGCGCCCGCCACCGCGCCCGGCTAATTTTTTTTTATTTTTAGTAGAGACGGGGTTTCACCGTGTTAGCCAGGATGGTCTCGATTTCCTGACCTCGTGATCCGCCTGCCTCGGCCTCCCAAAGTGCTGGGATTACAGGCGTGAGCCACCACGCCCGGCTGAATTTTTTCTTTCTATAGTCTCATTTCCGTGTCTTATTTCTTGTTCCCTCTTTCTGTAACTTTCCCCCTCGTATTTTTCTGTAGGTGTCCTTTCCATTCTTGAAAATCTAGCTCAAATATCACTTCCTCCATAAGTCTTCCCGTATTATCCAGTCAGAAATAATGTGTTAAACTGTGTGTGTGTGTGTGTATGTGTGTATCTCCATTGTTGTTCCAGGAGAACAGTTAGGCGTAGAAAAGGGAATAATTCCTGGAAATTATTGCATTCTGCTTTGAGCCAGAAATATTGATGCCAGAATTTCTCAAAACCTACCAAATTCAGAGTTCTTGGAGAGACATAAGGTGTCACCTCAGTTTTCTCTGTAGAGGAGGTGGTACCGTATGCTAGGTAAGCATTTAGTGCATGGATCAGACAGCATGCAGTCAAATCCCACTTGGTAGATGAATGATCTTGCATAAAATATTTAACTTTAGTTTCTTCCTTTGGAAAAATGGAGATAGGTGATGGTAACTGCCTCATAGGGTTAGAGTGAAGAAAAAATATGATCATGCATATGAAGCATTTAGTATGGTGTCTTTTACTATAACAGGCACTTCATAAATGTTAGCTATTATTATCATAATGACTATTATTAATAATACTGTTAGAGGCTCAAGTGGTTGTTTTTATTCTATCGTAATAAAACTAAGCCTTACAATGTATCAGTTTTGTTTCAATGCATATATTAAGTTCAATCATTAATCTGAATGTTTGCGATAATTATCATATTTGAAAAAAACTTTATCACCTAGGCAACATGCATGTGCTTTTTCCTGGTGATTAACAAATGGAGCAAACACAAAAAGAGAAAGTACTTTACAAAATTGAGATGTCTAGATATAATGTAATTAACTGCATTTGGGCACCAGAGTATTTATATTTATTATCCTTTGAAAATAAATATAAAATACTTTTGCATCCTGTAGCATCTTTAAAGCCTATTTTTGTAGCAATTATTGAAATTTTTTTGTAGTGAGAACATTTGAAATGTACTTTCTTAGCAATTTTGAAATATACAACTATTAACTGCAGTTACCACAGCTGTTCAATAGATCTCAAAAAATTTATTCCCCTGTCTAACTGAAACTTTGTACCCTTTGATCAACATCTTTCCATTCATCCCAGCCCCTTGGCTCCGGTAACCACCATTCTACTCTCCAGTTTTATGATTTAAATTGTTTTAGATTCCATACATAAATGAGATCATGTGGTATTTGTCTTTCTTGGTCTGGTTTATTTAACTTGGCATAGTGTCCTCCAGGTTCATACATTTTGTCACAAATGACAAAATTTCCTTCTTTTTGAAGGCTGAATAGTATTTCATTATGTACATATGCCACAGTTTCTTTATTCAGTCATCTGTCAATGAGCACTTAGTTGGTTCCATATCTTGGCTATTGTGAATAATGCTGCAATGAACATGAAAATGCAGATATTTCTTTGATACACTGATTTCAAATTATTTGGATATATGCACAGAAGTGGAATTGCTGGATTATATGGTAGTTGTATTTTCAGTTTTTTGAGGACCCTTCAAAGTTTTCCATGATGGCTATACTACTTTATATTCCCACCACCAACATACAAATATTCCCTTTTCTCCACATCTTCGCCAACACTTTTTCTTTCATCTTTTTCATAATAGCTATCCTAACAGGTGTGAGGTGGCAACTCATTGTGGTTTTAATTTGCATTCCCCTGATAATTAGTGATATTGAGCATTTTTAAATATATCTGTTGGCCATTTGAATGTATTTTTTGAGATATGTCCATTTAGGTGCTTTGCCCATTGTTAACTGGGTTATTTCTTTCCTAGCTAATGAGATGTTTGAGTTCCTTCTGTATTTTGGATATTAACCCCTTATCAGATATATGGTTAGCAAATATTTCCTCCTAATTCTATTAATTGGGAGAAATTGTCCCAATTGTCTCTTTCATTCTGTTGATTCTTTCCTTTACTGTGCAGAAGCTTTTTAGCTTCATACAATCCTATTTGTCTGTTTTTATATTAGTTGCCTGTATTTTAGGAGTCAAATAAAATAAATAGTTGCCCAGACAAATGACATGCAGCTTTTTTCCTGTGTTTCTGCTAGTAGTTTTAGTTTCTTGTCTTACATTTAAGTCTTTAATCCATTTTGAATTGACTTTTTTTAACATGCTGTGGGGTTAAGGTCCAATTTTTGTCTCCTGCACTTGGATATCCAGTTTTCCCAACACCCTTATTTGAAGAGATTGTCCTTTTACCAATGTATTTTCTTGTCAACTTTGTCAAAAATCCATTGGCCATAAATGTGAGGATTCATTTATGGGCTCTTTTCTGTTCGATTGGACAACATGTCCAATTTTAAGCCAGTATTATGCTGTTTTGATTACTATAGCCTTGTAATGTAGTTTTAAGTCAAGTAGTGTGATGACTGTGGCTTTCTTCTTTTTCCTCAAGATTATCTTGGCTATTCAGGTTCTTTTATAGGTCCATATGAATTTTGGAATTGTTTTTCTATTTCTGTAAAAATGACATTGGAATTTTGACAGGGAATAAATTGGATCTATAAATTGTTTTCAGTAGTATTGACATTTAATAATGCTAATTGATTCATGAACAAGGAATATTTTTCCATTTATTTGTATCTCTTTCAATTTCTTTCATCATTGTTTCAGTTTTAACTATACAGGTCTTTTACCTTCCTAGTTAAATTTATTTTTAAATATTTTATTTTCGTGATGCTGTTGTAAATGGGATTTTCTTAAAAGTTTTTTTCAGGTAGATTTTATTTTAATTTTTTTTACCTTTATTTTAAGTTTAGGGAAAGATGTGCAAGTTTGTTACATAGGTAAATTGTGTTATGAGGGTTTGCAGTACAGATTATTTCATCACCCACGTATTAAGCATAGTACCCAATAGTTATTTTTTCTGACCCTCTCCCTCCTCCCACTTTCCACCCTCCAATAGGTCCAGTGTGTGTTGTTCCCCTCTATGTGTCCATGTGTTCTCATAATTTGGCTTCTACTTATAAGTGAGAACAAGTCATATTTGGTTTTCTGTTCCTGTGTTAATTTGCTAAGAATGAAAGTCCCACAAAAGTCCTAATCTTGTTCCTTTTATGGCTGCATAGTATTCCATGGTGTATATGTGCCACATTTTCTTTATCCAGTCTCTTACTGATGGGCATTTAGGTTGATTCCATGTCTTTGCTATTGTGAATAGTGCTGCAGTGAACATACACGTGCATGTATCTTTATAACAGAATGATTTATATTCCTTTGGGTATATACTCAGTAATGAGATTGCTGAGACAAATGGTATTTCTGCCTCTAGGTCTTTGAGGAATCACGACACTGCCTTTCACAATGGTTTGAACTAATTTACCCTCCCACCAACAGTGTATCAGCATTTCTTTTCTCTCTGCAACCTCAACAGCACTTCTTATTTTTAAAAGTTTTAATAATAGCCATTCTGACTGGTGTGAGATGGTATCTCATTGTGGTTTTGATTTGCATTTCTCTAATGATCAGTGATGTTGAGCTTTTTTTCATATGCTTGTTGGCTGCATGTATGTCTTCTTTTGCAAAGTGTCTGTTCATGTCCTTTGTCCACTTTTTAACAGGGTTGTTTGCTTTTTTCTGTAAATTGTTTAAAGTTCCTTATAGATGCTGGGTATAAGACTTTTGTCAGATGCATAGTTTGGAAAAAAATTATTCCACTCTGTAGGTTGCCTGTTTACTGTGTTGATAGTTCCTTTTTGCTGTGCAGAAGCTCTTTAGTTTAATTAGATCCCATTTGTCAATTTTTGCTTTTGTTGCAATTGCTTCTGGTGTCTTTGTCATGAAATCTTTACCCATTTCTATGTCCTGAATGATATTGTCTGGGTTGTCTTTCAGGGTTTGTATAGTTTTGAGTTTTACATTTAAGTCTTTAATCCATCTTCGGTTAATTTTTGTATATGGCGTAAGGAAAGGGTCCAGTTTCAATCTTCTGCATATGGCTAGTCAGTTATCCCAACATCATTTATTGAGCAGGGAATACTTCCCCCATTGCTTGTTTTTGTCAGGTTTGTCAAAGATCAGATAGTGGTAGGTGTGTGGTCTTCTTTCTCAGTTCTCTGTTCTGTTCCATTGGTCTACATGTTTCTTTTTGTACCAGTACCATGCTATTTTGGTTACTGCAGCTCTGCAGTATAATTTGAAGTCAGGTAGTGTGATGCCTCCAGCTTTTTTCTTTTTTGGTTAGGATTGCTTTGGCTATTTGGACTCTTTTCCGATTCTATATGAATTTCAAAATAGTTTTATCTAGTTCTGTGAAGAGTTTCAGTGATAGTTATTAGAAATAGCATTTAATTTATAGATTGCTTTAGGCAGTATGGCCATTTTATGATATTGGTTCTTTTTATCCATAAACACGGAATGATTTTCCATTTGCTTGTATCATCTCTGATTTCTTTGGCAGTGCTTTGTAGTTCTCATTGTAGGGATCTTTCACCTCCCTGGTTAATTGTATTCCTAGGTATTTTATTCTTTTGTGGTAATTGTGAATGGTATTGCATTCCTGATTTGGCTCTTGACTTGACTACTTTTGGTGTATAGAAATGTTAGTGATTTTTGCATATTGATTTTGTATCCTGATATTTTGCTGAAGTTGCTTATCAGCTTCAGCAGCTTTTGGGCTGAGATTATGGAGTTTTATAGATATAGGATCATGTTGTCTGTAAACAGTAATAGTTTGACTTCCTCTCTTATTATTTGGATTCCCTTTGTTTCTTTCTCTTGCTTGATTGCCTTGGCCAGGACTTCCAATACTATGTTGAATAGGTATGGTGAGAGAGGGCATCCTTGTCTTGTGCCGATTTTCAAGGGAAATACTCTCAGCTTTTGCCCATTCAATATGATGCTGGCTATGGGTTTGTCTTAGATAGCTCTTAGTATTTTGAGGTATGTTCCTTCAATACCTAGTTTATTGAGAGTCTAACATGAAAGGGTGTTGAATTTTATCGAAATCCTCTTCTGCATCTATTGGGAAGCTGCAGTATGGGGAGGGAGCAGGTGGGCTGGTGCATGGCCATAGGGCCACCTCACTGGAGCTGTCCACTGGTCAGGCATGGTCCGCCAGTGCAGAAGCTAAGGTGCAGGCTTCCAGGGTGCCCAAGACTGTCCTGTAAGCAAGTCTGGCCAGGTTGGAGCTCTGGAAGAGGCCAGCCAAACAAGGGGTGCTCGGGTCAGATCAGCCCCATATGATGGGCAAGATAATCGGTTCCAACAGTTCCCATAGGACTTGTCTCCTATGGGAGCAAGTTGAGCCTAGGGGGATGGCCGTCCATGGCTGTGCTCTACTATAGATGCTCCCACATCAAACTCTCAGGGATCCACATCACCCGGCTTGCTGCCCCTACCACTTCTCTGAGCAGCATTCCCTACCAACTGGAGTGTCCATGGTGGTCGAGTGGTCTCCTCCTGCCAGGGTTCCAGAGGCTTGTGGCAAGAACGGGTTGCTCCCTGCCAATTTAACTCACCCATTTCCTCGGAGCTGTTGTGGCCTCAAAATGAGTTCCAGTGCTCGGTAGCCCCAGGCAGGGTTCCCAGCTTTCTCTGCCTTCAGTCCAGCTTCTGTGTCTTCCCTCCATCCACTCTTGGTGCCTTCCCTCTAAAGATCTGTTAAAAGCACACCTATTGTCTTAGTGCCTCGGTGAGAGCCTTTTCACCTGGCTGTGCTTAGTCAGCCATCTTGCCCTCATAAACCTTCCTGGCAAGGTTTTATATTATCAAGACATGTTTTGCTTATTTTCTAAATTAACAACAATCTGGAAAGCTACCCCCACCATTGTCCAATGTTAGAGACAACTGATTGTCCGGATTGTTGTTTGTGTATAGAAATGCCACAGATTTGTGTATATTGATTTTATATTCTGCAGCTGTACTGAATACATTTATTATACATAACAGTTTTTTGGCAGAATCTTTAGGATTATCTATATAAAGGATTATGTAATCTGCAAAAACAGATAGTTTTACCTCTTCGTTTCTGATTTGTAGACCTTTTATTTCTTTTTCTTGCCTAATTGCTCTGGCTAGAACTTCCAGTACTATGTTGAATGGAAGTGGTGAAAATGAACATCCTTGCACTGTAGATCTCAGGTGGAAAACTTCCAGTTTCTCCTCATTGATTATAATGTTAGCTGTGTGTTTTCCATAAATGTCCTTGATTATGTTGAGGAACTTTCCTTCTATACATAGAGTGCTAGGAGATTTTATTAAGAAAGTATGTTGAACTTTGTCAAATACTTCTTTTGCATTAATCGATATGATCATATGATTGTCTCTCAGTCTGTTAATGTAATGCATCACATTGATTTATTTACATATGTTTAACAAATTTGCATACCAAGAATAAATCCTATTTGATCATGATATATAATTTTTTTCCATAAAATAACTTAGTTTTGACTTTTTAAATGATTATTCTTTATTTTATTTATTTCTACTCTGATCTTTATTTTTTTCCCTCTGCTAGGTTTGGGTTTAGTTCTTCTATTTCTAGTTTCTTGAGGTGTAATATTAGACCATTTGGGAACTTTCTTCTTTTTTAATCTAGGCATTTTTTTGCTATAAACTTACCTCTTAGAACTGCTTTTGCTGCATCCCACAGGTTTAGGCATGTTGTGTTTTCATTTTCATTTGTCTCAAGTTATTTTTTAATTTCCCTTTTAATTTCTTCTTTGAGACACTGGCTATTCAGGAGCATGTCATTTAATTTCCACCTATTTGTGAATTTTCAAACATTTCTCGTCATTGATTTCTAGTTTCATATCATTTTTGTTGGAAACAATACTTCGTATGATTTTAATCTTCCTAAATTTGAAAAGAGTTGTTTTGTGGCCTCTTGTATGGTCTGTCCTAAATAAAGTTCGATGTGCAGTAGAGAAGAATGTGTATTTTGCTGTTGTTAGAAGGAAAGTTCTGTATATATCTTTAAGGTCCTTTAAGGATCTTTAAGGTCCATTTTGCCTAAAGTACAATTCAATTCCAGTATTTCCTTACTAATTTTGTGTCTGGATGATCTGTCCATTGTTGATAGTGGAATACTGAAGTCCTCTACTGTTATCATATTGCTATTTATTTCTCCATTTGTCTGTTCATATTTGCTTTGTATATTTAGGTGCTATGATGACTGCATATATATATATATTTATGTGACAACTTTATATATATACATATTAAATATATATACAATTAATCAGGAGGATGTAACAACTTAAATATACATATATTTAATGTAATATATATATATATTTAATATCTATATGCTTCCTATAATATATTCATTTTAACCTGAAGAAAACAGGTAGACTGAAAGTAAAAGGATAGAAGAGGATAGTCCATGCAAATGGTAACTAAAAGAAAGCAAGAGTGGCTAGACTTAGATAAAATATACTTCAAATCAAAAACTATTAAAAGAGACAAAGTAGGTTATTATTTAATGAGAAAGGGCTCAATTAATCAGGATGATGTAACAACTTAAAAAATATATATGTATATATATATTTGTCTTTAAGAAGCTACAAACTAGCTGTTCATTCCTAAATTGAGAAATCATTACAGTTTTTGCATAGCAAATTATTTTAGGTGTTTCATCCACTGATAACAATTATGATTACCTGACTCTTCTATCATACCATTAAACTTTGTGACATGGCTATAGGCCTCCTGAAATTTATTAGTAGTAGTCTGTTCTAAAATCGGCATTAGTTTTTTTGGTATTTGAAGGAAGAACATTCTTCAGAAATCTTGGCTTTAATTCTTAAAACTGTCTTATAATGGAAATTTCATAATGTCCACAGCAGTCCAATTTTGGCTGCCTTAAATAGATGCTATGAGATGAGTGTGTGTGTGCATACACGTGTATGTGCACTTGTGCATTTGTGTGTTTATGTGCTCCTGAATGTCTGAATGTAAAGTCACACATTAAGTTTGAGTTTAGAAGAAGCATCCTTTTGCAAATAAATAAGCATGCATATAAAACATAACATATTCCCAACTCATGAAGACACGCTTACAAGCAACTAATATAGTTATGCACTGCATAGTGACATATTAGTCAATGACAGACCATAAATACAGTGGTGGTTCTATAAGGTAATAAACAGAACTGAAAATTCCTATCAGTTAGTAATGCCGTAGTTGTCATAATATTGTAGTGCAAAACATTAGTCACGTTTGTTGTGATGCTGGTGTAAGCAAACCTACTGAGCTGCCAGTCCTATAAAAGTACATCACATGCCATTATGTAGAATACATAATACCTGGTGATGATGATAAATGACTATGTTACTGGTTTATGTATTTAATATGCTATACTTTTACTGTTATTTTAGAGTATACTTCCACTCATAAAGAAAAGTTAACTGGGCCAGATGCGGCGGCTCACGCCTGTAATCCCAGAACTTTGGAGGCTGAGGTGGGCGGATCACCTGAGGTCGGGAGTTCAAGACCAGCCTGACCAACATGGAAATACCCCATCTCTACTAAAAATACAAAATTAGCCAGGCATGGTGGTGCATGCCTGTAATCCCAGCTACTCGGGAGGCTGCGGCAGGAGAATCACTTGAACCGGGGAGGCAGAGGTTGCGGTGAGCCGAGATTGCACCATTGCACTCCAGCCTGGGTAACAAGAGTGGAACTCTGTCTCAAAAAAAAAAAAAAAGAAAAGAAAAGAAAAGAAAAAAGAAAAGGTAACTGTAAAACAGCCTCAGGCAGATCCTTTAGGAGGTAGTCCAGAAGAAGGAATTGTTATCATAGGAGATGACAGCTCCGTGTATGTTATTTCCCCTGAAGACGTTCCAGTGAACAAGATGTGGAGGTGGAAGACAGTGATGCTGATGAACCTGACCCTCTGTAGGCTTAGGCTAATGTGTGTGTTTGCGTTTTATTTTTTAACAAAATATTTAAAAAGAAAAAATAAAAATAGAATGAAAAGCTTAAAGTAAAGGGCTATAAAAAAGAATACTATTTTTGTACAGCTGTACAATGTGTTTGTGCTTTAAGCTAAGTGTTATTACAAAGGAATCAAAAGTTAAAGAAAATTTAAAAGTAAAATGTTACAGGAAGCTAAGGTTAATTTATTATCGAAGGAAGAAAAATATTTTTAATATATTTAATGTAGCCTAAGTGTACAGTGTTTGTAAAGTCTACAGGAATGTATAGCAACGTCTTAGGCCTTCACATTCACTCACCACTAACTCACTGACTCACCCAGAGAAACCTTCAGTTCTGCAAGCTTTATTCATTTTAAGTGCCCTATACAGGTGTACCATGTTTTATCCTGAATAGTGCATTCTCACTATACCACTTCTATGTTTAGATACATTTAGATACATAGATACCATCATGTGACAGTTGCTTACAGTATTCAGTACAGCAACATGCCGTACAGCCTTGTAGCTTAGAAGCAATAGGCTATATCATATAGCCTAGGTGTGTACTAGGCTATAGGTTTGTGTAAGTACACTATAATATTCACATCATGGCCGGGTGCGGTGGCTCACGCCTGTAATCCCAACACTTTGGAAGGCCGAGGTGGGCAGATCACGAGGTCAGGAGATCGAGATCATCCTGGCTAACACAGTGAAACCCAGTCTCTACTAAAAATACAAAACATTAGCTGGGCGTGGTGACACGCGCGCCTGTAGTCCCAGCTACTCAGGAGGCTGAGGCAGGAGAATTGCTCGAACCTGGGAGGCGGAGGTTGCAGTCAGCCGAGGTCGCGCCATTGCACAACAGCCTGGGCGACAGAGCGAGACTCTGTCTCAAAAAAAAAAAAAAAAAAAAAAAAATTCACACCATGACAAAAACTGCATAGTGATGTATTTCTCAGAGCATTTCCTCACCGTTAAGCAGTGCATGACTGTATACATGACCACCATTTGATCATTCCTTCCTTCCCTTGCTTCTTTCTTAGTCATTACCTTCTCTCGAAAGCCATTATAAGCCACCTGATCTAGAGTAACTCCCTCTGCTTCTCCCCTTAGCCAGTCCCATGCCATGAGATATTCTCTTCTTTTAAGGAAATGCTTCCCAAGAATGTAAGAAGATTGTCTGTTTTTCTTACATTTTTTTCTTGTTTTCTGTTAAATGCTATATAATAGATGCTCAATGATGATTTGATAAATGAGGAAATATTTGCTGCTCACTGATAAAATTTAGGAGGCACTATACTGGCCCAGTTCTTCCTAAACCCTGCTGTGTATCAAAAATTACCCAGGAAGCTTTCAAAAATCTCAGTTATCAGGAACCCAATCCTGGAGATTTGATTCAGGTAGGTATGGTTTATTCACTGCTATTTCCATAGAACAGCAGGTGGCATATAACTAGGCTTCAATAAATAATAAGTATTTGTATAATCATTACTCATTACGAGTAATTTTCTTGTGGTAACCTTCAACCTGGTTTCCTGCCTCCCGTTGCTCCCCTATCCTGAAATGCTCTTACCCTTCCATTTCACCTTCCATCTCACCTGTGGAATGCTTTTCTGAATCAGAAAGCTGAACACGACACTATCCCGAATAAAATTTGTCCATTATTCTCTGTTTTCTTCAGGATGAAGTCCAAAAGCCTTATCAAGTAAGCAGAACCTTTTAAAATCTGGCCCAGGTTACCTTTCCAACACTGAATTTCTCCCAGTACACCATGCTTGTTTATTCTTCCATTCCTTTGCATATGTTACTTCTTTGGCCTAGAATGTTCTTTCCATTTTTATATGTCAAAATCCTTTTACTTCTTTTTAGACATAAGTCTAATGTCACCTTCTCCAGGAAGCCCTTTCCAAATTTCTCAGGCTTAGTCAGCACTTAGCACAAAACCTGTTTTACATTAAGAACTAAAGGCAAGTATTATTATTATTTATCCATTTATGGTATGAATTGTGATTATTTTGGAGACTTGTTTAATTATTATTCTCTAATGAGAAACTAGAGGCAAAAGCTGAGTAAACTGAAGGTTAAACCGTAACTACTTAGCTAAGGAATTTGCTTTGCTATCCTATCTTTCTTTTTTTCTTTTTTTTATTGTACTTTAAGTTCTGGGATACATGTGCAGAAGGTGCAGGTTTGTTACATAGGGATACACGTGCCATGGTGGTTTGCTGCACCCATCATCTACATTAGGTATTTCTCCTAATGCTATCCCTCCCCTTGCCCCCCACCCCCCGACAGGCCCCAGTGTGTGATGTTCCCCTCCCTGTGTCCATGTGTTCTCATTGTTCAGCTCCCACTTATGAGTGAGAACATGCAGTGTTTGGTTTTCTGTTCTTGCGTTAGTTTGCTGAGAATGATGGTTTCTAGCTTCATCCATGTCCCTGCAAAGGACATGAACTCATCCCTTTTTACGGCTGCATAGTATTCCATGGCTTATCCTACCTTTCTATTGACTCTCCAACAAAAACGTGAAACCTTGAGGAAATTTTTCTCTCAGAGACATACTCTGTGACTGTCAGGTCAGTGTATTCTCATAAACAGTATCATGACGTATCATTTGAAGATGAAAGTGAGGTATTTGAAAGGTTCCTAACTAGCTGTGATCTTGCCATGAGACAGCACATTTGGCATGTGCCATTTCCTGAAACTTAGCATGCTGTGGGGCAAAACTTTTCCTGAAATAATCTAGGTTTGAGTCATAGTTCTTATGCTTCCTAGCTTTGTGCTCTTGGGCAAGCCATTTTCTATCTCTGAGCCTGCTTTATCATCTGTAAAATTAAGATAATGACTAAATAACTGCCCTCCCTGCCTACAGTGGGTTTTGCTTCTAGCCTCCAAATTCTTTAGTTTTTTGAATCACATTTTAGAGAAGGCTTTTTTACAAAAGTATTCTGATATAAGTTGAAACACTGTAAAATTTTATGGCTTAAAAACCCAGAAAAATTCTTGGAGCTAGGGAATTAGATTCATCGCAGCGATTTGAAAATTCTTCCAAGTAAAAGTTTCCAATGGCAGAGGAATGTGAACGTATACTCCTGACGGAGTTAGGTACGGCATGAAGCAGCAGATGCAAGCCCTGAAATTTTTGAAGACTTCTCATTATCTTAAAAAATACATGATTTAAAAAATTTACCCTACAATATATTCATTTTTATTCCATATAAAATGTCTTTCCACTTCACACCTTTAAGTTAATGTAATATTCTAGGAAGATAGTTCATGTTTACCTTGGAGGGGCACATCCAGTGATATAGAGGTATGAGAGGCCTGATTTTCATGTATTATCATTAGTGGGTGATGCAGAGAGGAAAGCAGTTATATGTAGTACCTTAAAATTGATTTGAGAAGATTGTGTATTTTTACAATGTGTCTTATGTTTTTCTTCACTCATCCATTTTATCACTTCATTTAAGCATCTAAATAGCTCTCTTATTCCCCTTAATGGGGGAAAAAAAAGCATGACACTATGGTTACTTGTGTTCTTATATGGACAATGCTGCATGTTTTGTTAAATTTGCTTTTCTAGCTGGTTTTATGATCTGAAAAATCAACATGAACTTTTATTTCCTTGGGCTAGGACTTTAGCTGGCAATGTTAAACCTTCAAAGTGAAGGCCTACATTCATCGTTGCAGGGGATATTTGGAGGAGTTTTTCCCATATTCCTTCTCTGCCTCAGGCCTACCCTTGCCAACGCCTTGAATGGCAGGACAGAGAATTTGGGGAAAATAATTTCCCAGTTTCAACGTACCAAAATATAAAGGCTGATGTTTCCCACTCAAAGACTTTCCAGTTCTTTCAGTAAAGCAAAGACCAACTGCCACCTTTTTGAAAAACTGTGGCAAACATGTAAAAAAGCTTCATAATGTAAAAGCAAGTAATCAATTTCACTTTGCCATGGTCAAGGCAAAGCAGGTTCCAGAGAGGTATCTGGGCTGCCAATAGTACATTGCTTTGTACATGAACATTTATCTACCATTGGTGCCAACATCTCTACATCTGGCTGAGGGTCTTGGATGCAAAGCTAATAAAGAGAAGCACCAGGGAGCATCTTTGCACTAATGGGATGCAGGATTTCATTCTTGGAAACTCCCTTTCAAGTTAACATGAAACAAACAACTACTAGGCTCTGGAGCTGGCTTTTAGAGGTTCTGCATATTCAGTGGCACGTGTTTCTATATGTGGCTCATGGAGGCAGGTGTGCCAGTCTCTATAGTGTAACCAGCCATCTATTAGGTACATTTTTGGAGGCAGTGTGAGGAAGCAGCTATGTGACAGCTGATCATCTTGCTGATTGGAATGCTGTGCTTCTGCTATTTGACTGTATCTAAAAGACGCTCAATCATGCTAGGCCAAGTCTGCCACTGAGGTATGACTCCTTGCTCTGTTGCGTCCCCATAGCCTGTCAAGAAGCTTATTTGAGGACTGTACAAAGACTTTGGATTTCCAGATGAACTTTTCAAATATGGCCTACCTGCAAAGGTGATGACTCTTCACTCCATAAACACAGCTTTATGTGGGAGCATTGAAAAATGAATAAATATTGGCTATGAAGACTTAGAGACCTCATTTCCTTCCTTAAATGCTATTCAGAGATTGTCCCTTTTAGGAACAACCATTTTTTCATCACTGATGTAACAAGACCAGGGGACCAGACATAAAGAGATGAGGAGCAATGGAAAATGCTGGGTTAGGTGTGCAGCCTGGATCCTCTTGGCATAGATGCGAAGTTTGTAGTCAGGCCCAACTGCGCTAGTCTAAGTAAACTACACATGATGACTTTTCCACATGAATTTTAAGAAGCAATCCATGCGACACACACACACACACACGGTTTTATTTCTAATTAAAACTAATTTCATCTTACATTCAAGGTTCTGTCTTTTTTTTTTTCTTAAGAATTTCCAGGTTCCTTTAACCCCATGCTAATGCAAGAGCATTCTATATATACTACTGTTTCCTTTGCCTCTTCTCATCACTTGGCAAGAAAATTTACCTTCATCAACAGCAATTCTCACTAAAAGCTGAGTTTGGTATTTGTGAACACAGCTGGTTGGCTCCAACCTATCTTCCTTGCCTCATTCTTTTAATCTTCTTCACTCAGTGACACTTTGTAAATTCCTACCTCTAGTCCTTCACTCATCATCTTTGAGAAAGTAACAAAGTAACACACACGGGAAAGTGCATGGCAGAGTGCCTGGCAAATAGTTGGCATTGTGTGAATGGTCCCTGGATGTTTTCCCCTCACCTTGGCCCTTGCCCACTTGGCCCATCTGTCAGTTTCTTATTCAATGGCCACTTTGTTTGTGAGGACCTGCTATTACTAATAAAACCTTTATAGCTCCCCAGGTTAGAAAGTATAATGACATCCATTTTATCCTCAAAACAATTTTAAAGGTAGGCTTGCTTTCTCTATTTCACATAAGGGGAAACTGAGGTTTATGGAGTGAAGTAACTGGCCATGCCCATATAGCTAATAAATTACAGAGCTGAAAATTGACCATGACTTTGCATAACTGTAAAAGAAAAAAAAGTTTAGAACCAACCTTACCAAGTACTACTCAGAACTTGGGGATAAAGATTCAACTTCTAAGTTTTGTTTCTTTTCTTTCTCACTGAAGTGAATGTGTTGAATATTTGTAAAATTTTAATAAACTTCCAGATAATTTTTAATGAAAAATGAAAATAAGCCTTTGCCTTTTTCTCTCTGACTAGATAACTGAAGTCTAGACTGTAAAAACCAAAGAATAGGTCACATCCTATCACGTGACTTGATTTCTGACTTTATTTTTTCTATCTTTTCATCTGCTCGTTCTTCTCCTAGATTGCCAGTCAGCCCGGTTGCCGTGTCAGTGAAGTATGGCATATTTTTGCTACTATTATCAAACAAGAATTAGAGATTTTAAGAAAAAGGAGCTTTTTCTGTGTACTTAACAGTCTCTCTTCAAAAAGGAAAAAAAATGTGAATGTGTATCAAGATTGCCACTGGACAAAAGATGTGTCAGGTAAGCTTTAGTAATGCTGGTGACGAGCATGAGTGACCCATTCTAGAGATCAAGATATCTGCCCAAGATGACATGATCCCATATCTAGAAAACCCCATCGTCTCAGCCCAAAAGCTTCTTAAGCTGACAAACAACTTCAGCAAAATCTCAGGATACAAAATCAATGTGCAAAAGTCACTAGCATTTCTATATACCAACAACAGGCAAGCTGACAGCCAAATCACGAATGAACTCCCATTCACGATTACCGCAAAAAGAATAAAATACCTAGGAATACAGCTTACAAGGGAAGTGAAAGACCTCTTCAAGGAGAACTACAAACCACTGCCCAAAGAAATCAGAGATGACACAAATGGAAAAACATTCCATGTTCACGAATAGGAAGAATCAATATATGAAAATGGCCATACTGCCCAAAGTAATTTATAGATTCAATGCTATTCCCATTAAACTACTATTGACATTCTTCACACAATTTGAAGAAAAAAAACTATTTTAAAATTCACATGGAACCAAAAAAAGAGCCCAAATAGCCAAGGAAATCCTAAGCAAAAAGAACAAAGCTGGAGGCATTACGCTACTTAATTTCAAATTATAGTACTATAGGGCTACAGTAATCAAAACTGCATGGTACTGGTACAAGAACAGACACACAGACCAATGGAACAGAATAGAGAACCCAGAAGTAAGACCACACACCTACAACCACCTGATCTTCTACAAACCTGACAAAAACAAGCAATGGGGAAAGGATTTTCCATTTAATAAATGGTGCTGGGGGAATTGGTTAACCATATGCAGAAAATTGAAGCTGGACTGCTTCCTTACACCACATACAAAAATTAACTCAAGATGGATTAAAGACTTAAATGTAAAATCCCAAACTATAAAATCCCTAGAAGAAAGCCTCGGCAGTACCATTCAGGACATAGGAATGGGCAAAGATTTCATTACAAAGACAGCAAAAGTAATTTTGACAAAAGCAAAAATCGAAAAATGAGATCTAATTTAACTAAAGAGCTTCTTCTGCACAGCAAAGGAAACTATATTAAACTAAAGAGCTTCTTCTGCACAGCAAAGGAAACTATCAACAGAGTAAACAGACAACCTACAGAATGGGGGAAAATGTTTGCAATCTATGCATCTGACAAAGGTCTAATATCCAACATCTATAAGGAACTTAAACAAATTTACAAAAAAAAAAACCCAAACCCCATTAAATGTGGGCAAAGGACATGAACAGACATTTCTCAAGAGAAGACATACATGCGGCCAACAAGCATATGTAAACAATCTCAACATAACTGATCATTAGAAAAATGCAAATCAAAACCACAATGAGATACCATCTCACACCAGTCAGAATGGCTATTATTAAAAAGTCAAGAGACAAGAGATGCTGGCGAGGTGGTGGAGGAAAAGGAATACTTATACACTGTTGGTGGGAGTGTAAATTAGTTCAACCATTGTGGAAGATGGTGTGGCAATTCCTCAAAGACTTAAAGGCAGAAATACTATTCAACCCAGCAATCCCATTTCTGGGTATATACCCAAAGGAATATAAATTACTCTGTTATAAAGATACATGTGTATGTTGACTGTAGTACTATTTACAATAGCAAAGGCATGGAATCAACCCAAATGCTCATCAATGATAGACTGGATAAAGAAAATGTGGTACACATGGAATACTATGCAGCCATAAAAAGGAACAAGACCATGTTTTTTACAGGGACATGGATGGAGCTGGAGACCATTATCCCTAGCAAACTAACACAGGAGCAGAAAACCAAGTACTGTGTGTTCTCACTTATAAGTGGAAGCTGAATGATCAGAACACATGCACACATGAGGGAGTAACACATGTGGCGGGTCGGAAGGTGTGGGTTGGCAGGAGGGAGAGCATCAGGAAGAACAGCTAATGGATGCTGGGCTTAATACCTGGGTGGTGGGATAATCTGTGCAGTAAACCACATTGGCACACGTTTACCTATGTAACAAACCTGCACATCCTGCACATGTATTCCTGAACTTAAAAGTTGGAAAAAAAATCTGCTCAGTCTGATCATTATCTGATCATTATCTTTCTTCCTAGCTGGGAAGCTATACAGTACAAACTCGTCAAGGGAAGATGAATAGATGAATGAAATAGATATTATTCCACTGCAAAATATGGATGAAGTAAAGTTACAACTTCAGGAAAAAATGATGCCAATTTCTAGATTCAGAAGGAGAATATAAAGCAAGTCATTAATGTGCAAAACAGATTTGCAAGAGATAACTGAGCATTTCAAAGTACAATTGAGGTGCTAGAAAATCAGAGGGAAATTTTTACTACTCATTTTCTGAATGTTCAAGGGAGAGCTGATGATAAAAATATGACACAATTCTTTCTGAAATTTCTGAAAACACTGAGACGGAAGATGGCTTTTTTAAGTCGGAAAAGGACTTAGCAGAACAGCTATGGAAAGGAACTCAACCCAAGGTTATTGGTCATGATTGCTTTTCATCACCAGGCACTTTAATGATGAAAGAATTTAATGAGTCAAAACACTTATTTCCAGTCCAGAAATTTAAGATTTGTGGGTGATGGATGTAGGGGTGGAAATAAGTAACTCCAGAATTTAAACAGAGTTGCATTTGGATGTAATAACCAGGTGTCACTGAGGGGACTTGGAATGTGCGCATACTTATGGAAACTAAATAATACAAAAGTATTTTGACATCTTTATTGACATTGATTTGATTTGTTTACTTAATGTTGTTAAGGTAGTTTTCCTTGGGAAACAAGGAGCTAGGATTTGGTCTGATTTATTATTCACAACAACCTCTTGTGGTTAAAGAAACTGTTACTAATGTATTTATTTTACAATTAAAGGTACTGGAGCTCAGAGAGGGCAAGTTATTTGCTTAAGTTCCATTTTTTATTAAATAAGCATTTTTGAGCCCATAATATATGCAAGAAACTGTGATATGAAGATATGAACATGACTAATCCTAAAATGACTAAGCTAAATGCTTGTTCTCAAGGCAATTATCTTCTACTACAAAAGACACACAAGTAGAAAAATAGCTGCAATGCAATAGATGCTAAAATAAATACATTATATGAAGGGAGTGAAGAGAAGTGAGGCTATTTAGCTCTACGTTTTGGAGAAATTGAGGGGGAGCTCTTTAAAAAGGTTTCACAGAAGAAATAAAACCTTAGCTAACTTTTATAGAGTAACAAGGCGATTGTTAGGAAAACATAATAGGAACTGGTATGACAGATGGAATAGCTCTAGAGATCTATGCTATTTTTTTTTTTTTTTTTTTTGAGACGGAGTTTCACTCTTGTTGTCCAGGTTGGAGTGCAATGGCGTGATCTCAGCTCACCACAACCTCTGCCTTCCGGGTTCAAGCGATTCCCCTGCCTCAGCCTCCCGAGTAGCTGGGATTACAGGCATGCGCCACCAAGCCCAGCTAATTTTGTATTTTTAGTAGAGACGAGGTTTCTCCACATTGGTCAGGCTGGTCTCGAACCTCTGACCTCAGGTGATCTGCCCACCTCAGCCTCCCACAGTGCTGGCATTACAGGCATGAGCCACCACGCCCTGTGCTTCTTAGTGCATATAAGTAGCCTGGAGATCTTGTCAAAAAACTGATTTTGAGTCAGTGAGTATGGTGTGGAGCCTGTGATTGTGGATTTCTAACAAAGTTCTCAGGTGATGCTGATGCTCTCTGTCTTGGGCACCCACTTGGAATAGCAATGTGTTAAAGCACAGAGGTAGATTTGAGAAGTCCTCAGCAGGTTTCAGCCTGAGGTCCACCAGTGTTAGACCTCTGGATAAAGACAGCCCCAAGGAAAACTAAAATGTAAAGTTTGGGAAAAGGGAAAAGACACTAAGAAGCCGTAGAAAGATAGGAGGGAAACCAAAAAAGAATGGTATTTTAAAACACAAGTTCTAAGATAGAAGCAGTCAACTGAGTTAACTGTTCTAGAAAGTTCAAGTTAGTAAGAGTTAAAAATACTCATTGAATTTAGCATGTAAATGATCAATGTTTTCCATCCCAAATAGTTACTATGTAATGTCCTTGGACTATGCTATTGAGTATGATAGTGACTAGACATACATGGCTACTGACTACTTAAAATGTGGCAATTGTATATTAATTGAGCTGTAAAAGACACGGTGTATTTTGAAAACTTAGTAAAAAAATAATATGTAATATTTTCCTTGTAATTTTTATATTGATAACTTATTCAAATTATAATATTTTTGCTACACTGTACTAAAATATGTTATTAATCTTGACCTTAATTGTATCTGTTCTTTTCATACTTTTAAAATGTGGCTACTAGAAATTTTTAAAGTACCTATGTGGCTCACACAGTGGCTCACATTACAATTCTATTGGACAGTGGTGATCTAGGCAGATAAAAATTGGGCCGGGAGGGAAAGGAAGCAAGAAGGTACATACAGTAACTTGAGGGAAATTTAGGATCAATGTAGGAAAGGATTTTCAGATGGCAGAGATGGAAGCGTATTTATATATTAAAGGTAAAGAGCCAATATAGGGAACATGTTAAAGACAAACAAGAAAGAGGTCAAAACTGATAAATTATGGAGTGGTTATTGAAAACCATGCCTGATGCAAGAGCCAGGACTTTTAATTCATTATACAATATAAATTACTCAAATTTGAAGAGAAAACATACATCTATTCATATGCTTTAGAAAAATTTAACAGCATAGAAATTACTTATTTATTTATTTATTTATTTTTGAGACAGAGTTTCACTCTTGTCACCCAGGCTAGAGTGCAGTGGTGCAATCTTGGCTCACTGCAACCTCTGCCTCCTGGGTTCAAGCGATTCTCCTGCCTCAGCCCCCTGAGTAGCTGGGATTACAGGTACCTGCCACCACACCCAGCTAATTTTTGTATTTTTAGTAAAGATGGGGTTTCACCATGTTGGCCAGGCTGCTTTCAAACTCCTGACCTCAGGTGAACGACCTGCCTCGGCCTCCCAAAGTGCTGGGATTACAGGCGTGAGGCACTGTGCCCAGCTGAAATTACACATTTATTAAAGATTTAAACAAATTGTAAAACAACAGGGATCTGGTGCTTTTATTGAGATGGTTTTGATAACTTTTTCAACTCCTCCACATTTATTACAAATTTTCTACTTCTTGAGCCAGTTGTAATAATTTTTAAATAAACTTTATCTATTTCCTTAAGAAATTTGTACCATTTAACATTATATTTAACTACTATTTTTACAAAATAATGTGGTACAGTGGCTATAGCCTGTCCTCCAACCACGTTATTGCTGATCCTGAATGGATTAAACTTGGCAGATATTTGTCCATTTTATTAGTATTTTGAAATAACCAGTTCTTGGATTTTGTACTTTCTGCTGCTCATCTCTGTATCCCAATTGCTGTTCTTTACTTTTATCATTATTGGCTCCTTCCTCCTGCCTTTGATTTTGTTTTTGTGTTAAACTGTGTAATTTTTATTTCTAGAGTCATTTTTTTTTTTTGAGATGGAGTCTCGCTCTGTCCCCCAGGCTGGAGTGCAGTGGTGCAATCTCTGCTCACTGCAACCTCCGCCTCCCAGGTTCAAGCAATTCTCTGCCTCAGCCTCCCGAGTAGCTGGGATTACAGGTGCCCACCACCATGCCCGGCTACCTTTTTTTTTTTTTTTTTTTTGTATTTTTAGTAGAGACGTGGTTTCACCATCTTGACCAGGCTGGTCTTGAACTCCTGACCTCGTGATCCACCCACCTCAGCCTCCCAAAGTGCTGGGATTACAGGCGTGAGCCACTGCGCGAGCCACCTGGCCTATTTCTAGATTCTTTAGTATTGATTTTATTTTTAGCTTTGTGAATAGAATGCTGAGTGAAAGTTTTAAGAAAAAAAATTGGTATTTATAATAAAATTATTTAAAGCTGTAAGTTTTTCTTTAAATATATATTTAATGGCAGCTCAAATGAGCTAGCATGCAGTCATTTTATCATTATGTACCAAATAGCATGTATTTGGCATTTTGATTTTCTTTCTTCAAGAGTTATTTTCGAAGGGCCTTATAACATTTTTCAAGAGATTTTGTGCTTTATTTTTTTAAATTTAGCTTCTCATTTTATTTCATGTAATTTAAGTATTTGGTTTGTAATATTACTACTTTGACTATATATATTTATATATATATAAATATATATATTTATATAAATTATATATATATTATATATATATATACATTATATATATATATATATATATATATATATATATATATATACATTATATATATATATATATATATATATATATATATATATATATATATATACTTTTTGAGACAAGGTCTCACTTTGTTGCCCAATCTGGAGTGCAGTGACATGGTCATGGCTCACTGCAGCCTCAACCTCCCTGGGTTCATATGACCCTCTCACATCAGCCTCCCAAGTAGCTGGACTATAGGCATGCACCACCATGCCTGGCTAATTCTTTTATATTTTTTGTACAGACGGAGTTTCGCCATGTTGTCTAGGCTGGTCTAAAACTTCTGGGCTCAAGTGATCTGACTGGCTCAGCCTCCCAAAGTGCTGGGATGACAGGTGTGAGCCACTGTGCCTGGCCTGATCTACATATATTTAATGTTTGAAAATATTTAATAGATTTGGAAAAAACATTTCAGGGTAAATATGAAAAGGTTCCTGTTTGTCTTTTGTTAATCTTTAAATCATTTGATTGTCTTTTTGTCATCTCCAAGAAGTACAGACATACCTCATTTTATTGCATTTTGCTTTACTGTGCTTTGCATATATTGCATTTCTTACAAATTGAAGGTTTGTGGCAACTTTGCATCAAGCAAGTCTATTGGCACCATTTTTCCAACAGCATGTCTTCGCTTTGTTTCTCTGTGACACACGTTGTTAATTCTCAAAATATTTCCAATTTTTTCATTATTATATCTACTATGGTGATTTGTGGTCAGTGATCTTTAATGTTACTATTGTAATTGTTTTGGAGCACCAAGAACTGCACCCAAATAAGATGGCAAAGTTAATAAATGTGAGTGTTCTGACTGCTCCACTGCTCAGTCGTCCCCCGAATGTATGTTCCTGTCCTTAGGCCTTCCTATTTCCTGAGACAGAACAGTATTGAATCTAAGCCAGTTAATAACCCTACAATGGTTTCTAAGTGTTCAAGTGAGAGGAAGAGTTGTGTATCTCTCACTTAAATCAAAGCTAGAAATGATTAAGCTTAGGGAAGAAGGCATGTCAAAAGCTGATATTGGCCAAAACCTAGGGCTCTTGCACTAAACAGCCAAGTGGTGAATGCAAAGGGAAAGTTATTGAAGGAAATTTAAAGTGCTTCTCCAGAAAGAAAGAAGGGTAGCGTTATTGCTGATATGAAGAAAGTTTTAATGATCTGAATAAAAAATGAAATCAGCTACAACATTCCCTCAGACTAAAGCCTAATCCAGAGCAAGACCCTAGCTCTCTTTACTTCTACGAAGCCTGATAGAGGTGAAGAAGCTGCAGAAGAAAAGTTTGAAACTAGAATAAATTGGTTTTTGAGACTGAAGAAAAGAAGCCATCTCCATAACATAAAAGCACAAAATAAAGTGGCCAGTGCCTATGTAGAAGATCCAGTAAGTGATCCAGGTGATCTAGCTAAGATAATTGATGAAGATGGCTACACTACAAAACAGATTTTCAATGTAGATGAAACATCTAGTTCTGTTAGAAGAAGGTATCATCTAAGACTTTCATAGCTAGAGAGAAGTCAATCCCTGGCTTCAAAACCTCAAAGAATAGGCTGACTCCCTTGTTAGAGGCTAATACAGCTGGTGACTAAGTTAAAGGCAATGCTCATTTACCATTTCAAAAATCCTAGGTCCCTAAAGAATTATGCTAAATCTATTCTGCTAGTACACTATAAGTGGATCAACAGAGCCTGAAAGATAGCCCATCTATTTACAGCATGGTTTACTAAATATTCTATGGTTTACTAAATATTCTAAGCTCACTATTGAGACCTACTGCTCAAAAAAAGAGATTCCTTTGAAAATACTACAGCTGATTGACAATGCACTTAGTTACCTAGAAGATCTGATGGAGATCTACAATATGATTCATGTTGTTTTCATGCCTGCTAATACAACATTCATTCTGCAGCCCATGAATAATGGAATAATTTTGAAGTTTGAGTCTTATTATTTAAAAAATATATTTTATAAGGCTAAAAGAATGATTCCTCTGATAAACGGGTCTAAACAAAGTAAGTTGAAAACCTTCTGACTAGGTTTCATCATTCTACATGGCATTAAGAACATTTGTGAAGCTGGGCACGGTGGCTCACACCTGTAATCCCAGCACTTTGGGAGAGTGAGGCAGGCAGATCACGAGGTCAGGAGTTTGAGACCAGCCTGGCCAACATAGTGAAGCCGCGTCTCTACTAAAAATACAAAAAATTAGCTAGGCATGATGGCGGATGCCTATAATCCCAGCTACTCGGGAGGTTGAGGCAGGAGAATGGCTTGAACCTGGGAGGCAGAGGTTGCAGTGAGCCGAGATCACACCATTGCACTTCAGCCCAGGCGACAGTGCGAGACTCTGTCTCAAAAAAAAGAAAAAAAAGAACATTTGTGATTCATGGGAGAAGTTCAAAATATAAACATTAATAGGAGTTTTGAAGAAGTTGATTCCAGCCCTCATGAATGACTTTGAAGAGTTCAAGATTTCAGGGTAGGAAGTAACTGCAGATGTGGTGGAAAACAAAAACAAAAACTAGAATTAGAAGTAGAGTCTGAAGATGTGACTGAATTGCTACAATAAAACTTTGATGGATGAAGAGTTGCTTTTTGTGGAAGAGCAAAGAAAGTGGTTTCTTTAGATGAAATGATGAAATCTACTTTTGGTGAAGGTTAAACATTGTTGAAATGACCATCGAGGACTTAGAATATTTCATAAACTTAATCGATAAAGCAGTGACAAGGTTTGAGATTTTTGACTCCAAATTTGAAAGTAGTTCAACAGTGGGTAACACGCTATCAATCAGCATCACATGCTAAATGAAAATCTTTAGTGAAAGGAAGAGTCAATCGATGAAGCAAACTTCATTGCTGTCTTGTTTTAAGAAACTGCCACATCCGTTCCAACCTTCAGCAACTATCACTCTTACAGTAGCCATCCACATCAAGGCAAGATCCTTTACCAGGAAAAAATTATGACTGGCTGAAGACTAAGATGATTGCTAGCATTTTTTATCAATAAAGTATTTTTAAAATTAACGTATGTACATTGTTTTGTTTTAGATAAAATTCCATTGCATATTTAATAGACTACAGTATAGTGTAAACCTAACTTTTATGTTGATATGGTTTGGTTGTGTCCCCCCTCAAATCTCATCTTGAATTGTCACTCCTGTAATTCCCATGTGTAGTGGGAGGGAACCAGTGGGAGGTAACTGAAACATGTGGGCGGGTTTTCTCTATGCTGCTCTCATGATAGTGAATAAGTCTCACAAGATCTGATGGTTTTAAAAACCAGAGTTGCCCTGCACACACTCTCTTGCCTGCTGCCATGTAAGACGGGCCTTTGCTCCTCCTTCACCTCCTCCATGATTGTGAGGCCTCCTCAGTTATGTGGAACTGTGAGTCCATTAAACCTTTTTTTCTTTACAAATTACCCAGTCTTGGGTATT
Organism: Homo sapiens; assembly: GCF_000001405.40. NCBI lineage: Eukaryota > Metazoa > Chordata > Mammalia > Primates > Hominidae > Homo > Homo sapiens. The sequence goes on along the minus strand of NC_000023.11, from coordinate 141,307,951 downwards.
TCTTCATAGCAGTATGAAAATTAACTAATATGCATTGGGAAACCAAAAAATTTGTGTGCCTTGTTTTATTGCCATATTCATTTTATTAAAGTTTCTGGAACTGAACTCACAATGTCTCTGAGGTATGTTTTTATTAATTACTGCCACTTAAAAATTAGCAATCTTGTTTTTGCCTTTCAAAATACTTTTTAGTCTTAGATTATCATCATATTTGTTTGCTTTTGTTATTTTATAATTGCATTTATTAAAAACTAAAATTACATGTACAAGACTTAATAATTCAGAGCTCTTTCCATTCAGTCAGTACATGGACTTAATATTAGGTGGAAAGAATAGATCAGAAAGGAAAAGTATGGACTAGGAGGAAAGAAAAGCATTTGGATTAGTTAATAGAAATAGGAGTGAAATTAGTAAATTGAGGACTAATTATTTAGGTCAACTGGAACTTGAGGCAACACAGAGACCTCCGGGGGAAAAAGACAAACATACAGAGTAAACAGAGCTGAGGAACGGCTTGCATTCTTCTAATGACAAGAATGCTGATGGTCAAGAGGAGAATAAGAATCTGAATACATGAGGTTGTAGGTCTTGGTCAAAGCTGCACAGCCCATATTTCATTCTCCGTTGTTTTAGCACTAGATCTTCCTTTTTATGTTAATAGCATCAAAATAAGAAAACTGCATGTAAATAAAATAAACGATAGTTGGGGCTGGAGTGACACATGTTCTATTGAGTTCCTCTTTGAGGAAAGGAGTTTGGGAGAGGTACATGCTGAAGAAAAAAAAAAATGTCACGAAAGGGAATTTAAGTATAAAAGAGTCAACTTGAGCCTATATTCCTGAGAGGACTTCCAGGTACTTACTGCGTTGTTGCGCCTCTCTCTGATTTTGGTGGAATCAGTGTTCGCTAAAACTAATGGAGTTAGAAATCCCTGTTGCGTCCCTGGTTTACTCTGGCAACGGTACTTGGAAAGAAACCCCAGAGACTAGTGAAATGGGAGAAGTTCCCTTATCCCACTTGCAGGGTGTGCAACAGGGGTGTGGTTCGCCTCTTCAGTGCCCCACTGCTCAAATCCCTAGGGGGAGCATGCAGATGAGCAGGTTGTGGGGAGCATTCTGGGGCTCCAACCCCATAGCAGTGCTAAAGGTTAAGTGTTCACAGCTCCCAAAGCACCAGTGAGCGTGTGTTATAGTGTGCTCTTTTAGCTTTGCTGTCTGCGGCTGGCTTGTGTTAATCAGCTCAATTGGGTGGCTTGTATTAATCAGATCAATTAGACCCTCTGCCTTATTACAAGGACAGAGGGCTTTCTGTATCCCGGGTTCTTGCCCTAGTGTCACACCTGGGCTTGGAGGATGGGTGCAAGGATTTTTTGAGTGGTGGAGGTAGCTCTCAGTGAGGTGGATGGGGAGCCAGAAAGGAGATGGCATGGGAAGGTGGTCTTCCCCTGGAGTCAGGCCGCTCAGCAGCCAGACTCTACGCCAATCTCCCCCAGCCAAGTTCCATGCCATCCCACCATTGATGGCCTGCGATGTGTGCTGGTGTCTGTTGGTGTGTTATTCTGTTCCTCTCAACGTCCAGCCACTCGTGTCTGTGCCTGCTAGGGTATTGGGTTTTTATGGGCACAGGATGGGAGGCATGACAGACAAGAGTGGTCTTGGAAAATGCAGCATTTGGGCATGAAAACAGGAGTGACTGTTCTCATTTAGGTCCGTCGGCACAGGCCCAAGGGTGGAGCCCTCGCCAGAGACCCTGCCCTACTCTACTCAGCACTTCCTGTCCCCCTCCCTTATCACTAGGAAACCTGGGTTGGAAGAAGAGATGCTCACTGGCCTGATACATTGTATGCAGTTCACAATGATTGAGACAGCCTGCCATTTGGATTGCTCTCCATGCCTACCATCACCCTGAGGCAGGCCAACCAGGCAGAGGAGTAGAGAGTAGCACAGTAAATCTACACTTACATCTTTCAACTGATTTTTGTGAGACTGGATTATTCAAGTAACAGCTGAAATGTATGCATGCAGATCCAATTTTGGAAGAAAAAAATAACTGAAAAAGACTAAAGCATAGCATACATAGATAAACGACCAAATATAAGAATCCAAAATAAAATGTACTGGGGTTCTGCCTCAAGATGTTAAAACAATATTGCTATTATAGGTACAGATTCCTAAAACTAACAAGCTATAAGCAAATGATCACATACGCATTCCTTACAAACCATATCACAAGACACTGAATGAATAGTATTGCTTTATCTCTTTGTGTTCAGCATTGATTTTTTGAGAGTTGAATACCCCATCTATACATAATGATTATTATGAATTTGGGAGCAAACCTAACTTACAAATAGGAAGGGTAAAGATAAAAGAAGTTGTTAATATTAAAAGAGGATGCAATTTTTAAAATATTTTTTAAATGTGGATATTTGAGAGTTACCTTTAAAAGGAATATGTAAATCTTAGGATAGAAATGTTGTAATATTTTCTAGCCTCAAGAAAGAGTTAGATATTTGGATTTTATTTGTACTTCTAAATTTCCCCAGGCTGGGGTAAGGTTTAGCTTTTCATCCAACTGTATATCTCAGTAATGTACAAGGTAGAGGTAAAAGAGAGAGTGATGATGGCATAGTAATATCTTTGATGGAAGAAAGAAAGAAGTCTTCTTTCTTTATCCTGAAGTATGCTTCGAGAATAAATAAGGCCAATACCTGGATTAAGGTACAGTGGCCTCACTGCATCACATAACTTTAAATTAAATAATCAAATTATTAAGTACAGTCATGCTCTGCATAATGATGTTTTGGTCAACAATGGACCACATCTATCATGGTAGTCCCATAAGATTATAATGGAGCTGAAAACTTCCTGTCACCAAGTGATATGTTGATAATTCTGACCCTATGTAGACCTAGGCTAATGTGTCTTTGTGTCTTAGATTTTAAGAAAAAGGTATGAAAAACAAAGAAATGTATTAAAATTTTAAAAATAGATAAAACCTATAAAATGAGGACAGAAGAAAGATATTTTTGTACAGCTGTACCACGTGTTTTAATCTACGTTTTATTACAAAACAGTCAAAAATTTAAGTTTATGAAGTTAAAAAGTTACAGTAAGCTTATTTATTATTGAAGAAAAAAGGTTTTAAATAAATGTAGTGTAGCCTAAGTGTACAGTGTTTATAAAATCTACAGTAGTGTACAGTGATGTTCTAGGTCTTCACACTCATTCACTCCTCACTCACTGACTCACCCAGAGCAACTTCCAGTCCTGTGAGCACCATTCATAATGAGTACCCTCCCTATACAATGGTACCATTTTTAATCATCTATATTGTATTTTTACTGTATCTTTTCTATTTAGATACATACCATTATGCTCTAATTGCCTTCAGTGTTCAGTACAGTCACATGCTGTACAGGTTTGTAGCCTGGAGCAACAGGCTGTACCATAGAGTCTAGTTATGTAGTAGGTTACACCATGTAGGTTTGTGTAAATACACTCTATGATGTTCACACAATGACAAAACTGCCTAATGAAGCATTTCTCAGAATATATCCCTGTTGATAAGTGACACATGACTGTATTTAATAATATTTTGTTTGACTAAAGCCTCCTGATTGTCTGACCTTCAAACAATTATTTATGTAGATGGAGAGGTAAAAAGCTTCTACCTCCTTTGATCCAAAAGAAAGTTTAAAAAGGGTGTAAGGCAATTTTTTTTTGAGTGATGCCTAATTTTAGCTAAATTGTACACATATTTAGATACAACTCTTCCAGTTTCACTAAGTGTAGGTATTTTTCCAAGCAAAATCTCAGGAAGAGAGAAACAAGATTTAAAGAACTTCCTCTTCTGAAAGACCCATAAGTGTCATATGGACAGGTATCTATTTCTACTTTTTGATTCAGTTTTGTAGTGTGTCAGATAAATTGAGAAACAAGGGGTGTCATTTGAGGATCATGCTGCACAATGTGTGGCTTGCATGGTACCCTACACTGATCCTGCCGTGTACTTACATGATCACATTTTATGCTGACTGAGCCTCCAAGTTTAATACTCAGGGTATAAAGTTTGTTACCTTTTCTGCATATTTTATTAGCAAAAAGTTATATTACGCTGATCCAATTTCATATTTCAGAGATCCAGCTGCAATGTTGCTGATGAAGCTACATAACCTATTTGCTTAGCCAAATGCATAAACAAGCATTTAATCAATAATCAGGTTGCATATTTTAATGGAACCAGTGCAATGACTGTAATCATTTAAAAATACACATCAAACAAATTTATGTTCATAATTTATTCTCAAGGGCAGGTTAATGCTATTTAGGCTATTATTTTCCCATCCTGGCCAACATGGTGAAACCCATATCTACTAAAAATACAAAAATTAGCTGGCCGTGGTGGCGCACGCCTGTAGTCCCAGCTACTCGGGAGGCTGAGGCAGGAGAATCGCTTGAACCCAGGAGGCGGAGGTTGCAATAAGGCGAGATCGCGCCGTTGCATTACAGCCTGGCGACAGAGCGAGACTCCGTCTCAAAAAAAAAGAAAAAAAAGAAAAAAGAAATAGATATTTCTAAACTTAAAAACAGAAAAATAAGAAATAGATATTTATAAACTTAAAGAACAGAAAAATACCAGAATTTTTCTTTTGCAATTTTTGTTGTTTACTCCCCTCCTCCCCCTAGAAAAGTCTTCGGAAGTTATGGATTGCCTTCTTTTAACACAGAAGTCCTGTTTACCAGATGGGCAGGAGAACAATCCCCAAACCTATTCAACTATGAAGCTGTCAAGCATAACAGCTGGGGACCTTCTGGAAGAATATGATTGACAGAGACTCAGGAAGGTAGACCCCTAGGTTTATACTGCTGCATGGTCACACCATGGCTGATTGGTTTCTGACTAATAGGGTCAGTCGAATTGTTAAAAAATAGTTTCTTCGATACACATGTTGACACAATAAGTCTTCAAACTATTACCGCAAAAATGTCAGAATGATTGGCTTAAAGAAGATTTTAAATTCTGGTATCTAATTCAATAAGCCTCTATTAAATACTGCTATGTGTCGGAAACTATTTTAGATATTGGAGGTGGGGTAAGGATCCGGGTCCCTGTTTTTCAGGACCTTCTGATTTACTAGGGAAGACAGATGAATCCTTGAGTAGCTAACAGAATGTAGGATGATAATCACTAGACAATAACCCAGGGTTATAGAAAGCAAGGGGAGGGAAAATTCACTGTGACAGGAGTTGAAGAAAAAGGTGAAATTTGAGAAGACCTTGAAGGCTAGAAAGGATGCTGACATGGAAAGTTGGAAATAAAAAGCATTCTGGGCAGACGGGAGAATTTTATAGCAGTATTCTTCATATTCCTTGAACATTGGAATCCTTTTTCATTGAAATGAGGAAAAAACTCTTTTTGTCAAGGTTAAATATTGTATGTTTAGCACTACTTTCATTATATATATTTTTCACTTTTAAGAAAACAAAGCTGGCTGCTGCTAGAAATCAGTCTTGACATACTTCTCTTTTACTGATGGTTTTTGGAGGGCATTGTTGCCTATATTGCGTGCTTCAGCTCAAACCAGGAACCAGGCCTCAGCCATGTAGACAAGAGCAGAATAAATGAGGCAGATGTTTTACTGTCTTCTTCTCATTTGAATCTACTCAGTGCAGAAGGGAGACGTTGTTTGCCTCAAATTATTTAAGTACCAGCATTTGTCACTCCTGTAATTCACTTACCACTACCAGATATGCAATTACTTTAACTGCAAACCACTTACATCTCAGTCAGTTCTACTGTCTAAAAATATGTCTGCTTTTATTTGAAGAGCTAAGACTGAAACTGTACTTGGGACCATTCCAAAACTTTGCTAGTTGTGCACTTCAAGTGGAGCAATATTTAAATTAATTTTCCTTTTGAATTGTAAGAAAAATGATTACACATATCATTGTTAAATTTAACATTATCATTTTACAGTATTTATTTAAGAATAAGAATTGAAAATTGATGGGCCTGAAAGGCTACAAAGCTTATTCTGTTGTCAGGCCTTGAGTTACAACTTTGACATATCTAAATGTATTCTTTCTTGATGATTGGGTTCCCAAGGATTTGATCAACTTCAGTTTATACTGTAATCCTCACAGGTCAGCACTGTGTTGACTCCCCTATTGTTGAAGGCACAGAGGCTCAGAAAACAATAATTATTCAGTGATCTATGCCTATTTGATATTAAATGTGGCCCTGTGAGATTGCATTTCACCATTCATGACCAAATAGAGAATGTACAGAGAAGACCTTATTAACCTAGGAACTGAGTGGGCTGACCCTTCTAGGTTTAGTTCAGGTGATGGATACTCAGAGTAGACTGAAAAATAGACGATTGAGGTGGGTGGATCATGAGGTCAGGAGATCAAGACCATCCTGGCCAACATGGTGAAATCCCATCTCTACTAAAAATACAAAAATCAGCCAGGTGTGGTGGCATGTGCCTGTATTCTCAGCTACTCAGGAGGCTGAGGCAGGAGAATTGCTTGAACCCAGAGGCAGAGGTTACAGTGAGCCAAGATCACGCCATTGAACTCCAGCCTGGGTGACAGAGCAAGATTCCGTCTCAAAAGAAAAAAAGAAAAATAGACATGATAAGAAGGAAGCTGGGCAGCTTTTATTAGAAGATACTGGCATACAGCCTTGATGTTCCGTGGAATCACAGAATGGTTTTGATGAATCACAGATGAAGGGCCTGGAATTCTCTGTCATGTTGGGTTAGTTTCCAGGGTAAACGAACTGTGGCATGTACCCACTTTCTTGCTCATCTTACCAGCTATCTCAGTTTTCTTTGCAACCGAGTGTAGGCATATTCTTCACCTTAGGTGGCTGGACCCAGTGCTAACTTGGAGTAGCTTAGCAATGCAGAGGTAGAGGACAAAGACAAAGAATGCAAATATTTGTCCAGTTCCTACCTTTGTCTGCCTTTTGTTTCCCCTTTTAGTTCCACTAAAATTCCATGTTCTCTCCTGCCTGCAAGGACTTTCACATGCTTTTCTCACTGTCTGTAATGCACTCTCTATCCTCCTTTGCCTAGTCAGCTCTGTCATCCTCCAGATCTTACCATAAAAGTACCACCTTGAATTCACACACATACAAGCTCAGACATCAATCTCTTTCATTCAAAAGTTTTGTCTCACGATGGATTTTTATTATTGTTCTTACTACTAGTAAAAAATTACCAGCTCCAAGGCATATGATGCAGTTGGATAGGTAGAAAATGTATAGTCTTGGTGGCTGTCAGACTTGGATTTCAATCTTCACTCTTCCACTATTGAGTGGTAGTGAGAAATATCCTTAATATCCTTTTGTTCTCATTGTAAAAATTTCTAAAGTGGAAATAGATATCATAGCTGCATTGTCTTCACATCTACTGGGACAGAAATACCTATATTGTTGGGTTACAATCAGGATGTTGAAGGAGATCAAGGGAACGTTAATTGACTTCTTTCCCACCCTTTTCCTTTTATTCCAAAACACTTTTCAGTGTGAAACAAGTTAAAGTTTAATATTCACAAGAAAACATCTAAAGGCATCAATTTTCAAATCTGAAACAGTATTTATGCTTCCTAAATGGTGGCCTATGAATCATGAAGACTTGAAGCTAATTATTTTTTTCAGAATTATCAAATACTAAAATAAATGATGGATTTCATTCAACCATGTGATCAAGAACTGACAGTGGGAAGCCATATATGGTGAAATCCATGTCACATGTTGTTTGCAGCCTTTGCCGAATGAAAGAAACCATTTTTAGGTTGCTGATCAAATAAGATTTCATGGCCTTTGCAAAAGAACATCATGTCTATGGCCAGCTATTAATACATTAACTAAATGTTGAGCACGTACTATGTGGCAGTCACTGTTTCAGGTAAAGACCAGAATATGTGATGTTGAGTAACTACTGGCCCTCAATTAACTATGAAGTTAAACTCACAGCATGTTAATCACAACAGTTGGGATGGGGTACAGAGAGACAAGTTGTGCACTGGGAGAAAGACTTCGAAGATGTATCTAATTTTGCCATGTGGAGTAAGTGAACTTTATGGAGATGAAGCAGCATGCATAGAAGTCAGGAGGTAGGACAGGGAAGGATTGCCATGGATCAGTGCACAGAAGAGTTTGGTTGGAATCTGGGTGATTTAAGGAGTGCAACTGAGTTCTGGTCAATATTTGCAGAGCACCTATTATATGTGAGACACTCTGAGTATGGAGATTATTAACTGGAATTATCAGGGTTAATGATATTAAGTCATTACTATTAAGGGTCCCTGCCTTTGAAAAATTTGCAGCCTATGAGAGGGTGGAGTAGTGAATGGAGGTGGGTAGAGGAGATGTATAAATAAATAAGAGAAATACAGTGTTTCTGAAAAAAATGCAGTAACAAAATTAGGTACACAACAAGCATAGAGAGCAATTAACTCTGGGGAATGTGTGGTTGTTTGTGTGTGTGTGTGTGTGTGTGTGTGAGTGTATTTGTGTATGCAAAGGCTTTACAGGGTTGGTACAGGACATTTGGGCAGAGTTTGAAGAATGGGCATTCACCAGGGAAACAGGGAATAGGCAGAAACACGGAATCTTGTGACAGTATAGTAGGTATAGAAAACTACCAGCAATTGGGTATTACTGGATCAACAGGGAACAATAAAAGATGAAGGTGGACAAGCAGATAGGAGCCAGGTCCTGGAAGACCATGCAAGCTGCTTTAAGTAGTTTGGACTTATTAAACCAAAACGTAATGAGCAATTGGAAGTTTTAAAGCAGGCAAGTGAGGTGGTCAGATTTGAATTTTAGGAAGAGCCCAGCTGCTGTCCAGAACAATGGTTTTTGAACTTAAGCGTTTCTCAGAATAACATGGGAAGCTTGTAAGATGCAGATTCTTGGCTCTTACCTCCAGAGAAGAGGGTATGGAGCTCATGCATGCGCACTTTTAGAACACATAATTTTTTTCAGATTCAAGTGGTCCTCAGATGGACTTGGTGGTAGTGATTAGGGTGGGGGAAATTCCAGAGTCAGGGACAGCAGATAGGATGCTATTGCTGCAGATAACAGAATCACAAACTCTAGATTGAGGATCAGAGTTCGGACTCTGCTTCCAGGTGTTGGATAGAACAAGACAGGGACCTCTGAGAGGGTTGGAGTACTTCACACATTATTAATACATAGCTCCAGGCACAAAGAAAACAAAGATCCATTTAAGAGAGACAGCTGTGCAAAAAGTTATTAGTGTACTCACGATGAGGTACATGGCTGAAATGTTTACCTTCCCTTACTTGAGGTCAGATTTGGTTTAAAAGGCTGAGTTTGTAGGTAGAGGAGCTGGTGGCCCCAGGTGTGGGGAGCAGAGGTCAGAAGAAGCTGGAAGCCAGGCAGGGTTCTCTAGGGATGGATGATAACAGGGTTGCTAAGTAGGGATAGAGGCCCTGTTGTAGAGCTGTGGTTTAACACCATGAAATTTTCAACTGTTTCCAGGCATGAAAGATTCATTCCTCAGGAGATCAAATTAGAACCACAACACACCAAGGTAATTCACTGTTTTAGTCACTCACTACATCAACACTCACAATTGACTATACCAGTCATGACAACAAAGATGCCAGGTACAGCACACAGGTCTACTGAACTAGTGTGGAAGAGGGGAGAGGGAATTTAGGACGCATTTATTCATAGGTTCATACATAGTCTGCTGCCACAAAGTCTGTTTCTCATAGATGCTGCTGCAATACAACCTTAAAAACATGTTTTTTTCTCTCCAAATTAGGGAAATATTTTAGAAATATTAATGGCTTAATAGAACCAGTGTTTCATTAAAACACTGTCACTGTGGCTTTTAATTTTTTTTACTTTTAAAATTTTTGTGGATACATAGTAGGTGTATATATTTATGGGGTATATGAGATGTTTGGATACAGGCATGCAAGGTGAAATAAACACATCACAGAGAATGGGGTATCCATACCCTCAAGCATCTATCCTTTGAGTTACAAATAACCCAATTATACCCTTTAAGTTATTTTAAAATGTACAATTAAGTTATTATGGAGTGTACTAACCTATTGTGCTATTGAATACTAGGTCTTATTCATTCTTTCTATTTTTTTGTATCCATTAACCATCTCCACTTCCACCCCAATCCCACTACCCTTCCTAGCCTCTTCCTAGCCTCTGGTAACCATCCTACTCTCTGTGTCCATGAGTTCAATTGTTTTGATTTTTAGATACCGCCAATAAGTGAGAACTTGTGATGTTTGTCTTTCTGTGCCTGGCTTATTTCACTTAAAATCATGATCTCAAGTTCCATACATGTTGAAGCAAATGACTGGATCTCATTCTTTTTTATGGTTGAACAGTACTCCATTGTGTCTATGCACATTTTATTTACCATTCATCTGTTGATGCACATTTACATTGCTTCCAAATCTTGGCTCTTGTGAACAGTGTTGCAACACACATAGGAGTGAAGATATCTTTTCAATATTACTGATTTTCTTTCTTTGGGGTACATATGCAGAATTTGGGTTACTGGATCATATGGTAGTTCAATTTTTAGTTTCTTTGAGGAACCTCCAAACTGTTCTCCCTATTGGTTGTACTAATTTCTATTCTTCTCAACAGTGCAGAAGGGTTTCCTTTTCTCCACATCCTCACCAGCATTTATTATTGCCTGTCTTTTGGATATAAGCCATTCTAAGTAGGATGAGATGATATCTCATTGTAGTTTTTATTTGTATTTCTCTGATGATCAATGAAGTTGACACCTTTTCACATGCCTGTTTGCTATTGTAATGTCTTCTTTTGAGAAATGTCTATTAAAATCTTTTGCCCATTTTTTGATCAGATTATTAGACTTTTTCCTATGGAGTTGTTTGAGCACCTGTTATATTCTGGTTATTAATCCCTTGTCAGATGAGTAGTTGGCAAATATTTTCTCCCATTCTGTGGGTTGTTTCTTTACTTTGTTGATTGCATCCTTTGCAGTGTAGAAGGTTTTTAACTTAATGTAATATCATTTGTCCATTTTTGCTTTGGTTGCCTGTGTTTGTAGGGTACTGCTCAAGAAAAGTTTGCCCAGACCAATGTCCTGGAGATTTTTTCCCCAATGTTTTCTTGCAGTAGTTTCATACTTTGAGGTCTTAGATTTAAGTCTTTAATCCATTTTGATTTGACTTTTGTATACAGTGGGAGACAGGGGTCTAGTTGCATTCTTTTGCATATTGATATCCAGTTCTCCCAGCATCATTTATTGAAGAGACTGTCCTATCCCCAGTGTATGTTCTTGGCACCTTTGTTGAAGATTAGTTCACTGCAGTTGTATGGATTTATTTCTGGGTTCTTCATTCTGTTCCATTGATCTATGTGTCTGTTTTTATGCCAGTACCATGCTGTTTTCATTACTATAGCTCTGTAGTATAATTTGAAGTCAGGTAATGTCATTCCTCCAGTTTTACTCTTTTTTCTCAGGATAGCTTTGGCTATTCTAAGTCTATTGTGGTTCCATACAAATTTTAGGATTTTTTTTCTATTTCTGTGAAGAATGCCATTGGTATTTTGATATGGATTGCACTGTATCTGTAGATTGCTTTGGGTAGTAGTGACATTTCAACAATATTGATTCTTCTAATCTAAGAGCATGGATTCTGCCAGGCAGAAGTTTGCTGCAGGAGCGGAGCCCTCATGGAGAACCTCTGCTAGGGAAGTGAGGAAGGGAAATGTGGGGTCAGAGCACCCACACAGAGTCCTCACTGGGGAACTGCCTAGTGGAGCTGTGAGAAGAGGGCCACCATCCTTCACAACCCAGTGTGGTAGATCCACAGACGGCTTGCACTATGCACCTAGAAAAGCCACAGACACTCAACACCAACCAGTCAAAGCAGCTGGGAGCGGGGGCTGTACCCTGCAAAGCCACAGGGGTGGAGCTGCCCGAGGCCATGTGAGCCCACCTTTTGCATCTGCGTGACCTGGACATGAGACATGGAGTCAAAGGAGATCCTTTTGGAGCTTTAAGATTTTACTGCCTCTCTGGAGTTCTCACTTTCATGGGGCCTTTAGCACCTTCATTTTGGCCAATTTCTTCAATTTGGAATAGGTATATTTATCCAATGCCCGTACCCCCATTGTATCTAGGAAGTAATTACCTGGCTTTTAATTTTACAGACTCATAGGTGGAAGAGACTTGTCTTGTCTCAGATGAGACTTTGGACTTGGACTTTTGGGTTAATGCTGGAATAAATTAACACTTTGAGTGACTGTTGGAAAGGCATGATTGGTTTTGAAATGTGAAAGGGACATTAGATTTAGGAGGTGCCAGGGGCAGAATGATGTGGTTAGGCTTTGTGTCCCCACCCAAATCTCATCTTGAATTGTAATCCTCATAATCCCCATGATCCCCATGTGTTAAGGGAGAGACCAGGTGGAGGTAAATGAATCATGGGTCTCACTCAAGGCTCTCTACATAGTACCTGGGTATTGCTGCTGGTTATTCAGGGCTCAAGGTCTCTTCAGTTAACAGGTGATGAATGCTGCCAACACTAGGTCTTTTTGTTCAAGGCAGTGGGTTCCCTTGTGGTCCAGGGTGTGTCTAGAAATGTGATCCAAAAGCTGTGGCCTGGAACAGTGGTCTCACGACTCTGACCAGTGCCCTATCTTGCTGTGGCTGAGCTGGTATCCAAGATGCAAGACAAATTCCTCCCCACTCTTTGCTCTCCTCAAGTGGAAGGATGGGGTCTCTTTTGAAGTGCGTTTTAGGGGTGGGGTGAAGCTAGCACTCCCTTGGCTGCCTCAGCTGATGTCTCAGTATGTTGTGTGCTTCCCCAAGTCCATTGTCTCTGGGCCTTGTTCAGCACTGGGCCATGCCTAAGAGTTGCTGTCCTCCTGGCCTAGACTGCCTTTCAAGTTTACTTGGAGAAACACAGTGCTGTAGCCCATGGCAGTGAGGTTTGTGAGGACTTAAGTTCTCACTGCTGGGATCCGTGATTCCCCTCCGGCCAGGGGATTTAATGCTCCCTCTGTGTATGGGGGTCAGCTGGTTTTCATTTCTGCTCTACCAGGACAGCACTGAGTTTAATGTCTCACAATTGCTGTGTTCTCCCTTCCTCTGTACCCAGATATGTTCTCTGCACCATGTGGCTGCTGCTAGGGGGTGGGTGGAGGGGGGATGGCAATGTCAATTCAGAAATGTTTATTCTATCTCTTCAGTGCCTCTTTCAGCAATATTAAGTTAAAACAAGGTACTATGAGTGATCACTTGATTTTTAGTTCTTGTGAAGGTGTCTTTTTCTATGTAGATGGTTGTTAATTTGGTGTCCTTACTGGGGAGTGGGGGATCAGTAGAACTTTCTATTCAGCCATCTTGCTCTACCCTCCTGTGGCTTTTTTTTTAACTGGATAAATATAGCTATCAAAATACTTCACAAGGTAAAGGAATAACCCATATCCCTCTACCATAATTAAATAGCACATTTTGGTTTTGCATATTCACTTTTTGTCTTTATTGCTGTGTGTGTGTGCATATATACATGGATATATATACATACACAAATAGTTAGAATGCATTCACCATCTTGATATTTGCCTCTATATTGGTTTGCTAGGGCTGCCATAACAAAATAATACAGAGATTTATGTTCTCACAGTTTTAGAGGCTGCAAGTCTGAGATGAAGGTGTTGGCAGGTTTGGGTTGTTTTCTCCTTGGCTTGTAGCTGGTTGCCTTCTTGCTGTGTCTTAACATGTTCATTCCTCTGAGTGTACCTGTGTCTTGTGTCGCTCTGTGCCTACATCTCCTCTTCTTAGAAGGACACCAGTCATATAGGATTAGGGCTCACCCTTAAGACCTCATTTTACCTTATTACCTTTTTAAAGACCTAATCTCCTTTTAAAGACTCTTAGGACCTAAGAGATTAGGTCTTTAAAAAGGTACTCGGGGTTAGAATTTCAACACGTGCATTTTGGGTTACGGGCACATTTCAGTCCGTAACAGCCTCTTTCAATTTTTGCTCTTCACCATTTATTTTAATATCTGAAAGTTTTTTTGTGGTCGCCATTGTAGAAATCATGTTTTATTTTATTTTTTATTTTTTTATTTTTATTTATTTATTTATTTTTGAGACAGAGTCTTGCTCAGTCACCCAGGCTGGAGTGCAGTGGCAAGATCTTGGCTCACTGCAAGCTCCACCTCTCTAGGATTCACGTCATTCTCCTGCCTCAGCCTCCCTAGTAGCTGGGACTACAGGCGCCTGCCACCATGCCGGGCTATTTTTTTTGCATTTTTAGTAGAGACGGGGTATCACTGTGTTAGCCAGGATGGTCTTGCTCTCCTGACCTCATGATCCACCTGCCTTGGCCTCCCAAAGTGCTGGGATTACAGAAAGCATGTTTTGATGAGAGGAAGAGGGTTCCATCTGTTTGATGTACAGAAATGTGCTTAACCAGTTCTCCATTATTGGGCATTTTTGGTTATTTCCAGTGTTGCTGTTGCAAATAATGCTTCATTGAGCATCTCTGTGCACATGGCATTTTGTTTCTTCTCAATTATTTCCTTAGGATAAATCCCCAAGAGTGAAATTATTGGGTCATTTTTATGACTCTTGATATATTTTGCCATATTATTTTTCAAATGGGCTATGACAATTTATACCGCTACCAGCAGTATGTAAGCATATAGCTTTATTAGAATATAGGCATTTGTTGTTTTGGTTTAAATTTGCTAATTTAATATGTGTAAAACGTTATATATTATTGCTGTCTTAATTTGCATTCTTTAAATTACTACTGAGGTTATACACAGTTGGTTTTTGTCACAAATTCTAATGGTTCATATAAAATATCAGAAACCCTTTATGCAAGCGTTAATTTCAGAGGGCAAATAAATTCAAACTAATTTATTCATTTACAAAATTATTTCAGCACACTTTTGTTAAGCCCCATTTCTGTGCCAGGCACTATGTTAGGAGTGAAAGATACAAAGGCAAGTAGGATCCTTGTGTCTAGAATAGGAGGTGCATGTTGGCTCTTACAGTCACTTAGAAATTTTAAGGAAAGGCCGGGCGCAGTGGCTCACGCCTGTAATCCCAGGACTCTGGGGGGCCGAGGCGGGTAGATCACGAGGTCAGGAGATCGAGACCATCCTGGCTAACATGGTGAAACCCCATCTCTACTAAAAATACAAAAAATTAGCTGGGCGTGGTGGCAGGCGCCTGTAGTCCCAGCTACTTGGGAGGCTGAGGCAGGAGAACGGCGTGAACCCGGGAGGCCGAGCTTGCAGTGAACCGAGATCATGCCACTGCACTCCAGCCTGGGCGACAGAGCAAGACTCTGTCTCAAAAAAAAAAAAAGAAAAGAAAAAGAAATTTTAAGGAAAAAAGAGAAGTTTATAGGTATCCAACAGTGACACAGTGAAGTTAAAATTGATTAAGCCCTTGTGTCAGGATCCCACTAGAAATATATGGCACATTTGAAAAGAGTATTTATTAAGAGAGGTTAGGAAAGGAACTATATAAAGGCAAAGGTAACCAATAAGGATAGAATTATCCATGGTGGAAGCCTTGAAAACTATTATCACCCCTAGGTCTAAAGGGAAAATGGGAGGCAACCATTACCGGAATGAAGTGAGAGCTGAATAAAACAGGCCTTCACACAGGCTTAGTGGCTTTAGGTAGAGAAATATAGCCACTGCCCGACAATAGCCACTGCTGACTCTCCAGTATTTTGCCAGAGGTCCCCATAACGAAACCCAAATAAGAGCCAGAGGATAAGGGCCTGGATCGGCTGCCCAATAAGTCAGTCTTCCAGAGATTAAAACAAGCTAGAGAAAGGTAGAGGATGTATCTAGATGGGCAAACAGAGAATATCTGACACATCCTCTTTAACCTCCCTCCGTCACACCAGATAGGAACAAAACCATTTCATATCCAAATAGGTAAGTTTAAAACATCTGTTTGAAAAATCATCTAAAACAACTTGTTTGAAACTAGTGATGTGCAGCATCTCTTAGGGCAGATTCCCTTGATTCTGCAAGCCTCCAGTATGTTTGCTGTTGCTGAATAAATGTTCAGATTTGGCAAGAAGTGGGAAAGGCAAGATAGAGAAATGTCATCAGAATCCATCAGGACCCATGTAGATATCTTAATAGTATAAACCAAGTTGGAATAATTTTAATTAGAAAGTGACAGTTTCACTCAAGTTACCCTAAATCATGGAGTTGTTGTACTTTGCCATAGTAACTCTGCTCTGGTGCTGTTTCTCTGGGATACCAAGGTGTTACTAGTCAAGCTGCACTTTCTCTCACAGTATCTTGGCTTCTCTCTCTTCACTTCCCAATATTTCCTTCTGCTACTGCTAGAATCTGAATGTTTGTATCCCTCCAGAATTCATATGTTGAAACCTGCATCCCAAGGTGATGGCATTAAGAGGTGGGGCCTTGGGAGGCCAAGGTGGGCAAGTCACAAGGTTAGGAGATCGAGACCATCCTGGCCAACATGGTGAAATCCCGTCTCTATTAAAAATACAAAAATTAGCTGGGCATGGTGGCACATGCCTGTAGTCCCAGCTACTTGGGGGGCTGAGGCAGGAGAATCGCTTGAACCTGGAGGCGGAGGCTGCAGTGAGCCAAGATCACGCCACTGCACTCCAGCCTGGGTGACAGAGCAAGACTCCATCACAAAAAGAAAAAAAAAAAAGAGGTGGGGCCTTTGGGAGGTGATTGAGTCATGAGAGTAGAGTCCTCCTGAATTGAATTAGTGACCTTACAAAGGAGAACTGAGAGAGCATGTTTGCCCCTTCCACCATGTGAAGATGCAGTGAGAAGGTGCATTCAATGAGAAATGAGCCCTTACCAGACACCAAATCTGCCAGCATGTTGGTCTTTGACTTCCCAGCCTCCAAAACTGTGAGAAATAAATTTCTGTTATTTATAAGACACACAGTTGATGGTATTTTTTGTAATAACAACCCAGGCAGACTAAGACAGCTACCAACAAGAAGATTTTCTTAATATTTATTCAGTTTCTAGCTGGAAATAATTTGATTGGTCTAGCTTGTTATTCAATCAGATTAACCATCCCTGAGTTAGGTGTTCCACTATTGATACAATCAATGGTATTTCTTTCTTAAAAAACAGCCCGATAATGTGTTAGCACAAAGCTAACTGCAAAACCATACAATTTTCTCCTCTGAAACAAATCTCACTCATATTCATACCAGCTGGGATAATTTGTTACTACTTTTTCTGGGATTCCATAGAATTTTGTACAAGTTTATTGAGATTTAACTTATGTACACGCTTAAAGTACAAAAGTTGATGATTTTTGACATATGTATACACATATGAGATCATCACCATAATTAAGATAATGAACACTTACATCAATGTCAAAAACTTTCTCTGTTATCCTATAGAGAGATATATGACAAAGATCCTGCCTTCAAGGAAATTAGTATCTAATGAGAGACATGTAAACAGCTCACATTAGATGAGCAAGGCAGAATGAAATAGGGACTTGACACTGTACCACATACAATGCACTGTGCCTTTTTGTTCTAGATTTTAAATTCATGAGACAAAGAATCTCATTTACCTGGTTAGGATCCTGTGCCCACCCCTGGATCAACAAACATGGCCAAGAGACCAAGATCCCATACTATAAACATGACCACTTGTTGCCTATTCACCTATGCATATTGAGGCCATTCTCAGATTGAGAATTGTAAGTTGGGGTGCCACTCTAAGAGGTGTTTATCATAGGATAATATAGGTTAACAGACTTAGCCAACATCTAACAAAATATGAACCTCGTTCCCTTTTCTCCACTCTTTCACATCTGCCTTATACTATTGAACCTTCTGCCTGGTAGGAATTCTTACTGATAGTCATTTGCCTTTCTCTAGGAATTTGAAAACCCAATTTTTTTTATTATCAATGTTATCTCTAAATTAGTTGCCCTTAATTTATCATCCATTTTTCAATTGTTCACTTTAGAGTTAATGCCACAAACTTTGCATGTCTACTTAATTCTAACCCTTAATGAAACACACACACACACACACACACACATACACACACATACACCTTCTCTCTTTAGGATTCTTTGTATACCCGTTTTTTGGTTTTCGTTTTGTTTTGTTTTGTTTATTTTACTAGGTAATTACCATGAGCAATTGTGGATATGACATAATGACTTTTTGGTGAAAGATTCAGTTTGTATCAGTCTTCAGTAGTTCTGAGGACTAGGAACAGAGAAAGTAGGTTCTAGGGCTGTTCCTATTTGGGTCCTTAAAGAAAATTAAAGAAAGAAAAATAAGAGACTGAGCATAAAATAAATTAGGCTTTGTTTAGTCTGAAGATTATGAGGATTGGAGTCATCTTATTCATGGTTTTGAAAGGCATGAAAAATTTCTAAAAAGAGAATAGAGATTAGTTATTCTCTTTGTAGCAAATACACAATACAAGGAACTGTACTTACATCAAAGCAAGAAAGCTGTTCAGTTATAGGAAGGAACTTTTTGCTTGTTGTTGTAATAAATTGCCAGAATGGTAACTGAAGGTTATGTGGCATATCAGTTTCTTGGAAAGCTCCAGAAAAAGGAAAATAACCACTAATCCTTGCTGGATTATATATTGTACCAAAGCCAAGAAAATCAGGCAATCTCTCAAGCTTCTTACAAGTCTTCAATCTACTATTCCTCTGATGGCTTCTAGATGCTACCCCACCAATAGTGAGTATCACACAAAGCCTTCTCTGGAAAGAGATCTCATACTCTGCTTTTCAGATCTTTTGTAGTTTAGCTGTGTCTCAAGTCAAGAAATCACTGACTCAATGAAATTTTTTTGTATTCATTTACTTGCACGATGTACAGAAATTAGAGATGTTTTCAAATATATTTTATGTCATCTGTAGGGCTAAGTTAACCTAAAGTTTGAAGTAATAATACCACCTTTTTACAACTCTCACCCTAGTTACTGAAATAATTATTACTAGAAAAAAAGAACTACCACAGTGGAGATAGTGGTTTAATAATAACTTATAGTTCTTTACAGAGACTCAGAGAGTCCTCAGAGGCTCTCTCTCTCTGCCTCCCCAAAGTCATTAAATGACACTAGGAAAAGAATTTGAATGTAAAAGCATTTAAATTGTCCTTTGGTGAAAAGCAGAAATATAATCGTGAGTCGAAGTTTTCATAGTGCTCCTCCTCCAAACAACAACAACAAAATAACAATAATAAAATAAAACTAAGATATTTGAGGAAGAAGAAGCCTACCCTCTCCCATATTCAGAAGTTTTTCAAAAGACATGGACAGGAACAACCAGTACCAGCCACTGCAAAAACATGCCAAATTGTAAAGACCATTGAGGCTAGGAAGAAACTGCACCAACCAATGAGCAAAATAACCAGCTAACATCATAATGACAGGATCCAAATCACACATAACAATATTAACCTTAAATGTAAATGGGCTAAATGCTCCAATTAAAAGAAACAGACTGGCAAATTGGATAAAGAGTCAAGACCCATCAGTGTGCTGTATTCAGGAAACCCATCTCACGTGCACAGACACACAGAGGCTCAAAATAAAGGGATGGAGGAAGATCTACCAAGTAAATGGAAAACAAAACAAAGCAAGGGTTGCAATCCTAGTCTCTGATAAAATAGACTTTAAGCCAAAAAAGATCAAAAGAGACAAAGAAGGCCATTACATAATGGTAAAGCGATCAATTCAACAAGAAGAGCTAACTATCCTAAATATATATGCACCCAATACAGGAGTACCCAGATTCATAAAGCAAGTCCTTAGAGACCTACAAAGAGACTTAGACTCCCACACAATAACAATGGGAGACTTTAACACCCAACTGAAAACATTAGAAAGATTAATGAGACAGAAAGTTAACAAGGATATCCAGGAATTGAACTCAGCTCTGCACGAAGTGGACCTAATAGACATCTACAGAACTCTCCACCCCAAATCAACAGAATATACATTCTTTTCAGCACCACACCACACCTATTCCAAAATTGACCACATAGTAGGAAATAAAGCTCTCCTCAGCAAATGTAAAAGAACAGAAATTATAACAAACTATCTCTCAGACCACAGTGCAATCAAACTAGAACTCAGGATTAAGAAACTCACTCAAAACCAATCAACTACATGGAAACTGAACAACCTGCTCCTGAATGCTACTGGGTAAATAACGAAATGAAGGCAGAAATAAAGATGTTCTTTGAAATCAACGAGAACAAAGAAACAAACATACCAGAATCTCTAGGACACAGTCCTAGAGTGTGTAGAGGGAAATTTCAAAGCAGTGTGTAGAAGGAAATTTATAGCACTAAATGCCCACAAGAGAAAGCAGGAAAGATCTAAAATGGACACCCTAACATCACAATGGAAAGAACTAGAGAAGCAAGAGCAAACACATTCAAAACCTAGCAGAAAGCAAGAAATAACTAACATCAGAGCAGAACTGAAGGAAATAGAGACACAAAAAACCTTTCAAAAAAATCAATGAATCCAGGACCTGGTTTTTTGAAAAGATCAACAAAATTGATAGACCGCTATCAAGACTAATAAAGAAGAAAAGAGAGAAGAATCAAATAGACGCAATAAAAAATGATAAAGGGGATATCACCACCGATCCCACAGAAATACAAACTACCATCAGAGAATACTATAAACACCTCTATGCAAATAAACTAGAAAATCTAGAAGAAATGGACAAATTCCTCGACACATACACCCTCCCAAGACTAAACCAGGAAGAAGTTGAATCTCTGAATAGACCAATAACAGGCTCTGAAATTGAGACAATAATTAATAGCTTATCAACCAAAAAAAGTCCACGACCAGATGGATTCACGGCCGAATTCTACCAGAGGTACAAGGATAAGCTGGTACCATTCCTTCTGAAACTATTCCAATCAATAGAAAAAGAGGGAATCCTCCCTAACTCATTTTATGAGGCCTGCATTATCCTGATACCAAAGCCTGGCAGAGACACAACAACAACAAAAAAGAGAATTTGAGACCAATATCCCTGATGAACATTGATGCAAAAATCTTCAATAAAATACTAGCAAACCGAATCTAGCAGCACATCAAAAAGCTTATCCACCATGATCAAGTGGGCTTCATCCCTGGGATGCAAGGCTGGTTCAACATACTAAAATCAATAAACGTAATCCAGCATATAAACAGAACCAAAGACAAAAACCACATGATTATTTCAATAGATGCAGAAAAGGCCTTTAACAAAATTCAACAACCCTTCATGCTAAAAACTCTCAATAAATTAGGTATTGATGGGACGTATCTCAAAATAATAAGAGCGATCTATGACAAACCCACAGCCAATATCCTACTGAATGGGCAAAAACTAGAAGCATTCCCTTTGAAAACTGGCACAAGACAGGGATGCCCTCTCTCACCACTCCTATTCAACATAGTGTTGGAAGTTCTGGCCAGGGCAATCAGGCAGGAGAAGGAAATAAAGGGTATTCAATTAGGAAAAGAGGAAGTCAAATTGTCCCTGTTTGCAGATGACATGATTGTATATCTAGAATACCCCATCGTCCCAGCCCAAAATCTCCTTAAGCTGATAGGCAACTTCAGCAAAGTCCCAGGATACAAAATCAACGTGCAAAAATCACAAGCATTCTTATACACCAATAACAAACAGAGAGCCAAATCATGAGTGAACTCCCATTCACAATTGCTACAAAGAGAATAAAATACCTAGGAATCCAACTTACAAGGGATGTGAAGGACCTCTTCAAGGAGAACTACAAACCACTGCTCAATGAAATAAAAGAGGATACAAACAAATGGAAGAACATTCCATGCTCATGGGTAGGAAGAATCAATATCGTGAAAATGGCCATACTGCCCAAGGTAATTTATACATTCAATGCCATCCCCATCAAGCTACCAATGACTTTCTTCACAGAATTGGAAAAAACTACTTTAAAGTTCATATGGAACCAAAAAAGAGCCCGCATTGCCAAGTCAATCCTAAGCCAAAAGAACAAAGCTGGAGGCATCACACTACCTGACTTCAAACTATACTACAAGGCTACAGTAACCAAAACAGCATGTTACTGGTACCAAAACAGAGATATAGACAAATGGAACAGAACAGAGCCCTCAGAAATAATGCCACATATCTACAACCATCTGATCTTTGACAAACCTGACAAAAACAAGAAATGGGGAAAGGATTCCCTATTTAATAAATGGTGCTGGGAAAACTGGATAGCCATATGGAGAAAGCTGAAACTGGATCCCTTCCTTACACCTTATACAAAAATTAATTCCAGATGGATTAAAGACGTAAATGTTAGACCTGAAACCATAAAAACCCTAGAAGAAAACCTAGGCAATACCATTCAGGACATAGGCATGGGCAAGGACTTCATGTCTAAAACACCAAAAGCAATGGCAACAAAAGCCAAACTTGACAAATGGGATCTAATTAAACTAAAGAGCTTCTGCACAGCAAAAGAAACTACCATCAGAGTGAACATGCAACCTACAGAATGGGAGAAAATTTTTGCAATCTACCCAACTGACAAAGGGCTAATATCCAGAATCTACAATGAACTCGAACAAATTTACAAGAAAAAAAACAAACAACCCCATCAAAAAGTGGGCGAAGGATATGAACAGATACTTCTCAAAAGAAGACATTTATGTAGCCAACAGACACATGAAAAAATGCTCATCATCACTGGCCATCAGAGAAATGCAAATCAAAACCACAATAAGATACCATCTCACCCCAGTTAGCATGGCGATCATTCAATAGTCAGGAAACAACATTTGCTGGAGAGGATGTGGAGAAATAGGAACACTTTTACACTGTTGGTGGGACTGTAAACTAGTTCAACCATTGTGGAAGTCAGTGTGGCGATTCCTCAGGGATCTAGAACTAGAAATACCATTTGACCCAGCCATCCCATTACTGGGTATATACCCAAAGGACTATAAATCATGCTGCTATAAAGACACATGCACACGTATGTTTATTGGGGCACTATTCACAATAGCAAAGACTTGGAACCAACCCAAATGTCCAACAATGATAGGCTGGATTAAGAAACTGTGGCACATATACACCACGGAATACTATGGAGCCATAAAAAATGATGAGTTCATGTCCTTTGTAGGGACATGGATAAAGCTGGAAACCATCATTCTCAGCAAACTATCGCAAGGACAAAAAAGCAAACACCGCATGTTCTCACTCATAGGTGGGAATTGAACAAGGAGAACACATGGACACAGGAAGGGGAACATCACACACCGGGGCCTGTTGTGGGGTGGGGGGAGTGGGGAGGGATAGCATTAGGAGATATACCTAGTGTTAAGTGAAGAGTTAATGGGTGCAGCACACCAACATGGCACATGTATACATATGTAACTAACCTGCACGTTGTGCACATGTACCCTAAAACTTAAAGTATAATAATAAAAAAAAAGACATTAGTAGCCCATGGACCAACGTATTTGTCCTCTGAGACACCAACCTTATAGTGTTTGAGAGAGCTTTCTAATCTTAAGGACAATGGCACACATGAAAGAAAAAGGGAATATGGCAACTGCTGACAAAGCACTCGGAATGGAGTCTACCACGAGGCCTTCAGAAACGTTAACATTAGACAGAGCTCTGTTAGACTGTGGGGTCCTCAAGGGCGGAGAAGTTATTTGGTTTCCCTTACCAGAGAGGATTATGGGAAAGCAACATAATGCTTAAACTACAGCCAGAGAAAAATCCTAATTTGTGAGATATGACCATAGCTAAAATGGATGCACTAGTGTTTTCCAAAGGCAAATGGCTTCATTCATCTATCACTTCCTAAGCACCTACTTCTGTGCCATATAGTGTGCCAAGATCTAGGGATTCACTTCTGATGAAGACATTGTTCCTGTGTTATTAGGGGAAGGGGGCAAGGACTGACTATAAACAGAGCATTAAAATGCAGCTGGTTAGGTGTTGTGGGATGAGAAATATGGGGGCCATGGGATGGAGTGCCGGGGGCGGGAGGGCAGGCACTTTGCCAGGGCTGGGCAGAGGGAAATGGATTTTGGAGAATTTGCTCTTTTATATGATTCATGCCATAAGCTCTCTCTGTTAGAATGACTAAGAAGTATTGAATAAATTTTAATTTTCTTTAATGTTTCAATTCTTTTTTATATTTAAGTTAAATTATTTTTATAATGCACCATTGCAAAATAAAAAAAGGAAGATTCCTCAAACTCCTTATTTAATAGGTAATTTCCTACATGAATGAGATAGTGTCAAATCTGCATTTGAAAAAACATTACATGTTAATGCTTAAGGAGAATTAAAGCAAGAATTCACCGGACAAAACTTGGAAAATACTCCACGGAGGCCCACTGAGCTGCTCTTGCCAAGGCGAAGGACAGGTAATTTGCTGTGACTAATTGAAAAACATAAAGAACATTAATATGAAAAATGAAAGCATAATCCATGGTATAACAGGCAGTGAAACCATTCGCATAATTGATTACCCTTCAAGGTAACATGTTCCTTCCTTCCTTTCAGTAATCTTTTCCTTTGGCCCAGTCTGTCTTAAAAGCCTGCTAAAGTGATTTCACTTGAAAGGCCATAGGTGCAGCTGTTTCTATCCCAGTGGTCCAGATAGTGATACTAGGATGCTCATAATTTAGGAAAATAATTATTAAAGAAAATATTTTGAGATCTTGGTGTTGTTACAGTCTGCATCTGAATAACCTGAAATATTAAGGCACAATGATTGTAACATTAGTGGCTTTTGATTTGAAAATTATTAGCGAGCCGTCAAAAGACCTGGGGCTCAATCTCAGCTCCACTGCATACTAGCTCTGTAAACCTGACAAGTCACTTACCTCCATTTAATTTTCAGTTTCTTCATCAGTCAAATGGGGATAATAGCATCTTCTCTGCTTATTGTACAAGGTTGTGAAAACCAAATGAGAGAGCACTGGTGAAACCATATTGAAGATCATAAAGATTAAACATAAAAGTATTATTAGGATAATTCTGAATAATTGAATAATTTATTTGTTGTTAGGTTAATCCATAACAGCTTATCAAAATGAATCATTTTGCATATACTGTTCTTCCTGAAGTTCCAAGCAGAATAGAGCAAGTGGTGCCACTTTGTAATACGGAAGCCTTTGATCTTCTGAAGACAGGCAATTCCATGGAAATTCTAAGTCAGCTGTGGGAACTTCTGAATTGCTCATTTTCCCAACCCCTAGCTTTAAGTGATAAACATAGACATAGATCCAGGGAATCTTCTTGGGTGTGAAGGCACATTAGCGACTTACCAGTGTCTTTACCTCACCCCCTGCAACCATGCAGGGATAATCTACCTTAAAGTCTAGAAGGTGAAGCCAGGCGCTGTGGCTCACGCCTGTAATCCCAGCACTTTGGGAGGCTGGGATGGGTGGATCACCTCAGGTCAGGAGTTCGAGACCAGACTGGGAACGTGGCAAAACCCCATCTCTACCAAAAATACAAAAATTAGCCAGGCGTGGTGGCCGAGCGTGTAATCCCAGCTACCTGGGAGGCTGAGGCAGGAGAATCGCTTGAACTTGGGAGGTGGAGGGCGCAGTGAGCCGAGATCGCGCCACCGCACTCCATCCTGGGTGACAGAATGAGACTCCTATCTAAAAAAAAAAAAAAAAAGTCTAGAAGGTGGCACGTTGTAGTAGTTAAGAGCAGGGAATGTAGTGGCAGGCAATTTTGGCTTGAGATCCTGGCTCTGTCATTTAATAGCTGTATGATCTAGAGAGAGTTACTTAAAGGATCTGAGACTGAGTTTCTGCATCAGTAAAATGGAGATGATAATAGTACAAAACTTATTTGGAGCTGTTGTGAGAATTGAATGAACTAATGTATGTAAAGAGCCTATGCGCTTTAGTGCTCAACAAATATTAACTATTTTTATTAGTTAGCCCTCAACAGCTGGGAGGGAAGAGAATAGTAGTAGGTTGTTTTAGTTGAGAACCATTACAGAGCACTGTGCAGATAACAGTAATGGAGCTACAAAGATAAATAGAAACAGTGATTCAAAGCATAGCTCTGGCATCATAGAGTCTAGTTTCAGACTCCAGGTCCTCCAGCTCTACATGACCTTAGATAAGTAAGTGACCTCTCAATGCTTCACTTTAAAGCATGGGGATCGCATTAATTGTGATTTCACAGGGTTGTTTAGAAGGATTAGTAATGTGATGCTTATAAAGTAGAGACGAGGATTGCCCCAATCTTGTGTGCCTGTTATAATTAACTATCCTAAGTAGTCTCTTGTTATTTCACCCTCCTTCTCCCCTGGGAAAAACTGTGATGTCCTAGACAGTCAGACCTCATGAGTTGAGCTTCACTGAGCTGGAATCAGAGCAAATGTGTTTGTAAACTTGTGTCTTCCTTTGCATTGTCTTTGAAGTGTAGGTCTAGGTCTGCCCACAAGCCAAAAGTGTTATACATATATGATCAATTTATCAAAGGTACCAAGGTAATTAAATGGGGAAAATGACCTTTTCAACCAATACTGCTGTACCAACTGTATACCCATACGGGAAAAAGCCAACACTAACTTTTAACTTATGTCATACACACAAATCAGCTCAAAATAGATAATAAATGTGCATAGCTTCTAAATGGACCTAAATGTAAAACCTCAAACTCTGAAACATCTAGAAGAAAGTATAAAAGAAAATATTTGTGGCCAGGCACGGTGGCTCATGCCTGTAATCCCGGCACTTTGGGAGGCCGAGGTGGGTGGATCACCTGAGGTCAGGAGTTTGAAACCAGCCTGGCCCACATGGCAAAACCCAGTCTCTACTAAAAAATACAAAACATTAGCCAAGCGCGGTGGTGGGTGCCTGTAATGCCAGCTACTTGGAAGGCTGAGGCAGGAGAATCGCTTGAACCCGGGAGGTGGAGGTTGCAGTGAGTCGAGATCACACCATTGCACTCCAACCTGGGCAACAGAGAGAGCCTCTGTCTCAAAAATAAAAATAAATAAAAATAAAAAATAAAGAAATGTGTGACTTTAGGATAAGCAAAAGTTTTATATACAGAACACAATAAACACAAACATTAAAAAAAGATACATTTGATGTCAAAATTAAAAATGTTTGCCATTTGAAAGATACGGTCAAGAAAATGGGAAAGGAAGTCTTGGACCGCAGAAACTATTTACAGCGCTTATATCAAAGTACTTGTATCCTCAACCTATAAATCCTGCTTACAATTCATTAACAAGTAAATGACCAGTACAAATCGACAAAAGATTTGAACTAAGACTTCACAAAAGAATAAAAGGAATGATGTGAACACAACTGAATTGAAAAGGGACATTGTCTGGGCTCCATAACATGCTGCTAGTTATGCTGTCAGTTGAGGGCATGAGCAGGGAGAGAGGGTAGCCCTGTTTCTTACCCCCATCTCTTACCATACATTTCTCCATTTTATCCTCTACTTTTGCTTCTCCTTATTCCATTTTTCCATGATGAAAAGGCTATAGAGGGCTCAAGCCCAGTGGCCTTCGTCCCAAAGTCATACAGCTAGTCCTAGGCAGAACCAGAAGCCAATGCTAGTCTTCCTGGTTCCGTGGATGCAGGCTCCTTCACTGGACCATGCAAACTGACCGACGAGAGTGTGAAATGGGGTGCCTTAGACCTTGTCGGATTTCCTTCTTCCCACTTTCAGATCAAAGTTGTATGCTGCTTTGAAACTGGAAACACAACTGAAGCAGAACCACATTTACATTTGAGATTTGTTTTCAAAGCAGATGTACAGTGTCATTTGCTGAGATCTCATAGGTGTTTCTATTCCACCTTGAGCAGCAGAATTATACCTCAGCAGGTTGAACAAAGCTGGGTAATCACCATTGGCTTTTGGCTTCCAGAGTCAAAGTCTACCTTTATATCACTGTAATACAATTATGCTCTCAAGCTGATGCTCCCGGATACTTGAAAAGTTTTGTGAAAGTTCTTCCTCTTATCAGTCTGAAAAACAAGTTGTGTTCCCCAGGAACTGTCTGGAATCATCTGCCACTAACTAGCTGTGTGACCTTGGGCAGTCACATCCCTCTCTGGGCTTTGGTTTCCTTATGAGTAAAACTGGGAATTAAACTAGTTGATCTCTGAGGGCTTTGACATTTTCTGCATTCTCCAGTTCCACAATTCTAAGTCAGCCTTAATACTGAAATGCTGCCAACATCTATTTAGATGGTTTTTTTGCTGTTAATTTGCAGTCTCTGGGATTCCTCTGCCTTGTTTATAGCTCTCTCGGAGCCGCCTTGCTGGTTTGAGTTTAAGATGCTATGTCTCATGCATAATTTGCCTGCTTACAATTGTGTTGTTCCCTAAGGATGGTGTCATATTTGAAAGGTGGAGGTGAGAGTATTCAGTACAGCAACAGAGCCACAGAGCCATCCCTTCCTGACACTAAAGTCATGTGTTTCTCTAGTTCCTCATCCTCTGCCCCTCTTCCGCTTTGTTTCATTGCTACATTTGGGTTTTATGATTACATCTGCAATAGCAGGCACAGATGTTTTTCTCACTCAATTGTATGGTTAATGGTAAAATGAATTTTTCCAGCAGATGCTCGCATGTGGGTGCTATCTTTTTCTCTCCTGACATATTTTCTACACAAACAGCAGATTGTGTGTCTGATGTGCCTTGAGCCTAGCAAGAGAAGAATTCAAGCTGAATAACACTAGGCTGATTTTCAAGCTCCTAAAAAAATAATGCGGCCATTAAGTTTGACAAACTCTTCACAGCACTCCTGCAGCTCCGATCCAGACCTGCATCTCCAGCCTTTGCCAGTTGTACTTGAGAAGGCTGAGAGCAAGCATGTATCCTCAAAAGGGCCACGATATGAAGAGAAAACAATATCAATTTGAGAAGAGCTGGACTCAATTACTCTGTTGCTTTGGATTCTGAAACCCAAGGCATGTAATTTAACCTCTATTTCCTCATCTATGAGGCTAAGGGATAATACAAAGCTGGTGAAGATCATTGAGATAATTGCAAAGTAGCAGAGGTCCCTGCTTAAATCTAATCCATTTCCACTACTGAATAAAAATGGCTAATTAGAGCTGATTGGCCAGAAGTCCATTTGCATGAGGGACTGAGAAGCCTCCAGGTAATGAGGCAGAACTGTGGGAAGATTAGGAGCTTGGTGTGGGGTTTCTCAACTTTGGCACTATTTAAATTTTTGAAATGATTATATCAAATATACATATACACATACATAAACATATATGTGGCCGGAATAAAAAGTTAAGAAATAAATTGAAAACAAATCTCCAAAAGCTGAAGAAAAAGATATTTCGGGCCAGATAATCATTTCATGTGGACCCCTGTCCTGTGCACTGCGGAATGCTTAACAGCAGGCCTGGCCTCTACCCACTAGATGGCAGTAGTTCATCCCTCCTACTAAAAATGTCTCCAGATATTGCCAAATGTGCCTAGGGAGGGTAGAGTGTGAGGGATTAGCCTCCAATGGAGAAGTACTACCTTAGAAGCACTGAATGTTGGCTTTACATTTTAGTTCTACTACTTATCCAAGGTCATGCAGCTAGTAACCATTTGTGCCTCAATATATTCATGTGTAAAAGGAGAATCCAAGCTAAATTGTAGAAAGGCTGGTTGAGAGGACGAAAGTGATGGGTGGATACAAACTTTGATACTCCCTCCTTACTACCATCAGGCCTTTGCTTATTCCTTTGCCCTTGTTTAAAATACACTGTTTCTCATACCCCATCTTTCTGTCTAGTTAACTTCAACTCATTCTTTAGATCTCAGCTCAAGCATCGTTTTCACAAGGGAGGCTTCCTTGATCCCTCAGACTGTATCAGAGTCCAAGACCCTCACAGCGCTTGTTGATATTATACACTCTAACACTCAGGTGACCATTTCAATTACGTTTGTTGGGCTACTAGACTGTAAGCTTTATGAGGAGAGGTGCTATTTCTGTCTTGCTCACTGTTGCATTGTCAGAGGTCAGGACAGTGCCTGGAAAAGAAAAGCCATCACTAAACACTTGTTGAAGGAAAGGAGGAGGGAAGAAATGAAGGACTGAACCCAAAGTTAAAAATATCATTATAATTTAATTCCCCTAAGGAAGAGATCTAGACTGCTAACCTTAGGCAAGTGAAAAAAATACAGTGGCATCTAGGGAATGGTTTTGAGGACAGTCTGTCAGTGAAAACTCTCTTTAGCCTAGTCCCCACAGACTTTGTGGGATTCAGTGGGCCCAATACATGGCACTGTTCTTTTCACCTGAGTTTGCAATTAACCGAGTCAGACAGATGGAGATCAACACTAGCATCTTTATTACTAAAAACAGCTGGGTTTGGAGAATATGTTTCAGCTGTGCAGGAAAACGTGACTCTCCTAATTCTACATCCCACAATTAGCTAGACTTACCTAGTCATAAGCACCACTGAACAAATGTGGTGCATCTCCTCCAATGAAGACCTGCACCTGAGAAACTCGTGGTGTGTGGAACTAAGACTATGTGCTTCCTCACTGTAGGCTTGTCCTAAAAAGAGAAGTAGCATGTATTGAACTAAATGAAGACATGCCTCCTCCTGTGGAGAAAGGCTGTGCGTATTGCTCTAGCATAGGTTCTTCTGTTTAGGAACACGATGCCAAGGGAAAGGATGTTGCTCTACCCCCACCACTGCCAACAGACTTATGCCTGGGTCCAAAGAAAATAGAGAATTGTGAACAAAATATCTGACATAGATATTTCACTAAATAACCTGTAATATGTTGAGACCCAAGATAATTTGCTCTGGGGCTTTGATTATGACACCAAAAATAAAGAGATGATCACCCCCACTTTGTCACAGAACTCTGCAGATTTGCACCTTGAGGGCTCCAGTTCATTTATCTCAGCAATAATTTTTGAGGGAAATGGCAGCCCTTGTGAAAATGTATGTGGAGCCACCAGAGGTGGGCATGTATAGGGAGCAAAGTGGTATTCTTTGCAGGGCTTCCAGATCAGGAGAAGAGGCCATCCTAAGTTGGCAATTTGTAGAGGTTGTTACTATAAAGACCAATGAAATGGTGAATGCACCCATGTTTTATACTCTGGTCTATGTAATTCAGGAAAATTTGTATATAAGTGCAAAAGCTTTGTAAACTGAAAGTCTTTTCAAATTTAAAGGGCTATTAAAATTTTCCCGTTCATGGTTTCCTTTGCTGTATTTCAAACCTCATGTACTTTTAGGAACCTCGGGTGTTCACAGTATTTTGTTGCCCATTTTCTGTTTAGTGACTACTTTTCAGGATCAAGACAGATGGGTAACTTGGTATGGTGGCTTGGGGACAAAATAGAATGATCCATGCCAGTATCTTTGGAGTGAAGCCTTGGTAGTCCTATACAGTTCGATACGTTAAAATATTAACTCATTTATTCATTAAGCCTTGACTTACTACTTGGCATGTGAGAGGCTTGCTTTTCCCAACTGTAAATTGGGAATAATACCAGTATCTCCTTGCATTCATTATGTGATTTAAATCCACATAACTGTGTCAAGCACAGTTTCATTTTCCCTGTCATAACACTTATCACTACCTTTATATTTTACAATATATTTATTTGTATATGGGCTGTCTTCCCCTACCAGAATGTGAGCTCTGAGGAAAGGGACTTGGTCTTGTAAATTTCTGAATCTCCGGAGCCTATAAGAGCAGAGGTGCTCAATAATTATTGGTTGAGTGAATTAATGAATACTTAATAAACAACATTGGCCCTAACTCCAGACTAATGCTTATCATATTCTAATCTTCATTTCTAATCTTTCTGCTTGAATGACCAATAGCTACCTTAACCTAATGTCCAAACCCGAACTCTCCATTTCCACTGCATTCCCATTTCCCCAGTGACAAGCAGGCT
The DNA here is from genome assembly GCF_000001405.40 of Homo sapiens. Classification (NCBI taxonomy): domain Eukaryota; kingdom Metazoa; phylum Chordata; class Mammalia; order Primates; family Hominidae; genus Homo; species Homo sapiens. Next base: position 141,275,989 of record NC_000023.11, on the reverse strand, counting down.
ATTCTTTGTATCCTTCATTCTATTATAGTAAATGGCAGCTCTATGTTTCAAGTTGCTCCAATCAACAACTTTGAAATCATCCTTAAGTCCTCTCTTTCTCTCATGACTCATTTCCAATTTGTTAGCAAATTCTGTTCCCTCTATGCTCAAAATATATCTAGAATACCACTCTTTCTTAGCGCTTCCACTGCTATCCACCTGTTCTAACTCAGCATCATTTCTATTCCATGACACCATCATCTCCTGACCAGAAAATTGTTTCCACCATTATCACCTAATTATTTTTCCATAGTATGTATTTACTTTTTAAAACACAAATATGACCACAGCCTGTCTCTGCTCAAATGTTCTGAAAACCTCCCAGACTGCTGTACTTAATATATCACCCCCGCACTTTATTCTTTTATCCTAGTCAACTTGTCCTCATAACATGAATCACTGCTTGATATTATATCATTTGTTTAGTTATCTATCATTACCCAGTAGAATATAAACTCCAAAGGATTTTTGTATTTTTATTTAAATATTCTCACTGCTAGAATAGCCATGGCAACAATGAAAACTGATATGTCTTTCACATCTGTGAGTTCGTGTCTGTGTGAATGTGTGGCTGTTTCAGTGTGAGACTATGTGTAAGTGTGAGTGTATGTGATTATGTGAGTATATGTAGGAGTGTGTGTTTGAAAGTATGTATGTGTCAGAATGTGACTGTGTGAATCTGAAAGTGTGTGAGAGTTTTAGTGTTACAGAGCATGTAAGAGAATTTGTGAGTGTATTTGAGTATAGGAATGTGTATGTATGAGTGTGTGAGACTTGTGAAAATGTGTGTGATTGAATGTGTGAGTGTGTGTTACTGAGTATGTGTTTTTCAGCATGTGTAAGAGATATGAGAGTGTGATGCTGTGTGTGTTTATAAGTGTGTGAAGGTATGTACAGATGTATATGAATGTTTACAAGTGATATAGTTTGGCTGTGTCCCCACCCGAACGACATCTTGAACTGTAATTCCCATAATCCCCATGTGTCATGGAAGGGACAGAGTGGGAAGTGACTGGATCATGATGGCAATTTCCCCCATGCTGTTCTCATGATAGTAAGTTCTCGTGAGATCTGATGGTTTTATAAGCATCTGGGCTGTCTCCTGCTTGCACTCATTCTCTCTCCTGCTGCCCTGTGAAGAGGTGCCTTCCACCATGATTGTAAGTTTCCTGATGCCTCCCCAGCCATATAGAACTGCGAGCAAATTAAACTTCCTTTCTTTATAAATTACCCAGTCTCAGGCAGCTTTTCATAGCAGTGTGAGAATAGACTAATACAGTAAATTGGCACCAAGGTAATAGGGTGCTGCTATAAGGATACCCGAAAATGTGGATGCAACTTTAGAACTGGGTAACAGGCAGAGGTTGGAACAGTTTGGAGAGCTCAGAAGACAGGAATATGTGGGAAAGGGTGGAACTTCCTAGAGACTTGTTGAATGGCTTTGACCAAAATACTGATAGTGATACAGAAGATGAAGTCCAGGCTGAGGTGGTCTCAGATGGAGATGATGAACTTGTTGGGAATCGGAGCAGAGGTCACTCATGTTATGCTTTATCGAAGAGACTGGGGGCATTTCGCCCTTGCCCTGCAGATCTGTGAAACTTTGAACTTAAGAGAGTTGATTTAAAGTATCTGGTGGAAGAAATTTCTAAACAGCAAAGCGTTCAAGAGGTGACAGTGCATAAACATTTGGAAAATTTGCAGCCTGACGATGTGGTAGAAAAGAAAATCCCATTTTCTGGGGAGAAATTCATCCCAGCTGCAGAAATTTGCATAAGTAACAAGGAGCCAAAGGCTAATCACCAAGATGATGAGGAAAATGTCTCCAGGGCATGTCAGAGACCTTCGCAACAGCCCCTCCCATCAAAAGCCTGGAACTCTACTTGAGTTCTGTATCTCTTTACCTCTCCCTTTTTTTTTATTTTTATTTTTATTATTTTTTTTTGAGACAGAGTCTTGCTCTGTCTCCAGGCTGGAGTGCAATGGCACGATCTCGGCTCACGGCAACCTCTGACTCCCTGGTTCAAGGGATTCTCCTGCCTCAGCCTCCCGAGTAGCTGGGATTACAGGCACGTGCCACTACGTCCAGCTAATTTTTGTATTTTCAGTAGAGATGGGGTTTCACCATGTTAGCCAGGATTGTCTTGATCTCCTGACCTCATGATCTGCCTGCCTCAGCCTCCCAGAGTGCTGGGATTACAGGCGTGAGCCACCGCGCCCAGCCTACCTCTCTCTTTTCAAGGGCTGATAGTGATTTAGATTTTTTTCCCTGCCCAAATCTCATGTTGAATTGTAATCCCCAGTGTTTGAGGTGGGGCTTGGTGGGAGGTGATTGGATCATAGGGGTGGACTTCCCCTTTCGCTGCTGTTCTTGTGATAGAGTTCTCATGAGATCTAGTTGTTGAAAAGTGTGCGGCAGCACCCCCAACCCTGCTCCTGCCATGTAAGATGTGCCTGCTTCCCTGTCGCCTTCCACCATGATTGTAAGTTTCCTGAGGCCTCCACAGTGATGTTTTCTGTGCAGCCTGTGGGACTGTGACACAATTAAACCTCTTTTCTTTATAAATTACCCAGTCTCAGGTATTTCGTTATGGCAGTGCAAGAACAGACTAATACAAGTACCTACCATGTATTTCCTTCTTTCTTGAATCATTACTAGGTCAGCATATAAATATGCTGTGATATTTTTAATCTTAAAACTGACCACAGAATTCCTTGACATCTGAAATACTCTAGAAACCTCCTCATTTCTTGGTTCCCCTTCACAGGAAAATACATTAAAAGAGTTGTGTATACTCACTTTAATTCCTAACCTTCCATTATCTCATCAACATTTTATATCAGACTGTTATGCTCACCACTCAACTGAGACACTCTTAAGATCACTATGACCTAAAACTTACAAAAACCAAGAGTCAATTTTTTATCCTCAATGACTTGACCTCTTAGCTGGTTGCTTACTCCTTGCATGTCCAAGGACATCTGGAATCATGATCGACCCCTTGGTCAGCCCTTGGAAATGTGACCCTTAGAATATAATTCATGTCAGTGATTAAGGGTTTCATTGTGTTCACCTGGAGCTATGGACTGTTCCATATCAGTTTCTCAGGTTGCTTTGCACAAACACCAAGACTGATCATGTGCACCTGGTTCCATTGTTGGACTCTCATGTTTCTATTGCTATGGATGATATGCCTTTCTAATCAACTCTGAATAAAAGCCTTGGACCCAAAGATTCAAATGGGCTTCCCTGGTCCAATCTATCCCACAACAGCTCTTCTAGTTGGCTGCTAGAAATAAAGCATGCTCTGTGTGGCCCCAGATGGGGAAGGACTTGGAAAACTGTGTCTAGCCTCTCTGTACTATGCCCAATGCATATATGTTCCTGTTGTTTTTGCACTTTATCCTTTGCTGTAATAAATCTCAGTTATTAAAACAATCTGCTATTGAGTCAGGTGAGTCCTTGTAGCGAATCTGCAAATTTGAAGGTGGTCTTAAGGCCACTGAAACACTCTACCTTCAAAATATACCCAGGACTTAGCCACTGCATACCTTCTTTGCAGCTCCCACTCTGGTCCAAACAATCATAATCTCGCATCTGGGATAATGTAATTATGATTTTACCAGTACTACCCTATAGTCAGTTTTCTAAATAGCTGACAGAGTGATAAAAATATAAATCTTAGTATTGTCTCTTTTATATCTGTGAAAAATGACGTTGGAATGTGGATAGGGATTGTGCTGAATCTGTAGATCCCTTTGGACAGTATGAATATTTCAACAATATTAATTCTTTGGTGAAAGGAATATATCTTGGGCCCCCAAAATCACTAAGGAAAGCTCAGGCTGGAAACTGCTTAGGGTCAACCTGCCTCCTATTCTACTCAAAGTCACCCCTCAGCTCACTGAGATAGACGCATAATTGATTGCCTCCCTTGGAGAGGCTAAACAGAAACTCAAAAGAATGTAACCATTTGTGTATCCCTTATATCTGTGACCTGGAAGCTCCCTCCCCGGCTTCGAGTCTTCCTGCCTTTGCTTCAAGTTGTCCCACCTTTCCAGACTAAACCAATGTACTTCTTAATATATTGATTGATGTCTCTTGTCTCCCTAAAATGTATAAAACCAACCTGTGCCCTGACCACTTTGGGCACATGTCCTCAGGACTTCCTGAGGCTGTGTCACGGGCTCGTCCTCAACCTTGGCAAAATAAACTTTCTAAATTAACTGAGACCTGTCTAAGATTTTCTGGATTCACACTTCCAAGCCATTTATTTGTGTCTTCTTCAATTTCTTTCATCAATGTTTTATAGTTTTCAGTGTACAGATTGTTCACCTCCTGGTTAAATTTATTCCTGTGCATTTTATTTTTTGGTGCTATTATAAATGAGATTGATTTCTTACTTTATTTTTCAAATAGTTTGCCGTTAGTATATAGAAATGCGGCTGAATTTTGCATGTTGATTTTGTATCTTGCAACATTAGTAGATTTGTTTACGAGTTTTAAAAGTTTTTACGTGGAGTCTTTAGGGTTTTCTTATATAAGGTCATTTCATCTGCAAACAGAGACAAACTAGAATGGCTACTATCAAAGAGACAAAAGATAGCAAGTGTTAATGAGAATGTGGACAAGAGGGAACCCTTGAACACTATTGGTAGAAATGATTTGTATAGCCATTATGGAAAACAGTATGAAAATTTCTCAAAAAGCTAAAAATAAAACTACCATGTGATCCAGCAATCCTAACTCTAGGTATATGTCCAAAGAAATTGAAATAAGTAAGTCAAAAAGATATCTGGACACTCATGTACATTGCATCACTATTAAAAATAGCCAAGATATAGAATCAACCTAGATGTCCCTCCATGATGAGTGGATAAAGAAAATGTGGCATATATATATATTTCATACCTTACATTTATACATTTATTTTATATATATATATATATATATATATATATATATATATATACCCAAAGAAGCAAAGAGGCAAAAAAGCAAAAGCAAAGAGCACAATGCTAGATATATATATATATGTATATATATATATGTGTGTATATATATATATGTGTGTGTATATACATATGTGTATATATATATATGTAATATATATGCCCCACAGTAGCCACTGGAGAAACATAAGTGAATAATATTCCACTCCATATATATTCCACTCCATTTAGCCCTAAAAAATAAGTAAACCTTATCATTAGAGTCAACATGGATGAACCTGGAGGACATTATGCTAAGTGGAATAAGCAAGGTACAGAAAGACAAATACTGCATCATCTCACTTTTATGTGGATTCTATTAAAAAGGTGAACTCAAAGAAGCAAAGAGGACAATGCTGGTTACCAGGGGCAGGGATATGGGGGAAATAGGGAGATATTAGTCAAAAGGTACAGAGTTTCAGTTATGCAGAATGAGTCAGTTCTGGAAATCTAATGTAGATCATGGTGACTATAATCAATAATACTATATTGTATACTTAAAATTAGCTAAGAAAATACATCTTAAATCTTCTCACCACAAAAAAAGGTAACTATGTGAGGTGATGGACATGCTAATTAACTTGACTATGGTAATCATTTCACAATATATACATTTATAAAAACATGTTTCATACTTTATACAATTTTTATTTGCCAATTATACCTCAATAAAGCTGGAAGAAATAAATATTGGGTTTTCAAAAAGAAAGTAAATCTTATTTTATCACTACTCTATTCTACACCTTCTAGTGACTGTCCACTGTATACAGAATAAAAATTACGCTCTTTAGCCTAGCCTACAAGGTCAAAAATTATCTGGTCTCCTGCCACTTCTCTGAACTCATCTCTTATCAATCACTTCCACTCTTGATCACTCTGCTCTTCTCTGTTCTTAGAACATCTCAAGTTTATTCTTCTGGAAGAGCTGTTCTTTCTGTCTGGAAAGCTCTTCATATTGATCTTTCCATGGCTGGCTCCCTCTAGTCATTCGGGTTTTGTTTTATATGTCATTTCCACAGAGTGGCCTTCCAGATCACCCTAGCTTTTAAAGCCTTTTCCTCCCAATTACTTTTATCATACAGCCCTCTGCATTTTATTCGTGACACTTATCAATATCTAAAATTATTTTGTATTTTGTTTGTTTCTAGAACACAATCTTCTTGAGGTCAAAGACTTTGTCTTTTTTGTTTGCTGATGTTTCTCCAATGCCTAGAGCAGTGCCTGGCTCCTAATAGTAGGCATTTCAGTAAATGTGTGGCTTGAATGAAGAAATCGAAAACAAGTTGCAGCTTTTGAAGAAGTCCCTATGGGGAGGTTTTTGTTTTTCCGAAATAGGCTGAAAAAACCTTTAGGTAGATGTTGTTAGTAAAAGGTCTAGGCTAGGGAATTCCCAATACTGTGTAAACTTTATCATCTCTATTATTCACTGTTGTGTGTCCTATGTTCTTGAAATAGTGCCTGGCTTATCGTAGGTGCTCAGTAAAGATTTGTTGAATAAATGAATGGTGACTGACACAAAGTGTGAACTGAAAATATTTGGAGAAAAAAATTAGAAATTAAGACATGCGACAGATACCTGGGTGACTGGTTTACGTCTTTCCCCTTCCCATGTTCAAATTACTACCCTCAATCAAGAATATTAGCTTATTTATTCAAATATATTTATTGAAGACTTAATTTGTACAAGTGACATTGTAATATGACCAATTATCCAAATTAACTTACTGAAAGCATTACTAAACAGAACTTCTTTAATAGTTGAGTTGATCTTATATCTTTGTCAGCTGGGCAGTAAGAAAGTTGGTGGAAGATCAGGATCATACTATACCATGCAGTGTATGCAGTAACAATGTTACAGACTGAACAATATTTTTGTCTACCCTTAATGCTCATGTCAACTGTTGGGATTTTAAGAAAATGTTTCTATGAAGTTCCATGTATTTCCAGAAATTTCACAAAAGGATTAACTGTGTTGGGCAAAGTGGTTTTCTCATGTCCAAGTCTCATAGCATTATTTGGATGCCTGCTTTTTGGATAAAAATTTAAATGTCAATTATCTTGGCTCAGAAAGACAACTGATTTCAATTGTTTTCGGACAATAAAGAGCTTTGCAATGTCGAGGACACTGAGGGGTGCTATAATGAGCCTCCATGCACGTATATCCATTTAACCTAATGAGGTAAATTCCTACAAGTGCAATAGCTGCATCAAAGTTTATGCGTTCTTAAAATGTTCATACTCATTGCCAAATTACTTTCCCAAATGGTTAGAGCAAATCTATATTCCTGCCAAATATCTGTGCAATATTGCTGTTGTCTCGTTTCTCTTCTAGAAGTAGATATTCTCACATTTTCTTAACCTTCTAAATTTTGCATATAATTTTCAAAATATTATATCCTTTTGATAATTCAATTTTTATTTCCTTGACAGTTATTGAGGTTGCACATATTCTCATATGATTGTTATTATTTTAATTATGTGAATAGTGTGTTTATATTCTTTGCCCATTTTAAATTTTATTAATCATATTTTGTATAATCAATTACTAATTACCGAGTTGAAGGATTTTGTTGTGTATTAGAGCTGTAAACGTTTTATCTCTGTCTTATATTTTAAAAATGTATTCTCCTGGGTTTTGTCATTTTAGTGTATTTGTAGAACCTTTGGATGTGTAGGAGATTTTAATATTTACATGATTAAATTGATCAAGTTTATATTTTATCCCTTCTTGATTTTTTATCCTGATAGGATATGTATACTCAGACTGAATTTACAAAATATTGTCCTATATTTCCTCGTATGATATCCATTTCACCTCATTACATTTTTTAAACTATGTGATTCCATTTATATTAAGTTCAGATAATCATTCAAAATATTTACAAATAAGAAACTAAATTTATTTTTTCCAAGTGTGTATTCAATGGACCCAATTACATTGAATAATCCTTCATTCCCTCACCTCTTTGATATATTCATTTTAATATAGTTCATCCCTCTGTATACTTGGAAGTATTTCTTGACTCTTTTTTCTATTCCACTAATTCATTTGTCTATTCTTTTGTCAACAGCATGCTCCTTTGATTACAGTGGCTTTATTCAAGATGGATTAAAGACTTAAACGTTAGACCTAAAACCATAAAAACCCTAGAAGAAAATCTAGGCATTACCATTCAGGACATAGGCATGGGCAAGGACTTCATGTCTAAAACACCAAAAGCAATGGCAACAAAAGACAAAATTGACAAATGGGATCTAATTAAACTAAAGAGCTTCTGCACAGCAAAAGAAACTACCATCAGAGTGAACAGGCAACCTACAAAATGGGAGAAAATTTTTGCAACCTACTCATCTGACAAAGGGCTAATAGCCAGAATCTACAATGAACTCAAACAAATTTACAAGAACAAAACAAACAACCCCATCAAAAAGTGGGCGAAAGACATGAACAGACACTTCTCAAAAGAAGACATTTATGCAGCCAAAAAACACATGAAAAAATGCTCACCATCACTGGCCATCAGAGAAATGCAAATCAAAACCACAATGAGATACCATCTCACGCCAGTTAGAATGGCAATCATTAAAAAGTCAGGAAACAACAGGTGCTGGAGAGGATGTGGAGAAATAGGAACACTTTTACACTGTTGGTGGGACTGTAAACTAGTTCAACCATTGTCGAAGTCAGTGTGGCGATTCCTCAGGGATCTAGAACTAGAAATACCATTTGACCCAGCCATCCCATTACTGGGTATATACCCAAAGGACTATAAATCATGCTGCTATAAAGACACATGCATACGAATGTTTAGTGCAGCACTATTCACAATAGCAAAGACTTGGAACCAAGCCAAATGTCCAACAATGATAGACTGGATTAAGAAAATGTGGCACATATACACCATGGAATACTATGCAGCCATAAAAAAATGATGAGTTCATGTTCTCTGTAGGGACATGGATGAAATTGGAAATCATCATTCTCAGTAAACTATCGCAAGAACAGAAAACCAAACACCACATCTTCTCACTCATAGGTGGGAATTGAACAATGAGAACACATGGACACAGGAAGGGGAACATCACACTCTGGGGACTGTTGTGGGGTGGGGGGAGGGGGGAGGGATAGCATTAGGAGACATACCTAATGCTAGATGACGAGTTAGTGGGTGCAGCGCACCAGCATGGCACATGTATACATATGTAACTAACCTGCACATTGTACACATGTACCCTAAAACTTAAAGTATAATAATAATTTTAAAAAATGTAAAAAAAAATAAAATAAAATAAAATAAAATGTACTTTGCTATCTGATAGGTCAATTCCCTTCATAGTATTCTTCTTAAAAAATATCTGGGTGCTTCTTGTACATTTCTTCTGTCATCTAACTTTAAATTTATTTGTTATATTGCAAAAAAATCCACTTGGATTTTGATTGAAACATTAATACATTAACTAATTCTATAGCTGAGAATTAGCATTGTCAACTATCAGTAAATAAATAAATCGTAGCTTTTTAACCTTAGATTGCTATTCAAGTAGTAAACCATTTTGATTGCAATTCAAAATATGCAATTCATTATGTCTAATTCTGTGATTTGCTGCTCATGTGCTTTTTCTATGGCCTTCAACATTTCATTGAAGATCAGCATTCACATGGATGTCTTGTGCTTCAGTGTCAACTGTTCTGGAGGGCACCTTACGCCTAGAGGTTACCCCCAGAGCCCTCAAATATGATTTTCATAAAAACCAACATAGTCTCATTTTATCTCATGTCATATTAAACATATTATATCTTTGAAAATTCAATCCAAACAACAGAAAATTAATTTATATTTTGGAATACATTACATCTTTATAGTATTTTCTTCCTTCCAAGGACAGTGCTATGTCTGTTCATTTATTCAGGTATGGCTTCAATATGTTCTTTTATAATTTTTCATTATAAAGTGTATTTCTTGGCCGGGCGTGGTGGCTCATGCCTGTAATCCCAGCATTTTGGGAGGCCAAGGCAGGCGGATCACTTGAGGTCAGGAGTTTGAGATCAGCCTGGCCAACATGGTGAAACCCTGTCTATACTAAAAATACAAAAATTAGCTGAGCATGGTGGCACACGCCTGTAGTCCCAGCTACTCCTGAGGCTGAGGCAGGAGAATCACTTGAACCCGGGAGGCGGAGGTTGCAGTGAGCCAAGATTGTGCCACTACACTCCAGCCTGGGCGACAGAGCGAGACTCAAACAAACAAACAAACAAACAAACAAAAACTGTATTTCTTGTTATTTTATCATTTTTGTGGAAATTGGAAGTGTGATTTCTTTTTCTTTCCATTTCAAATTCTAATTGTATATTGTCAATATAAAACAAATCTAATCTTTTTTCTAGCTAACTTACTAAATTTTCTCACCCTGATAGCTAATTTACTGGGTTGCTTTGTGTTTTTCTACGTATAAAATAATAATATTCTCAAATAATATTAATTTTGTCCCACATTCAAAAATGTATACTGCCTGCCTCGGCCTCCCAAAGTGCTGGGATTACAGGAGTTTGAGACCAGCCTGGCCAACATGGTGAAACCCCGTCTCTACTAAAAAAAATACAAAAATTAGCCAGGTGTGGTGGCAGGTGCCTGTAATCCCAGCTACTCCGGAGGCTGAGGCAGGAGAATCGCTTGAACCTGGGAGGTGGAGGTTCCAGTGAGCTGAGATTGTGCCACTGCACTCCAGTCTGGGCAACACAGCGAGACTCCCTTTCAAAAAAAAATAATAATAATGTACACTACATATTTAATTTTCCTATTTCATTGCATTAGCTATTGCAAGTAATAATTACAGAGAGAGAAAAATGTTTCATATACTAATGCTTAACAGTTATACAGAAAACCTGAACACTATGCAGTCATTAACAATGAAATTTTGAAGAATATTTAATGACATGGGAAATGTTCCTCATGTATTAAGTGAAAAAAGAGATTTGTTTTTGGAATATGATATCGATTTTAAAACACACACACACACACACACACACACACACACAGCCATATACATCATTCTCAGTGGAAGAAAAGGCTGGGTGAATACACATCAGTACACAAGCTATTATCACTGGATGATAGAATGTTCCCCTTTTTAATATTTTGAGGTATTTTTCAAATTTCCATGATAAGCACATATAATTCTTATGATCAGAATAAATGCTTTTATTGCAATATATAGAGATTTGTAGGGGAAGTGCTGCCAGACAGTGAGAGGGATCTCCTTAGTTAGTCTATAGTGTCTACCCATTAAGTTCCAAAATATTAACTGCAAAGAGTTTTTTCATATAATGGCAGTTGCTCAACCTCCTGTCCTTATATTTCTATGACTCTAGTTGCTATCTTCACAGATTTGTGGAATGCTGGCACTGCAACTCTCTTTAGTGCAAACTGGCTCTGGTAATGCTGTCTGCAAAATACATTTGCTGGAAAATATATTTGCAATATGGCTACCCTGTTGGATATAAGTAGGAGAAAGGAACAATTTCTGCTGAGTTCTGTCCAAAAGACTCTCCCCTGTTACTTAGAGTCCCTATGCCCCTCACCCCATAGATACTTTTCTGTTTTCCCAACCATCAGTTATCTCCTTAACTGACACAGTTACAGTTAAAACTTGTCCCCTTGCAGGTTTGCTGGTGCTTTACTCTATTTCATACAGGTTATAAAAGTGATTGTTCTGATACCTGAACGCTGAGTGCGAGCCCGCAGAGATGAACCCTTTAAGATGAAGCCGATCAACTAGCTGAATGAGCGAGAGGTCCAGCTTGGGGTGGCCGATAAGATGTCCTGGCCTTCCGAGTACAAGGACAGTGCCTGGATCTTCCTGGGAGGGCTTCCTTATGAACTGACTGAAGGGGACATCATCTGTGTGTTCTCACAATATGGGAGATTGTTAACATCAATCTCATGCGGGACAAGAAGACTGGGAAATCCAAAGGATTCTGTTTCCTCTGCTATGAAGGCCAGAGGAGCACAATTCTGGCCATTGACAATTTTAATGGGATCAAGATCAAAGGAAGAACTATCCGAGTGGATCATGTGTCTAACTATTGGACTCCTAAGGACTCAGAAGAAATGGATAATGTGACCAAAGAGCTCCAGGAGAAGGGCTGTGGGGCTTGTACTCCCTCACCAAGTTTGTCTGAGCTCTGAAAATGAAAAACCAACAAAAAAGCACAAAAATGACAAAAAGAAAAAAAAAAGAAAAAGAGAAAATTGGCTGGGAGGTACAGGCAGAGCAACCATCCTCTTTCATCACCCAGAAGCAAGACAGTGAAAGAAAAGGATGACCCTGGCCCTGAGAAGCACAGCAGCAAGAACTCAGAGAGAGCTCAGAAGTCAGAGCCCAGGGAGGGGATGAAGCTCCCTAAGGCCAGGACTGCCTACTCTGGTGGAGCAGAGGACCTAGAGAGGGACCTGAAGAAAGAGAAACCCAAGCATGAGCACAAGTCCTCAAGCAGGAGGGAGGCAAGAGAAGAAAAGACCAGTAATAGGGACAGAGGGCGGAGCTCAGACACACATTCTAGCCAGTACAATGGGTGTTCTGAAGGGCGTAGTCATAGAAGTAAAAGTAGGAGCCGAATTTCTTTAAGTTCTTTGTAGATTCTGGATATTAGCCTTTTGTCAGATGGATAGACTGCAAAAATTTTCTCCCATTCTGTAGGGTGCCTGTTCACTCTGATGATGGTTTCCTTTGCTGTGCAGAAGCTCTTTAGTTTAATTAGATCCGATCTGTCAATTTTGGCTTTTGTTGCCATTGCTTTTGCTGTTTTAGTCAAGAAGTCTTTGCCCATGCCTATATCCTGAATGGTATTGCCTAGGTTTTCTTCTAGGGTTTTTACAATTTTAGGTCTTATGTTTAAGTCTTTAATCCATCTTGAGTTAATTTTTGTATAAGGTGTAAGGAAGGGATCCAGTTTCAGTTTTCTGCATATGGCTAGCCAGTATTCCCAACACCATTTATTAAATAGGGAATCTTTTCCCCATTGCTCTTTTTTGTCAGGTTTGTCAAAGATCAGATGGTTGTAGGTGTGTGGTGTTATTTCTGAGGCCTCTGTTCTGTTCCATTGGCCTACATATCTGTTTTGGTACCAGTACTGTGCTATTTTGGTTACTGTAGCCTTTTAGTATAGTTTGAAGTCAGGTAGCATGATGCCTCCAGCTTTGTTCTTTCTGCTTAGGATTGTCTTGGCTATACGGGCACTTTTTTGGTTCCATGTGAAATTTAAAGTAGTTTTTCTAATTCTACTTTCTAATTTCTAAGTCAATGTTGGCTTGATGGGGATAGCACTGAATCTATAAATTACTTTGGGCAGTATGGCCATTTTCACGATATTGACTCTTCCTATCCATGAGCATGGAATATTTTTCCATTTGTTTGTACCCTCTCTTATTTCCTTGAGCAGTGGTTTGTAGTTCTCCTTGAAGAGGTCCTTCACATCCCTTGTAATTTGTATTCCTAGGTATTTTATTCTCTTTGTAGCAATTGCTAATGGGAATTCACTCATGATTTGGCTCTCTGTTTGACTATTATTGGTGTATAGGAATGCCTGTGATTTTTGCACATTGATTTTGTATCCTGAGACTTTGCTGAAGTTGCTTATCAGCTTAAGGAGATTTTGGGCTGAGACGATGGGGTTTTCTAAATATACAATCATGTCATCTGCAAACAGAGACACTTTGACTTCCTCTCTTCCTATTTGAATACCTTTATTTCTTTCTCTTGCCTGATTGCCCTGGCCAGAACTTCCAATATAATGTTGAATAGGAGTGGTGAGAGAGGGTATCCTTGTCTTGTGCTGGTTTTCAAAGGGAATGCTTCCAGTTTTTGCCCACTCAGTAAGCAAATTTACAAGAAAAAAACAACCCCATCAAAACGTGGGGGGAAGGATATGAACAGACACTTCTAAAAAGAAGACATTTATGCAGTCAACAAACATATGAAAAAAAGCTCATCATCACTGGTCATTAGACAAATGCAAATCAACACCACAATGAGATATCATCTCATGCCAATTTGAATGGTGATCATTAAAAAGTCAGGAAACAACAGATGCTGGAGAGGATGTGGAGAAATAGGAATGCTTTTACACTGTTGGTGGGAGTGTAAATTAGTTCAACCATTGTGGAAGACAGTGTGGCGATTCCTCAAGGATCTAGAAGCAGAAATACCATTTGACCGAGCAATCCCATTACTGGGTATATACCCAAAGGACTATAAATCATTCTACTATAAAAACACATGGACATGTATGTTTATTGCAGCACTGTTCACAATAGCAAAGATGTGGAACCAACCCAACTGGCCATCAATGATAGACTGGATTAAGAAAATGTGGCACATATACACCATGGAATACTATGCAGTCATAAAAAAGATGAGTTCATGTCCTTTGCATGGACATGGATGAAGCTGGAAACCATCATTCTCAGCAAACTAACACAAGAACAGAAAACCAAACACCACATGTTCTCACTCATAAGTGGGAGTTGAACAATGAGAACACATGCACACAGGGAGGGGAACATCACACACTGGGGCCTGTCGGGGGGTGGGGGGCTAGGGGAGGGATAGCATTAGGAGAAATACCTAATGTAGATGACAGGTTGATGGGTGCAGCAAACCACCATGGCACATGTGTACCTGTGTAACAAACCCGCACGTTCTGCACATGTACCTCAGAACTTAAAGTATAATAATTTTTTTTTTAAAAGACGTAGGAGCCGAGATAAATCCCATAGGCATAAAAGGGCCCGGCGCTCCCGGGAGCGGGAGTCTTCGAATCCCAGTGACAGTAGGCATCACTGAAGACTGTTCAGCTGCTCAGCAGATTTAGAAATAATTATTTTTTTTAATGCAGTCAAATTTAGTTGGGTTGTTACTATTTTTGTATGTAAAACTTCTGGGGCTGTGCTTTTAATCCCTTGAGTATTAGAGTCATTGGGAGGGCTGCAGTTTCAACAGCTAGATATCCTGGATATTTTTCACACCATCTATTGTCCCTGTACCAGAATATGTGTCCTGAATTTTGGTTCGTAAATATGGCTCTTGAGCCCATAGACCCCAGTTGAAGATGGAATTTTCAGGAAAAGGAAAATAAGAGATAATTCTATAATTCTAGTCTTTGTTTTCAATGTTTAGAGCCCAGCATCATGGGACCTTTCCAGTTACTAGGTTTGGACAGCTTGATGTGAATGAATGGAGTAGGATTTTTAAGATCAACCGGCCCCATGCCCAAATCCTACTGTTTAAAAAAATTGTTAATGTCTTTTCTTTTTCATTACAACTTTTTTGTTTGGAAAAAAAAAAGTAATTGTAACTTTTGTACTCCAGTGGAATTAAAGAACTTTCAGTGTCATCTTTAATACCCTTTGTCTATTCTTCCTACAGAGATTTTGTTTAGGGAAGATGTTCACCTGAATTTACTTTTAGTTATGAGTCAGCCAATCTAAGCCACAGAAACATCTTAAATATTGAGAATGGAGGTCCCTAATGCTTTGTTGTCTGTAACTTTTGTTTTCTTTTACTCCTGGTGGAAATAGAGTAGGGGGTGATGGAGGTTAAGGAAATCACAGCCAAGGCTGTCAAAGTCCCATTAGGTGAAATCTAAGACAAGTCTGACACTGTACTTTCCTTCAAACACTTAGGCTGTGGATATACCCCTTACGCCATTTGATTTTATGTTAAAACATCTGAATTGCTTTATTGGTTAAAGAAGATTTTCATGGAATTGTTAATTATTTATTTTAATGGACTGCTGTATACCGAGTGTGTGCCCTTAGTTTGAGGAAATCAGGAAATCCATCATCTTGATACAATTTGGATTTGTAAAATATTTTCTTCCTTTATTTCCAAACAGAAATGCCGCTATTTAAGAGCAAACTGTTGCTTTGTCAAAGCCCATATTCTGTTACTCATTGTTATTTATACAGACTCTAATAAAACATAATGCTACCAATCAAAGGTGATAGATACAAAGCATTGTTTTGTCTTCTGGCATTATGGATTATGCTAATGGCCATCTGCCCATAATTGATATTTTGTTCTTCAGTCATAGAAAAAGAAACATAATCAACTATAAAAGACTATTTTGTTGTGAATAAATGCTTACGCAATTGTCTTTTATTCTCCATTATGTTTTTTCATAATTTCCTAGTTAATTATTTAGTAGTATAATACTTTTATAGCAATAGAACTGTCATTGCATTCCAAAAAGGGATTTGAAATATATTGTATACACACAGTGATGTCATCCCTAATATCCTCATGCAGCTGGGAAAAACAAATCAACTCAATGACATTTAACACATATTTGGGCTGATTTTTTGTTTGTTTTTCTACATGTTGGAGGATAACTCATACTTTAGTTTTCTGTAGAGTAAGAATTATATATAAAAAAAATCAATCCAGAAAAATATAGACTTAATGGTTATGTTGGATAACCAATTAAGCCAAGTCTCCTTGGATTTTGTATATACATTCCTAAATTAAAGGAAAATTCATTTTCTATAAAGAATTTGTCGGCAACTCCACTCTCCATTACAATAAAAGACTCCCTTTTGCAGGTGTGCCTGAAAGTCGTCGTGGACATACGAAGTCAAAACAAAACATTCATGGTGTGTGTGAAGAGAACTCCACTAAATACTACTAAATGCTAGAAGCAAACACAAAAGAAGTTAAAGATGTGGAACTTGCCCTGGAAGAATTTATGATTCAGCTGGGAGCTGTACTCTACAACTTAGGAACATTTATAAGCAAGACATCCAGGGTGAATTGATAGAGGTTTTAAGTGCTGAAAAGTAAGGATTCACGTGATAGAACTGCCAGCAAAAATTGCTCACTATTTTTAAAGGTCTAATGTCACTAAGAAGACAAATTAAATGTTTTCTGAGATCTCTGGAATCTGCATGCATAGAGTAAGTAGATGTCATTTGAAGATGGTAACAAAAAAGCCCTACATTGATAACTGAAATGTCATCACTGGGGATTTATGTCTTTGAATTAGGCACTTCCTTCCCCATGAATTAGGTATGATTAGTATCTCAGAGAGGCTAAGTAGTGAAATGCACCTATATCCATTTTTGCTGGTGAGGTAAATTCCTATGTATAGAGTATATGTAAACATGATCTACCTCAGCATTCATGCTTGTCTGTATATAATTCAAAGATGTATTATAGATGTTTTTCTTCTCAAAAAAAAGTTTTAAAAAACTAAATTTGAAGTAATTTTTATCCATCTTTTGCTTGTATTTATGACACTTTTCAACTTATTCTACTCTCAACAAATGTATTCAGGAGGAGTCTGTAAAGTTCCGAATGTCTACCAATACCCATGACACCATTCCCACGATTTTCTCTTTATAAATAGGAACCGCATGAGTCCAATATGCTGACCACAACTAACCAGGGATTAGGGCCAGCTATATAGAGAACAAGAACTAAAGCAATCTAATCATCTCTCTCTTGGGGAATTTTAATTTGGAGATATAGAAAAGAGCAGAAACAGAATGAGACAAAACAAGAAGTACGAGAATGAGGCAGTAGAATCCAGGATTATTCAGAAGCTGTCACATGAGAGGAGACTACAAAGAAGTCAGTGGGCAATAATCAAAATGGAACAGAAGAAGCAGATAAACAGAAATGCTGAGTCAGGAATGTGGTAGAGTTGCTAGAATAGGGAGCAATTAACATATGTTGGTGAGGGGATAGGAGTAAAACTGGGTTTCTTCTTGGAGAATCTCTCCTGTCCTCCACTTGTCTGTGTATCTTTCCAATGAACACTTTTGAACTTGAACTCAGTCAACCTGAACACAACTCTGTTCCTTGCACACTGAAAGATCCCAATAACACAGTGTCTCATCTAAATTTGAGAACCTCCTGCTGAATTCCATTCCAAATTTCTTCTCCCTGCTTCTGTCTCTCCTATAAAAAAACGTTCCCAACTCGCCGGGCGCAGTGGCTCACGCCTGTAATCCCAGCACTTTGGAAGGCCGAGGCGGGCGGATCACCTGAGGTCGGGAGGTCGAGAGCAGCCTGACCAACATGGAAAAACCCCCTCTCTACTAAAAGTACAAAATTAGCCAGGTGTGGTGGCGCATATTTGTAATCCCAGCTACTCGAGAGGCTGAGACAGGAGAATCGCTTTAATCTAGAGGAGGAGGCTGTGGTGAGCCGAGATCGCGCCACTGCACTCCAGCCTGGGCAACAAAAGCAAAAACTTCATCTCAAAAAAAAAAAAAAAAAAAGTTCCCAAGTCAAGACTCCATTTCCTTTTGTTTGTAAGTACAAAGAAAGAATGGGTGCTTGCTTAAGAAGGCCTTTGTCTATCAGAGGATACTAGCACTGGTTTGCAAAAGTTGTCTACTTACTGTCTTCTATTCTTCCCCTTCCATTTCTTCTTGATCTCATTCCAATTAGGCTTTTGACTCTACCATTCCACCACAACTACTTTTAGGTATGCCAGGAATCATCTTCACACTGTTAAATCCAGTGTCAAATCCTCCATCCTCATCTTATTTAACATATAGCAGCATTTGAAATAGTTGATGACTCCCTTTTTCCCAAAAACTTCCTTCATTTGGCTGCTGACATTATACTTCCAATTTTCCTTCCACCCCACTGGCCACTCCTTCTCAGTCTTCCTTCCTAGTTCAATCTCATCTGCCCAGACTCGTAATGTTGTCATGCCACAGGGCTTAGTCTTCGAACCCTTTTAAAAATCTACACTCACTTTCTAGGTGATGCCATGCAGCCTTAGGCCTTCACAATCTATTAGCTGATGATTTCCCAATTTTTGCAGTCGTTCTAAGCTATCCTCTCTACCTCAAACTCATATATTTAATTGCCAAATCAAGATCTCCATTTGGCTAAGTATCGCAATACTATTAGGTACCCAACTGAATTCCCAATTTTTTCTTCTTCTCATAATTTTCTGTTCCTTTTAAGTTCTGAGTTAATGTTAATTCCATCCTTCTAGTTGCTCAACTCAAAATTTCTGGAGTCACCCTTGATTTCTCCCTCCTCTCAATCTTAAAACCATCCAGAAATGCTCTAAGTAATATCTTTAACATATATACAGAATCTCTCCACTTCTCACCCACTCCCATTGCTACAAACTCGATTCAAGATACATATTCTCCTGTCTTGATTATTTTAAGAGTTTCCCTGTTTACAAACTTGGTCCCATAAATCTCTTCTTGACACATCAACCAGGGTGCTAAGAGTTTCCCTGTTTACAAACTTGGCCTCATAGGTCTGTTCTTGACACATCAACCAGGGTGATCTTGTTGAAACAGAAATCAGATCTTGGCATTCCTCTGCTAAAACATAATTTTTGGCTTGAGATCTCACTCAGAGTGATAGCATTTAAAACTTGCCACCTGGCAGGGTGCAGTGGCTCATGCCTGTAATCCCAGCACTTTGGGATGCCGAGGTGGGTGGAACACTTGAGGTCAGGGGTTTGAGACCAGCCTGGCCAACGTGGTGAAACACCGTCTCTACTGAAAATACAAAACAAACAAACAAACAAACCAAAAAAAACCAAATAGCTGGGCATGGTGGCGCGCATCTGTAGTCCCAGCTACTACGAAGGCTGAGGCAGGAGAATTGCTTGAACCCGGGAGGCAGAGGTTGCAGTGAACCAAGACCATGCCATTGCACTCCAGCCTGGGTGACAGAGTGAGACTCTGTCTCAAAAAAAAAATGCCACCTTTTCTTTCCATCTGACACTGCCCATTTAATTCTCCCTATTGCCCTCCCCTGCTTTTTTTTTTCTCTGTAACACTTTGACTCTTCTAAAATACTATTTGTTTTACGTATATATATTGTTTATTGCCTGATTCTGCTCATGAGACTATACATTTTTTTCTTTCTTCTGCATGACTCAAATATATAAAATAAGTATTTGCTAAGTGAATTAGTTAAGTCACTGACATGCCCTAACACTAGAACAAGAAGGAGTCACCTGAATACAAATAAAAAGGCAAAAATATTAGGAATCTGTATTAGTCCATTTTCACACTGCTATAAAGATACTATCTGAGACTAGGTAATTTATAAATAAAATAAGTTTAATGACTCACAGATCCACATGGCTGGGGAGGCCTCAGGAAACTTAGAATCATGGTAGAAGGCAAAGGGGAAGCAAGACTCGTCTTACATGGTGGCAGGAGAGAGAAAGAGAGAGCAAACGTGGAAGTGCCACACTTTAAAGCCACCAACTTCCATGAGAACTCACTCACTATCATGAGAACAGCATGGGGGAAAATGTCCCCATGATTCAATCACTTCCCACAAGGCCCCTTCCTTGACACGTGGGGATTACAATTTGAGATGAGATTTGGCTGGGGACACACAGCCAGACCATATCAAAAACCTTCCCTATATCCCGTCACAAGCTAGCTGAGTCTTTGTTAATTGCCCCTTCAATGTATTTTCACAGCAAGCTGTGAATACTCTATCAGAACCCTTTTTGTACTATTATAACCATCTGTTTATTTGTCAGTATTTTAAACTATTGACAGTGGGCTCCTATGTGTCATGGATGGTTTAATATTTACTTATGCTTTGAATTGATTGAGCATAGAACCATCTAAAAATAAGTATTTAGTACAGTTTGCTGAATATATGGATAACTCCGTAAATAGGGGTTCTTGTGAGTCCTGGAGACTGCCTTACCCACACATTGTCAGTGTTGACATTGTCTTCTTCTTGGAAGAATTAGAAGTCTTTCTCAGCTATGTATTTAGGATAAGTCCTTTCCTTATCTAGTTCAGATTCCTCACCAGAAACCTTTATTGGCTTACTCCAAAGAGGTGGGCTAAACAAAGCTGACAAAGCCACAGTGAGTGATGGCTTTCTTATTCCCCTAGAAAGACTGGGTGAGACTTAAAGCTCCCAAGATTCCTGTCCCAGAATGAATGAAGCATCAGAAAATAAACAACCGTTGAGTGTAAAAAATTGTATCTTCAGTCTCAGCACACATAAAGACACCCCTCACTCTGAGGTATTATCTTGCCCTTTGGAAAAACAGACAAGAAGTACAAGCTATCTCTGCTTATATTTGATGGCTTTTCTCAGGTAAATACAATTTGAGCTCTGAAACAGCAGATATTTCCCATCATTGTTCAAAGAGACCCACTGCTCCCTTCTCTTAGTCTACTCTCTCCCTCCAAAGTTACGCTGTGTTAGACATGGCTCAGGCGTGGTTAAAATGTTGGTTTTACCATTAGATGAAGCAGTGTAAAATTAATTTCGTTATTCGGCTGGTTTCAAAAATACCTTCCTTTGCTGGCTGTGATGGCATCCTTACAGATGTCCCTGTCAACCCGTTGACTAAATTGTCTCAGTAACTGGTACTAGGGAATGTGATGCTTTATGGATTTGAAATAAAGCTATGAAAAAATATAAATTGTCAGGGTGATTTTGTTGTTGTTTGTTTTTGTTTTCCAGCCAGGCCTATTTCTTCTAAGACAAGGTTTAGCATCTCCTCTTTCTTTGCTTTTCTTTTCCTTTTCCTTTTTGATAGACCTTAAAGGAAATATGCCAAGGCAGCTGCAGTGTGAAACCAATAGGGAAAAGGCTTATATCCAATCATTCCTCAACCCTGAAAAATCACACATTCTCCATTTCTAAACAATGAACAGATGGGTCCGGGAATGCAAGAGAGTAGAATGTAGTAGAGTGGTATGTTGTAGACAGTAGCAGGTTGTTTCATCTACTTTCCACCCTTTGACAATTCCAATGTGTTAGGAGTATTCAAAACTTGACCTATTATCAACCAACCCCCTAATAATCAGTTAGCACCTTAATTATCAGCTAACTGGTAACTAATATTAGTGTTATCAGTGGAACTTTTGGCATAGATTACACGGTAGTCAGCATTTAAACATTTTCCTGAGGAAATTCTGGTCATTTCCTTGTGAAAAGCACATTTTACATTTATAAAATAATCCCGCAGCAGAGTGTCAGGTGAAACATCATTCTTGATATCATTTTCTATTAAAAATCCATGTAAATAGTAAGCACTCAATAAATGCTTTGTGAATTAAGTCTGAGCCCACACTCAGACCTAAGACAGTGGCAATCCATTCAAAGAAAAAAAAATAGAGACTCAATAAATGGTCAGGAAGCTAGGCTGGACTGTCCCATTCCCAATCCAATCTTCCTCCCACTAAGCAACTTGCTGTCATGACGTAGGAATTATATTAAATACTCTGATTCTCAAGCCTGGAATTCTGTAGGACAGTAAACTGGAAGGAGCCTAGTGATAGTTGGTATCTAGATGCTAAATGTAATTTATATTTTTACTTTTTGCATTTTTATGAGGCAGAAAATAAAAATACACAGTTTGAAGACAAACTGAGCAATCATCTACCAGTTAAACAAAATGTTAACTTATTTTCGTGCCAAATTCAGGATTCTAATTATACTCAACTATAATCATTGTTCTATTCATTCTACTTTAATGTCTTGAGAGCTGCTCAAAAGTAGGGACAATATTCCATTCTCAGTCCATGTGGATAGCACTCCGGCCCAAGGAAGCTGCTCTCTAAGAACCGAACTAATTAATAAACTGTTATTAATAAAAGAAATGGCTTAATGGCAGTAAAGGGCCATTTGCACACACAGTGGAGCGCACACACGCACGCACACACACACAATTTAAGATTAGTCATTGGCTGGGCGAGGTTGCTCACACCTGTAACCCCAGCACTTTGGGAGGCCAAGGCGTGAGAATCATCTAAGAACAGCAGTTTGAAACCAGCCTGGCCAACATGGTGAAAACCCGTCCGTACTAAAAATACAAAAATTAGCCCAGGGTGGTGGCAGGTGCCTATAATCCCAGCTACTTGGGAGGCTGAGGCAGGAGAATATCTTGAACCCAGGAGGCAGAGGTTGCAGTGAGCCGAGATTGTGTCACTGCACTGCAGCCTGGGCAACAGAGTGAGGCTTCGACTCAAAAAACAAACAAACAAAAAAAGCAGGGGTTACAATCCTAGTCTCTGATAAAACAGACTTTAAACCAACAAAGATCAAAAAAGACAAAGAAGGGCATTACATAATGGTAAAGGGATCAATTCAACAAGAAGAGCTAACTATATATGCACCCAATACAGGAGCACCCAGATTCATAAAGCAAGTTCTTAGAGACCTACAAAGAGACTTAGACTCCCGCATAATAATTGTAGGAGACTATAAGACCCCATTGTCAATATTAGACAGATCGACGAGACAGAGAATTAACAAGGATAATCAGGACTTGAACTCAGCTCTGGACCAAGCGGACCCAAGAGATATCTACAGAACTCTCCACCCCAAGTCAACAGAATATACATTCTTCTCAGCACCACGTTGAACTTATTCTAAAATTGACCACATAATTGGAAGTAAAACACTCCTCAGCAAATGCAAAAGAACGGAAATCATAACAAACAGTCTCTCAGACCACAGTGCAATCAAATTAGAACTCAGGATTAAGAAACTCACTCAAAACCACACAACTACATGGAAACTGAACAACCTGCTCCTGAACGACTACTAGGTAAGTAACAAAATTAAGGCAGAAATAAATAAGTTCTTTGAAACCAATGAGAACAAAGACACAACGTACCAGAATCTCTGGGACACAGCTAAAGCAGTGTGTTTAGAGGGAAATTTACAGCACTAAATGCCCAAAGAAGAAAGCGGGAAAGATCTAAAATCGACACCCTAACATCACGATTAAAAGAACTAGAGAAGCAAGAGCAAACAAATTCAAAAGCTAGCAGAAGACAAGAAATAACTAAGATCAGATCAGAACTGAAGGAGATAGAGACATGAAAACCCTTCAAAAAAATCAATGAATCCAGGATCTGGTTTTTTCAAAAGATTAATAGATAGACCGCTGGCCAGAATAATAAAGAAGAAAAGAGAGAAGAATCAAATAGACACAATAAAAAAATGATAAAGGGGGTTGGGCATGGTGGCTCATGTCTGTAATCCCAGCATTTTGGGAGGCTGAGGTGGGCAGAACACCAGAGGTCAGGAGTTCAAGACCAACCTGGCCAAAATGGTGAAACCCTATCTCTACGAAAAACACAAAAATTAGCCAGGCGTGTTGGCAGGTGCCTGTAATCCCAGATACTTGGGAGGCTGAGGCAGGAGAATCACTTGAACCTGGGAGGCGGAGGTTACGGTGAGCCAAGATTACGCCACTGCACTCCAGCCTGGATGACAGAGCAAGACTCCGTCACACACACACACACACAAAAAAACTGATAAAGGGGATATCACCACTGTTCCCACAGAAATACAAACTACCCTCAGAGAATACTATAAACATCTCTACAAAAATAAACTAGAAAATCTAGAAGAAATGGATAAATTCCTGGACACATACACCCTCCCAAGACTAAACAAGGAAGAAGTCAAAACCCTGAATAAACCAATAACAAGTTCTGAAATTGAGGCAGTAATTAATAGTCTACCAAGCAAAAAAAGCCCCGGATCAGATGGACTCACAGCCGAATTCTACCAGAGGTACAAAGAGGAGCTGGTACCATTCCTTCTGAAACTATTCCAAACAATAGAAAAAGAGGGGCTCCTCCCTAACTCATTTCATAAGGGCAGCATCATCCTGATACCAAAACCTGGTAGAGACACAGCAAAAAAAGAAAATTTTAGGCCAACATTCCTGATGAACATTGATGCAAAAATCCTCAATAAAATACTGGCAAACTGAATCTACCAGCAGATCAAAAAGCTTATCCACCACGATCAAGTCAGCTTCATCCCTGGGATGCAAGGCTGGTTCAACATACGCAAATCAATAAACGTAATCCATCACATAAGCAGAATCAATGACAAAAACCACGATTATCACAATAGATATAGAAAAGGCCTTTGATAAAATTCAACACCCCTTCAAAATAAAAACTCTCAAAGGAACATATCTCAAAATAATAAGAGCTATTTATGATAAATCTAAAGCCAATAACATACTGAATGGGCAAAAGCTGGAAGCATTCCCTGTGAAAACTGGCACAAGACAAGGAAGCCCTCTCTCTCCACTCCTATTCAACATAGTATTTCAAGTTCTGGCCAAGGCAATCAGGCAAGAGAAAGAAATAAAGGTACTCAAATAGGAAGAGAGGAAATCAAATTGTCTCTATTTGCAGATGACATGATTGTATATTTAGAAAACCCCATCATCTCAGCCCAAAATCTCCTTAAGCTGATAAGCAACTTCAGCAAAGTCTCAGGATACAAAATCAATGTGCAAAAATCACAAGCATTCCTATACACCAATAATAGACAGAGAACCAAATCATGAGTGAACTCCCATTCACAATTGCTACAAAGAGAATAAAACACCTAGGAATACAACTTACAACGGATGTGAAGGACCTCTTCAAGGAGAACTACAAACCACTGCTCAAGGAAATAACGAGGACATAAACAAATGGAAAAACATTCCATGCTTATGGATAGGAAGAATCAATATTGAGAAAATGGCCATACTGCCCAAAGTAATTTATAGATGCAATGCTATCCCCATCAAGCTACCACTGACTTTCTTCACAGAATTAGAAAAAACTACTTTAAATTTCATATGGAACCAAAAAAGAGCCCGTATAGCCAAGACAATCCAAAGCAAAAAGAACAAATCTGGAGGCATCATGCTACCTGACTGCGAACTATATATACTACAAGGCTACAGTAACTAAAATAGCATGGTACTGGTACCAAAACAGATATGTAGACCAATGGAACAGAACAGAGCCCTCAGAAATAACGCCACACATCTACAACCATCTGATCTTTGACAAACCTGACAAAAACAAGCAATGAGGAAAGGATTCCCTATTTAATAAATGGTGATGGGAAAACTGGCTAGCTATATGCAGAAAGCTGAAACTGGATCCCTTCCTTACTTACACCTTATACAAAAATTAACTCAAGATGGATTAAAGACTTAAATGTAAGACCTGAAATCATAAAAACCCTAGAAGAAAACCTAGGCAATACCATTCAGGATATAGGCATGGGCAAAGACTTCATGACTAAAACACCAAAAGCAATGGCAACAAAAGCCAAAATTGACAAATGGGATCTAATTAAACTAAGGAGCTTCTGCATAGCAAAATAAACTATCATCAGTGAATAGGCAACCTACAAAATGGATGAAAATTTTTGCAATCTATCCATCTGACAAAGGGCTAATATCCAGAATCTACAAGGAACTTAAACAAATTCACAAGAAAAAAAACAAACAACCCCATCAAAAAGTGTGCGACAGGCGTGTGGCTCCTCTGGCTGCCATGCATGTTCAAACCCCTCATGGGAAAGGGAACACACAGACAGGCAGGTGCAGAAGCTGGGGCAAGCACTCCTGGGCTCTAGACCCATGGCAGCATCCAGGGGTGGGTGCCTGTGAAGCCCAAAGCCCAAGTGGGTGTATATTACAGTGTGCTCTTTTAGCTTTGCCATCCACGGATGGCTTAAGTGTTAAACAGCTTAATGGACCCTCTGCCTTTTCACAAGGGCAGAAAGCCAGTGTGACAGCTTTCTGTATCCCAAACTCTTGTCCAGCATCCAGGAAAAATCAGGTCTCACATGGATTTGAAGGATGGTGAATGTGGAGGTTTTATTGAGTGGTCAGGGTGGCTCTCAGTGGGACGGATGGGGAGCTGAAAGGGAGACAGAGTCAGAAGATGATCTTTCCCTGGAGATTTGCTGTCCCCAGCTGAACTCCTCTCAATGTTCAGATGCTCCTTCTCTTCTCTCCTTCTCTGCCATTCTTCTGCTCTTCTGTTCCTCTGCTCGTCTGCTCATGGAGCCTAGGCTTTGGGGTTTATATAGGTACAGGATAGGGGGATGTGGTGGGTCCAAAGGCAACTTTTAGTCATGAAAACAGGAATGCCTGTTCCCATTTAGAGCCATGGGTTTCCAGGCTTGAGGGTAGCACTTTTGCTGGGGAACCACCCTCTCCTACCCAGTATTTCCTTGTCTCCTGTCTGTATCATCAGGACTTCCTGAGGCTGCGTCATGGGTGCATCCTTAACCTTGGCAAAATTAATTTTCAAAATTGACTGAGACCTGTCTCAGATATTTGGGGTTCACATTTGGGTAACCACAGAGGGATTCTGAGTGTAGGTGCCCCTGACCTTTCACAAATCTTCTACTGGTACTTGGTACCAGCTTGAGCTATCTTCATGGTTAAAACCAATAGGACAATTTGCTGAGGCCTGAAAGCCACCCCTCCAAAGAATCCCTGATCTCCAAAAATTTGGTTGCAATCTAAACTTTATTTTGCTGCACAACTCCTTTTCTGAAAATTTACCTGCTTTCAACAAGGAAGGCAAGTTTTCCTGCTTCCATGTCAATGGAAGGCAGGTAATTCCTTTATGGAGTTTGACCTTGCTCCCAGCACGGAAGATGAATCTGAGTTTTTTCCTGCTTCTAGGGTAACAGACAGCAGTCTTCAGCCTGAGACCCATCACTAGGTAAGTAGCTCAATAGGGGTTTTGTCTTGTCTAAAGTTAAGATTAACAACAAGCTGGTCTTAATTTCTCCTTACCATTAGAGTGCTCAGTAATCATATAAATTTTGAGATACTTTGTGTTTTTGCTTAACTTTTTTTTTTTTTGCCGTTGTTTGTTTCTGTTTTTGTTGTTTTGGTCTTTCTTTCTTCATTGGGAAACTATCCAACTTGATCAAATCTAAAGGAAAGTTCCAAATTATGAGGAACAAGGCCTCTGAAGTGGCTAAATTTCCACAAAAGGTGGGGAGGGCTTGGGAGGAAAAATGCTCAGCAAAAGAAAAAACAATAAAGATTTTTGATTTTGAGTACTTAAGGGGCTTTATGTACATAGCAAGGCCACTTTTTTGCTATCCAGGCCAAATTGAAAGAGCAACGCTGTTGCCCCATGCTGCAGTTTCATAGCTAAGGTTCTGCCTTCTTTTTTTTCCACAACAGCCTGGGTTTGCTTCCTAAATCAAGCCCTTTCTGGTTTGATACTTGCTTCTTTTGAAACATCAGCAATTTTTCCTAGCTAAAAAATGGTAATGAGATTCAGAAAGATTTTTTTAAAGGAGCTCAAG
The DNA here is from genome assembly GCF_000001405.40 of Homo sapiens. Taxonomy (NCBI): domain Eukaryota; kingdom Metazoa; phylum Chordata; class Mammalia; order Primates; family Hominidae; genus Homo; species Homo sapiens. The sequence goes on along the minus strand of NC_000023.11, from coordinate 141,247,840 downwards.
GGTTAAAAGTCAGCTTAATTAAAAGCTAACATCTGAGATGTGTGTGTGTGTGCATGTGTGCATTTGTATTAAAAGGCCTTTATTTTTTCCTCTGTTAGAAACAGATAATCGGTGCCATGAAGAAAAGACAAAGGATCTCTCAGCAAGGCAATCTTTACTTTCTGCAGAAAGGGTGCCCCTCGCAGATCGAACAATCGTGACAGCACACTTGAACAAAGGAAAAGCAGACATATTTATTATTTACGTATTTGGGTCAGCCTTACGGCTCTGTCCTGCATCCATTGGCTGGAGCTGGACCTCACAGTCTTCAACTGATACCAAATCTGCTAATAACCTAAAACTTTCCTAAACAGGTAAGTGCAAGGGAGAACAAAGAAGAAAAAGAAGTTGCTTACTAAAGGTTTAAGGAAGCAATTAACATTTCAAAAAAGGAAGGGGCATAAGCTATGAGCTAAGACTTGCCTGGGCCTGTCCAGACATGCCTGAGTAAGCCAAAGCAACTAACTGGGCTCAAGTGTAAGAACTAGTAGTTGAGAGGAGGCTTTAGAGTAAGGAGCTATTACTTATAGTGTCTATTATTTTATTTTTAAACCAAGATGAGTTTTGAAGAGAAACATTACTACTTTCTACATCTTCTCTCCTAGGACCTTGTCTTTTTTGAGCAAAAGTTTTTTTTTTTTTCTTCTCAGACGATGACATTCTGTTTTCTTCATTTACTTCTGCTGTCTCTCCTTTATTTTGCTACCCACTGTTGCATGAGGGACGTAAAATAGTTTATAATTGCCTGCATTCCTTAAAGAAAATGGAGAAGATGCCACACTCCCTTTTGGGGAGAAACCTCTATTTTTCCCAAGAGTGTAAACAGACAAGTTCATCTCAGATCTTAAGCTGCCTGCTTTTGTATTGTGTTACTTGATTTTTTAACTAAAACTGTTATTAGTTTATTCTTGGATTTTTAAGGAAGAAAGTAGCTTGAACACTTAGAAATGTCTTTGTTAAAAAAAAAAAAAGGACACTGTAAAACCGTCACTTGGTGTAGCCTCATAGTAATTCTCCCTTTTTGGAGACCTAGGATTCAGTGTGGGCTCTGCCCAGAGCTCAGAGATCCAGTTAAAAGACAGGTAGTCCCTATCTAAATACAACTGGTCTCCTTATACAATCCTATAATATATTTCTACAATTTTGTGTTTGATTTGGCATCCATGTTTAATCTCCCTCTAACATCGCCCGACTCTTTCTCTCTGTGCTTTGACATGTAAATTTCACTATCTGATTTTTTTTACCTAAGAGTTCCTTTAATATGCACATTTAGGGCTATCTAGATGACAACTGCCTAGGGCAATAAAATAGGTTATGAAGAAATTGTAAATCTAAAATACGAGGAAAAAATAAAGGCCTTAGGAATTTATAAGATCTACTTCTATCTACATATCTAATACATCTATGTATTTATGTGTCATGGATATGACATTTCACTACTAAAAATGTAGAAAAGAGCTCTAATTAATTGGCTTAACAAAGGCACTTAAATCTAATGCTTTTCAGAAAAATAGACTTTAAGCCAAATGCTTTTTCAAGTTCATGTGACTTAAGCAAATCTTCAATAAACAAGCTGGTTTTAAAAATTTTAGTGAAATTGAATTAGAAATGGCTTTGGAATTCTCAACATATTTATCTCTGCTAGATGTCAACATTTGGCATGAGGGTTCTAAAGCTATGAATGCAGCTCAAATGAGAATTATCTTTGTTTATGTAAAATTTAGTAAGTAAGGAATTTAATATTGTTTGGTTAATGAAAATAGCTAAATCCTGAGTTATTGACAAAAAAACAAAAACAAACAAACAAACAAAAAAACGACCCTTTATCTAACCTTAATGTTCTTACTCAGGACAACCTGAAATTCACAGGTTATAAAAATGGTTAACAAGGACATAACTTTAAATGGTAACTATCACAGTTTTCATAAGTAACCTGAGTAAACTATTAGAAAATTAATTACACAAATGTAACAGAATAAGTTCTTGTAGATTATCTTGTCATATAATTTAAAATCTAAAGTTATATTAAGCTAAATAATAGATATTACACGTCTGGGTCATTTCCAATTTTTTTAATTCTAGGATAACATTTTTCTGTAAGAAAGAAATGTGATCTTAAAGGAAAATACTTTTTGTCTAATTCGAAGCTTATTTAAAAGTTATTTATGAAATTAGGTAATCAGTGAATAAGAACAATGTGAAGGAAGTTATGAACAGGCATTTTTGGCACAAAAGGTTAAAAGGAAAATAATTTCATCTGAGAAAGAATCTTGTATGGTAAATTTTTGTTCTAAAATAAAATAACTGGTTATTAAAGAAAAAGGAAGCCTGGGCATGGTGGCTCATGCTTGTTAATTCCAGCATTTTGGGAAGCCGAGGTGGATGGATCACCTGAGGTCAGGAGTTCGAGACCAGCCTGGCAAACGTGGCAAATCCCTGTCTCTACTAAAAATACAAAAATTAGCCAGGTGTGGTGACACGTGCCTCTAGTCCCAGCTACTCCGGAGGCTGAGGCAGGAGAATTGCTTGTACATGGGAGGCGGAGGTTGCAGGGAGCCGAGATGGCGCCACTGCACGACTCTAGCCTGGGCGACGGAGCAAGACTGTATCTCAAAGGAATAAAGAAAGAGGAAGGGATAAAACAGAAAGTCCAAGCTGTCATAAATGATTTGTATAAAGTTGTCTATAATTAAAGGGAAATTATTTATAATAGTCTTTCCAGATTTAGCTTATGATATTAAAAAAACACTAAAAAAATTCATCAGAACAATAAAATTTTCTTAAGGAGTTGATTTACTCTTAATAAATTAAAAGATTTTAATTGTTTAAACCCAAAGTTTAACTTTTATCACATCTCACCATTTTCGGTTTACTCTCCTCTTTTAAAAGGTGAAAATAATAACTCTCTCTTTCAACTCATTTTCAGCTCATATAAGTTTTTTCTTTTTTTCTCTTGTGTTCTGTTTGTTGTGGCCTCATGCTAAAAATGTTTTTTTTTCTTTTTCTTTTTTTTTTTTGAGGTGGGGTCTCACTCAGTCACCCAGGCTGAGAGTGCAGTGGCACAATCTTGGCTCACTGCAACCTCCCCCTTCCAGGTTCAAGCAATTCTCCTGCCACCACGCCCGGCTAATTTTTGTATTTGTAGTAGAGACAGGGTTTCACCGTGTTGCCAGGCTGGTCTCGAACTTCTGACCTCAAGTGATCCACCTGCTTCAGCCTCCCAAAGTGCTAGGATTACAGGCATGAGCCACTATGACAGGCCAAAAATTTTTTCTTCAAGGTCTAAAAAAGTGTTTTCTTCCATCTGTGTAACTTTCTGTATGTGCTTTTAAAGTCCTTGTGCCATTGAGCTATAGGGCTTTGACTTCTGGGTCTAAAAAGGACACCAAGTTCTGCTATATCTTAAACACTGACATCAATTACAGCCTCATCTTCAGGCCCAGTAGAAGATGCTAATCAAAGTAAACTGCGTTCATGAGATGCAGGGTCAGAAATTAAAACTATTCAACTCCTCAAGGCCCAAGGACTATCGTGGAACAGGTGGGCATGTGAGATTGTAAGGGCTGATATTAAGAGAAAAGTAGCTCAGTTTCTCTAGGAATTAACCATTAATATCAAAGGCACACTAAAGCAAAACCAGTATCTAGGTTGCTGTGTCAGTTTAACAAGGCTTTCTTGGAGCATTAACTCACTCCTTAATGCAAAATGATAAAGGTTACAAGGTTTATAGAAATTATATTTTATACTCAAGATGATTAAACTTTTATTATAAAATTTCAAAAAAACAAATTTCATTTGCCGCATCCTGTTTTTAATTAGGGCTTATTGTTTGGGATATTAAGCCTCCTCTCTCAAAGAATAAAGATTTTCACCTTTTTTTTTTCTTTTTTGAAATCTTTGAGTTACTGCTTTGGTTAAATGAATGACTTATTTTACAATGACCCATGACCCTATTTCGTGATATCAAGCATTTTAAACTTTTTATCTTTGACGAACTTTCCAAAGTCAAATTCTAACTTGATTCCTCATTAATTTTTTGATATGAGTCCTCTGAAGTCCAAAAGAGACATATTGGTCTTATTTGGTATAAAAATCATACAAGAAGCATCGTCAAATATAAAATGCTGTTTGACTTTCTTTGGGCTGTATTTATAGAAATGTCATTGATATGTGCTCCAAAATTATGGGAAACTCTTATACTTCTGAAATAACTTGTGTATGTTATTAATTATAACTTTTATGTTAAATTCTTGTATGCTACAGAAGTAACCAAAATTTACTTGTCAATGGTGGTTTTAATAATGGCTGTCCTGGCTGGGTGTGGTGGCTCACGCCTGTAATCCCAGCACTTTGGAGGCCAAGGCGGGTGGATCACGAGGTCAGGAGTTCAAGACCAGCTTGGCCAAGATGGTGAGACCCCCGTCTCTCCTAAAAATACAAAAATTAGCCGGGCGTGGTGGCACAGGCCTGTAATCCCAGCTACTCAGGAAGCTGAGCCAGAGAATCACTTAAACCCAGGAGGCAGAGGTTGCAGTGAGCTGAGATCATGCCATTGCACTCCAGCCTGGGCAACAACAGTGAAACTCCATTTCAAAAAGAGAAAAAAATATACACCCCTGATTTGAAACAAGACTAGGATACACGGTAAAGAATGTTTATTCACTAAAGTTTTGACAGACTGAAGGCCATTATTTCAGATTGGAGATAGGAAACTTAAAAGAACTACATGGACATTGGGTAAAAGAACATGGGTTGAAATTTGCCTGGCAGTAGCCCAAAAGTAAATGGTCTTCGAGGTGCATGTGAAGGAACTGTAGGAGGGAAATGGGATAATTCACATCTCTGCCAATAAATAAATGTAGCCACACTAGCTTGGGGGATTTGAGGTGAGACATCGAAAATACTAAGTCATGGTGAGGGCTGGAAGACAAAAGAATGAATCACTTAATAGGAATGGCTGTGGGGAAGGGCTTGAAGGAATCATCCTCTGACTTCCATGTGAACCGTGAACATTAAACATGGAGAAATGAGGAGCGGCGGCAGATCGGTTTGGGATGCATCTTCAGGGGATGCTGAAACAACAACAGCATTTGGTTTGCTCTACACCCCTGTCACCCCTCGCCCGCAAGCCCAGGGAGTGGTCAGCAGTGGGGCTTTGTGATGTGAAGCCACCCTAGGGCTGCCATTGGCTGGGACACTGCCTGTATGATCAAACAAAGCTCAAGGGTGTGGCTTTGCCTTGTCACCAGGAGGGTATATACAGGGAGGGCAAGAGCTCCGGGCCACTGCGAAGATTCAAAACCTACAAAAGCCTGCCGCTGACATTGAAGAACCAATATATACAATGGACAAACAATCCAGTGCCGGCGGGGTGAAGAGGAGCGTCCCCTGTGATTCCAACGAGGCCAACGAGATGGTAAGACTGTTAGGTTTTGAATTGAAGGCGAGGGTGAAAGAAAGACACACAGAGCGGGGGCGGCTCAAACAACAACACAGGAATATTGCAGACCATTGTGGAAGTGGGGGGCCCGCTTAATGCCAGAGCCCACCGCCGCTTACAGGCTGGGGTGCTTGTAGGTAGGGGTGGGAGGGGCCTGGGCAGTATGGCTTGCTGCCCGGCAGGATATTGATAAGATGTTCTTATGATCAGGTGGTTTGGCCCTTTTTCTGGTGGAATATCATTGTGGTGTTCCTTAGAACGCTGCCAAGCAAGATATGATAGGGATGTTTCTTCAGTTGGGCCTTTGTCCGCCTTGCGGACAGGTGGTTAGGCAGGATGTTTCTCACGGCCTGAACCCCCATGGGATGTTTCACTTTGACCAAGGTCTGCAAAATAGCAAAGAACTGACAAAATGGTGCAGTTTGGACTCACAGGTGACCCTACCCACGCTCCTCTTCTTCTTCCCCATAGATCCCTACTCTGTGCTTCAACCTTCTTCTTCTCTGGATCAAACCCCTTCCTCAACCCGCATTCCTTCTTCTCATGAAGCCCCCTTGCTATCCAGTCTCTATCCTGTTCACCCAAAATAATGTCCTCCTGGCCTCTCCCTGCTTTCTTAACAGATGCCGGAGACCTCGAGTGGGTACTCAGACCCGCAACCTGCTCCGAAAAAACTAAAAACATCTGAGTCCTCGACCATACTAGTGGTTCGCTACAGGAGGAACGTGAAAAGAACATCTCCAGAGGAACTGGTGAATGACCACGCCCGAGAGAACAGAATCAACCCCCTCCAAATGGAGGAGGAGGAATTCATGGAAATAATGGTTGAAATACCTGCAAAGTAGCAAGAAGCTACATCTCTCAACCTTGGGCAATGAAAATAAAGTTTGAGAAGCTGATGGCTGTGTATATCTCTGCCTGTTTTCTGATGGTGGCGGGGGAAGGGAAGGGAAGGGAAGAGGTAGGCATTTGAGAAGGGAGGGATATGAGGTCCTGTAGGGTTGGTGGACAGACCCACAGGTTGACAGTAAGCCAGACATTGTAAATAAGGCCTGGGGGAGGACTGATTCCTAAAGAAAATTTTCTTCTTAAAATTTTATCTCACAGGAAGTGGAGATGTGTATATGTTCACGCAACTGTACCCGGCAGCACATAGTTCTGCTGAATGTACATATCAAAGGTATTCCCATCCCCTTTCCATTTGATATTTTCCTAGGCTAGAAATAGATGCTTTATAAAGCGTAAATGTTCTGTAAAACACAAAGCACAATACAAAAGAAGATAGTAGATGTAGGAGTAAGTAAACGGCAGGAAAGCATTGCTTGTGATGAAATGATTGAAAAGCCAATTCTAAAACAAAATGTTCAATGCATCTTAAATATTTGTTAGTGTTTTAATGACCTCAGCAGTCTTTAATCAAGATAAGTATGCTTTAGAAATGTGTTGATATCCGCAAAGTGTGAATATTCAAAATCGCCATGACTTGGGAAAAGGAAAGTAAAACACTCTTAAGTATGAGGAGCTTTTTCCCATGGAATGTGAACTGCAAGGTGGTGAGAAGGGTTAGGTGTGATGTGGTGAGATCATTTTTAGGAGAGTGTGTCTATTATCGGCTTCCTAACACTTCCATTTTGCATGATAATTTCCTGAAAGTCATCATTTAATTAAGGCTATAGATTTTGATTACCATGTGTCTTAAAATGTCAAACAATATAATATTTATACTGAAAAAGAAAACTGCTTGGTGGATACACATCGGTTAGCGGGAAAAGACACCACAGGGATTCACCATGGAGTCACCCGTGGATGGGGTTTTAGTTTCTGTCTTTGAATTGACCTTCACATAGTGTCTACCTCTTGAGAGTTCAGGGGATGTTGGAGAGATCATTAGGTAAAACAAGAAGGTCTTCTCAGGATACATGAGGGAGTTAAATAGAAATGCAGGAGCAATTACAGTTTTAGTTATTTGTAACTGTTGTTTGCTAAGTCATAACACTGTCATGGATAACATGAAAAAATAAAATATACTAAATATCAATAGACAAAAACCAGTTTGCTTTTCTCCAACCAAATACCTAAATACCTAGCACTGATTTCCAGAACAAAATCCCCCACGTACCATCTTTGGAATAAAAGAATATTCTTTCAAGTTGTCGGACCACAAGGTAAAAACAAAAAATCCCAATGCTTTTTTTCTTACTCTTTGATCTGTACAATTGAAGGTATTCCTCATTGCAAACTACTATTTCCACCCAGCACGAGACATTAAAGAATTTTTCATATTTAGGATAGTAATACGGGATCACATTCTTTAGCCTTAGGCATTGCAGAGGAAAAACAAACAAACAAAACCAAACCAAAACTAAGCTGAGAGAGGCGGAGCAAGAAAAGCAGAATAGAAGGCCGCCCAGATCAGCCCCCTCGCAAGGACACAAATTTAACAACGATCCACACAGTAGAAAACACCTCCATAAGAACCCAAAATCAGGGGAACTCTCATAGTACCTGGCGGTATCACTGAAAGAGGCACTGAAGAGTTAGAAGAAACAGTCTTAAATCGCTGACCCCGCCCCTTCCCTATCCTAGGCAGTGGCAGTATGGTGTAAAGAGCATCTCTGGAAGCTGGACGAGCAAGAGCAGAGCAGTTGTGGGTCACTGACCTCGGTGCTGTCTCTTACAGGAGAAAGGAAAACCAGAGCAAACTTAGCTGACTCCCATCTGGGAAGGGAGCATTGAAACCACCTCTAGCCAGAGGGAAATTACCCATCCCAGGAATCAGAACTTGAGTTTCTGCAAACCTTGCCACCAAGGGCTAAGAAACGGTTCCAGGTTTCTCAGACAACCTTAAAGGCAGTCTAGGCCATAAGATCTCTAACTCGTAGGTGAGTTCTAGCATAGAATTGGGCCCAGAGGCAGTGGATTGTGGCGGGTATGTGGAGGGGTGCACATGACCTCCTGAGATACCAGCTGGGGCAGCCAAGTGAGTGCTGGTGTCACCCCTGCCCTAGCCCCAGACTGCCCAGCTAGCGGCTCCATAAAAGACCCCCTCCTTCCACTTGAGGAGATGGAATAGTGAGGAGCGTTTTTTTTTTTCTTGCATCTTGAATACCAGCTCAACTACAGCGGGACAGGGCACCGGTCGGGGTTGTGAAGCCCCTGCTCCAGGCACTCGCTCCTGGATAACATTTCTAGACACACCCTAGGCCAGAAAGAAACCTGCTGCCTTGAAAGAAATGAAAAGAGAACACCTATACACTGTTTATGGGAATGTAACTTAGTTCAGCCATTGTAGAAAGCAGTTTGGTGATTTCTGCAAGAACTTAGAAATACCATTCATCTCAGCAATCACATTACTGGATATATACCCAAACGATATATATCATTCTACCATTAAGACATACGCATGCGTATGTTCTTGACAGCACTATTCACAATAGCAAAGATATTGAATCAACCTAAAGGCCCATCAGCAGCAGACTGGATAAAGACAATGTGGTACATAAACAGCACGGAATACTATGCAGCCATAAAAAAACGAGATCATGTCTTTTGCAGCAACATGGATGGAGCTGGAGGCCATTACTCTAAGCGAACTCACGTGGGAACAGAAAATGGAATACCACCTTTTTCCATTTATAAGCAAGAGCTAAACATCAGTACGCATGGACACAAAGAAGGGAACAACAGACACCCGTGTCTACTTGGGGGTAAAGGATGGGGAGGAGGGTGAGGGTTGAAAAGCTACCTATCAGCTATTATGCTGATTACCTGGGTGATGAAATAATGTGTACACCAAACCCGTGTGACACGCAACTTCCCTATATAACGAGCCTGCACATGTACCCCTGAACCTAACATAAAAGTTAACAAAAATTTAAAAATAAAATAATAAAAAATTAAGAAGTCTCACAGAGGTAGAGCGTAGAATGGTGGTGACTAGGGGCTCGGTGGTGGTGGCTGGAAAGACATTGCTCAAAGGATACCAAATTTCTGTTAGACTGAAGGAATAAGCTGCAGAGATACATTGTACGACACGGTGACTACAGGTGATCATAATATGTTGTATTATTGATGAATGCTAAGAGAGTAGATGGTAAGTGTTCTCAATACAAAATGATAACTTTGTGGGATGATGCATATGTTAATTAGCTATATTTATTCATTCTACAATGTATATACTTCAAACATTAGATACATGATAGACACATTCCATTTTATCTGTTCAGTTTAAAATAATAAAAATAAAGAAGAAAGACATGTCCAAGTGTTCTGCCTGGGAAGATGGGCCTGAGAGAGTCTTACATAGTTAATCACGTACTATGTTTTTCTGTGCAGGACAGCAGAGGGAGTGGGGCTACCTGAGAGCAGCACATAGTCAGTAAATGGCCTATAACAGCTCTACTTCCTTTCTTGAAGAATCAGAATGGTGAAAGAAACCAGTTTAATGTTTCTCATGCCCCTAAGAAGGACACTAAAGTGTTTTAAAGAGAGTTGGATCTGAAGGTGCCCTGTGGTTGGGCTTGAGGGATGACATGAAAATGTTCTGCATGAATCAGCCATTTAGGGCCAGATGGGATGATACGCATCTCAGGAGATGTTCGATGGATACAACATTGGGAAATTCTGAGATTCTGAATTGATTAAGTGTGAGACTCATGCATATTAAGTGCAATTACATAAAATGGCATTGCATTTCTCATTCGGCCAAGCATTGTAACCAGGTATATTCATGTGCCAGCTATTTCAATAAAAAGTGGTATCTCTCACAACCATTTGCATTCCAATACAATTTTCTGAATGTAAGAGAAAGAGATATAGTTATAACCAAGGTGTTCATCAATGAGAATAGTTTGCATCTCATCTTCTCTATTCTGCAGAAAGGCCCTTGAAGAGCATATTGCATCATTTTCTTCATGGCCAAGAAAATCAAGAATCACTGATCTGGCCAGGTGCAGTGGCTCATGCCTGTCATCCCAGCACTTTGGGAGGCAGAGGCGGGCGGATCACCCGAGGTCAGGAGTTTGAGGCGAGCCTGGCCAACATGGTGAAACCCTGTCTCTGCTAAAATACAAAAAAAAATTAGCTGGGCGTGGTGGTGGGCGCCTGTAATCCAAGCTACTGGGGAGGCTGAGGCAGGAGAATTGCTTGAATCCAGGCAGTGGAGGTTGCAGTGAGCCGAGATCGTGCCACTGCACTCCGGCTTGGGTGACAGAGCCAGACTCTGTCTCAAAACAACAAAAACAAAAACAAGAAATCACCGATCCATTTGAAAGTCAGAAAATATTTTGTCATTGACTAAATGTAGACCCTAGAGAGTGATCCCCATACACCACACTACAACTTAAGACTGATTCTATTTCTTAAGCATCCTTTGGAGGTCATCACGTTTTTGAACTCTTGTAATAACAGGGGACTTCAACGCATTTCAGACAGCAAACCTCGTCCTGTGTTATCCTATGCTCTGGGAGGAATCTCAAAGACAAGGAAGTAAGGAAGAAAGAAAGGAAGGAAGGGAGGGAGGAAGGAAGGGAGGGAGGGAAGGAGGGAGGGAGGGAGGGAGGAAAGGAGAAGAGGAGAGAAGAGAGGAGACGATCTCTAAACCTAAACTGGTAGAAAGCTTCACAAGTCTGAATACTTAACAAGTTAAATTAAGTAGCTAAAGATGTTTTTGAAAATCATCTGAGCAAACAAAAAATGATTCTGAAAAATATTTGGTAATGTAATAATGACAATGGGTTATTTCTTCTATCCTTGATCTCCTACAGTATATTTTAAGCCAGATCATGTTTTTCCTTTGATGAAAACTCCAGACTTTTCATCTTGATTAAAATAAAATCCAAATTCCTAATAAGGCCGTACATGATGTGGGCACCTATTACCTCTCTGACATTAATACTTATTCTTCTCGTGAATCACTCTGCTTCTATCACACTCCCCAATCTGTGACTCTTGTAACTCACCACGCATGTGATTCCTCTAACCTGCCATCCATATCAGGGTCTTTGCATACTTCTGCCTGGAAGGTTCTTCTCTAAAATATCCACTATGTATCCTAATTTTCTTTTCTTTTCTTCTTCTTTCCTTCTTTCTTTTTCCTTTTTTTTTTTTTTTTTTTTTTTTTTTTTTTTTTTTTGAGATGGAGCCTTGCTTTGTCAGCTAGCCTGGAGTGCAGTGGTGCACTCTCGGCTCTCTGCAACCTCCACCTCCTGGTTTCAAGCAATTCTCCTGCCTCAGCCTCCTGAGTAGCTGAGATTACAGGCGCCTGCTACCACGCCTGGCTAATGTTTGTAGTTTTAGTATAGATGGGGTTTCATTGGTTGGCCAGGCTGGTCTTGAACTCCTGACCTCGTGATCCGCCTGCCTTCGCCTCCCAAAGTGCTGAGATTACAATCGTGAGCCACCACGCCCGGCCTGTGTATCCGAATTTTCTTCAGGTCACTAGTCAGAAGTCACTTTATTGGAAAGGCTATCCTCCATTTAATGGTGAAGACGTTAAATGGTACTTGTACTTCTTTCAAAAAAAATGATACTTTTATCAGTTATTTTACTACAGTACCTGGAACATGTAAACTTGCAAGAAATATTTGGTGAATGAATGCATGTTAATCTGAATTTAGTATTGCAGTCTTCATTACCAGAAAGCATTTACATGTTTTAACTGTCAGGGAGCAACACTGGTAAGTGATTAATTCCCTATCCATAAAATGGATAGAGTACTATTCATGCTACATGTTCTCACAGTTGTGGCAAGGGTTATTAAATTGCCAACTGTAGTACTAAACTTATATTAATGTTGTACTCGTTAGTATTACTCTTGTTATGTTCAGAGGAAATATGGAATAAAAGTAAGATCATGGGCCTGGTTCAAATCTGAAATTCTGCTACATCCTAGTTGGGTGATGGTCTCGGCTCACTGCAACCTCTGCCTCCTGGGTTCAAGCGATTCTCCTGTCTCAGCCTGCCAAGTAGCTGGGACTACAGGCGTTTGCCTTCGCACCTGGCTGATTTTTGTATTTTTAGTAGAGACAGGGTTTCACTATGTTGGCCCAGCTGGTCTCAGAACTCCTGACCTCAAGATCCGCCCACCTCGGCCTCCCAAAGTGCTGGGATTACAGGCGTGAGCCACCGTGCCCAGCCGCGTTTATGTTTTTCTCTTCATAAATTTTGTTTTCCTGGAAAAGGTTTTTTCCTGATCGACTAAATTACTTTTCTCCACTCTGTCTTGCCACTCTTGGTGCATGTATGAAAGACCCTGAAACGACTCCTGGTGGCCTGGGACTCCTTGGGAAAACAAAAAAGGTGCCACAAATCCCGTTTTGGGAAAAACCTCTGTTTTCCTTATGAAACCCCTAGACTTAAATAAGTACCTCTCAAAGATCTGTCTTTGTCTTCCAACTGTACTTGTTCATTAGGCCCTAGAAACTGTTTTCTTAGCCCTGTTCTTAAAAGGCCTCACCCGAAGGCCAATAATCCAATTGGAAAATTAGCAGAAAAAAAATCTCATAACTACTCAATCTTCTTCTGATTGTCTGTGTGGCTATATATGTTTTATGTGTGTGATGTCTATTAAAAGAACTCTAATTAACTGGCCAAAAAAATAAGCACTTAAATCAAATATTTTTAAGGGAAAAGTAAAAGCTGTGGGACCTTTCAGTTCTCGTAATTTTAATCTTTAGAACTTACTGGTACAGCAAAGTTAAAAGTTGAGTTGAAAGTCGTTAAGAGTTGCCAGCGTACGTTTTTATTTGCATTTATTAATCAAGCAATTTCATACTTATGGCTGCAAAATACTATAAGGTGTCAACATTTGGCACAGAGGCTACAAAAGGACAACTCAGCCCAAACAAAATAATCTTTGCTTGTGTAATTTTTTCAATAAATAAAGCATGAATACTGGTTTAACGAAGATAGCTATATCTTTAACTATTTAGTAAAATATGCTAACTTCCAACCTTGTGGCCTTAGGCAGTCTAGTCCACAGACATGAAGGAAATTTGTTTTGGGAAAGAACTGTTATCTTTAATATTAAAGAAAAGATAATTGGCATAAGAAAGAATCTCACATGGTAAATTTTTGTCCTAAAGTAAATTAACTGTTGTTTAAAAAAAGGGATGACTTTACAACAAGTCAGAAAGGTAAGGCATGTCAGAAATTGTCTGTGAAAGTCCTGAAGAATTTTATAAAAGGGAATTTGTGCAAGAAATGTCGCACAATTTAAAAGTAATTCGGCCTCCTCAATGCCGTATACAATTTCACTCTAACTCTTAGCTGTACAGCTTGCCTGCTTTGCAGCTGAATAAACCCTAGGACACATGGAGTTAAATGCTGGAATAAGCCAGACCTTCTCCGCACTTCCGTCTGGGTCCTAGGCCCTACACCTAGTGCGTAATTAGATTCCCAGACTTACCAAGGTTTTCATCAAAAGTAAAGGTTGCTAAAAGTTAGCAGTGTAACACGTATTTAAAACTACCGAAGAAATAGTTTATGAGCAAGGTGTGTAAGGAAAGTAAAATATACTTTTGGTAAAAAGATTATAAGGAGGCCTAAGAATGTGGATTTTTGCCTACATTAAAAGGTTAAAAAATTGTTTTAAAGGTTTAAGCAACTTTTGGAAGGTTAATTGTAAAGAAAATTTCGTGTGTGTACATACTGGCTAAAGTTAAAGGGGTATCATTCAGGTTTTCTGTAAATCGAGCATTAAAATAAAAGCACAACGGGTTTCTGTTAAAGCACTAACCTGCTCTTTAACAAAAAGTATAAACGGTTAAAAAGGGTCTATAAAAACCTTACCTTCTGGTCAAACATGAACATTGGGTAAATGCGTCTACAAGGTTTTATGAAAAATGGAGCTTAACATTAATAGCACACTAATACAATGGTAAAATTTGGCTTATTTGATATAAAATCATACAGGAAGCATTGTCAAATATAAAATGGTATTTGGCTTTCTTTGGGCTATAGTTGTATAAATATGCTATTGGGATGTGTTCCAAAGTTATGGCAGATTCCTATCATTCTAATATATCTTAGTGTACGTTATCACTAATAATTATAATTGTTTTGTTAAAATTATTGTGTGCCACAGAGGTAACGGATATCTTTGTCAACTGTGTCTTTAACTATGGCTACCCTAAAACTTTCTGTCATCCATAAACAATTGTTGTCTTGTTTTAGTCCTCTTCAAAGGGTGGTTTTCTAATCAGCTATAAAGCTCTGAATGCAGGTTTCTGATAAAAAGCAGGACAGGAATTAACTGCATAAATCAAACTAATAGGAAACTAATCTGTTTAACCTTTTGCTTAAAATATTGCTAACCCTTTGTTTTGCCTTTCAAAGTCAAAGAAACTTTTTTTAAGCGATTAACAGCTTTTAACTGTTAACTGTTAACCGCTAACTCCCATATGTATGAGAGTTAACTGTTCACTTTTCACTGTTTAACTTTTAACTGTTAACTCCCATCAACAAAATTTGGAGGATACTTGTTTCTCTCTACCTTATTCTCTCCAAAATTTGGAAACTATCTATGAGTATTCTTAACTTATGGCAATATAGTTATTTGCATAAATACAACAAGAATCTGTTTTCTTTTGTAACGGGACACGATTGGAAAAACTGGTTATTCTTACCAAGGCTTTGACTGGAATGGTGTGCTTTTCCTTTAAGGAATCCAGCTTTAACTTATAAAGCCAATAAAGCCCTTGAAAAACTGGCCTCATATTTTGTGTACACAGTCCCCGTACAGGGTTTGTGATCTGTGGTAAACAGAACATGTCACTTTCTAACAGGCCAGGAACCCTAAGTTATCTTGAAACATCAAGAGGAGAGGAATTCACCCAAGTCATAGGTATTTAATGGTACAAATCCATGGCTGGGCTTGGCTTTAAAAAGTCTTTTATCTCAGATTGCTTCTACAAAACCAAATTCCACCAAAGCCCATTTAAAAGGCCTATGTAACAAATAATTATTCTTGCAGCACTGTATGCAAATAAGTAAGCCAAGTATCCTAAAGCAAACCTACCATAATTTGTCTTTTAATAAAAATGGGAAAGTGGAGAGAGGAAATTATGTTTCCAAAACTATGACACCCCTCTTGTTAAATTCTAGAGTTGCCTGATGTTTTTCAGTTATTATTTGCTACTGTTTAATTAAATTCTAATTTTTCTGACTACAAGACTTCAAAATAAGCTGTGCTTTCTTAAAGCCCTATAAACTGGAAACTAGATGTTTCAGCAGGCACTGCCTCTAAGCCCCCTAACCCTCACAGGAGCAAATAAAGAAATAGGAAATCGTAAGCTAAAAATCATAAAAAATAAATAACCGAGAAAGAATTGCTCGTCTTACTCAGTCTCACCCCTACCTCACCAAACACTTTTGTCATTCCTATCTCTCCTTTCAAGCCAAATATTACAACTTTTTAATGGAAATTATTGACTACACCACCCTTGTGGAAACTGCTTTACTCACCCTACTATTTGCAGTAAAACTATATACTGTAGCACCCTCAGGGTAAAATGTCAGACAAAAACAATCTCAATTACTGTAGCATTTTGCTTAATTATTAGCCTCTTAGCAGGAATAACGCTTACTAACAGAAACTAACACATGGGCCTTTCCAAACATGTGCTTCTACCTCTCATTAGGTAAGGAATATTGTTTCTTTATCAACCAATCAGGCCTAGTTAAAAAACGCTGCTAAAACAAACATAAAGAAAAGGCTAAAAAGCTAAGGGAGTACCAAAACAACCAAATAAGTTCTTGGTTTGGGAACACAATCATAGCATGGGTCATCCTATTTCTGGGCCCTCTCCTAACAATATGCCTGGGACTAATTTTCTTACCCTGCCTAATTAACCTTTCTCGGAAAATTTTAACTAACAGGATCACGGCCATTTCACAGACAACTACCCAAAAACATCTACAGACGGCATTGCTCCTACTGTCAACCCAAAAAACTCTCCGTCCCCTCGTCAGCAGGAAGTAATTTTCATTTCAGGGAGATCTTCCAATTTATTGACATACAGTTTCCCACGGTCACCACAAGAGCCCTTTGAATTTTTGCAGCTTTAGCCTGTAATGTCTCCTTTCAATTTTGGAGTTTATTTATCTCGATCTCTCCTTTTTCTTCCTTAGATTGGCTACAGGTTTCTCAATTTTGTATAGCTTTTTAAAAAAAACCCAACTTTTTGTTTCCTTGATAGTGTTTTGACTTTCTTCATTTTACTTTCATTTATTTCTGCTCTGGTCTTTCATTATTTCTTTTCTTCTACTGATTTGGGGTTCACTTTGAGCTTATTTTTCTGTTTTTTTAAGATGCGTCATGAATTATTTGCAGGTGTTCCTCTTTTTCAATGTAGGCACTTATAGCTATAAACTTCCCTCTTAATACTGCTTTTGCTGTATCCCATGGGTTTTGGTATGTTGTGTTTCCATGATCATTTATTTTGAGAAATTTTACAATTTAGTTTTTAATTTCTTCATTGACCTGTGGGTCATTCAGGAGCATTTTTTTTTTTTTAATTCTATGGATTTGTATAATTTTCAAAGTTCCCCTTGTTATTTTCGGGATTTTCTTTTTTTGTTTTTTGGTGGTCAGAGAAGAAGCTTGAAATTATTTCAATTTATTTGAATGTTGATGTTTTAAGACTTGTTTTATGACCTAACATATATTCTAACCTTGAGAATGATCCACGTGCTGGGTAAAAGAAGGTGTATTTTGCAGTCCTTGGAAGAAGTGTTTTGTAAATGTCTGTTACATCCATTTGGTCTGTAATGTACATTAAGTGTGATGTTTCTGTGTTGATTTTATGTCTGGAAGAACTGTCCAATGCTGAAAGTAGGGTGTTGAAGCCCCCAGCCATTATGCTATTGGGACCTATCTCTCCCATTAGTTGTAATAGTGTTTCCTTTATATACCTTGGTGCTACAGGGTTGGGTGCACATATATGTAAAGTTCTTATAGCCTTTTGTTGAACTGATCCCTTCATTATTATATAGTGACTTTTTTTCCTCTTACATTTTGTGTCTTGAAATCTATTTTGTTTGCTAGGAATATAGCTAATCCTGCTTCTTTTTGGTTCCATTCGCATGGAGCATCTCTTTCTATCCCTTTATTTTCAGTCTATGTGTGTCTTCAGAAGTGAAGTGTGTTTCTGGCAGGCAACAGATCAATGTGTCTTGTTTTTTCATACATTCAGCCAGTCTATGTCTTTTCATGGAAGAGTTTAGCCCATTTACATTCAATGTTACTATTGATAAGTAGGAACTTACTCCTGTCATTTTGATTTTTATGTTCAGATGTTTTTGTGATCTTATCTTCCTTCTTTCTTTCCTTTCTGTCTTTTCTTAGGATGATTTTTCTGTGGGTAGATGATTTAGTTCCTTGCCTTCGAATTTTTGTGTATATATTGCATGTTCTTTAGTTTCAGGTTACCTTGAGGCTTGCAAATAATATCTTATAAACCATTATTTTTAATCTGATATTTACTTAAGACGATTTTGACAAACAAACAGCAAACAAAAATAAAACTAATAAAGCTGCATCTTAACTTTGTCCCACTGCTTTCTAATTTTTTGTCATTTCTTTCTGTATCTCATTGTGTTGACTGTGTCTTGAAAAGTTGTGCTTTTCCATTTTGATTGGTTTATCCTTTAGGCTTTCTACTTAGAATAAGAGCGCTTTACACACTACAGTTACTTTTTTAAAATATTCTGTTTTTCTGTGTACTTACAATGACCACTGAGTTTTGTACCTTCAGTTGATTACTTATTGTTCAGTTGATTACTTATTGTTCAGTACCATCCTTTTCTTTCTGATTGAAATACTCCTTGTAACATTTCTTGTAGGACAGGGCTAGTGATGATGAAATCCCTCAGGTTTTGATTCTCTGGGCCCATTTTTATTTCTCCTTCATGTTTGAAGGATAGTTGTTTCAGATATATCATTCTAAGGTTAAAATTTTTTTCTTTCAGCACTTTAAATATGTCATGCCACTCTCTCCGGGCCTGTAAGGTTTCCACTGAAAAGTCTGCTGCCAGACATATTGGAGCTCCATTGGATGTTATTTGTTTCTCTTCTCTTGCTGCTTTAAGAAAAGTTCTTTATCCTTGATTTTTGGGAGTTTCATTAATGAATAACTTGAAGCACCCTTCTTTCAGTTAAGTCTCCTTGGTGTTCTATAACATACTTGTACTTGGATATGTGTCTCTTTCTCTAGGTTTGGGAAGTTCTCTATTATAATCTCTTTGGAGAAACTTTCTACTCATATGTGTTTCTGTACCTCCTCCTTAAGGCCAATAACTCTTAGATTTGTCCTTTTGAAGCTATCTTCTAGATCCTGTAGACATGCTTCATTGCTTTCTACTCGGTTTTTCTTTTGTCTTTTCTGACAAAAGACCATTTTCAAATAGCCTTTCTTCAAGCTTATTAATACCATCTTCTGTTGATTGATTCTGCTATTAACAGAATTTGAGAGATTCTGCAGCCTATCACTTGCATTTTTCAGCTCTACAATCTCTGCTTGATTCATTTTCATTCTTTGAAACTTACTGTTAATTTTCTGTCTCGTTGATCTGTCTAATGTTGACAGTGGGTTGTTAAAGTCTCCCATTATTATTGTGTGGGAGTCTAGGTCCCTTTGTAGGTCTCTAAGGACTTCCTTTATGAATCTGGGTGCTCCTGTATTGGCTGCGTATATATTTAGGATAGTTAGCTCTTCTTGTTGAATTGATCCCTTTACCATTATGTAATGGCCTTCTTTGTCTCCTTTGATCTTTATTGGTTTAAAGTCTGTTTTATCAGACACTAGGATTGCAACCCCTGCCTTGTCTTGTTTTCCACTGGCTTGGTAGATCTTCCTCCATCCCTTTATTTTGAGCCTATGTGTGTCTCTGCACGTGAGATGGGTTTCCTGAATACAGCACACTGATGGGTTGTGACTCTTTATCCAATTTGCCACTCTGTGTCTTTTAATTGGAGCATTTAGCCCATTTACATTTAAGGTTAATATTGTTATGTGTGAATTTGATCCTGTCATTGTGATGTTAGCTGGTTATTGTGCTCCTTAGTTGATGCAGTTTCTTCCTAGCTTCGATGGTCTTTACAGTTTGGCATGTTTTTGCAGTGGCTGGTACCAGTTGTTCCTTTCCATGTTCAGTGCTTCCTTCAAGAGCTCTTTCAGGGCAGGCCTGGTGGTGACAAAATCTCTCAGCATTTGCTTGTCTATAAAGGATTTTATGTCTCCTTCACTTATGAAGCTTAGTTTGGCTGGATATGAAATTCTGGTGAAAATTCTTTACTTTAAGAATGTTGAATATTGGCCCCCACTCTCTTCTGGCTTGTAGAGTTCCTGCCGAGAGATCAGCTGTTAGTCTGATGGGCTTCCCTTTGTGGGTAACCCGACCTTTCTCTCTGGCTGCCCTTAACATGTTTTCCTTCATTTCAACTTTGGTGAATCTGACAATTATATGTCTTGGAGTTGCTCTTCTCGAGGAGTATCTTTGTGGCGTTCTCCGCATTTCCTGAATTTGAATGTCGGCGTGCCTTGCTAGATTGGGGAAGTTCTCCTGGATAATATCCTGCAGAGTGGTTTCCAGCTTGGTTCCATTCTCCCCATCACTTTCAGGTACACCAATCAGACGTAAATTTGCTCTTTTCACATAATCCCGTATTTCGAGGAGGCTTTGTTCATTTCTTTTTATTCTTCTTCTCTAAACTGCTCTTCTCGCTTCATTTCACTCATTTGATCTTCCATCACTGATACCCTTTCTTCCAGTTGATCGAATTGGCTACTGAGGCTTCTGCATTCGTCATGTAGTTCTTGTGCCTTGGTTTTCAGCTCCATCAGGTCCTTTAAGGACTTCTCGGCATTGGTTATTCTAGTTAGCCATTCATCCATTTTTTTTTTCAAGGATTTTAACTTCTCTGCCATTGGTTCGAACTTCCTCCTTTAGCTCGGAGTAGTCTGATCGTCTGAAGCATTCTTCCTTCAACTCGTCAAAGTCATTCTCCGTGCAGCTTTGTTCTGTTGCTGGTGAGGAGCAGCGTTCCTTTGGAGGAGGAGAGGCACTCTGATTTTCAGAGTTTCCAGTTTTTCTGCTCTGTTTTTTCCCCATCTTTGTGGTTTTATCTACCTTTGGTCTTTGATGATGGTGACGAACAGAAGGTGTTTGGGGGGGATGTCCTTTCTGTTTGTTAGTTTTCCTTCTGGAATTGAACTCAGCTCTGCAACAAGCAGACCGAATAGACATCTACAGAACTCTCCACCCCAAATCAACAGGATATACATTCTTCTCAGCACCACATCGCTCTTATTCCAAAATTGACCACATAGTTGGAAGTCAAGCACTCCTCAGCAAATGGAAAAGAACAGAAATTATAACAAACTGTCTCTCAGACCACAGTGCAATCAAACTAGAACTCAGGATTCAGAAACTCACTCAAAACCGCTCAACTACAGGGAATCTGAACAACCTGCTCCTGAATGACTACTGGGTACATAACGAAATGAAGTCAGAAATAAAGATGTTCTTTGAAATCAACGAGAACAAAGACACAACATACCAGAATCTCTGGAACACATTCAAAGCAGTGTGTAGAGGGAAATTTATAGCACTAAATGCCCACAAGAGAACGCAGGAAAGATCTAAAATTGACACCCTAACATCACAATTAAAAGCACTAGAGAAGCAACAGCAAACACATTCAAAAGCTAGCAGAAGGCAAGAAATAACTAAGATCAGAGCAGAACTGAAGGAAACAGACATACCAAAAACCCTTCAAAAAAAACCAATGAATCCAGGAGCTGGTTTTTTGAAAAGATCAACAAAATTCATAGACCACTGGCAAGACAAATAAGGAAGGAAAGAAAGAATCAAATAGACACAATAAAAAACAATAAAGGGGATATCACCACCGATCCCACAGAAATACAAACTACCATCAGAGAATACTATAAACACCTCTATGCAAATAAACTAGAAAATCTAGAAGAAATGGATAAATTCTTCGACACATACAACATCCCAAGACTAAACCAGGAAGTTGAATCTCTGAATAGACAAATCAAAGGATCTGAAATTCAGGCAATAATTAATAGCTTACCAACCAAAGAAAGTCCAGGACCAGATGGATTCACAACCGAATTCTACCAGAGGTAAAAGAAGGAGCTGGTACCATTCCTTCTGAAACGATCCCAATCAACAGAAAAACAGGGAATCCTCCCTAACTCATTTGATGAGGGCAGCATCATCCTGATACCAAAGCCTGGCAGAGACACAACAAAAAAAGAGAATTTTAGACCAGTATCCCTGATGAACATCGATGCAAAAATCCTCAATAAAATACTAGCAAACCGAATCCAACAGCACATCAAAAAGCTTATCCACCATGATCAAGCGGGCTTCATCCCACGGATGCAAGGCTGCTTCAACATACACAAATCAAGAAATGTAATCCAGCATATAAACAGAATCGACGACACAAACCATATGATTATCTCAATAGATGCAGAAAAGGCCTTGACAAAACTCAACAACGCTGCATGCTAAAAACTCTCAATAAATTAGGTATTGATGGGACGTATCTCAAAATAGTAACAGCTATCTATGACAAACCCACAGCCAATATCATACTGAATGGGCAAAAACCGGAAGCATTCCCTTTGAAAACTGGCACAAGACAGGGATGCCCTCTCTCACCACTCCTATTCAATATAGTGTTGGAAGTTCTGGCCAGGGCAATCGGGCAGGAGGAAGAAATAAAGGGTATTCAATTCGGAAAAGAGGAAGCCAAATCGTCCCTGTTTGCAGACGACATGATTGTATATCTAGAATACCCCATCGTCTCAGCCCAAAATCTCCTTAAGCTGATAGGCAACTTCAGCAAAGTCTCAGGATACAAAATCAATGTGCAAAAACCACAAGCATTCTTATAACACCAATAACAGACAAACAGAGATCCAAATCATGAGTGAACTCCCATTCACAATTGCTTCAAAGAGAATAAAATACCTAGGAATCCAACTTACAAGGGATGTGAAGGACCTCTTCAAGGAGAACTACAAACCACTGCTCAACGAAATAAAAGAGGATACAAACAAATGGAAGAACATTTCAAGTTCATGGGTAGGAAGAATCAATATCGTGAAAATGGCCATACTGCCCAAGGTAATTTACAGATTCAATGCCATCCCCATCAAGCTACCAATGACTTTCTTCACAGAACTGGGAAAAACTACTTTAAAGTTCATATGGCACCAAAAAAGAGCCCGCATCGCCAAGTCAATCCTAAGTCAAAAGAACAAAGCTGGAGGCATCACACTACCTGACTTCAAACTATACTACAAGGCTACAGTAACCAAAACAGCATGGTACTGGTACTAAAACAGAGATATAGACCAATGGAACAGAACAGAGCCCTCAGAAATAACGCCACATATCTACAACCATCTGATCTTTGACAAACCTGACAAAAACAAGAAATGGGGAAAGGATTCCCTATTTAATAAATGGTGCTGGGAAAAATGGCTAGCCATATGGAGAAAGCTGAAACTGGATCCCTTCCTTACACCTTATACAAAAATTAACTCAAGATGGATTAAAGACTTAAATGTAAGACCTGAAATCATAAAAACCCTAGAAGAAAACCTAGGCAATACCATTCAGGATATAGGCATGGGCAAAGACTTCATGACTAAAACACCAAAAGCAATGGCAACAAAAGCCAAAATTGACAAATGGGATCTAATTAAACTAAGGAGCTTCTGCATAGCAAAATAAACTATCATCAGTGAACAGGCAACCTACAAAATGGATGAAAATTTTTGCAATCTATCCATCTGACAAAGGGCTAATATCCAGAATCTACAAGGAACTTAAACAAATTCACAAGAAAAAAAAACAAACAACCCCATCAAAAAGTGGGCAAAGGATATGAACAGACACTTCTCAAAAGAAGATATTTATGCGGCCAACAAACATGAAAAAAAGCTCATCATCACTGGTCATTAGAGAATTGGAAATCAAAACCACAGTTAGATAACCTCTCATGCCAGTTAGAATGGCAATCATTAAAAAGTCAGGAAACAACAGATGCTGGAGAGGATGTGCAGAAATAGGAACACTTTTACACTGTTGGTGGGAGTGTAAATTAGTTTAACCATTGTGGAAGACAGTGTGGCTACTCCTTAAGGATCTAGAACCAGAAATATCATTTGACTCAGCAATCCCATTACTGGGTATATACCCAAAGGACAATAAATCATTCTACTATAAAGACACATGCACGCATATGTTTATTGCGGCACTATTCACAATAGCAAAGACTTGGGACCAACCCAAATTCCCATCGATGATAGGCTGGATAAAGAAAATGTGGCACATATACACCATGGAATACTATGCAGCCATAAAAAAGGATGAATTCATGTCCTTTGCAGGGACATGGATGAAGCTGGAAACCATCACTTGCAGCAAACTAACACAGGAACAAAACCAACCACTGCATGTTCTCACTCATAAGTGGGAGTTGAACAATGAGAACATATGGACAAGGGAGGGGAACATCACACACCAGGGCCTATTGGGGGTTGGGAGCTAGGAGAGGGATAGCATTAGGAGAAATACCTAATGTAGATGACGGGTTGATGGGTGCAGCAAACCACCATGGCAGGTGTATACGTATGTAACAAACCTGCATGTTCTGCACATGTATCCCAGAACTTAAAGCATAATTTAAAAAATAAAAATAAAAAATAAGCAATTCATACTTGTTTAAATTAAATGTAAATTTCTTTAAATTTCTATATAACATGTCAGAAGCATGATACCATCTTTAAATGACTGTACTATATATTACTTTTAGCGTTTGTGAATTCCCATATGTCATGGAGAAATAAATTATGAAATATAAATATGCTGTCATTTTTTTTGCAATAATGAAAATTTATCAAATGCACTGTATTACACCATTTGAATGTGGCATATAAAATCTATGGTTTATTAGTTAATTTAAATATTGCATTAACAATGTCTTATTCTATAAAATTTAACACAATCTTATTTGCAACTTCAATTGCCACAGCTCCCACTGAAAACAGAGACTGCCACAGATTGACCCACAGGTACTGGACTTTTCTCCACAATCGCCATTACCAGCTGAGTGTGCCATGTTCTTTCTTCCAGGAAAATCACAGCTCAGCACGACTGGTGCAGTATTCTTAAGAAGACCTTCCTGTTCCTAACACAGTATCCGTATCTAAAAGCAATAAGGTCATCATTCTCAATCAAAAAAAGATGAATTATTTATGAACCTTAGAAATCATGAGTGGTATAAATAAGGATGATAAAAGGAAAGAGTATCTTTCTTCTCAACAGAATTAAAAATTTAAAAAATCAGACTATTCTTAGTTAAATAAACAGCATATGGATAGTGTCATGAGTAGCCTGCTTATTCATTCTTAATCCCTTATCAATCTCTTATTTCTATGGATTAGCTTCTTAGCACAGCTCATTTATGCAGAAGAACCTTGTCCAAATAAGGGAGAGAAATACTCTTGAAATGTTTGGCAGGCCACGAGTGCAGAATATTTGAAAGAAAATGTCATGTCGTGTCCACCTGGGTATATTTACATGTCTTTTCTTGATTTGTGAACCAAACAGTGTAGACTCCACTTGTCTTCAGTGGCTGTTTGAAGAATTTAAAAGAGTGAGACACCACTAGATCTCTGTGCCATCAGACAACCTAGGGTATTGGTTGAGACAGGTAAGCCTGAGTGTATGCTGAAAAGTATTTACTAGAGGATAGATGGGAGTGAGTTTCAGAAAACAGACTGATCTTGACAGTGAGCCTCTCTCCTACAGAAATCATTCATTGTGGGTAACTTTGGGAAGACAATGAGTTTTCATGTAAAGAAGGATGTTTTTGCTTTGGTTTTTGTTTTGTTTTGTTTTTGTTTTGTTTTGTTTTAGTTCTTGTAGTAAACTGATGGGAGGGAGAATGCTGGAACCCTTGTCAAGTCACTGATAGAAGGGGCTAACTGACCATACAAGCAATTGGTTTAGTGATATAATGTGCCAGAAAAGCTACACAGCTGAGCTGACATCTCCAGAATGAAACAATCGTCATTCCCACAGATAAGCATACAGCTGCTTTTCTGGCTTAGGTAGGGTCACGAATTTCATTTTCTTTTATTTATTTTAAACTTCATTTTATTTTCATGACATTGGAAAGATAAATATGATTCATACAGCTTGATGTTGTAGCTCAGGTGAGGCTATGGAATAGTAGCTGGCTTGCTGAGTCAATTAAGCAATAATTAATCACTTATTGACTGCAGAAACATACCAAGTTTATTTAAAGTTTGGTGTGATGGCAGCAGGGTATGTGTGTACAAATGTGTGTATGCGTCTGTAAAGTGTCTTCTCTGGTCTCCAGAAACCTAGAGATGAAATTGTGTTCCTGAAAATAGCCTGATTAAAATGCACTCTTTCCTGAACTCTTGTGGTTGTCTCATTGGTTTCCCACATCCACTTTTACTTATACTCATATCAGCCTGAGCAATTGGAGCCATTGGCCTGGAACACAAATCTGATTATGACATTCCACTGTTTAAACTCTCCAATGGCTTCAATTTTGTTGGAAAATAAAACTAAATTCTTTATGATGACATGAAATGACCATCACCATTGGCACTTGTCATAGCTTCCTTTACGCACCCTCACATAACCAAAAGATAAACTACACTGGACTGTTCCCAGAAAACAGCATAGGATGTTTAATTCCAAGCTTTTGAACATTCTCTTTTATTGCCTAGAATGCTGCTACTACCACACTCCATGAAGTCTTAACTCGAGTTTTAGCCTGGAGAAGCGTGAGTCTACTTTGAAAGACAGATACCCAAAATAGACAATTAGTCTTCTGCAGCAAAGCAGCAGATAAAGAGAATTGAAAATACCCTTGCAATGAACACCTAGTTAGTGCTGAACTAGATATAAAAAAGAATTCTTTCATGTACTTAGTTGAGATCGTAATTTCTGGTGTCCGAAATTAAGAAAAAACTGCTAAGTAAGAAGTATGTGAGTTAATATTAATGCTGTAACTACTACAGGGATAAGAATGATAAGGGGTTGTGGGTATCAGTAATATAAGAATTGGAGCTTTTGACATCCATCTGAGAACAGATTAGGCCTTTGGCTTATGGAGGAAAATAATTTGAAGTAAAATCCTGGCTTAAAGACAGGAACCTTGAAGGTCTGCATCTTTGGCTAAATGATGAGGTATGGGGGAATAAAAGAAATGACAAATTAAGATTCCTAACAATCCAGGGATACGACAAGTGAGAAATTTTGTGTTTTCATGTCTCTGGGTAGGAAAAAACCGTGAAAATATCTCTTCTAAAAATTCAAAGCTCTAGGTCTGTGCCACATGTGGATATGAAACTACACTCCACCTGTGTGATGCAGGAAACCTCAAGCCAAGAAATTGGCATAAAATTGGAAATAAACTGCCTTTATCCCTGGACATTGGCAAACATGAAATCATCCTGAAAGAATTTGCCTCCAGTCCAGATGACTCACAGCTTCCTGAAACTACTCATAGACATATAATAGTGAAACCGCAGACCAACAACAGGGGAACAATCCTTTCTTTTTTTTTTTATTATACTTTAAGTTTTAGGGTACATGTGCACAATGTGCAGGTTAGTTACATATGTATACATGTGCCATGTTGGTGTGCTGCACCCAGTAACTCGTCATTTAACATTAGGTATATCTCCATTTGGGGAACAATCCTAAGAGCTACCAAGGGAGGGAGAAGTTCACCTAACAAGAAGTAATATACCATTACATGGGTGTAAGTTTCTCAAAAGCAGTAAAAGAAGCCAAAAGACAATGAAATCATTACTTCAGGCAATGGAAGAAAGTAATTGCAAACCTAGCAATCTGTAACTGACTGATTATAATGTAAAAATGAACATACATTCAGATAAAGAAAGACTGAGAGGTCACCAGATTATAGATTTTGCTATAATGTTAATGGAACTACTATATAAAAATAAAAATTACACTCAGAGGAAGGACTGAGATGTAACAAGCAATGGTGAAAAAGAAGCTGATAAATACGTGGGTAATTTAAGCATGAGCTACATAAAACAATAACTGTAGCTTAACTTTAGATGGGCATAAAATGAAATGGAATTAAAATACTAGACATCTAAGAAGGGAAGAGGATGATCTCTGTAAAAAGTGATCTAAGAACTTTATTGTGCAAAAGGGGAGTAGAGGCACTGATAAGTTTAGAGTTTAAGTCACTTCTTTAAAATCTCAAAATTGATGACTAAAACATTAGAAATAAAATGTGAAAAAAAGGAAAACAGAAATGGATGAAATGTATTATTTATATGCTAATGGAGGAAAATGTAACAAAGATGAGCAGATTAGTAAATAGAATGCAAGAAAGGAGGGAGGTAAACTGAAGCAAAGAGAGAATCTAGAAAGAAATGCAAAAAGAAAATGGTACAAATATATTGAAATATATCTGTCATCACAATAAATGTAAATGTCCTTAATTGTCAGTTAAAATCAATGGTCTTATATTGCATATAAAACATGTAGCCATATGTTGTTTATAAGAGAGATGATTAAAATGTAAAGACCTTGAGACGTTTAAGATAAAGGAATGGAAGAAAACAAATCAGGATTAATGTGCCATGGGTATATTAATATCAATATTAAGCAAAACAGAATTTAGACAAAAGAGCATTTTTAGTTATATGATAATGCTAAAATGTATACTAAAGAGATATTAGTGGGAATTTATAAGCACCTAACACATAACATCAAAACATGTAAAACCAAAAATATTAGAATTATAAAGAGAAAAATCATAAATATATGATCATGGTGGAAGATTTTAATATCTCTTGCTCAGAAACTAATGAATCAATCAGTAATATATATAAAGACTATAAAATATTTGTATATCAAAATTAGCAAGCTTTATTTAATGGACATATAGAATCTCACACGTAGCAATTAGATAATAAAATTTTTTTTAAAGCACCAATGGGGCTTTATTAAAAAATTAACCACATTTTTTGTGGCACATAAACACCATGGAATATTATGCAGCCATAAAAAAGGATGCGTTCATGTCCTTTGCACAGACATGGATGAAGCTGGAAACCATCATTCTCAGCAAACTAACACAAGAACAGAAAACCAAACACCGCATGCTCTCACTCATAAGTGGGAGCTGAACAATGAGAACACATGGACACAGGAAGGGGAACATCACACACCGGGGCCTGTCAGGGGGTGGGGGACTAGGGGAGGGATAGCATTAGGAGAAATACCTAATGTAGATGACAGGTTGATGGGTGCAGCAAACCACCATGGCACGTGTATACCTATGTCAGCAACCTGCACGTTCTGCACATGTATCCCAGAACTTAAGGTATAATTAAAAAAAATAATTTTAATCCACAAAGAAAATCTTAACAAATACCAATCAATATCATATGGACTATCCATATGGTTTGAGATGAAATGAAATAACAGAAATAAAAAGCTAAAAGAAAACGAATTCCTTGCTACTTAGAAAGATTAAAATATATTTATAATAACTTATGGAACAAAGAGAAAGCCATAATAGAAATTAAATCATATTTTGAAATGAATGACAATGAAAACATTTCGTATCAACAGTTGTGATACACAGCCAAAGCAGTAATGACAGGGAAAGGTTTAGACCCAACTGCATACATCAGAAAAGATGAAAAGCTTAAAACGAGGGAGCCAAATGTGCTACACAAAAACCTAAAACAAAGAATAGCAGCACAAAAGCAAATAAAGTAGAAAAGGAGCATGTAAATATAAAAACCGAAGTAAAGAAAAAACAAAGAAATAATAGGAGCAATAATACAAAATGTATGTTTTTTTAAAAAAAGTCAAATAGATAAAAACTCTAGAAATAAAGATTAAAAGGGTAAACAAAAGAGCCAAATAAACAATATTATAAGTGAAAGTATGAACGTAACTGCAAATATACTTATAAAATTGTAAAAGTATAAAGGAATATTATGAACAACTTTCTGCCAGTATACACTTAAACATGTATAAGATGGACAATTTCCTAGCAAAACTTCTCAGAAGTGTGTCATAAAAACACTGAAAACCTGAATAAACTTATAACCAGTAAATATATTAAATCAGTAGATAAAAATCTGCCTGTGAAAATATGTCAACACGCACACACATAAACATATATGCACATATCCAGGAAATTTTCTAGTCAAGTTCTATCAAACCTTTAAGGAAGAGAGACCCCCGTATCATACAAAGTGTTCTTGGGGCCCAGCTTCAGTGTGATTGAAAAGCATCTTGGAAAGTTACGATGCGCAGTAGCCAAGGATGAGAACCACTGATCTGGAACTACCCCTTCATTTTGTAGCTGAGAAAGGTGAGACTTAGCCAGGTAAAGTGATTCAGCTCACGGAGCCAGTTATGTTCCTTGAATTGCAGGTGATATTTTTATTGGCACGGGAAGATCTCGTGAAAATCTCACTTGGACATTTTTCTCATACTGACCTGCAAATCTTACACTTTTCATACCTTTTCTCTTTTGGGAATGGTTATCAGTAGTAGAAAGTTGTGTTTTTGATGAGCCCATGATAGGAAGTAATACGTGGTTACTGAGCGCCATTTCACTTTGGAGCAGTTTTGAAATTGAAATCAAATTTTTCAGGAGGAGTAAAGCAGCAGAAAACAAATTTCCCACTTGACCAGCTCAACATTAGGTTTTCACAACACAGAAAACGAAATAGAAGTATTTCCTACTTTTTTTTTTTTTTTTTTTTTTGAGACAGAATCTCACTCTGTCGCCCAGGCTAGAGTGCAGTGGCGCAATCTCGGCTCACTGAAACCTCTGCCTCCCGGGTTCAAGCAATTCTCCTGCCTCAGCCTCTGAGGTAACTGGGATTACAGGCACATGCCACCACGCCTAGCTAATTTTTGTATTTTTAGTAGAGAGGGGGTTTCGCCATGTTGGCCAGGATGGTCTCGAACTCCCCACCTCAGATGATCCACTTGCCTCGGCCTCCCAATGTGCTCGGATTACAGGTGTGAGCCACCACGCCCGGCCCCTTCTGTGTTTCTTATACTTAATCTCAAGAAAAGGCTATCCCCAGTTTCTTCCTGGCTAAAGAACAAACAATGAGAAAAAAACTAACTTCTTGTTAATTGTGGCCAAGTTGTGAAAAATTAGGATTTTCAAAATGATTTTACTAAAGCTAGAGGGAAAGCAAAATGAAAACAAACTAAAAGAAAGGGAGGATCAGAAAAATAGTCATATCTCAACTGCAGTTTTCTAACCTGAGGAGATACCGATATGGTAAGAAGGTCCTCATGCATAATAAGAACCCTGCCCAGAAAAGATCCCCATTGCATTCAGAAGGTCTTTTCATACAGAACTTGAATCAGCTGAATTCGATCAAGGGTGATCAGAGTGTTGATGGCCCAGCTCCAAGTGCATCGAGCAAACCTACACTTTTCCTGGTACATAGTAGCAAGATCATAAAGCACTAAAACTCAAAACCATCCTCCAACCACCTTCCCTTTGTCCTGTGGTTATCTCCTCACAAGTGCCTACAACATCTTACTCTTTGTCAATACTTTCGCCTTTTACTTTTGTCAACGGAACAAGTCTACAACCTCCAGGCCTTAGAATTAGTGGCCTCCAAGGTCCATCCATGAGATAATGAGGTAAGATGTTTCCAAATCATTTCAATAATCTGAGAGCACTTCTTCATCAGAACTCTGGCAAAACTCAGTGCTAACTTCAGTGACTTTGTTTTCACTGCTTACTAATGTTCTAGTCAAATCATAAAGGTCCTTTTGCCATTGAGGTGTTCAAATGAGATAGCAGGTCTCATCACAACGGTAACAACACACAGGTTTTGTCTTGAAACTGCCTATCAAAAATGGGCTTCCATAGAGTGCTACTACATTTTCAGAGGTAGGCAGCTTAGTGGATTAAATAAAAGTTAACAGTAATCCAAACTTTAATTTTACCTTTAAGTATCCATTCTATTTTCTCTGCAAACCTAGGAATTTGCTATTGGAATGTGATAATTTATGCATTTTCTGCAGTGCTTTCTTCCAAATGTCTGACAAGAGTTAGTGTCATTTTAAAAATCAGTATCAGTTTCTACAACTGTCATATTTTTTCTCTTTCTTTATAATGAATTTATTGTCTAAACACATACTTGTATGTGCAGCAACATGGATGCAGCTGGAGGTCATTTTCCTAAGTGAATTAACGCAGGAACAGAAAATCAGATACCACGAGTTCTCACTTATAAGCAGGGGCTAGACACTGGGTATTTATGGACACAGGATGGCAACAATAGACACTTGGGGACTAATCGGGGGGGGTTGTTTTTCAATCCAGTGAGTACTATGCTTACCACTTGGGTTACAGGATCATTCATATCCCAAACCTTAGCATCACGCAATATGCCCATATTACAAACCTGCACATGTACCCTCTGAATCTAAAATAAAGAATAATTTTTTTTTTTTTGAGATGGAGTTTCACTTTTGTTGCCCAGGCTGGAGTGCAATGGCATGATCTCGGCTCACTGCAACCTCTGCCTCCCGGGTTCAAGCGATTCTCCTGCCTCAGTTTCCCGAGTAGCTGGGATTACAGGTGCCCGCCACCACAACCGGCTAACTTTTTGTAATTTTAGTAGAGACAGGGTTTCACCATGTTGGCCACGCTGGTCTCGAACTTCTGACCTTAGGTGAGCCACCCGCCTCAGCCTCCCAAAGTGCTGGGATTACAGGCATGAGCCACCGTGCCAGGCCAGGATGAAATTATTTTTTTAAAAAGCACTGAAGCAGTCTTTTATGAAAATAATGTACATATCTAGTTTAATTTATTATATGAACAATTACTGCTAAATTTTTAACATTGAAATTTTGTTTTACTTTGCTCACAAAATAGGGCCAAGTAACTCAAGAGTTCACTGGACATTGTCTTTGAAAGCATAAAAAGACTAGGCTCTCAAAAACAGAGAAACTGAGTGCTTTTGGCTTTATTTTGACTGTTTCTTCCTCTAAACTATGATTTCCTATCATCTTTGAAACCAAGCAAAATAACAGCTCTTAAATGAAAGAAGAAACCATATCTCAAAGGAGATTAGCTTAAACCCCAGTGTAATCTCTCCATTTTCTCCTACATCTAAGGATTGCATTGATCATTTCTAAGAGTCACTACCAGACTGACAAAATAAATCTTTCCAAAAGTAGCAGAGAAATTGCCAGATTTTCACTGGTGTGAGAATCTATAAGTATGGACATTGATATTCTCCCATCCTTACCCTGCCTCAGGACATAGTCTAGTGTTTCTTAATGAAAAGCAATTTATATAAAAAAATTCTCTTTTCAAATAGAAAGTTACTAGGTTGAGATATCTTACAAGACTGAGCAGAAGACAAACGCAGTACAAAAATGATTCTGGATAATGCACATATTTTTAATCAATAAAATAATTGTGTTTTCATATTGCTATCCTGGGATCAAACGATTGTAGAACAGGCTTATCATTTTGAGACTGTTACCCAAATTGTATCTAAAATTTTACCTCTAAAAAGGAGTCAACTAGTGCGGGTGACTCTGTTAACTATAGCTAGGCAAGTTCTCAGCACACCCTCCCACCTCCCTTATTTTTGCTGCGCTGGAGAATGCCCACTTCGTGTGGTCATGACAGTGGCATCTAAAATGGTGTCTCCTCCCAATTACCCACCTCCTGCTCTCTGCCACAGGGGAATGGACCTGATTTAGGCTGAGTCATTCAAAATAGAACATCCTTTTTGTCACAGTGATTGGTCCAAGGGAGACATAATTAAAGCATGTCCTGTCAGAGTCCTCCCCTGGAAGACTTTCAGAAGAAAGTTATTTTTCTATTGGAGTTGTTCAACTGGGAACATATGAAGCCTAGTTGTTGCCAGAAACTCCACAGTCTTGTGGGAAAACCACATCTGCAGCTGATGAGAATAAGGCCAATGTATAGTCAGGGACAGAGTTAAAATGTGTGATGAGCAGGGGAGAGAAATCGAAAAAGTATATGGGAGAGCCCATTGACATGCTTTCTACAGGAAGAAACCAAATCAAGTCCATTCACAGTTACGTACATTAGAGTCATTGTTTTCATAGTAACATCTCTGTGCCTCAGTTTTTTCATTTGTGAAATAGGCAAAACTATATTAATCATGCAAGGTTTTTAGTAGTAAATGAGAGGATGTGATAAGCATAATGTAGAAGCTCATTCAATGTTAGTTTCCCAAAATATAGCTTATCTGACTATCTTGAGATAGGTAAGTTTGAGTCATACTTTAATCCTTTAGATTACATTTGCAGTGAGGTTATAGTAACACCTTAATTAACTGCTTGGCAAAGACAGAAATGTTGTCTATAGCTACAAATTCCAAATTATATCACCGAGCACAATAAAGCATAACACTGATGTGAAGAAGATGGGAGGGGCAAAATGTGATTTAAGGGAGTAGCTAAGGTGTAATCTGTTGTTGTGAGATAATATTGTCAGAAGATAAAAGTTGGAAAGGCTGTCTGGGACAGCTTTTATTTTCTGGGACAACTGCATGTAGATTTGCCATGTGGGGAATCTATGCAGGCAATAATATTGTTCAGGCTGATAAGATGTAAGAGACTATCTGGAAACATTATGAAACCAGACATGTATCACAATTGCAACAGAACCACTACAAGTAATATAGAATAAAGCATTTATTATAGGCATTATTTGATTATATGCTATTGTAGGAAGTGGTAAAGAAATCTATATTTTCCCATTACTTCTGAGTCTTGTGTTTACTCTGAAGACAGCAGGACAGGCAGTAAGGAAGGAAAGATGCCTGCAAAATGGTGGAGAAAAGGGATAACCAGAATTCCCAAAGATAAGCAGAAATCCACATCAGTTTCCCGCGACCTCTAAACCTTCAACTTGGATGATGCAGATGAAGTGCAAGAGAAGTCAATGTCCTTCATCGGGAAGCTAAACACACACCTGGCCCAACAGTCAGAGAAGATGAAGCTGAAGATACCGCAGGAGCTGAAGGAGTTACAAGTCTGTCTCTAATACCTACATCAAAAAGGTGAGGCAGCAGATCAGTGACAACGTGCATGGACTGTCACACTGCAAAACCCTACACTAATCTTCTCTGGGTAAACATGGGTGCTGTTTCTCAGTGTAAACATATGTGTACGTGTGTGTGTATGATATTGATTGTGATTACTTACATGCCATGCAATTTGCCATTTAAAAGTGTATAATCTAGCACACTTTTAGTATATTCGCAAGGTTGTAAAATTATTGCCGCAACCAATTTTAGAACATTTTCACCCAAAAAGGCACTCCATTCCCTTTAGCCCTTTAGCGGTCATGCCCATTTCCTCCATTCCCCAGTGCTAAGCAATTTCTACTCTATTTTTGTATCTGTGAATTTGCTTATTCCAGAGATTTAACGTAAATGGAATCGTGTGTTCCTTTGCGACTGGCTTCTTGCACTTAGCATTTTGTTTAAGGTTCATCCATATTGTAGTATGTATCAATACTTCATCTTTTGCATTGCAGAATCATATTTATTTGCATGGATGCATCTCATTTTATGTATTGAATCAGTGGATGGACATTTGAGTTGATTCAATTTTGCTGTTATAAATAATGATACTATAAATAATCATGTTCATGTTTCTGGGTGGACATACGTCTTCATTTCTCACAAGTATATACCCAGAAATAGAATTGCTGGATGAAATGGTAACTCTATGGTTAACCATTTGAGAACAATGCCAGGCTTTTTTTAGCAGCTGCACCATTTTACATTCCCACCAGCAATGATTGAGGGTTCCAATTTCTCCACATTCTCAGCAACGCTTTTTATTGTTTTTTAAAATTAATATTATAGCCATACCAATTGGTATGCAGTAGTATCTCATTGTGGTTTTGATTTGCATTTTCCTGATGATTAACGATCTTGAATATTTTTTTCATGTGCTTATTGATCAACTGTATACCTACTTTGGAAAAATGTCTATTCAAGACCTTTGCACACTTTTTATTTGGGTGTTTTCTCTTTTTCATGCTGAGCTGGAGGAGTTCTTTACATATTTTACATATTAGTCACTTATGTGATATACAGTTTGAAAATAGTTTATCTCATTCTCTGGGATGTCCATTCATTTTATTGATAGTGGCTTTTGAGGCACTAAAGCTTTTAAGTTTTATGAGGTCCGGTGTTTCTACTTTTTTTGTCACTTGTGTGTTTGGTGTCACATCTAAGAAGCCATTGCCAAATCCAAAGTCATGAAGACTAAAACCTATGTTTTCTCTTAAGAGTTTTGTAGTTTTAGCTATTGCTGTAGGGCCTTTGTTTTATTTCAAGTTATTCGTGTATGGCCTGAGGTATAAGTCCGACATCATTCTTTTGCATATAATTTAATATAGACGAAAATCACAGTTTCAGGGGCAAGAAAACAGCATACTGGGAATCTGAGAACCTTAAATTTAGTCCTTTTCCTGACATTAATATGGTTGGTTCAATATTTGTCAATTATATATACTTTACTAATTAGGAGATTGAGATCTATGTGGGGATTTTTTGTCCTCTGGGATCTATTATGGACTGAGAGAGACGTATTAAAACCCTTCACTACTAATATGATTTTATTCTTCTCTTTTTACTCTTGAAATGCTTGCCTTATGAAAATTAATGCTATATTATTTAGCACATGGATTTTCATAATTGTTGGATCTCTGATGGGAATTGCAACCTTTATCATTACAAAGTGTTCCACTAAGCTTAAACAAATTTACGAGAAAAAAAAAACATTAAAAAGTGGGCCAAGGACACGAACAGAAACTTCTCAAAAGAAGACATTCATGCAGTCAACAACATGAAAAAAAGCTCAACATCACTGATCATTAGAGAAATGCAAATCAAAACCACAATGAAATATCATCTTATGCCAGTCAGAATGGCAATTATTAAAAAGTCAAGAAACAACAGATGCTGGCGAGGTTGCAAGGAAAACAGAAGGCTTTTACACTGTTGGTGGGGATGTAAATTAGTTCAACTACCGTGGAAGACAGTGTGGAGATTCTCTAAAGATCTAGAAGCAGAAATACCATTTGACCCAGCAATCCCATTACTGGGTATAAAACCAAAGGAATATAAATCATTCTATTATAAAGATACATGCATGTGTATGTTCATTGCAGCACTATTCATAATAGCAAAGACATGAAATCAACCCAAATGCCCATCAATGATAGACTGGATAAAGAAAATGTGGTACATATATACCACGGAATACTATGCAGCCATAAAAAGGAATGAGTTCATGTCCTTTGCAGGGACATGGATGGAGCTGGAAGCTATTATCCTCAGCAAACTAATGAAAGAACAGAAAACCAAACACCACACGTTCTCACTTATAAGTGGGAAAGTGGGAGCTAAATGATAACACATGGACACATGGCTGGGGAACAACACACACTGAGGGCTGTCAGGAGGGTACGGGGAGGGAGAGCATCAGGAAGGATAGCTAATCCATGCAGAGTTTAACACCTAGGTGACGGTTTGATCTGCACAGCAAACCACCATGACACACATTTACCTATGTAACAAACCTGCATATCCTGCACATGTACCCCAGGAACTTAAAATAAAAGTTGAAGAAAAAAAACCAACAAAGTGTTTCACTATTTTTTCTATTATAATGCTTTTTGCGATAAATTCAACATGTCCAATTTTAAAAGTATGAACCCTGATTTATTTTTGTTTGCATTTGCATGGTTTAACTCTCTCCATCATTTAATGTTAGTGTTTCTGAGTCATTTTTAAGTACAGGGGTTTTGCTATGTAATGAGATCTGAAAACATATCCTTTAAAAAGTGACTTTAGCTGATTTTATTTAAATGGTAGGCACTTACGGGCTTAGTTTGTCAAGTTATTTCACATTATGTTTTCTGTTTTAAAAGTCTTTAATATATTTTCTTTACTTTTTTGTGTATTTCTTCTGAAGCTTGGGAAGGGTTATATTTTTAATCTGCTAGTTTTGCTTTAATTATAAAAAACACATTTAATCCTCTCTTCTTTAGATAGTATTCTTTGCTTATAATGAACAATGGTAGAATTAGTATATTTCCACTTTCTCCACCTTTCCCTTCTACTTCTCTACTACCCAAATTTTGGTTAATTATTTTATTTCTCCAATGTTTATCTTTATCATTAAAAGTATCTGAGTTTTTATATTATTTTATCTAGTTACAATGATGGTTTGATCTCAGTTATGAAAGATGAACTTACTACCATAGAAAAAGCTAGCCATTTTCCTCTAGTTCTTCTCTTCCTTAATTACTTAATTTCTATATTATCAGAATTTACAGAATTTATATTTTTAAAATTTGTACTCATAATCTCTACATTTATTTTAATTGTAGCCCTACATTTCAATGGGTTCAATCCTTACTGCTAGACTTTTTGACTGAGTTTCCACTTATGTCCTCGTTATTTCTAGAGGCCTGTTATGAACTCAGCATGACCATTGTATTAGTTTCCCATTGCTGCAGTAGCAAATTACTACAAACTCAGTGGCTTGAACAACATAAATTGATTAACCTTCAGTTCTCTAGGGCAAAAGTCAGATGAATTTCTCACCAAGCAGAAATGAAGGAGTCAGTAGAGCTCTGTTCCTTTCTAAAGGCTCTAAGTGAGAATTGGTTTTTTTGTTTTGTTTTGTTTTGTTTTTTTTTTGTTTTGAGATGAAGTTTTGCTCTTGTTGCCCAGGGTGGAATGCAACGGCAAGATTTTGGCTCACCACAATCTCTGCCTCCCGGGTTCAAGCAATTCTCCTGCCTCAGGCTCCCGAGTAGCTGGGTTTACAGGTGTGCACCACCACGCCCAGCTAATTTTGTATTTTTAGTAGAGATGGGTTTCTCCATGTTGGCCAGGCTGGTCTCGAACTCCCAACCTCAGGTGATCCGCCTGCTTCGACCTCCCAAAGTGCCGGGATTACAAGCATGAGCCACTGTGCCCGGTCGAGAATTGCTTTATTGTACATTCAGGTTGTTGCAATTGTAGCACTAGCATTCCTGTTTCCTTTGAGGCTGTCAGATGAAGGTGATATCTAGCTTGTAGATGCTGCCTCCATGCCTTGGCTTCTGGCCCCTTTTCTCTATCTTTCACACCAGCAATGGTGGGTAGGAGTCCCTCTCACACTTTGAATTTTCTTGCATCTCTCTGACTCAGTCTTCTGTCTCCCTCTTCCAGTTTTAATAAGGACACATGTGATCACACTAGGATCATGTGAATAATCCAGGATGTTTTCTCTATTTTTAAAGTAAACTTAATACCATCTCTGAAGTTTCTGTTCGCATATAAAGTAATATATTCACAGGTTGCAGGGATCGAACATCTCTGGAAGGCAATTTTTCTGCCTACCACAACGACCAAGCTGCTTTAAGATCCTCTTTTTGTATCACAGAAGGGAAGCCAGTGAACAGTTTCCCAGAATCCTCTCCCCGAAATGATTCTGGATTACAGTTTTCCAGTAGGAGGCACTTGCATGAATGAGATTTAAAAGGTGGAAGAGAACAGTCTATTATACTCTGGGGTAGTTGCAGACAGGTGCATAGGCAGATGTGAAAGTCACATGGGCTTCTTAGTAAGCACTTAAGAGATATCTGCTTTGTTGTGGCAGAATGAGATAGCTATTGGGAGCTTCCTCGAGATTCTTGAAAATCACAACAGCTTCTTAGCACATAAATCATGTAATTTATGATATGAAGTAAGCATCTTGCTTTGCTTTAGTGAATTGTCATATTCCTTTCTAAGTATGGATCGCTTCCAGTGTTTTACCCTTTGTATTTAAATTTGTAAAATTTCCCCAAAAGTTTCTTTAATGTGAAAGTTGTTGCCAGTGTTACTTCCTTTGGGACATCTTCATCCTTCCCATTACAACCACTTTCCAATTTCACGTTCAGTGTTTTGTTTGCTGATTTATTTCTTCCCTGCATTTTCATTCTTTGTCCAATTCCGTCTTTCTGTTGTCCATGTATCTAAAATGTCACATAGCTTTATCACTGAAAGGAAAGGAGGCAACACAATTAACATGCTTTGCTATGTATGCATTAAATATTAGATGTGCAGTGACCAATTACTGACAGTCTTTGTAGAAAGTGATGTGATTGGCCATTTATGATGCATGTCTGTTATTTATATAATGAAATGTGGACTGAAGAGTTAGCAGCAAAATACGTACTTTATGGAATAACCAGTGGGTATACAGTGGTACCCGACATCTGAACTACGTTTTGTGGGAGTAGTGTTAGTTAACTAAGCCATTATGTACTTGTTTTTTTAGGGCTGCTATAACAAAGAAGCACAGACTGGGTGGCTTAAACAACAGAAATTTATTTATTTTTAACAGCTCTGGAGGTTAGAAGTAAAAGATCGAGGTGTTCGCAGGGTTGCTTCCTTCTGGGGGTTGTGAGGGAAGGATCTGTTCTAGGCCCTTCTCCTGAGCTTGTAGATGGCAGTCTTTTCTCTGTATTTTCACACTGTTCTCCCTTTGGGTGTGTGCACCCAAATTTCCTCTTTTTACAGGGACACCAGTCAGAATAGATCATACCCTAATGAATTCATTTTAACCAAATTATCTCTGCAAAGACTCTATCCCCAAATAAGGTCACATTCTGAGGTACTGGGGCACTGGACTTCAAAACAGCAATTTCAAGACGGGTAAACTGAAATGTTGGTATAAAGACATACGCTTTTGGGAGTTTGGAAAATCGAATAGAATATATTTCCCATGTGTCATTTTTGAAGATGCTACTAAAGTTCACATTTAGCTATATCTCTCCTAGGGCCCTTTCAGGTAAATGGAAGCTACTGTCTCTTGGTACAAAAGCGTTCTGTGTCTTTATACTTGAATGACAGTTTCGTTATGTTTATTGTTATTAAATTTTTGTATCATCAGTTTTTCTTTTGTTGAGGTCTTTGAAGTTAATATTCCAGTCTTTTTTCTTTTAATTTAGGTATATTTATATGAATTAGAAGCATAAACAGTATGTGTTCAGTTTGACGAGTTTTAGCAATTGTATAGAGCCGTATAACCACCACCATAGTCAAATATAGAGCATTGTACACCCACCCTTCTCATTTCTATAACCAGGAGGCAGTTTCCCCTGTTCTTGGATTGTATATAAATTGAACCATACAGGTATGCTACTCTTATGTGTCTGTATTTCATTCAAAATAATGCTTTTGAGATTAATCTTTGTCTTGTGTGTATTAGTAGTTTTCTGAGTGGTATTGATTACAGGAATGTGCTACAATGCATTTTAAACATTCCTCTGTCGATGGGCATTTGAGTTGTTTCCAGTGGTTTACGTACATTCTAGAAG
Source organism: Homo sapiens (assembly GCF_000001405.40). NCBI lineage: Eukaryota > Metazoa > Chordata > Mammalia > Primates > Hominidae > Homo > Homo sapiens. The sequence goes on along the minus strand of NC_000023.11, from coordinate 141,206,876 downwards.
AAAATTTTTGTGAACATGTTTTCATTCTAGAAACCGGTAGTGGGCCGTGGTGTAGGTGTATCTTTAACTGTTTAAGAAACTACCTGTAATCCCAGCACTTTGGGAGGCCAAGGCGGGCGGATCATTTGAAATCAGGAGTTTGAGACCAGCCTGACCAACATGGTGAAAACCCATCTCTACTAAAAACACACAAAAATTAGCCGAGTGTGGTGGCACGTGCCTGTAGTCCCAGCTACTCGGGAGGCTGAGGCAGAAGAATTGCTTGAACCCGGGAGACAGAGGTTGCTCTGAGCCGAGATCACGCCACTGCACTCCAGCCTTGGAGACAGATTAAGACTCTGTCTCAAAAAAAGAAAAAAAAGAAAAAAAAAGAAACTAGCAAACAGTTCTACAAAGTGGATGCACCATTTTATATTCCTACCAGCAGTGTGTGAGAATTCCGGTGATTTTGCATTTTCAATATCATTAAGGGAATTATGCATTTAAAAAATTTTAGCCATCCAAATTTTAGTATAAAATGGTATCTTATTGTATCTCCTTTACAATAATGATGTTAAGAACCTTTTCATATATCTATTTGCCATTCTCATATCTTCTTTTGTGAATTAGTTTATTCAAGACTTTTGCCCATTAGAAAAACCTGGGTTGTTTGCCTTTTGTTTATAATTAATAAACCATTTTTAGAGAAGTTTCAAGTTTACAGAAAAATTGGGCAGAAAATAGATTTTTCCCATTTACCCCAATACCCTCCCACACACAGTTTCTCCTATTAATAACATCTTGCATTAGTGTAATACATTTGTTACAATTGATAAGCCAATGTCAATATATTATTATTGACTAAAGTCTATAGTTTACATTAGGGTTCACTTTCTCTGTTGTACATTGTGTGGCTACTGAAAAATATATAATAACATATATCCACCATTATAGTACTGTAAAAAATAGTTTCGGCTGGGCGTGGTGGCTTACACCTATAATCTCAGCACTTTGGGAGGCGGAGGCGGGTGGATCACCTGAGGTCAGGAGTGCGAGACCAGCCTGACCAATATGATTAACCCTCATCTCTACTAAAAATACAAAAATTAGATGGGTGTGGTGGCATGCGCCTGTAATCCCAGCTACTTGGGAGGCTCAGACAGGAGAATCGCTTGAACCTGGGACTCGGAGGTTGCAGTGAGCCAAGGTCGTATCATTGCACTCCAGCCTGGGCAACAACAGAGAAACTCTGTCTCAAAAAAAATAAATAAATAAAATAAGAATAGCTTGATTGACCTAAAAATCGTCTGTCCACCACCTATTCATTTCACTCTCTCCCCAAACCTGGAAACCACTGATCTTTTTACTGTTTCCATTGTCTTTACCAGAATGTCATATAGTTGGAATCATACAGTATGTAGTCTTCTCATATTAGCTTCTTTCACTTAGCACTATGTGTGTCTTTTCACTCAGCTATATGCGCACATGTCTGTTAATATGGTTTGGATGTTTGCAACCTCAAAATCTCATCTTGAAATGTGATTCCCAGTGTTGGAGGTGGGGCCTGGTGAGAGGTATTGGATAATAGGGGTGGATCCCTCATTAATCCTTCAGCACCATCCACTTGGTGATAAGTGAATTCTCACTCAGTTAGTTCACATGAGATCTGGTTGTTCAAAAAGTATGAGACTTCCCACTTCTCTCTATCTTACTGCTGCTTTCACCACATGGCACACTGGCTCCCCTTTGCCTTCTTCTGTGATTGTAAGCTTCCTGAAACCCTCACCAGAAGCAGATGCTGTCATGCTTCTTTACAGCCTGCAGAACCATGAGCCAATTAAACCTTTTTTCTTTATAGATTACTCAGTCTCAGGCATTTCTATATAGCAATGCAAGAATGGACTAATACCAAAAATTGGTACCAAAGAATGGGCTATTGTTATAACAATATCTAAAAATGTAGAAACAGCTTTGGAGCTGGTTATTGGGCAGAGGTTGGAAGAGTTTGGAGGACTTAGAAGAAGACAGGAAGATGAGGTTAAGTTTGGAACTTCTTAGAGACTAAATGATTGTATGCAAAAATGCTGATAAGAATACGAACAGTGAAGTCCAGACTAATGAGGTCTCCGATGGAAATGAGGAAGTTATTGGAAACTGGAATAAAGGTCACTCATATTATACTCTAGCAAAGTGCTTTGCTGCATTGTGTTTACGTCCTAGGGATCTCTGGAAGTTTGAACTTAAGAGTAAATGACTTACGGTATGTGGCAGAAGAAATTTCTAAGCAGCAAAACATCTAAGATTTGGCCTGGATGCTTTTAACACTCTGTGATCAGATATGAGAGAAAAGAAATAAATTTGGAACTTATATTTAAAAGGGAAGCAGGGTATAAAAATTTGGAAATGGGCAGCCTGGCCAATTTTGGTAAAGGAAAGAGCATTTTCAAAAGAGGAATTCAAGAGGGCTGTGGAGCAACACGTGCTAGGGAGACTAGCATGACTAAAAGCCAGCCAGCTACTTATAGCCAAGACAATGGGAAAAAGGCCTCAAAGGCATTTCAAAAATTTTGAAGACGGTTTCTCCCCTCACAGGCCCAGAGCCCTGGGAAGAAAGAATGGTTTCACGGGCCAGGCCCAGGGCCCTGCTGCCCCAAAGAAGCCTCAAGACACTGCTTCCTGCATACAGGCAACCCCAGTTCCAGCCTCAGATCAAAAGGTCCCAGGTACAGCTTGGGATGCTTTGGAGGGCACAAACCATAACCCATGGCGGCCTCCACAGGACAATAAGCCTGCAGGTGCACAGAATGCAAAAATGAAGGAGGCTTGGCAGCTTCGACCAAAATTTCAGAGGATGTATCGGAAAGTCTGGGTACCCAGACAGAAACCTGCCACAGGGGCACAGCACCACAGAGAAATATACTAGGTCAGTACTGAGGGGAAATGTGGGGTTGAAGCCCCGACACAGAGTCTCCAATGAGGCATTGTCCAGTTGAGCTGTGGGAAGGGGGCCACCACCCTCTGGACTCTAGAATGATAGAGCCATGGGCAGCTGGCATACTGAATCTGGAAAAGCCACAGGTGTTCAACTCCAACTTGTGAGAGCAGCCACAGAGGCTTCACCCTGCAAAATCACAAGGGCAGAGCTGCCCAAGGTCTTGGGAGCCCACTCCTTGCACTGGTGTGCCCTGGATGTGGGACATGGAATCAGGGATTATTTTGAAGCTTTAAGGTTTAATGACTGCCCTGCTGGTTTCAGACTTGTGTGGGGCCTGTAGCCCATGTATTTTGGCTAAGTTCTCCTGTTTGAAATGAAAATGTATACTCGATGCCTGTACCACCATTATATCTTGGGAATAAGTAACATGCTTTTCATCTCATAGGCTCACAGGTGGCAGGAACTCTTCTCCACATGAGACTATGGACTTGGGACTTGGAACTTATGAGTTAATAACACTGGAACAAGTTAAGACTTTGGGAGACTATTGCAAAGGCATGATTGTATTTTGCAATGTGAGACAAACACAAAATTTGGGGGACCAGGGGCAGAATGATATGATTTGGATATTTTTAGTATTAGTCCATTCTCACACTGCTATAAAGAAATACCAGAGGCTGGGCACAGTGGCTCACACCTGTAATCCCAGCACTTTGGGAGGCCGAGGTGGGTGGATCATGAGGTCAGGAGTTCAAGACCAGCCTGGCCAACATGGTGAAACCCCATCTCTACTAAAAATACAAAAATTAGCTGGGCGTGGTGGCACGCACCTGTAGTCCCAGCTACTCAGGAGGCTAAGGTAGGAGAATTGCTTGATGCCGGGAGACAGAGGTTGCAGTGAGCCGAGATCGCACCACTGTACTCCAGCCTGGGAGACAAAGCGAGACTCTGTCTCAAAAAAAAAAAAAAAAAAAGATAAAGTAAAAAAGAAATACCAGAGACTGGGTAATTCATAAAGAAAAGAGGTTTAATTGGGTCGTGCTTCCACAGGCTGTATAGGTAGAAAGATGAGGGACACATTAGGAAACTTTCAATCATGGTGGAAGGTGACAGGGAAGCAGCCTCACCTTACATGGCCAGAGCAGGAGGAACAGAGCAAAGGGAGAGATGGTGTATATTTTAAACAACCAAATCACATGAGAACTCACTATCATGAGAACAGCAAGTGAGAAATCCACCCCCATGATTCAATAACCTCCCACCAGGTCCCTCCTCCAACCCTGGGGATTACAATTCAACCTGAGATTTGGGCAGTGACACAAATTCAAACTATATCATTCTGCCCCTGACCCCTCCCAAATGTCATGTCCTTCTGACACTGCAAAATACAATCATCCATCTCAATAGTCCCCCAGATCTTAACTCATTTCACCATTAACTCAGAAAGTCCGCAGTTCAGTCTCATCTAAGACAAGGCAAATCTCTTCTGCCTATAAGCCCATAAAATCAAAACCAAGTTAGTTACTTCCAAGATACAACAGGGGTATAGGCATTTGGTAAATACTCCTTTTCCAAAAGGGAGAAATAGGCCAAAAGACAGGGGCCACAACCGCCACGTAAGTCTGAAACCCAGCAGGGCAGTCATTAAACATTAAAGTTCCAAAATAATCTTTTTTGACTCCATGTCCCAAATTCAGGTCACACTGATATAAGGGGTGGGCTCCCAAGCCTTCAGCAGCTCCACCCCTGTGGCTCTGCAGGGCTCATCCCCGACAGCTGCTTTCCTGGGCTGGCACTGAGTGCCTGTGGCTTTTCCAGGTGCACAGTGCAAACTATTTCTGGAGATACCATTCTGGGGTCTGGAGGATGGTGGCCCTCTTCTCACAGCTCCACTAGACAGTGCCCTGGTGGGAACATTTGTGAGTGCTCCAATCCCACACTTCCCCTCCACATGCCCTAGTAGAGGTTCCCCATGAGGGATCCACCCCTGCAGCAGACTTCTGCCTAGACATCCAGGCATTTCCATTTATCCTCTGAAATCTAAGCAGAGACTCCCAAACTCAACTCTTGCTCTCTGTGTACCTGCAGCCTTAACACCACATGGAAGCCACCAAGGCTTGTGGCTTGCACCCTCTGGAGCAGCGGCCTGAGATGTATCTCGGGCCCTTTTATCCACAGCTGGAGCTGGAGTGGCTGGGACACAGGGAGAAGGGTCCCAACATTGTGCAGGGCAGCAGGGTCCTAGGCCTGATCCACAAAACCATTTTTCTCCCCTAGGCCTCAGGGCATGTGATGGAAGGTGCTGCCTCAAAGGTCTCTGAAATGCCTTTGAGGCATTTTCCCATTGTCTTGGCTATTAACATTTAGCTCTTCTTTACTTAAGCAAACCTCCTCAGGAAATGGGTTTTTCTTGACTACCACATGGTTAGGCTGCAAATTTTCCAAACTTTTATGCTCTGCTTCTCTTTTAAATATAAGTTCCAACTTCATAACATCTGTGTGCTATGCATACGAGAATATGCTTTTGGAAGCAGCCAGACTACATCTTGAATGCTTTGCAACTTAGACATTTCTTCTTGCAGATACCCTAAATCATCTCTCTCAAATTTAAAGTTCCACAGATCCCTATAGCAGGGGCACAATGCTACCAGTCTCTTTGCTAAAGCATAGCAACAGTGAGCTTTACTCCGTTCCCAATAAGTTCCTCATCTCTACCTGAGGCCTCTTCAGACTGGACTTCACTGTTCATATCACTATTAGCATTTTGGTCACAACCATTCAACAAGTCTCCAGGAAGTTCCAAACTTTCCCTCATCTTCCTGTCTTCTTCTGAACCCTCCAATCTATTCCAACCTCTGCTCATTCCCCAGTTCCAAACCTACTTCCACATTTTCAGTATCTTTATAGCAATGCCCCAATTCCTGGTACCATTTTTCTGTTTTAGAAAAATGGTACTGCTATAAAGAAATACCTAAGATGGGGTAATTTATAAATAAAAGGGATATAACTGGCTCACAGTTTTGCATAGCTGTGGAGGCCACAGGAAACTTTTTTTTTTTTTTTTTTTGAGACGGAGTCTTGCTCTGTCACCCAGGCTGGAGTGCAGTGGCGCAATCTCAGCTCACTGAAAGCTCCACCTCCTGGGTTCACGCCATTCTCCTGCCTCAGCCTCCCGAGTAGCTGGGACTACAGGTGCCTGCCACCATGCCCGGCTAATTATTTGTAATTTTAGTAGAGATGGGGTTTCACCATGTTAGCCAGGATGGTCTCGATCTCCTGACCTCATGATCCACCTGCCTCGGCCTCCCGAAGTGCTGGGATTACAGGCGTGAGCCACCGTGCCCAGCCAGCCACAAGAAACTTTCAACCATGGCACAAGGGGAAGGGGAAGCAGGCACATCTTCACGTGGCCCGAGCAGGAGAGAGAGAACGGGGAGATGCTACACACTTTTAAGCAACCAGATCTCCTGAGAATTCACTCACTATCATGAGAACAACGAGGGGAAAATCCATTCCCATGATTCAATCACCTCCAACCAGGCCACTCCTCCAACACTAGGGATTACAATTCGACATGTGATTTCAGTGGGGATACAAATCCAAACCACGTCACTTTGTCTCCTTCAAATCTCATGTTGTTAGGTGATTCCCAGTGTTGGAGCTGGGACCTAGTGAGAGGTGACTCAATCATGAGGCAGATCCTTCATAAAGGGTTTAACATTATCCACTTGATTATAAAGGAATAGTCACTCTTAATTCATCTGAGACCTGATTGTTAAAGTTTCTGGGACTACCTCTCTCTCTCTTGCTCTTGCTCTTGCCATGGAACATACTGGCTCCCCTTCACCTTCCACCATGATTGTAAGCTTCCTGAGGCTGCACCAGAAGCAGATGCTGGCACCACACTTCCTGTATAGCCAGCAGAACCATGAGCTAATTAATCCTCTTTTCTTTATAAATTACCCAGTCTCAAGTATTGTTTTATAGCAATGCAAGAATGGATTAATACATATACCTTGTTTTTTCAAGGTTTGACAGCTAACTTCTTTTATTTCTGAATAATATTCCATTTGATGTACTACAGTTTATTCATTGTTGAAGGATGTCTTGGTTGCTTTCAAGTTTTGGCAACTATAAATAAAGCTGCTAAAACCATTCATGTGCAGGTTTTTATGTGGATATGTTTTCAAGTCACTTCATTAAATACTAAGGAATGCAATTGCTAAATAGTAAGAGTATGTTAAGCCTGTGTATGAAACTGTCCAATTATTTTCTAAGGATGTTTTTCTTTAATTGTTGATTTTAGGAGTAATTTATATGTTTATATATTCTTAATAAACATTTATATTTATATATTCTAAAATTTTTATATGTTCTAGGTAGTATTCATTTGAGGGTGTATATGTTTATATATTCAGTGGTTTGTACATTCATTTTCTTAGCGGTGTCTTTTTTTTTTTTTGAGACAGAGTTTTGCTCTTGTGTTATAGGGCAAGAAAATGGGGGTCATGACCAACTCAGTATACCACTGGAGGCTATATGAGCAAACAGCAAACTGCTGTCATGAAAGCAAGATGTTGGAAAGCTAACAACTGCATCTGCCGCCAGAAGGGGTGCTGAGGGCAGTCATGCCTCAAGCACAGTGTTCCTTGTGATTATCTATTAGAACATCTGAAGCCTGTTGTACAAAGAAAGCAATTATGTGTACCTGTGATAAATCAAGCAGCTGACCAACAATTACCTCTTCCTCCCTGCTCTTTCTACCTAATAAATATGAAGGGCTGTAGAAGCTCAGGGCTGCCTTTCCTCACTAGAAGCAAGGAGCCCCCGACCCCTTCTTTTAAAACAGATCCTCTTGTTTTTGTCTCTATTTCTGCGTTCGTCCCCCTTTGTTCACTCCCGTAGAAACCGTCAGCGACAAGTGGCGCCTTGAACACAGACAGTGAGCAAAGAAGGTCTGCTGGAGGAGAGAACGTGAAACTGACAAGACAAACGAGAAACCCCGGGAGGAGTGTGGCGGCAGCAGATATAAGGTCAGTGCCCTAAAGAGGTACTGGGAACAGGACGTTTTCTTAATCAGGGTAACATGGGGCAGAATTTGTCTATTGAGGAGCAACATTATGTGCAGTTGCTTAAAGTTTTACTTAAACAATCTGGTGCTCAGGTTAGTTCTCAAACACTAAGATGCTGCAGGAGGTTATCACGCATAACCCATGCTTTCCACAGATAGGCACTCTTGATGTGGAAAATTGGGACAGAGCAGGAGAAGGATTAAAACGAGCTCATCAAAAAGGTCTTAAAGTTGATCCTTGTGTTTTTTCTGCTTGGAGTTTAGTTTGTACTGTCCTTCTGCCATTATCTCCTTCTTATTCTGCTAGACAGCAGGAGTCATGTCCTGAGTCTAAAAATTTAAAAGAATCTTTTGTCCCACCCACAGTACCAATTAAAAATAATAAACAGGGGAGGGAGGATGAAAATTGGCCTGTGTCACCCCCTCCAGTAGCAGAAACATCTGTACCACCTCCTTCAGTAGCAGAAATAGAGACCCCAATACAAAGAATTTTACGCTCTGCTGCTATAGCTGGAGAGCCCTTAGGACCTTGCACTTTTCCCATTTCCATGAGGCCCGATCCAAATAATCCACAGCAGTTTATTCATCAACACACCACACTAGAGTTTAAGTTGCCGAAAGAATTGAAAGCTAGTATAGTGAATAATGGAGTCCAAAGCCCATTCACTTTAGGATTGTTAGAATCTATATTTGGTGCCATGCATCCTCCACCATTTGATGTAAAGCATTTGGCTCGCACTTGTTTGTCTGCTAGTGTGTACCTGACATGGAATTTAAATTGGCAAGAACTGTGTGCAGACCAGGCTAGAAAGAATCGTGCTGCTGGACACGGAGACATTACAGAGGATATGCTATTAGGTAATCACCCTTATTCAGACCCGCAACATCAAATGGCACTCCCAGATGCTGCTTATAAGCAGTGTGCCTTGGCTGCTAAACGCACCTGGGCCACAATTCCAGAGGAAGGGGTCCCTGTAAAATCATTTTTATGTATCATGCAAGAATTGCAGGAACCCTATGCACATTTTCTTGCAAGACTACAAGAGGCAGTGAAGCAACAGATTCCTCATACCACTGCTGCAGAAATGCTAACCTTAACTCTAGCTTTTGAGAATGCAAATGTGGATTGCAAACGTGCACTGGCACCTGTGAGATGTACAAAAAACTTGGGAAATTTTCTTAAAGCTTGTCCAGATGTGGGAACTGAGCTTTATCGCTCTACAATGATGGCTCAAGCAATGGCTGATTTAGTAATGGACAAATCTAAAAAGGGCCAAGGGGCAAATCTTAAAATGAGAAAATGTAATTGTTGAAAAATCGGACATTTCAAAAAAGAATGCCGTCAGACCTCTGGGCAGAAGGGATCTTATAATGCAGTTCTCCGCCCCCAAAAGAAAAAACGCCAGGACTTTGCCTTCTTGCAATAAAGGAAATCATTGGGCTAGTCAATGCCATTCCAAATTTCATCAGAATGGCACCCCCTTGTCGGAAAACGAGAAGAGGGCCTGAACCCAGGCCCCACAAACAATGAGGGCATTCCCAATCCAGGCCACAGCCCTGTCTCAGGGATAGGTTCCCGGAGGCACATTGATTCCCTCTCCCCAGGAACACCCGGAAGCTCAGGATTAGATCTCCCAGTCAGAGAACGGGTTATATTAGTTGGAGGAGACAAACCCACCAAGATTCCCACTGGTATTTGGGGACCTTTGCCAACAGGATATATGGGATTAATTTTGGCAAAAAGCTGTCTTAACTTACAGGGCATTACTATAGTCCCAAGAGTTATCGATTCTGATTATGAAGGAGAAATTCAAGTAGTGGTAATGTCACAAGATCTTTGGGTTTTTGAACTGGGAGAATATACTGCTCAGCTATTGCTTATTCCTTGCAAGTTACACCCTTCTCCACATAAGGAGAAACAAGGGAATCAAGGATTTGAGAGTAAAACTAGGAGGGAAATTTACCTATCCCAACTCATAGCTTCTAATCGACCTACCTGTACAGTGCAAATTACAGGAAAGACATTTTATGGGCTTATGGATACAGGAGCTGATGTGTCAGTAATATCTAAAGACAATTGGCCCCCATCCTGGCCCTTGCAATTAACTTCTACATCCTTAGTCGGAGTGGGAACAGCTCAAAGTGTTCAACAGAGTGCTGAGATTTTACCCTGTCTCAGACTAGATGGACAGTCATGTACTTTTCAGCCTTATGTTGCAACTGTAGCTGTTAACCTATGGGGTTGAGACTTACAGCATGGGATATGAGACTTACAAATGAAACTATTGAGAATCCGGGATTTAAAATGTTACAGAAAATGGGATATCAGAGAGAAAAAGGCTTAGGAAAGTCCCTACAGGGAAAGCCTGATCCTATATTAATAACTGGGCAAACATACAGAATTATGTAATATTATTCTGCTGATCACTAGTGCTTTTTTGTTTTTGTTGTTGTTGTTGTTGTTATTTATTTATTTATTGCTCTGTCACCAGGCTGGATTGCAGTGGCACAGTCTTGGCTCACTGCAACCTTTGCCTCCCGGGTTCAAGCAATTCTCCTGTCTCAGCCTCCTGAGTAGCTGGGATTACAGGCGCATGCCACCACACTCGGCTAATTTTTGTATTTTTAGTAGAGACAGGGTTTCATCATATTGGTCAGGCTGGTCTCAAACTCCTGACCTCAGGTGATCCACCCACCTCAGCCTCCCAAAGTGCTGGGATTACAGGTGTGAGCCACCGCACCTGGCCTTTACCAGTGTCTTAATGAGCAAAATAATTTTCTTTGTATGAAATCCAATTTGTAATTATTTTCTTTTATATAAAAAACATAGAAACTTTGTAGTTGTTAACTTTTATGTTAAGTCTATGATTAATGTTTGTACATGGAATAAGGTAAGGTTTGAGGTTGACTTTCTTTTCCAAATGGCTGAATGGTTGTTCCAAAAGTGAGAAATCAATATCAACAGCAATTTGCACTCCTAACCTTGAGATGTTTATTTCTGAAAACCAATCACTACTGAAGTTAATGAGTATTCCTTGGAGAAATGGATGATTCCAGGGCTGGGGCGAGAAAAGTACAAGATGAGCCAGGAATATCATATTGTACAGGAAAGAAAGAAGTGCTCAAAGAATGAGATAAGCATGACAATAAGACACATAATCTAGCTTAAAGGGGTCTCAACTGGGCAAATCTGGAAAATGTAAGCTTTGACATGAATAATGATAGTAATGGATTATAATCCAATGCATTAAATAGGAATCCAGAGGTCCATACTAATATATATTTTGTATGTAAATGTATATATATATATATAGATATGTAAAAGAGAACGGAAAACATTCCTATAGAGTAGAATGTAATTACTATTAAATACTTCCTAAAACTTGCAAAATAATTATTTTACCTTTGGGGAGAAATCTGGCAGAAACCACCTTAAACAAGTGATAAAAGTTACCACCAACAGTGATAGAAAAAATTGAAATCATGTGCTTTCTGACACGAGGCACTCAGAAAAAACACTATACTTTTTTTTTTTTTTTTTTGAGACAGAGTCTCCTTGCCCTGTCGCCCAGGCTGGAGTGCAGTGGCACAATCTAGGCTCACTGCAACCTCCACCTTCCAGGTTCATGCCATTCTCCTGCCTCAGCCTCCCAAGTAGCTGGGATTACAGGTGCCCACCACCACGCCCGGCTTATTTTTTGTATTTTTAGTAGAGACGGGGTTTTGCCGGAAAAACACTACACTAGTAAAGAAAATGCATAATATTTATCTAATAATGAATAAATACCAGGAATTGAGGGACATTTTTAGTTACTAGCCTGCACTTTTCAAAACTGCCAAGGACATGGCAAGGAAAAGACTGAAGAATGGATCCAGACTGTGGAGACTGAAGAGACATGATAACTGTATTAGTCTATTTTCATATTGCTATGAAAAAATACCTGAGATTGGGTAATTTATAGAGAAAAAGAAGTTTAATGAACTCACAGTTCCACATGGCTAAGGAGGCCTCACAATCATGGCAGAAGGTGAAGGAGGAGCAAAAGGCATGTCTTACATGGCAGCAAGCAAGACTGCATGCACAGGGGAACAGCTCTTTATAAAATAATCAGATCTCATAAGACTTACTCACTATCACAAGAAAAGCACGAGAAAAAAACGTGCCTCCATGATACAATTACCTCCCACTTGGTCCCTCCCATGACACAGGGATTATGGGAACTACAATTCAAGATGAGATTTGGGTGGGGACACAGCCAAACAATTTCCTTCCATCCCTGACCCCTCCCAAATCTCATGTCCTCATATTTCAAAACCAATCATGCCTTCCCAAGAGTCCCCCAAAGTCTTAACTCATTTCAGCATTAACTCAAAAGCCCAAGTCTAAAGTCTCATCTGAGATAAGGCAAGTCCCTTCCACCTATGAGCCTGTAAAATCAAAAGCAAGTTAGTTACCTCCTAGATACAATGGGGATACAGACATCAAGTAAATACACCCATTACAAATGAGAGAAATTGGCCAAAGGGGCTACAGATTCCATACAAGCCCAAAATCCAGTGGGGCCATCAATCAAAATGATCTCCTTTGACTCGATCTCCATCTCCTTTGATCATGTCTCACATCCAGGTCACACTGATGCAAGAGGTGGGCTCCCTTGGGGAGCTCTGCTTCTGTGGCTTTGCAGGGTACAGCCCCCCTCCACCCCGGTGGCTGCTGTCATGGCTGGCATTGAGTGTCTGTGGCTTTTCCAGGAACACAGTGCAAGCTGTAAGTGGGTCTACCATTCTGGGCTCTGAAGGATGGTGGCCCTCTTCTCACATCTTCACTAGGGAGTGCCCCAGTGGGGACTCTAAGTGGGAGCTCCGACCCCAGATTTCCCTTCTGTACTGCCCTAGCAGAGGTCCTCCATGAGGGCCCTGCCCCTGGAGCAAACTTTTGCCTGAACATCCAGGCATTTCCACACATCATCTGAAGTCTTGGTGGAGGTTCCCAAACCTCAATTCTTGGCTTCTGTGCACCTGCAGGCTCAACACCATGTGGAAGCTGCCAAGGCTTGGGGCTTGCACTCTCTGAAGCCACAGCCCGAGGTGTACCTTGGCCCCTTTACCCTCAGCTGGAATTGCTGGAGCACAGGGCACCAAGTCCTTAGGCTGCACACAGAAAGGGGGCCCTAGATTTAGCCCAGGAAACCATTTTTCACTCCTAGGCCTCTGGGCCTGTGATGGGAGGGGCTGTGTCTCTGACATGTCCTGGAGATGTTTTCCCCATTGTCTTGGCTATTAGCATTTGGCTCCTCCTTACTTATGCAAATTTCTGCAGCTGGCTTTAATTTCTCCCCAGAAAAAGGGTTTTTCTTTTCTATTCCATTGTCGGGCTGCAAATTTTCCAAACTTTTATACTCTGCTTCCTCTTGAGTGCTTTGCTGCTTAGAAATTTTGTCTGCCAGATACCCTAAATCATCTCTCTCAAGTTCAAAGTTCTACTGATCTCTACAGCAGGGGCAAAATGCCACCAGTCTCTTTATATTGCAAGAGTGACCTTTGCTCCAGTTACCAAAAAGTTCCTCATGTCCATCTGAGACCACCTCAGCCTGGACTTTATTGTCCACAGCACTAGCAGCATTTTAGTCAAAGCCATTCAACAAGTCTCTAGGAAGTTCCAAACTCCCACATCTTCCTGTCTTCTGAGCCCTTCAAGTGTCTAGGAAGTTCCAAACTTTCCTACGTTTTCCTATCTTCTTCTGAGCCCTCTAAACTGTTCCAACTTCTGCCCATTATCCACTTCCAAAGCTGCTTCCACATTATTGGGTATCTTAATAGCAGTACCCCAGTCTATCCATACCAAATTACTGTATTAGTCCATTTTCATACTGCTATGAAGAAATATCTGAGACTAGGAAATTTGTAAAAGAAAATAGGTTTAATGGACTCACAGTTCCACATGGCTGGGGAGGCCTCACAATCATGCCAGAAGGCGGAGGAGGAGCAAAGGCACATCTTACATGGCAGCAGGCCAGAGAGCATCTGCAGGGGAACTGCCCTTTATAAAACCATCAGATCTCATGAGACTTATTCACTATCATGAGAACAGGATTGGAAAAACCCACCCCGATGTTTCAATCACCTCCCACCAGGTCCCTCCCATAATACATGGGGATTATGCAAGCTACAACTCAAGATGAAATTTGGGTGGGGACACAGCCAAACCATATCAATAACTAAATATAATGCATGCTCCAGGCTTGGAACTTGGATCTAAAAATTTCATTTTGGGCACAGCTGAAGGAAATCTTAATGGGGTAAGTGGAAGCATTATATTAATTTTAAGCTCCTTGATTTTGATAGACTGTGGTTTTGTAGGATAGTGTACCTGTTTTTCAAAAATGCTCACTGAAATACCAAGTGGTAATGAGCCTTTCTGTTTGCAACTCTCAAATGGTTCAGAAAAAGGATTATGTAAGCACATACACATATATACATACAAATATTGACATAGAGAACAAGAGTAAGTCAAACTTGATAAAAAGATAGCAATTGGCGGCTGGGCACAGTGGCTCATGCCTGTAATCCCAGAACTTTGGGAGGTCAAGGCAGGCAGATCACGAGGTCAGGAGATCGAGACGATCCTGGCTAACATGGTGAAACCCCGTCTACAAAAACTTAGCCGGGCGTGGTGGCAGGCACCTGTAGTCTCAGCTACTCGGGAGGCTGAGGCAGGAGAATGGTGTGAACCCAGGAGGCAGAGCTTGCAGTGAGCTGAGATCACGCCACTGCACTCCAGCCTGGGTGACAGAGTGAGACTCCATCTCAAAAAAAAAAAAAAAAAAAAAAAGCAGATACCAATTGGCTCACCTGGGGGTTAGAATATCCAGGAATTCATAAAATTCTTACAAGATATTTTATAAATTTGAAATGATTTCAAGACAACTTTAGAAAGAATGGATAAGAACTAATGTGTCAAAAACAATTTACACTTTAAAACTTACTGTCATACTATTTTTTTTAATTTGAAACACATCAAACATCAATTCTGTGAGAAAGCATTTTTTACTCACTTTTTATAAATGAAGAAAAATAAGGAAATTGAGATTTAGAGAATCTGGAATTTTGTCCATAATATAAAATGTCATATGTAGAATCTGCACCAGGTTTTATCACCTCCAAGTCCAGTGTTCTTTTTATAGTTTCATGCTGTCTTTGAAGATGATGTCTTAATGTTTGCCTTGTATAAGTTGTTCATCTCTGGACCTTTGCTTTTTCATTTAATCTGTTTTCATTGGTGGGCCATTCTGCAGGTCCTTTTCTCATTTAGAAACACTGAAACTCTTATAGTAAATGACTGAAACTGTCCCCTGCAACAGTAAACTTCTGTGATTCCATTCCCATTTTTCCCAGTGATGTACTGGCAGGAACCAGCATGAAATTTGAGAAAGAGGCTGGGAATTATCCTTATACAGCTCAAACCCCCACTTAATGAGAATTTTTCTTCAAATAATCCATTTCCTGAATTGAGATAAATTATCACTGAGTATTGTTTGTTTGTTTGTTTTTGCAATTAGAGTTAAGTTATCATCAGTTTAAAATAATGGATTAAAAGATGTTAATTGCAAGCCACATAGTAGTCTCAAATCAAAAAACCTACATCAGATACACACAAAAAAAATTAAAAGTAAGAAATTAAAACATACCGCCAGAAAAAAAAAATACTTTCACAAAAGGGAAGAGAGGAAAAAAAAGAGGGAAGGAAGACCACAAAACAACTAGATAAACAAATTTTAAAATGGCAGGAGTAAGTCCTTACTTGTCAATAATAACATTGCATGTAAATGAAATAAACTCTACAAACCAAAGAAACAGAGTGACAGAATGGATTCTTAAAAAGACAAAATTGGTCAGGCACAGTGGCTCACATCTGTAATCCCAGCACTTTGGGAGGCTGAGATGGGTGGATCACCTGAGGTCAGGAGTTCGAGACCAGCCTGACCAACAAGGAGAAACCCTGTCTCTACTAAAAATACACAGCGGAAATACTAAAGCAGACAAGCTTCTGGGACACTTAAAACTTGGCCAGGTGCGGTGGCTCACGCCCAGTACTTTGGGAGGCCGAGGCGGGCAGATCACAAGGTCAGGAGTTCAAGACCAGTCTGGTCAATATGGTGAAACCCTGTCTCTACTAAAAAAAAAATAACAATAATAATAATAATACAAAAATTAGCTCTAATGCCTACAAAAAGACATTTCACATAGACATACATAGATGCAAAACAAAGAGGTGGAAAAAGATATTCCATGTGAACAGAAACCAAAAAAGAGCAGGAATAGCTATACTTATCTCAGAAACAATAGATTTTAACACAAAAACTATAGCTATAAAGAAGCTTGTTATCTAATTAAAAAGCAGTCAATTCAGAAAGAGGATATAAGAATTTTAAAAGTATATGCAGGCAACACTGGAGCACCTCAATATATAAAGCAAATATTCTTAGAGCTAAAGAGAGAGATAGACCCCAATACAATAACAGCTGGGGACTTCAACACCTCATTTTCAGGATTGAACAGATTATCCAGACAGAAAATCAACAAAGAAACATCAGACCTAATCTGCACTATAAACCAAATGGATCTAATAGGTATTTACAGAACATTTCATCCAATGGCTGCAGAAAACACACTCTTTTCCTCAGCTCATGGATTATCCTCAAGGATAGCCCGTAGGTTAGGTCACAAATTAGTCTTAAAACATTCAAAAATTATCAAGTATCTTATTTGATCACAATGGAATGAAACTAGAAATCAGTAACAAGAGAAAATTTGGAATCTACACAAATACATGGAAATTAAACAATATTTTCCTAAATGAGAAGTGAAACAGTAAGGAAATTTAAAAGAAAATTAAAATATTTCATGATACAAATGAAAATGAAAACACAACATATCAAAACCTATGGGGTACAGCAAAAGCAGTACTAAGAAGGAAGTTTGAACTATAAGTGCCTACATCAAAAAAGAAGAAAAACTTCAAAATATACAACTTAAGAATGCATCTTAAAGAACTAGAAAAGCAAGAGGAAATCAAACCCAAGGCTGGTAGAAGAAAAGAAATAATGAAAATCACAGCAGAAATAAACAAAATTTAAAACCAAAAATAGAAAAGATCAACAAAATGAAAAGTCGATTTTGCGAAAACATAAAGAAAATTGACAAACTTTTAGTCACACCAAGAAAAAATGAAAAAAGAACCAAATAAATAAATCAGAGATAAAAAAGGAGACATTGCAACTGACACCACAGAGATTCACAGGATCATTAGAAACTACATTGAGCAACTATATGCCAATAAATTGGAAAACCTAGGAGAAAGGGATAAATTCCTAGACACATGCAACCTACTTAGATTGAACCATGAAGAAATTCAAAACCTGAATAGACCAATAACAAGTAATGAAGTTGAAACCATAAGTAAAAGTCTTGCAGCAAAGAAAATCCTGTGACCCGATGGCTTCACAGATGAATTTTACCAAATGTTTAAAGAAAAACTCTTATCAATCTCACTCAAACTACTCCAAATGACAGAGGAGAAGGGAATACTTGTAAACTCATTCTATGAGGCAACTATAACCCTGATACCAAAACCAAAGACAGATCAAAAAAAGACTACTACAGGCCCACAACCCTGATGAACACTGATGCAAAAATTCTCAACAAAATACTAGTAATCCAAATTCAACAACACAATAAACACATCATTCATCATTACCATATGAGATTTATCCCTTGGATGCAAGGATGGTTCAACATACAGAAATCAATTATTGTGATACATCTTATTGAGAAGTGACAGCGTGCTGGCAGTCCTCACAGCCCTCGCTCACTCTCGGCGCCTCCTCTGCCTGGGCTCCCACTTTGGCAGCACTTGAGGAGCCCTTCAGCCCACCGCTGCACTGTGGGAGCCCCTTTCTGGGCTGGCCAAGGCCGGAGCCCGCTCCCTCAGCTTGCCAGGAGGTGTGGAGGGAGAGGCGCGGGCGGGAACCAGGGCTGCGCGCACTGCTTGCGGGCCAACGCAAGTTGCAGGTGGGCGTGGGCTCGGCGGACCCCGCACTCGGAGCAGCCCCAGGCTAGCGGCTGCGGAGGGTGTGCTGGGTCCCCCAGCAGTGCCGGCCCACTGGTGCTGCGCTCAATTTCTGGCCAGGCCTTAGCTGCCTTCCCACAGGGCAGGGCTTGAGACCTGCAGCCTGCCATGCCTGAGCCTCCCCCCGCCTCCGTGGGCTCCTGTGCAGGCCGAGCCTCCCTGAGGAGCGCCGCCCCCTGATCTATGGCACCCAGTCCCATCAACTACCCAAGGGCTGAGGAGTGTGGATGCACTGCGCAGGACTGGCAGGCAGCTCCACCTGCAGCCCCAGTGCGAGACCCACTGGGTGAAGCCAGCTGGGCTCCTGAGTCTAGTGGGAACTTGGAGAACCTTTATGTCTAGCTAAAGGACTGTAAATACACCAATCAGCACTCTGTATCTAGCTCAAGGTTTGTAAACACACCAATCAGCACCCTGTGTCTAGCTCAGGGTTTGTAAATGCGCCAATTCACACTCTGTATCTAGCTACTCTGGTGGGGACTTGGAGAACCTTTGTGTGGATACTCTGTATCTAGCTAATCTGGTGGGGAGGTAGAGAACCTTTGCGTCTAGCTCAGGGATTGTAAACGCACCAATCAGTGCCCTGTCAAAACAGACCACTCGGCTCTACCAATCAGCAGGATGTGGGTGGGGCCAGATAAGAGAATAAAAGCAGGCTGCCCCAGCCAGCAGTGGCAACCCGCTGGGGTTCCCTTCCACACTGTGGAAGCTTTGTTCTTTCGCTCTTTGCAATAAATCCTGCTGCTGCTCACTCTTTGGGTCCACACTGCCTTTATGAGCTGTAACTCACCGCGAAGGTCTGCAGCTTCACTCCTGCCTGAGCCAGCGAGACCACGAACCCACCAAAAGGAAGAAACTCCAAACACATCCGAACATCAGAAGGAACAAACTCCAGACGCGCCACCTTAAGAGCTGTAACACTCACCGTGAGGGTCCACAGCTTCATTCTTGAAGTCAGTGAGACCAAGAACCCACCAATTCTGGACACAATATCAACTGTATGAAAGACAAAAATTACAACCATTTCACTGATGTGGAAATAGCATGTGATAAAATTCAACATCCCTGTAAGATAAAAACCCTAAAAAAAACTGGGTATAGAAGGAACAAAAGTCATATGCAACATACTCACAACTAGTGTCATACTGAACAGGGAAATATTGAAAGCCTTTTGTCTAAGATCTGGAATACAACAAGGATGCCCACTTTCATCATTGTTATTCAATATAGCACTGGAAATCCTGGCTAGATAAATTAGACAAGAGAAAGAAATAAAGGGCATCCAAATTGGAAAGGAAGAATTCATATTATACTTGCTTGCAAATGATGATTGTATATTTGGAAAAAACTAAAGACTCCATAAAAAACTATTAGAATTGAACAAACTCAGTAAAGTTGCAATGTACAAAAATCAGTAACATTTCTATATGCCAACAGCAAATAATCTGAAAAAGAAATCAATAAAGTAATCCCATGTACAACAGCCAAATATAAAACAAAATACCTGGGAATTAACCAAAGCGAATGATCTCTGCAATGAAAACTATCAAACATTAATATAAGAAAATGAAGATACAAAAAAATGGAAAGATATTTTATGATCAGACATTGGAAAAATCAATACTGTCAAAATGTCCATACTATTCAAGGCAATCTATAGATTCAATGCAATCTCTATCAAAATACCATTGACATTCTTTACAGAAATAGGAAAAATAATCCTAAAATTTATATGGAATCATAAAAGACCCAGAACATCCAAAGCCACTGTGAGCAAAAGAAGAAAACTGCAGGAATCACATGAACATGACTTCAAATTATACTACAGAGTTATAGCAACCAAACCAACATGGTATTAGTATAAAAGCAGATACAAAGACCAATGAAACAGAATAAAGAACACAGAAACAAATGTACTTATTTACACCCAACTGATTTTCAACACAGGTGCCAAGTACATATCCTGGAAAAAGGACACTCTGTTCAATATATAGGGCCAGGAAAATTATATATCCATCCATATGCAGAAGACAGAAACTAGACCCCTATCTCTTGCCATATACAAAAATGAAATCAAAATGGATTAAAGACTTAAATCTAAGATCTCAAACCATAAAGTTACTAAAAGAAAACATTCAGGAAGCCCGGGCGCGGTGGCTCATGCCTGTAATCTCAGCACTTTGGGAGGCCGAGGTGGGTGGATCGCCTGAGGTCAGGAGTTCAAGACCAGCCTGGCCAATATGGTGAAACCCCCATCTCTACTAAAAATACAAAAATTAGCCAGACATGGTAACATGTGCCTGTAATCCCAGCTACTCTGGAGGCTGAGGCAGGAGAATCACTTGAATCTGGGAAGTGGAGGTTGCAATGAGCCGAGATCATGCCATTGCACTCCAGCCTGGGTAACAGAGTGAGACTCCACCTCAAAAAAAAAGAAGAAACATTGGGGAAAATCTCTAGGACATTGGTCTGGGCAAAAATTTCTTGAGCAGTACCCCACAAACACAAGCAACCAAGGTAATCACAGACAAATGGAATCACATCAAGTTAAAAAGGTTCTATACAACAAAGAAATGAATCAACAAAGTGGAGAGACAACCAACAGAAAGGGAAAGAATATTAGCAAACAATCCATCTGACAAGGGATTAATAACCACAATATGTAAGGAGCTTAAACAACTCTATAGGAAAAAATCTAATAGTCCTTTGAAAAATTGGGCATAAGATCTGAATAGACATTTCTCAGAAGAATACATACAAATGGCAAACAAGCATATGAAAAGGTGCTCAACATCACTGATCAGAGTAATGCAATTATGAACTACAATGAGATATCATCTCACACCAGTTTAAATGGCTTATATCCGAAAGTCAGGAAATAACAAATGCTGGCAAGGATGTGGAGAAAAGGGAACCCTTCTACACTGCTGGTAGGAATGTAAATTAGTCAGCCACTAAGGAGAACAGTTTGGTGGTTCCTCAAGAAAATAAAAGTTGAGACACCATATGATCCAGTAATCCCACTGCTGGGAATATACCCAAAAGAAAGGAAATCAGTGTATTGATTTCCTCATACTGATGGGTATCTGCAATCTCGTGTTTGTCGCATAACTGTTCACAATAGCCAAGATTTGGAAGCAATGTAAGTGTCCATCAACAGATGAATGGATACAGAAAATGTGGTACATAGACACAATGCAGTACTATTCAGCCACAGAAAATAATGAGATCCTGTCATTTGCAAACACATACAACGGAACTGGAGGACATTATGTTCGGTGAAACAAGCCAGTCCTAGAAAGACAAACTTTGCATGTTTTGATTCGTTTGTGGGAAATAAAAATTAATACAATTGAACACATGGAGATAGAGAGTAGAATGATAGTTACCAGAGGCTGGGAAGGGTAGTGGGGGCCTAGGGGGGAAGTGGGGGTGGTTAATGAGTCCAAAAATATAGTTAGAAAATAGAAAGTATAAGCAAGGCTGGGCGCAGTGGCTCACGCCTGTAATCCCAGCACTTTGGGAGGCTGAAGCAGGCGGATCATTTGAGGTCAGGAGTTCGAGACCAGCCTGGCCAACATGGTGAAACTCCGTCTCTACTAAAAATACAAAAATTAGCTGGGAGTGGTCCTGGGTGCCTGTAATCCCAGCTACTCAGGAGGCTGAAGCAGGAGAATTGCTTGAACCTGGGAGGCAGAGGTTGCAATGAACCAAGATCCTGCCACTGCACTCCAGCCTGAGCAACAGACTGAGACTCCGTTTCAAAAAAAAAAAAGAATAAATAAGACATAGTATTTGGTAGCACACACGGTGACTATAGTCAATAATAATTTATTGTACATTTAAAAACAACTAAAAGAGTAAAATTAGAATGTTTGTAACACAAAGAAATGATAAATTCTTGAGGCGACAGGTATCCCATTTGCCCTGATGTGTTTATTATGTATTGTATGCCTGTACCAAAATATCTCATGTACTCCACAAAAAATACATCTACTATGTACCCACAAAAATTAAAAATTAAAAACAAAAATAATCACTGAGTGTTTAGGAGATGCCAAGGGCCATGAAGGAGGCTAGCAGGAAAGCCCAGAGAACCTGAGAGGAGAGGATGCTGGCTCAGGTGATGCAGGCCAGAGAAACTTCTAAGGCCGAGAGAAACCCTGTTTTCTCTTTTTCATATGTCCCTGGAACTGCTGTCCTCTCCAAGGAAGACCACCATGGTCTACAGTGATGAAAAGTTTCTGGAGATATAATTGCCTCTTTACTCTGAGAGGAGATTGTGTATCCATATCCCAGATGTAGTATGGATTTTTTCCAGATTGATAGGACAAAATAGAAAATGTAAATGATGAGTTAATGGGTGCAGCACACCAACATGGCACATGTATACATATGTAACAAACCTGCACACTGTGCACATGTACCCTAGAACTTGAAGTATAATAAAATATATATATATATATATATAAAAGAGAAAAAAAAGAATCTATGCTTTCAACAAAGCAAGAGGCTTATGTAAGAGAAAACCACCACAAAATACAAGATTTTCAAGGTGATCATCATTGCTACTGTTAACTAGAAATTACCCAGTAAATGTACTGTGAACTGCCAAAAAAAACAAAAAAGAAAAGAAAAGAAAATGTAACATGTAGGTCTTTGAACTATAATAATAAATGCCTTTTTTTCCCCTAAAAAACTTGTAAGAGCAGAATGCTTTGAATTGACAAAAGCAAGATCCTGATATAACCTTATTTTATTCTTCCAGCTAGTTATTCAAAGGTATACTTTATACTTTTAAACTTCATGGGTAAACTCATGGATACTAGGTTAACATAAGAGAACTACCTACCTATTAAAATTCACATGCAGTTAATATGAGTCACTGCAATGCTACTAAATCTCAATTGTCTAGTGAACAATAATATGTAATCTGTGCACAAAAGTTTTTTGTAGTTTGCCAGATACTTTTATATTTTATGATTTGATATTCACTGCAGCCTTATGATACAGATATTAGTAGGATGCACTTTATTGATAAGGAAACAGAAGCTCAGAAAAAAGAACAAATGACTTACTCAAGCCACAAAGGTTGCAAGCAACAGTATGAAGACAGAACTCCTCTTTCCAAAAATTATTTTTTTTCCATAATGTTTCCCTGGAATGTGCTTCACTGCTTTTACATAGGCATACAGATTCCCTGGAGTAAACACGGCTGCTTTTGATTCTATCTTTGTCATACCATGACACTGCCAGTTTTCCCTACATGCAGCATCCTTGATGTTACAGGGCAGCAATATGCTTACGTCTGCTTGACTACAGACACTCACACAAGGAAAGAGAGGCACTCAGGCACTCATGCACAAGCACACGCTTCAGAGTTCCTCACAGGAGAGGATTACTTTTCGTGTGTCCCAATTGTACCTGCAGGATTTTAATTTATGGAGATGACTGAGTGATGACATAGATAGGCCAATGTAATTGAAAGATTTTTGTTACTTAGATTTCCCAATGTAAGTAGGAGGAGGCTCACCACATCATGCAGGGACACGTGGGTGAACACCAGGAGGCAGAAAGGAGTGAGTGGAAGCCATAGTCTTCACTGGCGTATCTGTGGGAAAGGCAAGGCAGGGCAGGCCAAACAGTTTAGAATGGGGTAGTTCGAATAATTCCAGCTGGTTTAGGGGGATAGGGCAGATCCCTAGTTGTCTGATACCTGGCTTCAGGTTAATTTAGAGCAGGGAAAATATTGGCTTGGTACATGAGAACTAGATAAAGGAAGTAGTTTAAGAGTATGGGCTCTGGATGGCAAGGAGGATGCAAAGAACTTTGGCCATTACTTTGGCCTTGTGATTAATGGATGCCAAATAGACAAATATAAATCTAAGAACATGGAACAGGGCAGTAGATTCAGAAATTGTGTTTTTTTAATATGGGGCTCCTGCTTTCATCTGCAGCATACCCTAAGTTTCTCCATGTTTAAGTCCTCTACTGCCAGGTAACAAACTATCTCAAAACTTAGTGGCTTACAGCAACTGGCATTCTATTTATTCATGGTTCTGTGGATCATAAATTCAGTTAGGGCTCAGCTGGATGGTTCTTTTGTTTGTTTGTTTGTTTGTTTTGTTTTGTTTTGTTTTTTGCTTTATATATGGTCAGTTGGAGTTAATCACTCAGCTGCATTCAGGTGGTGGCTCTGCTAGGCTGGAAAGTCCAAGAAAGGAGCTTCAGTCTCATGTTTGTTTACTGTCTTGCTGCTCCTCCACATGATCTCTCTTTCTCTACGTGGCTAGATTCAGCTTCTTCACAGTATAATGATCCCATGGTAGTTAGACTTCTTACATATGGTGGGTGGCTCTTAACAGGAAGTGTACCAAGTGGCAAAGGCAGAATCTTCAGTTATTTAAGGCCTTGTCTCATAAACTTTAAGGCACTGCATCACATTGTGTTTGTCAAATCAAGTCACAGGGCCACCCCAGATTAATGAGGCAGGGAAAATTATTTCTTCCTCTCTGCTGAATGGCAAATAATTTGTGGTTACCTTCAATTCACCACACCCATTGTGCCTCGTGAAAAACTGAGTCTAGATCAAAGTAACTAGCCAATCTAAAAGAGGGGCTATTAAACAGTTAAAACAAAACAGGCAAACACAGATGATAACAGATCACTTTCTGGAGATCCATAAGAACAAATTCAACATGATGCCAGATATTTTCTAAAATGTACAAAAATGGCAGAAACAAAACACGTGTATAAACTCTTGTATAATCACTGTGACCAATTATATTAAAATAACTAGGCAAGAGAAAAACTAACAACTATCTAGTGCAGCACACTGCAGGCAATTAATTCTATATTATGGCAATACAAAAGCCTATACATGAAGAATACAAAATACTTAATATAAAACATTAATTCATAAAAATCTTTCAGTTACAGAAAGCTGATTTTCCAGTTCTATATCTGGAACTATGACTTTATTTGCACCACGCTTTTTCTATATCATCTAAGAAACTGAAGCGTTGAGTCTCCTTAGAGAGAGAGAACAAGAGAGGGCAAAATTTGAATTTTCAACAATCTTATTAAGTGATATTTTGTGAGAAGGAGAGGTCTTAAGAATGTTCCTTTTTTATTTTAAGACATCAATATTATTTAAGGTATTTCAACCATAAGAATACATCAATTTAGTACATTAATAAACATGTAAAAATGTTTCCAGCACTTTAGTAAGCTGGAGAGGGCAAAGACAGGAGGGAGGAAGTTGTGCCTCTTCATTCCTCTCTCCGGGCCAGAGGTCTCTATTGCCCTCCAAGTGAGGTTTCTGTAAAAAGCAGTCCCAGGTGCACCTGGCTAAGAAGGGGGATGGGGGAAGTCTATGTGGGAAGAGATCTGGCTCTTGGCAGCATTCATGCAGTCCTCTCACAAATATTCTTTCCGAAGCTGTTTCTGTTCCTGGCTGTATATTTGAGTGCTGAGTTAGTTCACCCAGTCGATGTGTGCACACTCATCTGGTGGCTCAAGAATCATGGGAAATTTTCATGTTCAAGAGAATTTTACAGTCTGGATGCTTGATGTGTACCAGGGCACGGTTTGGAGCCTGAAACATGGTGGTAGTGAGTGCCTTGGACTTGTGCTCTTGCCAAACGGTGGAGTCTAAGCCACCCTTAGGGCGTTCCAACCCAGAGCTGTCCTGATAAATTTTACTGGCCCGAGACAAGTACTCCCTATGAGTACTTGTCACAGGGAGTACTTGTGTCTGCCCCCAGCATATTCACGTTAAGTGGAAAGGAACACTTAAGGGCCACTCGAGAAGGGGAAAGAAAATGAGGAAGGCGACATGCAGCTGTGAGCAGGGTGAATGGAGAAGGAAGTGCTGATATGCATTGGCACTGGTGGGAGAGCCTCACAGGCACCTGGAAGCTGGTTAAAATGAGCATTAAGATTCTACATCTTCTATCAACTGATACTACATACCTCTTCCTGACTGCTTCTGTTGTGAGTCAGTGCTAAGCTGCTTGTCTCCATTCCCTTTCTCCAACCAGGGAAGCACCTCCCAAAGTCACTGCTCAGTTCTGGGCAGGACATTTCCTGTCTTCCAGGGTCTCAGAGCACACTCAGAGGGAACAATAGTGGTTGCCTCGTCTGGTTTCCTCCCTGAATCCCTCTGCTGTGGGGTTGTAGGGAGAAAATTAGGGCAGCATCTGCCTAATCATCTCTGGTTCCCCACTAGACCTGCCTGGGCCCACTGAAGTCACAAGGGTCCAGCACATATTAATTATTCAGAGCAAGGGCATGGGCGGGCTTTAGAGTTAGAGAGGTTGGCATGAAGGTATAGCACCATCAACCTATTGCTTTATTAGGTTTAGATATTTACCTCCTGGGTCTCTGGCTCTAAAATGCCCATTCCCATGTCTGGTCCTTGTGTATGAGTCATTGTGACAGCCCTGCCAATCACCTGGCCCAGTGTCTGCTACAGAAAGTGTGCTCTAGGCCGGGCGCGGTGGCTCACGCCTGTAATCCCAGCATTTTGGAAGGCCGAGGCGGGTGGATCACCTGAGGTCAGGAGTTTGAGACCAGCCTGACCAACATGGAAAAACCCTGTCTCTACTAAAAATATAAAATTAGCTGGGCGTGGTGGCGCATGCCTGTAATCCCAGCTACTCGGGAGGCTGAAGCAGGAGAATCGCTTGAACCCGGGAGGCGGAGGTTGCAGTGAGTCGAGATTGTGCCATTGCACTCCAGCCTGGGCAACACGAGCAAAACTCTGTCTAAAAAAAAGAAAAAGAAAGAAAGAAAGTGTGCTCCCAGGAGTCGAACCCTGAGTACTCTTCCTGTATTAGGGCCTGGATATGAAAGGTGAAGCTGGACACTACCTCTGTCCCAGTCAGGCCCATCCTGTACTCTGAACTGTAAATGGGCATGATGGCCAGAGACCTACTTTCCACATTTCACATCCCTCCCCTCAATCCTTACACTGAATGTTTACGGAGCAGCTAGTAAACACTGCCAGGTGCTGAAGATAAAATTAAGAGTGAGAGTGGATCCCTGCCTGCCAACTTCTCAGGTGGCGGAGCTCATAGCACAGGAGAGGCCAAAAGCTCACATTCCTCCTATCTCTTTTTTTCACTGCTTATCCTTTCACCACTGTGATCTTCCCCGTGTCCCTGCTTGGGGCTTGGCCCTGTTTCTCTGCTCTTTCCCAGCCTCCTACTTCCATGGATGATCATTCAATTCTATCCTAAAGGACCGAATCGAATTTCTTTAAAAATCTATTCAGCCAGTTTTATTACATCAGTCATTGTTTCACAATCGAGACTGATCCATGGTCAGAGATAAAATACACTGAACAATTTTTTTTCTTTTTTTTTTTTCTTTTTGAGATGGTGTTTTGCTCTTATTGCCCAGGCTGGAGCACAATGGCGTGATCTCGGCTCAGGCAACCTCTGCCTCCCAGGTTCAAGTGATTCTCCTGCCTCAGCCTCCCAAGTAGCTGGGATTACAGGCGCCCACCACCACACCTGGCTAATTTTGTATTTTTTGGAAAGACAGGGTTTCTCCATGTTGGTCAGCCTGGTCTTAACTCCTGACCTCAGGTGGTCTGCCCCCCTCAGCCTCCCAAAGTGCTGGGATTACAGGCATGAGCCACCACGCCCAACCTTACATTTAACAATTTGAAGAGTATTTTTTGACTCTTTGTGCAGCGACAACTTCTGATTTTCATCTCAGCATCTTCACTCTGGGATGATTTTACTCGCCAAACATTAATGAAGCCTCTACTCTGGGCCAGAACTTTTCTAGGCATTAGGGATAGACCAGATAGCAAAAGCAGTGTTTGACTTATATATTCTAAAATGGAAGCAGATGATGAGCAAAGTACTGTATATACATACGACATGGTGGCCGGTAGCACAATAAATGTTATGTAGATAAATGAAGCAGAGTAAAGGGTTACAGATTGGGGGCAGAGAACAGGGTGCTCTGATAGGTCCGGTGGTCAGAAAAGTTCTCTCTGAAAGCAGTAGGAGGAGTCAGGCAGCCAACTGGGATGACAGCCTTGCAAGGCAGAAGGAATAGAAGATGCAAAGGCTATGAAGCCAGAACTGCTTGATGGGTGTGAGAATCAGCAAGGAGGACAGTGATTAGAGCACAGCAGAAACTGGGAAGAGGCACAGGATAGAAGGAGGGGCCTTGTAGGCCTTGGCTGCAACTTTGCTCTTTATTCTCAGGTGAAACTGTTGGAGGATTTTGAGCAGGAGAGTGAAGGGATCTTTTTTTTTTTCTTTTGAAACGGAGTCTCGCTCTGTAGCCCAGGCTGGAGTGCAGTGGCGCTATCTCGGCTCACTGCAACCTCTGCCTCCAGGGTTCAAGCAATTCCCCTGCCTCAGCCTCCCGAGTAGCTGGGATTACGGGCATGCGCCACCACGCCCAGCTAATTTTTTGTATTTTTAGTAGAGACGGGTTTCACCCTGTTAGCCAGGATGGTCTCGATCTCCTGACCTCGTGATCCGCCCGCCTCGGCCTCCCAAAGTGCTGGGATTACAGGCGTGAGCCACCGCGCCCGGCCCTAATTTTTGTTTTAAAGGATTCCCGTGGCTACTCTATGGAGAATATACTATAGGAAGAAAAGAGTGAAAGCTAAGTGATTAGTTGCAGCAGTCTGGGTGAGAAAGAAAGGCTAGGAATCAGGGTGGCAGTGGCAGAAATGACAAGACGTGATTGAATTGGCAATATATTTGAAAGCAGAGCCAACAATTCATGTTGGCTCTAGAATCAGGGATCCATTCAAAGTAGAAAAACAAAATTATTTAAAAACACAAACATCTTAACAGTTCATTTTTAAGTACAGAATAATACCCAGTGGCCAACGGCACTAATAGCAAGACAAGAAATAGAGAATCAAAGATATGTGGGATGCCTGCAATTGACTATTGGATGCTGATTTTGCAGAACTTTTTTATATCTTGTTACTTAGGTTTTGTGTGTGTGTGTGTGTGTGTGTGTGTGTGTGTGTGTATACCATATTATTTCCCTACTAAAGAAGTCACTGTTTAAATACTACCTTTTTCATGAAAGGCAGGACCCCCTGAGGGTCTTCATGATTCTAAAAGGAAGTGTGACTCCCACAGGGCAGCCAGCAGTGTCAATACTTCTCTGAGTGAGATTTAAATAAGAAAGAAAATGTGTTAATAAAACATCAAGCCAAGAGAATCTAGTGGCCACAGACCCACGAAGGAACACTGAGTTGTGCAAGCTACCTAGGTAGAAGGGTGGCTAATCCTTTCAGTTTGAACAAATTTACCTTCTCTGAGACCGGACTCAGCGCTCGCCAAGTCCTCTGCTAACGCAGGCCCCACAACTAGGAGCTAGGGGAGCCTATCCCAGCCTTTAACTGCCCGCCGAGAGACCTACCACAAGCCGGTGGTTCAGCGACCCAGCGCATCCTTTTCCTGGCCACGCCCTCTTTGTCTACACCCTTCCCATCCCGGCCACGCCCCCACGCCGCCGCGGCCCCCCCACTCCCAGCCTAGCCACGCCCCTCCCCCGTCGCGCCGGCGCACCGTCCGTCCGAATGGCCTCGTGGGCGGAGCTTGCGTAGCCTCCCGGACCCCGGCGCACACCGCCCCCCGCCCCCCGCCCCTGGCCACCAAGCGCCTCCGTGGACACGCACTTCCTGCGAGGGCTCCGTGCGCACCTTGGCCGAGCCGAACCGAGCCGAGTCCTGTCCTTCCAGGCCGTTCGCAATGGTGGATGAGTTGGTGCTGCTGCTGCACGCGCTCCTGATGCGGCACCGCGCCCTGAGCATCGAGAACAGCCAGCTCATGGAACAGCTGCGGCTGCTGGTGTGCGAGAGGGCCAGCCTGCTGCGCCAGGTACGTCCGCCGAGCTGCCCGGTGCCCTTCCCCGAAACGTTTAATGGCGAGAGCTCCCGGCTCCCCGAGTTTATCGTGCAGACGGCGTCTTACATGCTCGTGAACGAGAACCGATTCTGCAACGACGCCATGAAGGTGGCATTCCTAATCAGCCTCCTCACCGGGGAAGCCGAGGAGTGGGTGGTGCCCTACATCGAGATGGATAGCCCCATCCTAGGTGATTACCGGGCCTTCCTCGATGAGATGAAACAGTGCTTTGGCTGGGATGACGACGAAGACGACGACGACGAAGAAGAGGAGGATGATTATTAGGCCCTCGACCCTCGGGCCTCGGGGGGGAGGGCCCTGCACGCCGCCACCCCCTCCCCGCAGCCCTCACCCCGCCAGGAGCCACTGCTCTCCCCCTTGCCCTCCGGTCCCCTTACCTACCCGCGCCCGTCTGCTCTCTCTCTTCATTTCTCCGTAGTGCTTGTCTTTGTTCCAGGAATAGCGCTCCAGTTACCTGCTGCTGGGGTCGGGGCTGGAGCCTCACTCACTCGGAAGTGCTTGGAAGTGTCATCTACCCTGGCCATCCCCGGGATCCCTCCCCTGCTAATCTGAACTGTGTCCTGAACCCCAGCTATTGGCCAGGCCCCTGTTACAAACTGCGCAGACCACCCGTAGCCCTGCTGCTGCCACCTGCCCTGCTGCCAGGCTTACATCTTCCCAGAGAACTATGCTGCCACTTCACATCCACTCACCACATCCCACCTACAGACTACCACCTTTCGAGATCAGGACCAACCTGGAAAATGCCAGAGTTGGCTATGCCTTTTCAGACATTGATTTGGACAGCTCACCAACCCCTGAAGGGGCCGTTCAGCCTGGTTAGTTTTCTACCTACTCCGAGTGTCCTCCCCTGCCCCACCAGATTGCTGCAGGGGCGCGGTGTGCCTGGCAGCCAAATTGTTGACACTTCTTTTTTCCTATGCACTGGTTTTACACAGCTGTCATTTTTCTTTCAAAATTGCAGCAGTCCCACAGATGTGTGCATTTGGACAAATAGTACTTAAAAACAAAACAAACAAGCACTCAGCCCAGCTCCTCAATACTACCTGGAAAAAGCATTGGCATTATTTTCAATAAATATCAAGCACTAAAAAAAGAAATGATTGTCTTTTAATGGTTAAGTGCTATCACTGGCCTCTACCACTGTCACTCTGACTACCATTATTCCCGTGGAAATCAGGGAATACAACCAATCCTAGTATTCCCCGCTGTCATCTCCAGGCTGCTGGGGACAGCTACCTCAGGGCTTTGTCAGGGTTCTGATGCTCCCTTCACCAACGCATTTCTTAAAGCCCTGGCAAAGGGTGTGTTCTCTGGGTCCTCCAGGGTGGCGTGGTTAAGGGTTGGCTGAGCAGACGGCAAAGAGAGCAGTATTAATAATTAGACCATAACAATAGGCGTAAACCTGGACATATATATGTAATGCTCCTAATTCTCTGAGCTTTTGGATTCCTTAACACTGTGCCAGGGAAGTTCTGCCCCTTAATCCTTATTGCCTATGTGCAGCTGTTGAGTTCAGACTCCAGAGAGCCAACATAGTAGATTGTCACTTTCAAACTCCAAATAGCCAACATGTCACTTTCAGGTGCTCCAGCTAACATTAAGTCCCGGATCCTGGGCAAGTGCACCCATAAAGATATAGCCTGATCTTAACAAACATTTCGTTCTCCTTGGACAGACATCCTTAGAATTCCCACTCATAGATGTGTCCCAGATTCCTCCCTATGGAAATTAGCAAGATGCTTGGTTATCTCTTAAATCAGACCTTGTACTGCTATCTAGGGGCTATGCTGAGATCTCTGGGCCTGGAGGGTTCAGAGCAGTGAAGGGGGTGGCTGCTGAGAAGAAGCTGCATACCTGTGTGAGGCCATTGCTCCAGGTTAAGTCATTGAAATGTTTAATGCAGAGCAGCTTGGTTGGGGATTTGAGAGGACTGCCTCTTAGAAAGGTTTAGGAGGATATGAGGGGTTCAGAGTTCTCTTTTATATCTGTCCAGATGTCCTCATTGTACCATGTCTGGAGCCAACTTGACTTTATAACCTTTAATTAATTTAGATAACACATTTCCGTACTGTTTAAGGCCTTTTGAGGCAAGATATTGTATTTGTACTGGTAAACCTCAGTGTTGATTAAATGAGATATGGGTCTTCATATTAATCACCTCATAGGTGCGGATTAAATGAGATCATACCCATGAAGCATTTAGAACTTTCCCTGCTACATGGTGAGCACTCAGCAAACCATGGGCTGTTACTCCTGGGCCAGGGAACAGAAGTCTCAGAAAGCAAGTCTCTGACTCTGAGCCTGGCTTTAGTAGGAAAATGTCAGCGTGAAGAGGAGCAGAGCAGGTTCAGGGAGAATGGAAATGAGAGCATGATAAGACCCCATTTACTTTTTGGAGTCTTATATGAAGCAAGAAACAAAGCTGTTTTACGTGGTGGACAGGCAAAGTTCAGGGTAGGAGTTATATCTCACCCCTAGGATAGCTGTTTCTGGAGGGTGGGGACAGGGTTGCGTATGACTTAATAAAAGAGGCTGAGGCTTGGGTGGAAATGAGATCTGGGGCTCTTCAGGGAGCTGCCGCCTCCAAATCTGAATCAAGGAGACAGCTGGTTATTTAGAATTCATTGATCACTTCTCCCAGTCTCCTTGGAAAATATACAAAACCCCTTGGAAGAGAGAGATTATATTTGAGACATAATATGTGTGAGGCCAGATAATTACACTTTCTTCCTAACTAGAAAGGCCTTGAATTGGGGATAAATGTGGAAAAGTGAGCAAGATCTAAAAGGTAAAGGATCCAGTGAGACCAAAAGTCATTTATTCCAAACTGATTATGGCCCAGTTATGCTGAGTGGAGTTACAGAAACATCTTTGAATAAAATGTGATCTCTGCCTTCATAGCGAGTCCAGTCTGCTGCTTTTACTGTGCCCTGGGTCAGAACTTTGATGATTAGTTACAGGAAAGGGCCAGGAAGAGAATCTGGGCTGTGATTAGATCTGGGAATGACCTTTCTGGGGTGGAAGTTGAGGACATATGAGTAGGTGTTCTGTGGAGGAAGGGAGGTTCAGTAAGGATGCCATGCCAAGGCAGCATCTGAATGGCATCTGGGAGAACTAGGCCAGGGAGCTTCTGTGATCTGAAGTGTACATTTCCTGAGTATGTGTGCATGTGCACATGAGCTTGCTGTGACCCAGTATGTGTGTGCTCTGTGTGTGTGTGTGTTAAGTGATGTCCTTCTTACATCATGGACAAACAGGTTATGCTGTGAGATGCAGAAAAGGGATTCTGGTTACTTTGGGGGCAGATTCTGCAATAAAAGCGCAGATACTGGCAAGGGCTCCACCACCCAGGGAGGAATTCATGATAATGGCATAAAGCATGGCAAAAAAGAAGGAAGAAGTAGAAGTATGTCTAAGGATAAAAGTGCCACTTTGATCAAAACTATTAAAAATAGGTAGGAATGCTGAATAAATATGAACTTAGACCCTGAATTCTCATTTTGGGCGTAATAGACTTGAAATGGCCGCTGAAATTATACTATCAATGAAATGAAATTAGTCATATTAAATGTCGTAATCATTTAATCGTATTAAATATACCAATATATCTTTGGACTCTTCTATTCATTTGAATAGATAAGCACTGCCATCTATTAAGTCCGTGTTGCTGTATCCTGCAGAATGGTATATAAAGCTAGAGGTACTTTATGCACATGTATATTTGATTATTTTCTGCTATTAAAGCATGGCTAAAACCTCAGTAATTTGGAAGTAGGCAGATTAGAGGGAGAAGTCTTGTTGAAGTTAGTGGGATATTTGCATAAAAATGCGCTTAAATTTTTTTCTTGTTTTTTTGTTTTATTTTGTTTTGTTTGTTTTGTTTTTTTTGTTGTTGTGTTTTTGTTGTTGTTGTTGTTGTTTTGAAACGGAGTCTCGCTCCGTCGCCCAGGCTGGAGTGCAGTAGCACAATCTCGGCTCACTGCAACCTCTGTCTCCTGGGTTCAAGTGATTCTCCTGCCTCAGCCTCCCGAGTAGCTGGGATGACAAATGCCCGCCACAGTGCCTGGCTAATTTTTGTATTTTTAGCAGAGATGGGGTTTTGCCATGTTGGCCAAGCTGACCTCGAACTCCTGACCTCATGATTCACCCGCCTCGGCCTCCCAAAGTGCTGGGATTACAGGTGTGAGCCACCGCACCCGGCCTCTTGGTTCTTAAAGTGAGTAAAGCAAAGCTAATAAAGCTGTATTAATTAAAGGTTCTGAGAATGTTTTCCTTGATGGTAAGGGTGGGATAATTGTATGAAGAATCTTTATTATTTGCTTTGAAATATGGATTTTGCTAAGTCAGGGTTTAGTGTCTGGCAGCAGTTTGCATTACTGAATAGCTCAAGTATATTCCCTGCAGTCTTAGCCCACGTAGTTCTAAAGGTAGGTACAATGGTGTCCTTTGACAGTGCTGGTAACCCTCCATCTCCCTTCATGAACATCTGATCATCTACCTTGCATTTTTTTCTGTTGCCTAAAATGCCTGTTAGAATGTGTTCCTTTGTCTTCAAATGTTCTATTGTACACAGAATGTTCTATTTTTTTTTATTCTGTTTTGTTTTGTTTTGTTTTTGAGAGAGAGTCTCACTCTGTCGCCGGGGCTGGAGTGCAGTGGCGCAATTTCGGCTCACTGCAACCTCTGCCTCCCGGATTTAAGCGATTCTCCTGCCTCAGCCTCCCAAGTAGCTGGGATTACAGGCGCCGCCACTACTCCCAGCTAATTTTTTGTATTTTTGGTAGAGACGGGGTTTCACCATGTTGGCCAGGCTGGTCTCGAACTCCTGACCTCATGATTCACCCACCTCGGCCTCCCAAAGTGCTGGGATTACAGGTGTGAGCCACCACACCGGCCTAGTGTCTTTTTTTTTTTTTTTAACCCTGAGAAAGATTGAAGGAATGGCTTGCTTGAAAAAATTATGAACACCACAGCCAGTTTGTTCATAGAGCAAAAACTGTTCCATGGATGAGTTGGGAGGAGGAGTGGTATATTAATCCCATCTCCAAAGAAATACTTGAGACTGGGTAATTTACAGAGAAAAGAGGTTTAATTGCCTCATGGTTCCCCAGGCTGTACAGGAAGCATGATGACTTCTGGGGAGGCCTCAGGAAACTTCCAGTCATGGAGGAAGGCTAAGGAGAAGCAGCATGTCTTACATGGTGGAGCAGGAGGAAGACAGAATGAGGGAGTAGGTGCTACACACTTACTAAATAACCAACTCTCCTGAGAATTCGCTCATTATGCAGTACCAAGGGGGATGATATGAAGCCATTCATGAGAAACTGCCCCCATGATCCAATCATCTCCCACCAGGCCTCACCTCCAGCATTGGAGTTACAATTCAACATGAGATTTAGGTCAGAACATGGAACCAAACCATATAAAATGGAGAGGTGCTGAAAAGGGTGTTTCAGAATAGGTAGATATAGCAACATTGTTGTACCTCCCTTTTTCCCCTCAGAGGCTGGTATCTGACATATGGTCAGTAATACATTATATTTCTTATTATTCTAGCCACAAAATTTACACACCTCCACTCCCCTCTCTAAATGACCAAGGATTTCATCAGCAAAATTGCAATAATGTAATTCTTACGTTTTAGCCAAAGTTCCTATACAGTCGGTGTAATTGAATGGACCAGTCAGTTCAGAATCAGTCAGTTAAAGATATAAAACTGTTGCCGGGGCTATTTTTATATGCCCCACTTTAAAGCTTCAGATTTAAAACAAATAACATCAGTAAAATGAAAGTGAAGGGATTTGTATTTCAATGGTAACTAAAGTAATTGTGATGTTCCAGATTTATATGTTCTCTAGACAGATAATTACACTGCCATATAGGATTTTTAGAAACTGCTTATTTGAATGTACACAATAAAAATTTTAACATATAC
Source organism: Homo sapiens (assembly GCF_000001405.40). Classification (NCBI taxonomy): domain Eukaryota; kingdom Metazoa; phylum Chordata; class Mammalia; order Primates; family Hominidae; genus Homo; species Homo sapiens. The sequence continues at coordinate 141,170,906 of NC_000023.11, read as the reverse complement.
AAAGTTAGAGAGAATACTATGATGAACCCCCACAGACTCATCTCCTGGATTAAAAAATTATCGACATTTTTGCTTTATTTATCCCTTAAATTTCTTGCAATTGTTATGGCATACTGTGAAACAAATCCCAGATAACACTTCAATTCACCCTTCAATACTTCAGTATGTTTCTCTTAACAGATAAGGCCTTAAAAAACATAATCCACCATATCATTAACAGACCTACTAAAATTAACAGTCTCCTTAATATTTAATATTCAATTCAGAGTCAGATATCCCCAGTGTCTTAAAAATGTCTTTTTAATTGTTTGCTTGAATTACTTTCCTTAAAATGTCAGCACATTTGGTCTATCTATCTCTTAACCTTCTTTTAATTAATAACAGCTCCTCCCACTCTTTTTTTTTTCTCTGCAGTGTATTCTTTGAGGAAACCTGGTTATTTGTCTATAAAATTTCCTATATTCTAGATTTGCTTTATTCTTTTCATATCCTTGCCCAGTTTTCTCTTGGGTTGTTAGTGTTACTCTCTCAATTTTTTAGAAGCTCTTTGTTTATTAGGGATCTGTGATATATGTCGCAAATATTTATGCCCAGTTTGTCGTTTGCCTATTTACTTTATGATAGTTCAGGCTGTTGAGAAAATATTTAGTATATTTTCCTTTTTTTCCACTCTCCTCCCATCTCTGCGCTCCCCAGTTTAATTGCTTGTATCATTTCTGTTAGTGTTTATGCCTTTAAATAGTCCAGACACTATTATTTTTCAGATATGAATTATAAATTTTGATTTAGCCATGAAAGATGAGGAATTCAATACACTAATACTCTCTATCAACTTTATAAGTGACATCATTATGTTATCATAACATTTACATATTTTTCCTATGACCATAATCTTCCCATTTGTTTTAACATAGCACATAAATGGGTTAAATAATTACTATTCTGTCCATATTTTCAATTTACCTCTTTATGTTAGTAATTTTTTTGCTGTTCTTTTTAGTTGTTTCTTAGGAATAAAAAAACAACTGGGGATTATATACCCTGAGTTTCTGAGGGTGAATGACAGTTTCATTACCTGTAGAGTTTTTGGGTCCCCCTTTCTTATTTCTCCGCTATTTGTTAGCATTGAATGCTATTTTGTAGAAGTCTGAGACCACTCTAATATTTTCCAATCATATTGTTGAGAGTTCTACTTAGTTCTCAGAGAATTTTTCTTTATATTTGAATAGAATATATCCCAATGTTATTCACTCTGTCCCAATGTTATTCTGTCATTTTTTCTGAAACCCAGTGTCACTATCTGTTATGTAGAATCAAAGCTTATTTCATTTATGCAAAGCTTTCCTTATTTTTTGAGTATATATAATATATGCTAACATGTACTTATGTTTACTCTCCTTTACCTGTCCTCCATATTTTAAAATTTCCCAGACTTTTACATGTTTTCTTCATTTCCATTTCATTCTGCTTACTTCTCTCCATCTTGTTCTCTATGTCCTTTACAATGTTTTCAGCATTAATTGTCAATCTTTGCATTGCTTTCAATTTGGCTTTCATTTCTGTGATAATTTTATTTGTTTTTCTTCCACTTCTTTGACAAGTGCTTCTGGGTCATGTTTAGCTTCTATTGACTTCTACATATTCCTGAATCTCATAACTCTGATTTGTTGTCTTGTTGTTTAGCTGTGATTCCTTCATATTAAAAAATTGGTTCAACACCAGCCTGGCCAACATGGTGAAACCCCGTCTCTATTAAAAATACAAAAAAATTAGCTGGGCATGGTGGCAGGTGCCTGTAATCCCAGCTACTTGGGAGGCTGAGGCAGGAGAATTTCTTGAACCCAGGAGGCAGAGGTTGCAGTGAGCCAAGATCATGCCACTACTCTCCAGCTTGGGCAACAGAGCAAGACTCCGTCTCAAAAAAAAAAATTTGATGGTGATATGATATGATATATGGTCATATGATAGGTCACATGTGTTTCTTGGCAATATTTTTCCAGGAAGTGCTATTTGCTGTTTTTTTCTGTCCTTCTCCCTCTATGGCAGTGTTCCTGGAAACCTTTTGGGATCTTATCTACTTCCTAGTAATGCCACTCTTCTGCAGTAAGGATAATTATAAGGCAGCCTCTTTTAGTCCTGTCTCAACAGAATTTTTCTGGCAGAAATAACTCAATGCTGGTGGCTTCTACATGACATACTTCTAGTTTGCCAGGGATGAGCTAGGTCTGAGAACACTCTCCCTCCTTTTTTAACAAATCATGGTCATTTCAATAGTACTCTCCTGTTTTCATTATACCTGGATGTACCTAGAAGATTTCTGACATTATTTTCAGAGGCAACAGTCTGTACTTACTGTTCTAGCCCCTGCTGCTCAGTAGTTTTGATGTCTGAATAACCTGAGATAGTCTATGTTCCAGGAAAGTGTCAAGCTAACTTATGATTGGGACTGAATAAGACTCAGCTTTGGGGATAGGAGAAACTGAAAGCTAAATAACAAAATATTAATGGCTTAGAGTACTTTTTCACTGCTGTGTGTGTGTGTGTGTGTGTGTGTGTGTGTGTGTTTCAAAAATAAGATAATAATTTTACCGTTAATTTTCAGAATAACTTTTTATTGCTCTGTGTAGCAAGAGGACAAGTGGAAGGATTTTAGTCATCTGTGGAGAAGGCGAGCCACATGCGTAGGAGACTTGATCAATATGTATATGGGATACATAAATTTGTGATTCATTGGAATAAAAAGTGGAGGGGGCTAAAATTAGCATTAGAAAATGGACCTTAGAAGAGATAGACAAGCATATATGGAAAGACTGGTTCATTGTGAGCTGAGAATGGATTGTTCTTTGCACAAAGTCTGAGTTCAATTAGAATGGGTTTGGTGATCAGAAGGACTTTGATCCCTGTCCTGGCGTTGCCATAGGCTCACTCTGGAAACTAGAGACAACTGAGTTGATTTATCTGATTCTAAACTTCTGCACCTATATCATGGGAATAATTATATCTCAGGAATAATGTAAGAAAAAAATCTAACTAATATCTTGTTTGGTGGTTAAGTGTTAGCCCTATTCTTCTTTTCCTTAGTAGATATTTCTTAGCAAAATAAGAATATAAGATTGACTTTTATGATAGACTTGAGTGTCCTGATAGAAAGACACTAATATTGGGGGACTTGGAATGTCATAGGAGAAAAGGTGGTCAACACATTAAAATATACAGAGGGACATTCACAAGAATAGATATTAAATATTAATTACCATATGAAGAGCATTTGACATTTATAACTTATTTTCATATTCATTTTCTTACTTGATACAACAAGTTGGTGAGGAGATATTGTATTCGTATTTTACACATTGCAATATTTAGACTCAGCAATGCTCAGGGGCTTGTTCGTGATAGAAAATGACAGAAACTTGGCCAGGAGTTCCTACCACAAGTCCAGTGCTCGGTATACAATTTCATGTTGCCTTTGAAAATGCCTTTTGCAAGTTACTTATCTCCTTTGGGCCTTCATTTCCTCATTTGTAATGTGAAATATTTTCATTAGCAGACCATTGCAGTTCTTTCTTGCCTTTAACAACATTAGGGCCTTTAGAATGAGTACCTGGTGCTGTCCTTCCAACTCTGTGATTCTCTGATTCCATCCTCATTTTTCACCATCACTGGTGTACTGGCAAGAACCAGTATGAGATTTGAGGAAAAATACTTGGATTACTCTTTTTTAAAAAAAATTATTTAGATATAATTCCCATACCATACAATTAACCTTTTTATGTGTATAATTCAGTATTTTTAGTATATTCACAAAGTTGTGCTACCATCACCACTATCCGATTCCAGAGCTTGTCATCATACAAAAAAGAAACTGTACCCATTAGTTACTCCCCTCATTGTTCATCTCCCTCCCTGCCCCTATAACTCTCTAGTCCTTGGAAACTACTAATCTAATTTCTGTTTCTATGGGTTTGCCTATTCTGGACATTTTATACAAATAGAATCATACAATACATGCTCTTTTGTTACTTCTTTCACCTTAGCATATTTTCAAGCTTCACTGATGTTGCAGCATATATCAGAACTTCAATCCTTTTCATGGCTGAATTATTTTCCATTGTATGGATAAACTTTTCATTACCTGTTCATCATTTGATGGACATTTGGTTTGTTTCCAATTTTTGGCTATTATGAATACTGCTTCCATGACAATCCTTGTATAAATTTTTGTCTCAACACCTGTTTTCAATTATAGTGGGTATATCTATAGGAATGGAATTGCTCAGTCATATGTAATTTTTTTATTTAATTTTTTGAGGAACTGCCAGATTGTTTTCCAAAGTAGCTGTGCCATTTGCATTCTTACCAGTAGTGTATGGATTTTCCACTGTTTCCACTTTCTCAGCAACTCCTTTTATTGTCTGTTTTTTATTATAGTCATCCTAGTTGGTGCAAAGTGTTATATCATGATTTTTACCCACATTTCACTAATGTTTAATGATGGTGAGCATTTTTTCATGTGCTTATGGGACATTTGCATATCTTTTGTTGGAGAAATACCTACTTTTAAAAAATGGACTGTCCTTTCATTGTTGAGTTATAGGAGTTCCTTATATATTTTAGATACTAGACAATTATCAGATACATGATTTACAAATATTTTCTCCCATTAATCGATTGGCTTTACACATTCTTCATAGTATCCTTTGATGCACAAAAATGTTTAATTTTGATGTAGTCCAATTTATCTGTTTTTTTCATTGATTGTGCTTTTCATGTCATGTTTAAGAAATCATTGCCTAATCCAGGGTCACAACAATTAACACCTATGTTTTCACAGATTTCATGTTTTACATTTATGTTTTCATGGTTCATAGAGTTTTACAGTTTTAGCTCTTACATGTAGGTCTTTGGTCCATTTTGAACTAATTTTCATATACAGTATGAGGTAGTAGTTCAACTTCATTATTTTGTATATGGAGATCTAGTTGTCCTGACACCATTTGTTGAGAAGACTATTATTTTCTCCTCAAAGTCTCTTGGGGCCCTTATTGAAATGCAATTCACAAATGTATAGGTTTATTTTTGGAATCTCAATTTTATTCTTTTAATCTATATGTCTATCTTTATGACAGTATCAAACTATCTTGTTCATAGTAGCTTTGTAGTAGCTTTTGAAATTGGGGATTGTGAGTCTTCCAACTTTATTCTTTTTTCAAGATTGTTTTGGTTGTTTGGGGTCCCTTGCATTTTCATGTGAGTCTTATGATCAGATTCTCAGTTTCTTCAAAAGCTACATCTGGAATTTAATTGGGATTGCATAGAACCTGTAGATCAATTTGGGGAGTGTTGCAATCTTAACAATATTAAATCTTATAGTTGATGAACATGGATGTCTTTCCATTTAATTTAAGTATTGTATAATTCATTTCATTGGTGTTTTGTTGATTTTATTATGTTTTCCATTTATTTTTGCTAAATGTTTTCTAAGTATTTTATTCTTTTTATATTATTCTAAGTGGAATTTTTAAAGTTTTGTCTTCAGATTATCCATTGTTTGTGCATAGAAATACAATTGATTTTTGTTTATTGATCTTAATCTTGCAGCCCTATTGAACTTATTAGATCTAGTAGTTTGTTTTGTGGATTGCTTAGGATTTTCTATATACAAGATTATGTCCTATACATGTAGAGATAGTTTTACTTCTTCCTTTTCGATCTGAACTACTTTTATTTCTTTCTCTTACCTAATTTTTCTAGCTATACCTTTAAGTCCAATGTTGAATAGAAGTGGCATGAGCAGTCTTGTTCATGATCTTAGAGGGAAAGGATTCAGTCCTTCCATCATTGAGTATGAGGAGTATGAGGTTAGCTGTGCAGTTTTCATAGATGCTCTTTATTGGTTGAGGAAATTCCCTCTACTCCTAGTTTATGGGGTATTTTTTTTTATCATGAAAGGTTGTTGGATTTTGTCCAATGCTGTTTCTGCGTCTATCGAGATAATAATATGGTTTCTGTTTTATATTCTACTAAAATGGGGTTATTACATTGACTGGTTTTCAAATGTTGAATGAATCTTGACTTCCTAGAATAAATCATGCTTGTTCATGTTGTATAATACATTTTATATGTTGCTAAATTTCTTTTGCTAGTATTTTGTTGAGGATTTTTGTCTCTATTCATAAGGAGTAATTATATGTATTTTTTATGATGTCTTTGTCTGGTTTTGGTATGAGGGCAATACTGCCCTCCTAGAATGAGTTGGGAACTTTTCCACACACATTAATTTGCACCTGCTTTGGTCACTTAACTGTAAATTCAGAAGTAACTGTGTCAGTTCATAGATGTTTTCTACATTTCTGTGCAGCTGCATAGTTAATTCCATGGATTTGTCATAGTTATTAAAAATTTTCCTATGTATGGGAAATTATTTTGTTATTACGAATAAGTTTCACCATGAATAAATTTGGACATACTTTGTTTTATATTTGTGGAAGTATACATTTACAATAAGTTTTTAGAAGAATGTTTCCTTGATCAAAGACTAAACACATATGTAATTTGTCAGATATTGCTAAAATACCTCCCATAGTGGTTTTACCATTTTATACATCCACTAAAAATGCATAAGGCTGCCTGTTTTCTTATGCAATTTCCAAGATAAGGGCTATTTTGATTTTCTGAATATCTGATAGATTTTTTGAAATATCTCAGTGTAATATTACTTTGCATTTCTCTTATTATGAGTGAAGTATTTTTCATATGTTCAGGGCCATTTGTGTTTCTTTTTCCATGAATTATCTGTTAATGTCTTTTGATCATTTATCTTGTTTTTTGTATTTTTTATTATTATTTAAAAGCTTTTGTTTACCAGGAAAATTAGTCTTTTGTCTATGATACGACTTACATAGATTTTCTCCCAGTTTGCCATTTGTGTTTCATCCTCTTTATGACATGTATATTTTGCAATGCAAAAGTTTTTTTTTGTTTTCATGCAGATAGATTTATCAGTGCTCTCTTTTATTGCTTCTAGATTTTGAGTTATAGTTAGAAGACTTTCTCCACATCTAGGTTATAAAGGAATGCCCCCAATGTTTTCTTTCAGTACTTCTGTGGTCTCAGTTTTTTAACATTTATATCTCTCTTCTATTTGAAGTTTATTCTGGGGTATGGTGTGAAGTAAGTATTCAATTAATTTTTTTCCAAAGGGCTATTGAGGTGTCCCAAGCCATTTGTTAAACACTCATCACGTCTTCCATGTGATATGATTATCATATATACTAAATTACCATAAGTCCTTGTATTTATTTGTGTACTTTCTATTCAGTTAAATGTTCTGTAGACCTTATTTATGTCATGACCTCACAATCTATAGAAGCTTTAGAGTATGTTTTAATATCTGGTAGCATTAGTCTTCCTTTTATTGTTATTCTTTCTCAGAGTTCTTACATGTTTTGTTTTCTATATGAATGTTATAATTCACATGTTTAACATTAGAAAAAATAACTTATATTTGTTGAAATAGCCCTAAATTTGTATATTAATTTGGGGAGTATTGACATTATTATGAAGTTAACATAGGCTATCCAAGAACAATAAATGCCCTTTTAATTGTTCAAATTTACTTTTGAGCCTCTCAGGAATGTTTTAATGTTTTCTTATATAGGTTTTAGATACTGTATTCCTAAGTAGCTTTTGACCGATTTATCTGTGTGTGTATATGTCTGTATAATATTATTTTTGTGTGAAAATTTTAAATCATGCCAAAAAACTTAATTTTTAAATGTTATGTAATTTAATTTTGATATTTGTTGTCTTTGGTTTTCCAAATATATTATATGCAAAAACTTCTAATTCTTATGCCTCCAACTGTTTTCTCTCACTATGAAGTTATAATGGACATAGATGGAATATTTCCATTGTTTGTCTCCTTATTGACAATGTTCATAAAGAATCCCAAACAACTTATCTATAAACACATACATTTATATTTGTGTATTTTGTGTGTGATATATAATGTTACATTATGGCATTAAATTTTGTACAACCTGTTTTCAGCATCTGTGTAAAAAAGCTTATGATTTTTTTTTAGATTTATTTAAGTGGCAAATAATAGATTTCCTAATATAATATCATCCCTCTAATTCCAGAATAAATCTCATTTTGCAATAATGGCTTTCTTTCTTTTTACTTTTAATGTTCAATTGGAGTCTGCTTCGTATTATGATTTGAAAATTTTCTTCGATATTTATGAGATTGGTCTGTAGTTTTTTGTTTGTATAATTTTATTAGGTTTGTGATCAATATTATCCTTCCTTCATTAGCAGAATGAAAGTTTTTCTTTTATTAGGCTCTGGAACAATTTGAGTGGCAGTGAGATTAAGCCATATCCAGTTTCAATTTAAAATCTCTATGAAGGCCAGGGGCAGTGGCTCACACCTGTAATCCCAGCACTTTGGGAGGCCGAGGCAGGTGGATCACCTGAGGTTAGGAGTTCGAGACCAGCCTGACCAACAAGGTGAAACCCCATCTGTACTAAAAATACAAAAATTAGCCGGGCATGGTGGCAGACGCCTGTAGTCCTAGCTACTCGGGAAGCTGAGACAGGAGAATTGCTTGAACCCGGGAGGCAGAGGTTGCAGTGAGCTGAGATTGCACCACTGCACTCCAGCCTGGGCAATGCAGCGACAAAAAAAAAAAAAAAAAAAAAAAAAAAAAAAAAAAACCTATGAAATAAATAGTCTTTACAAAATTAGTACGTCAGAATTCTCTAGTGAAAAATAATATGTGCTATTTCAGACTAATAAATAGTTTATAAATGTTTTACTAAAAGTTTAGTAATAGTTAACCTTGCTTAATATTTGATAATAGTTAATAAGTTAACAAAAATATTCAATAAATAATTTGATATTATATAATTTGACCTTCTCTTCAATCTCATAAACCTATTATTATGCCCATTTTATGGACAAGAAAACCAGAGGTCAGAAGAGTAAAGTGGCTTCCCAAGCCACACACTTAATGAGCAGCAATATAGTAATTTAACCGGCTTTCATTAATTTCAGAACTGCCAGAATTTTTCCTTCCATAAGGACTTCCACATTCTCTTTCTCTGCCTGGGAAGATTTTCCCCACCTCTTTTTACCTAGCTAACTCCAACATTCTCTTCTAATGTTACCTTAAATATAATTTTCCCATGGTGGCCTTATCTAGCCAATGCCCCACCCCTCACCCCCTACCTCTGCTCCCAAAGGATTCCTGTTATAAACTCTCAACAGGCTATACTTATTCGTTGGAGCTTGTATTAAGTAATCATTTATTTAATTAGCTTTTTTTTTTGGTGGGGGGGATGTCCTATTAGAATTCAAGCTCCGTAAGGTCAGAGTCCTTGCTTTCCTCATTCTCCATTATATGCCTAATACCTAGAATAATGCTGAGCACCTAGTAGGCACTAGTAAATATCTGTTGTATAGATGAATAAATGAATGATTTTAAACAAACATTGTGGAAGAGGTTGCTGCATGAGATACTCAGAGTCTGAAGGATATCAGAAAATTCAGGCATCATTACCTTAATGGATAGGAAGGAGACTGGCATAAACATGCCCTAAGAAGGAAAGTAGGCATTTCTGTGAAAGAAAGACAATGCAGAGCTCTTTTTGTAGGGTTTCAAGTACTTTATGAGGTATTGTCATTTCCTTCCCACCCCCGCCCCCAGACAGAGTCTTGCCCTGTTACCCAGGATGGAGTGCAGTGGCGCAATCTCAGCTCACTGCAACCTCTGCCTCCCGGGTTCAAGCAGTTCTGCCTCAGCCTCTCAAGTAGCTGGGATTATAGGCACCCGCCACCACACCTGGCTAATTTTTGTATTTTTAGTAGAGACAGGGTTTCACTATGTTGGCCAGGCTGGTCTCAAACTCCTGACCTCGTGATCCGCCCGCCTCAGCCTCCCAAAGTGCTGAGATTACAGGCATGAGCCACTGCTCCCAGCCCTATCTTTTCCTTTCTTAATTTATCAAAGAAAAGTAGTGAATAAGGACAGCTGGGAATGGAAATTTTTCTTAAGTTTACTAAATAATGTACACAGCTTCTGCTCTCCGTATCACTTTATTGTCAATGATAACATTAAATTCTTAGGCTGCGCTGGAGATTTTAGTATGTTTGAAAAAAAAAAATCATTATCATTGAAAACAGTGGACCCGTGCTTCCTCCCCAAGGAAATTAGGAAATATCACTGATTTCAGTTTGAGGTTAAAAGGTACTTTTGGAGAAAGATAATGGGTTTTAAAAAAAATGTCAACACAAGGACATGTCTATATGAGCACAGTAGTTTGACTATTTTGAAGTTATTTTTCTTCTTTTGTACCTTTTTATTTCCATACCCTTTTCTTTTTTGTCTGCATTTCACCCTTCCCTTGACTGATCAGCCAACAATGGAACAATTAAAGTAGTTCCTGTAAATTCACTCAGACTATATTTTCAGGTCTAAAATTTCTAAAGGTGCAATAAAAAGAGTTCCGAATGCAACATTCCACTCTGTGGCGAGCTTGTCGTAACTGCCTCTGAGATGGTGGCTACCGTCATACATATGAATGAAACAAAGGAACTTGAGAGAACATTTTGAGTGTTTTTGTCTTTTAAGCATTTCATATTCAATACTTTTTGGTTATTTCCAAAACTCCTGCTCTCAGAACTGCACATGGCAAATATAAACATAGTTGATGGTAATTTCTAAATTTTCAATTGAAAATTGAAATCTAGCATTTGCATGACATTCTACTCTATGCATGCTGCTGGTCTTGTTCAAATGTTTACTTTCTCAGTGAAGCCTTCCCATGTCTCAGCCTCCTTGCCCTGAAGACACATGTACATACATGAGACTCTATCTTTCCCTTTCCTTATATTATTTTAGCATTTAAATTGGATTATTTCAGAAGACTTGAGGGAAATGTTTTGATCACTTGCACGGCAGCGGACATACTTTTAGGAGTTAGAGAGATGAGGAAAGAGAGTGTATATTTTATGAGCCTTGCTTTGCCCTTTCTCTAATAACATCAATAGCAGAGCCCTGTCCCTGAGAGATACAGTTTCATGGACATGTGTTCCTGAAGCTAACATAATGCTGAACAATCTCCTGCCCTTCATGGTAGTTATCTCAGTAAATAATATCTCAACGTCCTCTTATGTAGAGATATTACTGAGTGAAACTTGAAAAATGCCTATAGAGGCCAGGTGCAGTGGCTCATACCTGTAATCCCAGCACTTTGGGAGGCCAAGGCGGGCAGATCACTTGAGGTCAGGAGTTCGAGACCAGCCTGGCAAACATGGTGAAACCCCATCGCTACTAAAAATACAAAAATTAGCCGGGCGTGGTGGTGGGCACCTGTAATCCCAACTACTCGGGGGGCTGAGGCAGGAGAATCGCTTGAACCCTGGAGGTGGAGGTTGCAGAGAGCCAAGATAGCGCCACTGCACTCCAGCCTGGGTGACAGAGTGAGACTACATCTCAAAAGAAAAAAAAAAGAAAAATGCCTATAGAATGTAAATAAACTCCTCAAAATTGTTGAATGATAGGCCATTATTAATTATAATTTATATTCAATACTTTAAAAATACCTACAGAGGCACTTGAAGAGGCCAACGATATTCCAAAATCCATTTTGGTACAATCTCTTGGGACACTAAGAACCTCTGGCTATACACTACAGGAGAGATTCTCTTGTAGAGATGTCTCTGGAAAGCAGATATACAATATCTGGCTTTGGATTTGCTGGCACAATGTTTGGCCGATGCGGAAGTAGATTTTAAATCCCTGGGGTAAATTATTCAGTTTTGCAAAAAGTAATTATTTGAATAGAGGTCTAGTGCCACTGCTTTGATGGCTCAATGATGACACGGTTCACATCAGGGATGGAAATATTTGTGCTTTCCTATTTGTTTATAGATCTTTGCGTATCTCAGGAGGCATATTAAGCCTTTTGGTAGAGGCTGAAATTTAGGTAGAGGCTGAAATTTAGGTAGATAAAGACTGTTGGAAGTACGCAGGATCACCCTCCCAAGGATCACCCTTAGTGTTAAGTGTTAGGATTAGAATTTAGAACCCCTTGGTTCTTGCTTTTGTTAAGAAATATTGCTAAAGGGAAGTGTAGATGAAAGCAGTTTTCAGGAAGGACAGTTGTGTGCTAGAACTGGGGTGGACTTATTTAAGGAGGTATGGTGATCAATTAAATATTTGGACATTTTAATGTTAGCTGTCACGAATGTGGTCCCATGGAGCACATGATAGCATATTCTCCATGGAGAGCATAATAACATTTCTGAATGCCCATTTATGCCAAGCTCTGTGCTATGTACACCATACACATTATCTCTAACCTTATCACAACCTTTCAAAATATTACTATCCTTATTCAACAGGAAACTGAGGCTCAGTGAGATATAAATACCTGCCCAAATTTTATGACTAATGAGTGCCTAAGCCAGGATTCAAACCCAAGTCTATGTGATTCCAAAGACACCAACAAAATGTTTTCATGTGAATAATCATATACATCAAATAACTATATCATATAATAGAGGAGTGAGCATATATGAGACAGAAGTGACATTTGAAGGATGTTACTAGTTTCCTGTGGCTACTGTAACACATTACCACAAACCGCGTGAATCTAACCAGCAGAAATTTTTTTCTCTCACAGTTTTAGAGTCCAGAAATCCAAAATTGAGTCTGCAGAGTTGCCCTCCTCTGGAGGTTCTAGGAGAGTCTGTTCTTTTCCTTTTCCAGATTCCAGTGGCTTGTGGCGGCATCACTACAATTTCTACCTCACTGGTCACGTTGCCTCCTCCTCTTCTGCCTGTCAAATCTCTCTCAGCCGCACTCTTTTTTTTTATTTGTGGTTTTAATAGAACTACATGATTTTCTCAAATTCATGTCTTAATTTGAATAGTCAATCTCTAACTGCTTATGTTTGATTTCCTTCTGTTTATTTATTTACAGGCAGGGTCTTACTCTGCCACCCAGGCTGGAGTGCAGTGGTGTGATCATAGCTCACTGTAGCCTCAAACTCCCGGGCTCAAGCAATCCTCCCACCTCAGCCTCCTGAGTAGCTGGGACTACAGGTGTGTATCACCAGGTCCAGCTAATTTTTAAATTTTGTGTTGTACAGTGGGGTCTTGCTATGTTGCCCAGGCTGGTCTTGAACTCCTGGATTCAAGCTATCCTCCCACCTCAGCCTTCCAAAGTGCTGGGAATACAGGCGTGAGCCACCACACTCTGTCAGTGTTTTACATTGCTTCCAGTTTTTCACTGTTAAAAATTATGCTACTATAAAAATAACTGGTTTTTATTCTCATACATTATTTATTTAGGGCAAATTCTCTATGGTTTTCTGCCATAGAGGAATATGATTTAATAATCTTTTTCCTTGTGAGAGCTTATGCTCTGAAAAACGAAAGGAGATAACTCCTACTTTTTTTTTTAAATTATACTTTAAGTTCTGGGATACATGTGCAGAACATGCAGGTTTGTTACATAGGTATACACATGCCATGGTGGTTTGCTGCACCCATCGATCCATCGTCTACATTAGGTATTTCTCCTAATGCTATCCCTCCCCTAACCCTCCACCCCCTGACAGGCCCCGGTGTGTGATGTTACCCTCCCCGTGTCCATGTGTTCTCATTGTGTTCCCACTTATGTGTGAGAACATGCGGTGTTTGGTTTTCTGTTCCTGTGTTAGTTTGCTGAGAATGATGGTTTCCAGCTTCGTCCATGTCCCTGCGAAGGACATGAACTCATCTTTTTTTATGTCAGTCTCGCTCCTATAAAGGACACTTGTCATAGGATTTAGGGTTCATCTGGATAATCCAAGATGATCTCCCCATCTCAACATCCTTAACTTAATTATATCTGCAGATACCCATTTTCCAAATAAAGCAACATTCATAGGTTCTGGAGATTATGATGTAGACATGCATTTTGGCATCGCTACCATTCAGCCCACTACAGTACATAATGAATTTGTATTAGTCAGGGTTCTCTAGAGGGACAGGACTAATAGTATAGATGTATATATGACAGGGAGTATATTAAGGAGTATCGATGCACATGATCATAAGGTGAAGTCCCACAATAGGTTGTCTGCAAGCTGAGGATCAAGGAAGCCAGTCCGAGTCCCAAAATCTCAAAAGTAGGGAAGCCAACAGTGCAGCCTTCAGTCGTGGTCAAAGGCCTGAGAGCCCCTGGCAAACCACTGGTGTAGGTCCAAGAGTCAAAAAGCTGAAGAACTTGGAGTCCAGTGTTCGAGGACAGGAAGCTTCCAGCACGGGAGAAAGATGGAGGCTGGAAGACTTAGCCAGCCTAGTCTTTCCACGTTCCTCTGCCTGCTTCTTTTCCTATCCGTGCTGGCAACTGATAGATGGGCCTACCCAGATTGAGGGTGGGTCTGCCTCTCCCAGTTCACTGACTCAAATGTTAATGTCCTCTGGTAACACCTTCACAGACATACCTAGGAACAATACTTTGCATCCTTCAATCCAGTCGACACTTAATATTAACCATCACATCTCTATGGTCAGACTGAGTTGGACTAGGGTCTTTGACCCCTTCTCCCAATTATGGCTTCCTGGAGGAGATGGAAGTGTTGGGGTTCTCCAAAAGGCCTGAGGAGATGGTTAGGTCTGATGAAAAGTTGAACAGACAAAGGGTACACAGAGCACGTAGCAGGCTTATTCCTGTGGGCTCAAACCAGCCAACATGAAATCCTTAATAGAAAGTTTAAATATTCTATGGGATAAATTATTTTTAGAGTGAATATTCACAGTGTAGACTCTGTCTTCAAGGAACTTGCATTCTAAGTGGTGTTATAAATAAAGTTTCGGTGCTGCAAAAGAAATAGCACTCGAATATAAAATTTTCTTTTTTTCTTCTCAGCAAGGCGATTTACTTCTATAGAAGGGTGTGCCCTCAGCTGGGCGTGGTGGCTCACACCTGTAATCCCAGCACTTTTGGAGTCCAAGGCAGGCAGATCACGAGGTCAGGAGATCAAGACCATCCTGGCTAACATGGTGAAACCCTGTCTACTAAAAATACAAAAAATTAGCCAAGCATGGTGGCAGGCACCTGTAGTCCCAGTTACTTGGGAGGCTGAGGCAGGAGAATGGTGTGAACCCGGTAGGTGGAGCTTGCAGTGAGCCGAGATCATGCCACTGCACTCCAGCCTGGGTGACAGAATGACACTCCATCTCAAAAAAAAAAAAAAAAAAAAAGAAGGGTGCACCCTCACAGATGGAGCAATGGTGAGCGCACACCTGGACAAGGGATGGGAAGGGGTTCTTATTCCTGATGCACGTGGCCCCTGCTGCCATGTCATTCCCCTATTGGTTAAGGTTAGACTGCACAGGCTAAACTAATTCCAATTGGCTAATTTAAAGAGAGTGATAGGATGGGTGAGTGGTTTGGCCAGAAAAATGGTTATGACAGAGCAGGAAATCAGAATGAGTCAGGGTGGAGCAGGAAATCAGAATGAGTCAGGGTGGAGCAGGTGATCAGAATGAGTCAGGGTGGAGCAGGTAATCGAAAAAGGTTGCTTTATGAGGAAGTTAAGTTTAAAAGTAGAAGGCAAAGAATTGAACACACTGACATTGATTCTTTGAAGAGAAATTTAGAACTCATATCTAACAGTGGCATGACAGTTAATTGAATAAAACATGAGTGTATCCTAAACAGTCAATCAGAGCCTGTTTTTCTTATCTCATTGTAAAAAAAAAAGTCTATAGCAAAAAATAAATGTTAAGAGAAGAAACCCCCATATTAAGGGGAAAACACAAAGTTTGCAGAGCAGAATAACACCCAAACAAACCTGCTCTCAGACAAAACTACTACCCTTCCTTTCTGAACAATGATGATTAGAGTCATACCATCACTATTTTGACTTAGGGCCATTAGGATTAATCCTCAAATATCCCAGGTCTCCTCATCTTTATATTTTCCTTGTATATCTTTGTTTTAATCCTGTCTCTCAACTCTTGTAAACCTTATACTTTGTCCTCTGGAAATCAGAGTTGGTATTCGAGAAAATCCCACTTACCTTCAACAACTTGTCTTAATGTTTCCTTCGTCTACTTATTTTAACTTAAATCTGGTTCTACCCTAATCTGTGGCTCCCACTAAAGTTGTTTTTTTTTTTTTAGATGGAGTTTTGCTCTTGTTGCCCAGGCTGGAGTGCAATGGCACAATTTTGGATCACTGTAACCTCTGCCTTCCAGGTTCAAGCGATTCTCCTGCCTCAGCTTCCCGAGCAGCTGGGATTACAGGCACATGCCACCATGCCTGGCAATTTTTTTTGTATTTTTAGTAGAGACAGAGTTTCACCATGTTGGCCAGGCTGACCTCGAACTCCTGACCTCGGGTGATCCACCCGCCTTGGCATCCCAAAGTGCTGGGATTACAGGCGTGAGCCACCGCACCTGGCCTAAAGGCTTTTTAAATGGTGATTTTTCTTTCTCTGACACAATGCAATTACTATTGATCCTGGAGTTAACATAGTGTTCTCCTTGCTCCTCCTTGCTAGTGGAGGACTATTCTCCTATCCTCCTCCTTCCAGCTTGGAAACTTATGTCCTTAGATTATACTTCCCGTTACCCCTTGTGATGGTAAAATTTACATGTAACCTTGACTGGGCCAAGGGTTGCCCATATAATTGATCAAACACTAATCTGTGTGTTTCTGTGAGGGTGTTTTTGTATGAGACTAACAGTTGAATCAGTAGATTGAGTAAAGCAGATTGTCTTCTCTAATGTGTGTGAACTTCATCCAATCATCTGAAGACCTGACTAGAAGAAAAAGGCTGATCTTCTCCTGAATAAGAGGGAATTCCTCCTGCCTGACTGCCTTCAAACTGGGACATTGGCTTTTTCCTGCCTTCGAACTTCTACTGAGACATCAGCTCTTCCTGGATCTCAAGCGTGCTGGCCTTTGGATGGGAACTACACCATTGGCTCTAAGTGGTTCTCAGGCCTTCAGACTCAAACTGGAACTACACCATCAACTCTCCTGGGTCTTCAGCTTGCTGCCTACAGATTTTGGATCCTGTTAGCTTCCAGAATCATTTGAGTCAATTTTGTATAATCTCTTTCTCTATGTATATTGCTCTCTCTCTATACATACACACACACACACCCTATTTGCTCTGTTTCTCCAGAGAACCCTGACTAATAAACCTCCTTGTTACAGTAATCTACTGACTTTCAGTTTATTCCCTCTCAATTATTGAGGATGTTTTACTTTGTGGCATAATATTGCTCTTACCAATATCATTTATGTTTCAATTCTTGTTGATGTCAATATCCAGGTGTATGATGATCCTTTCAACACCCTGGCCTCTCATTTCCTTTACCCCATCTTCAGTGTTATTTTCCTCATCAACTTTACCACTTGTTCCTATGGCCATAACTTATCTTGTCATTATCAATAACTGCAATCCCTCCATAACGTCAATTTCAAACATCCCACTTGACCACTAACTCACTCCCTTTGGTACTCTGATAATTATTTTACCCAATGGAGACCTCCAATCTCATAACTCTTCTAACTTTTCTCTTTCACGTCTCTTCCCCTTCACAACCCAAATATATCCTCACTTTCCTCCACACTGGGCTTAGAGTCCATGGTCCACCATTAAAATTACTCTCTCATATTATCTTCAACTCCCTTGGCTCTCTCTCTTGGTAATTATACCCATTTGACAAAATCCTAAGTCTAATTAAGTTGAACATGATCAAAGAAAATCATACAGTCCTTCTAACTGGTCTCACTTTAAACTCAATATCGCTAGCCCCAAGTGAGTCCTTAATGCTGCCTGTCAATTGTGCTATATTTGCCAATTCCATTAACATTCTCAGTAACTATTCCATGCCTTCTCCCTTTTCAAAATTCAAATATCCACTAACTCCAACTTGCTTCCTGTTTACATGAGAAAATAAAAACAATCAAAAGAGATTTTCCTCCATCCACTCTCCCCATATCTTTTCACCAACCAGTTTCTATGCCCATATATTCAGCATTTTTCCTGTTAATAACGGTGAACTACACATACTTCTAGCTAAAGCAGTTGAACTTAACCTCATCCCTACTCACCAGCACCAAGATAACCCTCCTATAATTTTCTTCTTCCTATCCCATATTATTAAATTTTCCCTTTCTAGTGGGTCTTTCTCATAAACATAACCTGCTGATATTTCTCCCATCTTAAAAAAAAAAAAAAAAAAAAAAACGAACCAAATCAAATAGCTCTCTTGATTTCACTTTCTTCTCTGGCTGCTGTCCCATTTCTCTCTCCTCTTTACAGCAAAAGTCCTCGAAAATATAGTCTACATTTGTTGATTTTGAGTTTTCTCCTCCAACTTTTTTGTTAAAGGCTTTAAATCTTACCACTTTTCCCACCACCTTTTATAAAGGTTACTGTTATGGGCTGAATTGTGTCCCCCCAATTTCCTATGTTGAAGTCCTAATCCCTTGTACCTCAGAATGTGACTGTATTTGGAGATAGGCTTTTTAAAGGAGTGTTAGGTTAAAATGAGGCTATTAAGGTGGGCTCTAATCCAATATGATTGGTGTCCTTACAAGGTAAGAAGTTGGGCACACAGAGACACAAGGGTGCAGAGTCACAGGGGAAAGGACATGTGTGGACTCAGTAAGAAAACAGCTTGTCTGCCAGCCAAGGAGAGAGGCCCCAGAAGGACCCAAACCTATCAACATCTTGACCTCACACTTTCAGCATCCAGAAGTGTGAGCAAATAAATTTATTTTGTTTAAGCCACCCAGTCTGTGGTATAGTGTTATGGCAGCCCTAGAAAACTAATATACTTACCGGTGACCTCCATGTTGCTAACCCTAAGGCCCATTCTCAGTCTTCATGTAACTTGACGTATCAGCAGTATTTAATATAGTTAATTATTTCCTCTCCCTTCATATAATATCTTCATTTTGCTTTAAGGGCACTATAATTTCTTCGTTTTCTTCATACCTCACTGGTTTTTCCTCCTCAGCGTCCTTTGATGACTTCCTCCTTCACTTCCCCAATTCTAAACTTTGGACTACTCCAGGGATCAGCCTTTGGACCTTCAATACATTATTCATCATTCCCATTAATGCCACTCTGCTCTGAGACACCATTCTTTGCCTGGATAATAGCAATATTTTCCTAAATTGATTCCCTGCCTCCACACTTGCCTGTTTACACTCTATTAGCCACATAGCAGCCACAGTAATCTTTTTAAAGGATTGTGTTAAGTTTCTACTCAAAGCTCTCCAGTGATTCCTCTCTCTATCAGGATAAAAGCTTTCTCACAAGGTCCTTGTGATCTTGCTCCTACCTACCTCTTTAACTTATGCCACAACTCTCCTTTCCCTTCATTCTACTCAGCTCCATTGGCCTCTTTGCTTTTCCTTGACCATACCACACATGCTTCCAACAGAAGATACTTACGTTTGCTTCATTTTGCCTGGAATAAACTTTGCCCAGACATTTGCATGTCTCTCTCCCTAACCTGTTTCAGGATCGTGCTCAAATGTCACCTGCACAGTTAGGTCTTCCCTGGCTATCCTGTTTAAAATCTGAATGCCCCTAGCAGCACTCATGACTCTAGTTCCCTGCTTTCCCCTATAGCACTTAACATCATCTAGCATAAATCGTGCTTTACTTACTGTACCTACTTACCACACACACTGAATAGAAGCTTCATGAAGACATGAATTTTTGTCTGTTTTGTTCACTATTGTGTGCCTAGCTCCTAAGACAGGGCCTGACAGAAATTTGGGGCTAATGATAGTATTTGTTGAATGAATCACCAAATTATAGTATGAGCTCAAAATTTCATGGTTTTTCTTTCAATAGCACTTGATGAAAGAGTAAGTTATTGAGAAATTAAAAAAAAACTTTCAAAAACATTTGGGATTCAAGGGAAGAGGATGCTGGAAACCATAGATAGAAGTCAAGTCCTATGATTGCTTATTTCTGACTGTGATCATATTTCTGAATGTGTCTTAGTTTTTATATTAAAAGCACACTGGTTTGAATAGTTTCCACTTTGGTGAAAATTTTGGAGTTTCTTGAGTTTTTTACAGCTAAAAAGGATACTGAATATTGTATGCGTGAAAACTGTACTGTGAAATGTGTGAGGAAAGAGGGGGCTGCTGGAGGTTGAGACATTAAAATATTGCCCACTGAAGCAGGATATTTTGCCAGCTGCTTATTACTAACATGATTTTTCTGTATCCTTAAAAGCATTTGTTTTGAAGTACACATGCCATTATAATTGCCCAGTGTCCAAATAAAGCCTTCCAAAGCATAATTGTTACTAAGGAAAGTCCATGAAACCTGTTAAAAAATATAAATATGGAAGCTTCTTTCTTTTTGTCTAGGCGTTATGTTACCAGTAAAACCAAAGTCTTAGAAACAATTTCTTTGTCTTTCTAGATTGTTTACTTCATCCCTTTGTCTTATGTGCTTTGTGAGATTTAGGATATTTCCTTCCTGTTGTATCAGTGAGTTTTCTTTCCTTTTTCAATTTTTATGAGGACTTGTCAAATGATTCTTTGGCTTATACCTAGCATAGTGGTTGGCATATTGTAGAACCACAATAAATTTTGAATGACTATAAAAGTATTCAATTTTTAAAATTCAGTCCCCTTTGCCTGAGTTTCTCAAAGGGCAATTTGTGAAACACCTGCATCAGTATCACCAGGATGCTTATTTTTTTTTTAATGCTGACTCTTATAGTCTGTTCACCATTTACTAAACAGCATGGAATCACTGAAATTTGAGAAAAGTTATTTTAAGCTGCTACTGTTTGTCACACTGAGCTCAGTTGTCTATTGTAGCACATATCACAGTGTGACAATTAAACACATACAAAAATACAGCATATGGTTAATGCCATGAAGTGAGTCGACATGGTGCTTTAATAAACAATAATAGGATAACTTACTTTCAAATTGGCAGTCAGGAAAGGTCTCTGGATAGTGACATTTAAGTTGTGACGTGAAGGTATTTAAAGCCATATGACACTCCTGCATTTACAGGTTGAGAAGAAGGGGAGGAAGATGATCCAGTAAAAGAGACTGTTTAGGAGCCACCAGGGAGAAAGGAGGAAAATTAGACGGATGTGGCATCCAGAAGTCAGAGGAATGTGTTTCAAGAGAGGGAGAGTCGGCAAGTGTTTCAAATACTTCTGATAGATCTAACAAGTTAAGAAAAAAAATATTAATTGGATTTTACAATAGGGAATTCTCTGTGATCTTAACAAAAGCAGTTTCATTGTAGGTGCTGAGTATCAAAAGCAGATTTGGGGGATATGGAAATATAAGCAGAAGGTAAGGAGTTGGACTCAGCAGATATAGACAACATGGCTGCAAATGCAGAGAGAAATACAAATTTGGTGTTAGAATGGTGTGTAAATTCTCTGATGGCTTCCATTTTCTTAGAAGTTTGAAAGAGAAGTCGATGGTACGATTCAGTCGTTCCACAAAGTGGACAAAGATCAGTAAGAGAAGTATAGTAGGATTGCTGCCTCAACATGTGTTTTCTTACAATTTGTCATTAGAAATTCAAATTGAATTTAGTAGAACTGGTCATTAGATTTCTGCAGCAATGTTTAACTGCTTGCATGTAGGCATAGAGAAGTCAGATAATTTGATTCAACGGTGGTGAAGCTGGAAGCAGAGCTGGAGTGGGAGGAAGAGTGAACTCAAGGCAAAAAAGTTGCAACAGAGAGAAAGGACAACTCTTTTGACAAGAAATATCGGTGTGAATGGAAATGAAGAAATGCAACAGTAATTGGATAGGGGTGTTGGGTCAGTGCAAGGCGAACACCTACATTTGATTGGTTGGTTGGTGGAGTTAATGAGAGAGCTACTTCAGCATGCTTACAGTCTTGTGGGAAAGAGCCAGCTGAGAGGGAGAAAGAAAAGCAGAGTTTAGAGATTGGAAAGGAAGAAAACATTGAGGAATTAGTCAAATTCGTAAATATACAAAGTACTGATATGATAGACCAGATAATGATGGAAGACTCCAAAGTTACGGACGTTTTAGAGATCACTGAGATGGTTATTCCCAGGAGCTATGCAAAAGAGAGTGAAAGTTGCTGCAGCTGCTGGCACGTGAGAGCGAGCCCAGATCCTGCTGCCACTGCCCCAACAAAGCACTTTGGCCAGTACCTGCTATCAGAGTGTTGTGGCCAGCAGTCTGGGAATGCCTTGGTCCCTCTAGCACAGAAGGTTGCTATCATTGAGGGGCCAGCAAACAAAGCTGGGAGAATGGTACTAGCTTCTCCCCAGAGTTAGAGCACGCAGCCCAGGGTACTGAGCTGAGCCTTAGCCCCCTTACAATCTTCCAGAAATGAAGTCAGTCAACTAACCTCACTTTAAGCCACAAATAAACCCCCAAGGGCAACAAAGAAGATAAAGCAAAACAACAACAACAACAACAACAAAACCCATCCAATGAACAGCAACTTCGAAGACTAAAGGAGTGTCAGCCCACACAGATGAAAAAGAACCAGTGCACGAACTCTGCCAACTCACAAAGCCAGAGTGCCCTTTTACTTCCAAAAGATCACACTAGTTTCCCAGCAATGATTCTTTTTTTTTTTTTTTTTTTTTTTTTGAGACGGAGTCTTACTCTGTCGCCCAGCCTGGAGTGCAGTGGCACGGTCTCGGCTCACTGCAAGCTCTGCCTCCCGGGTTCACGCCATTCTCCTGCCTCAGCCTCCCGAGTAGCTGGGACTGCAGGCGCCCGCCACCACGCCCAGCTAATTTTTTTTTTTGTATTTTTAGTAGAGACAGGGTTTCACCGCGTTAGCCAGGATGGTCTCGATCTCCTCGTGATCCGCCCGTCTTAGCCTCCCAAAGTGCTGGGATTAGAGGCATGAGCCACAGCGCCCGGCCTTTTTTTTTTTTTTTTTAATTTGAGACAGAGTCTCACTTTGTCACTTAGTATGGAGCACAGTGTTGCGATCATGGCTCACTGCAGCCTCGACCTCCCAGGCCCAAATGATCCTCCCGCCTCAGCCTTCCAAGTAGCTGGGAACACAGGCATGCACCACCATGCCTGGCTAAATGTTTTTTGTACTTTTCGTAGAGACAGGATTATACCATGTTGCCCAGGCTGGTCTTGAACCCCTGAGCTCAAGCAATCTGCCTCCCTCAGCCTCCAAAAGTGCTGGGATTACAGGCATGAGCCACCATGCCCAGCCAGCAATGGTTCTTAACCAGGCTGAAATGGCTGAAATAACAGACATGGAATTCAGAATATGGAGAGGAATGAAGATCACTGACATTCAGGAGAAAGTCGAAACCCAATCCAAGGAATCTAAGGAATATAATAAAAATGATACAGGAGCTGAAAGACAAAGTGGCCATTTTAAGAAAAAACAAACTGGCCTAATAGAGCTGAAAAACTGACTACAATAATTTGATAATACAATTTCAAGTATTAACAGCAGAATAGACCAAGCTGAGAAAAGAATCTCGGAACTCAAAGACACATTCTCCAAATTAAGTCAGCCAGACAAAAATGAAGAAAAAAGAATGAACAAAACCTCCAAGAAATATGGGATTCTGTAAAGAGACCAAGTTTATGACTTCTTGGTATCTCTGAATGAGAGGGAGAGTGAGCAAGCAACTTGGAACACATATTTCATATTGTCCATGAAAATTTCCCCAACTGCGCTAGAGAGGCCAGCATTCAAATTCAGGAAATACAGAAAACCCCTGCAAGATACTATACAAGATGACCATCCCCAAGACATATAGTCATTAGATTCTCCAAGGTTGAAATGAAAGGTAAAAAATGTTAAAGCCAGCTAGAGAGAAGGGCCAGGTCACCTACAAAGGGAACCCCATAAGGACAACAGCAGACCTGTCAGCAGAAACCCTATAAGCCAGAAGAGATTAAGGACCTATATACAGCATTCTTAAAGAAAATAAATTCCAACCAAGAATTACATATCCAGCCAAACTAAGCTTTACAGGCAAAGGAAAAATAAGATCCTTTTTAGACAAGCAAATGCTAAGGGAATTCATTACCAGCAGACCTGCCTTAAGAGAGGTCCTTAAGAGAGTGCTAAATAGGAAAATGAAATACCATTACTAGCCTTCACAAAAACACATATAAGTACATAGAGCATTGACACTATAAAGCAACCACATAATCAACCAGCTAATAACACGATGTCAGGATCAAATACACATATATCAATATTAACCTTGAATGCAAATGGGCAAAACCTCCGCCTCCCAGGTTCAAACGATTCTCTTGCCTCAGCCTCCTGAGTAGCTGGGATTACAGGTGTCCGCAACCTCACCTGGCTAATTTTTGTATTTTTAATGGAGATGGGTTTTCACCACGTTGGCCAGGCTGGTCTTGAATGCCTGACCTCAAATGATCCACTGGCCTCCGCCTCCCAAAGTGCTGGGATTACAGGCATGAGCCACCGCACCTGGCCCATAATTTCATCGTTGTGTTAAACATTTGTCTTTTCTTCACGTAGAACCAGTACAATTCTAGCTATTACTGTTCCATCTATCTAGATTTCTTTCTTTATACACGTACATTAAGGTAAATGTGACAATAATACTCTACATGTATTTTTAAAAGATTCCTTTTACTCAGTAACATGCCAGCCCCATAAATAGAAATCTACATATGGATTTAATGACTGCATAGTAAATTATAGTATGGTAATTAATTTAACCAATTCCCTGGTGATTTAGTGATATACGTGTAGATCGCTTTCTACGTTTTTCTGTGTCATCTATTGTTAATTGTCTAATAAACAGACATTTCTCCTTGTCCATCTTTCTTGAGGCAGAGTGCATCTACACCCTTCAAATTCATAATTGATGTTGCAAAGCCAATATATTTGTCCTCCCCAGCCTCTTTTGACATGTGGCCAGTTGGATCAGTTACAGAGATATGTAAGGAAATGTTTTCTGCATGGCTTCTAGGAAAGATTTCCCTCCTTAATTAGTAGATGGAAGCTCACAAGGAGCTATTTCTCACTCCTCTGGCTGCTGACTATTGCTGTGCCTTTGGATGCAGTTCTATAAGGATGTGATGTCTAAAACTATGTCAGCCCCCTTGTGTCCATGAGACAATAACCTGAAGACTAAAGTCAACTCTGAGTGTTTTTTCTGTTTTTTTGTTTTTTTGGTTTTTTTTTGAGATGAAGTCTAGCTCTGTCGCCCAGGCTGGAGTGCAGTGGTATGACCTCGGTTCACTGCAACCTCCCGTGTTCAAGCGATTCTTCTGCCTCAGCCTCCCAAGTAGCTGGGATTACAGGCGCCCACCACCACGCCCGGCTAATTTTTGTGTTTTTAGTAGAGACAGGGTTTCACTGTGTTAGCCAGGTTGGTCTTGAACTCCTGACCTCATGATCCGCCCGCCTCGGCCTCCCAAAGTGCTGGGATTACAAGCGTGAGCCACTGTGCCTGGCCAACTCTGAATTTTATAGAGCAAAACAGAAAGCCCCTGACTCCTCTTTGATCCATTTTAGCAACCTTTGGCTCTCCTGCTTCCACAATATATACAATTATTTTATGAGAAAATAAAACTTAATTTTGAAGCTTATTGGGTATTTGTCTTACCACTGTGAGAAATGGGAAAGTTCTGCTTCAAAGATTATAAAAGTCACAATTTCTTACTATAAGAGTGTTATCCACTATTAGTATATTGTTATCCACTAATTGTTATCCACTGTTAGTATATATATTCGAAATCAGCTATCCTAGCTTGCTGCGGCATGCCTGGACAGAACTAGACAAGCCCCAGCCCGTAGTGCATGCCATTCCTTGTTTGGAGATGCTTCCTTAACTATCCCTGGGCAACTTCCTTTTCTTTCTTTGTTCTGTTCCCCTTACCCAATTAAAAAGGTTTTAAATGAGTAGCCAATTGGGTAAAGTGTAAAATGTGAGGTCCTATTCCAGCCAATGGAAACTGGACACAGCAGTAGGGTAGACACGTCAGTTATAAATAACTCTGTCTCCTTTGTTTGGTGTGCTCTCATGGCTGGACAGCTATTGAGTAGCACCCTTTCTGCAGAAAGTAAAGCTCACCTTGCTGAGAGATCATTTGTTCCCCTCGTTAATTCTTTTTTTGCGACACCAAAAACTTCATTCACAACACTACTAAAGCATCCATATTTGCTTTTAAAAACGATACTATATTAATTATCCTTCTGCATATGTATTTGCACATTCACCTTTATTTCTATTACTTAAAGTCCTAAAAGTTGAATTACAGGTTCATGGATATGAGCATTTTAAATTTGGATACAAATTTCCCAAGTGACCATTACTCAGTTACATTCCCACCAACAGTATATGAGGATATCTATTTCCTCACACTTTTATCAATACTGGTTATTATAAATCTTTAGACTATTTTCAAATGTATTAGAAAGATAACTTAGTATGGAAACATGCTTAACTAAGTGGATAAAGAGTTGGCTCTGAAGTCAGACTGCCTGGGCTCAAATCCTGGCTTTTCCTATTTACTGGGCTTGTGGCCCTAAGCAATTCCTTAACCTCTCTTTGTCTTTGTCTCCTTAATTTGCTCTCTTCCATTCATTCTCACTCACCACCTATAACCAAGTCTGCCTGTGTGTATAATGTTGTATAGGTTGTGGAAAGAGGTAGCTGATTATTCTATCCGGGCATTGAAGCTAATATTAGTGTGACCGTAAACTTCAATGTACAAACCAGGAGAGTAAAATGAGCTCAGACAAATGTGTGAGGGAGCAGCTCCATATTGGCACCCTGACAACCTCGCATGACTCCTCATAGGCTATATAGGCAAGGCTCAAGTCTCATGTAAAATGTGGATATGAATGGTACCTATTTCATAGGTTAGTGTGAGGGTTAAACTGGCAATTAGTGCTTAGCAGACAGGAGAACATTCAATACAGGGTAATTATTGTCTATTATTTTATTAGAATTTCTTGGATACTAGTTTTTTTGTAGATCTGTATGTTTATTTTCCACTATTATTTATTTTGAGGGGAATTTTCTTTTCATGTTCTTTGCCCAGTGATGTCATGTTGTGTTTATCTTGTTATTGGTTTCAAAACCTTAAACTTAGTCTCCTTATATGCAAAACAAAGAGGTTATATCAACTGGTTTTTAAAGGTCTTTCTAGCTTGTACTTCATATTTGCAAGTGTCTTGATGGCAGAACCATGTTGGTGAGAGGGACCTGGACACCTAAGAGTTCTTTTAGGGGATACATGTGATAATTTAATACTTTTATACAATTTGTAAAGATCAAATCATTATACTTAGGATATCCATTGCCTTAAATATTTGTCTTTTCTTCACACTAGAACCAGTACAATTCTAGCTAATTTTTAAATATACAGTAGATTATTGTAAACTATAGTCACCCTACTGATCTAACACTACGTCTTATTTCTTCTATCAAACCATATATTTGTACCCATTTCTTATAAAGCTGTTTGACATAGTAGTTTATGAGACATCTGCACTTATAAATCTGCTTTTTTGTTAAGCAATATTATAATATTCTACGTATTTATCCTCAAGTGCTTAGAAGAAAATGTTTTAACATCTTGAATTAGTTTAGTCACTTCTTCAAGGCCAGCGGTTTTTGTCTTGAGATTCAGTTGTTTTTCTTTGCAAAAGAGTGATATCAAATTACACATTTAAACCTGATGAAAGTAACTTTTCCTCCTAGAATGTCCTGGGTAATAGATTTGCTGCCAAATTGTCTCCCTGTGATTAGTAATGGCATTAGCAGGAGTAACCTACATGAGTGAGATAAACAACATGAGATCAAGACTAGCAATAATCCTTCTGCTTTGAGTTTAGGTTATGACACATCTTCGAGGCAGCAACAGAAATTACATAAGTTTATTGTTTATTTTTCCTACAGATTCTCTATGGGACACATCTTGCATGTATCAAACCTTCCTCAAATTTTAATTAAGACCTCTATCACCTATAGTCATTAACTAAGCTCACTTACAGAGTTGTAGGAGAAGCATGGATTTTGATACTTAGGGATTTCTGGAGAAGATGTGATCTCTGTTCTCATGGGAAAATTAGGACATGCTGTCCACTTCGAGACACATTTCTAGACCTCAAAGTGGTACCATGGTGCTAGGGTTGAAGTAAGTTAACCTTTCTGAGTCTCAGTTCTCTCAGCTGAGAGAACTGCTACGAAGTAGGCATTATTATCATTTTGACATAATTTTTTCTTTATGATGTTGTTTTTGTTTCATACATTTCAAGACCATGCCTAATCAGATAAATAAGTATTTACCTGAGCTGTATTTTCTAGTTCTTTCATCATTTTACCTTATATGCTTATCTCTTTAATCTTCTTAGAATGTATTTTTGTATTTGGTATGAGGCAGGAAACCTAATCATTCTATTTCTAAACACTTTGCCAATGGTTTCAACATCATTTATTTAGTAATTCATCATTCTGCCACCTATTTGTTGTGAAAGTTTTATCGTGTATTCCTGTGTGCAAATAGAACCATAGCTATTTCTTGATTTCTCCATTCTGTTTCAGTTATTTGTCTACTTAATTCTTTGTCAATATCACATTGTTTATTGTGGCTTTATAATGTATATTAATATATGTCTTTTATTGTTTGCTTACACAATCTTTTCCAGTTATTGTTCTATGTAAAGCTAAGCATCATTTTTAAGTTCTAAAAAACACATTAACAAATATTAGAGGTGGGCTTGCACTCCTTCATTTACTCTCACTCCCCACCTATAAACAAGTTGGCCTATGTATGCAGTGTTTTGTGTTCTGTGTATTGTGGAAAGGAGGTAGATGATTATCCCTTTTAGATGTTGGTGCTAAAACAGGGTGACCATATAATTTCATGTCTAAACCAGGACACTTTTAAGAGGGAAAAGGGTTAGGAGTTCCATGCTGGTACTCTGGCAACCTTGCACGTCTCCACATAAACTATATAGGCAAGGCTCAAATGCAGGTTTGTGTGTCTTGGTGAAATACCCTGTGATCCTCCCAAGAACATGACAAGATTGGCAGCCTTACGAAGAGCTGTCTTCAGCATTTGTTATTTGCCTCCTTATCTTGCAGGAGGCTACCACAAGGCAGATTCTCATCCTTCTCATCTGCCTCCCTGATACCAATGAGGCATGGGACATTCTACTTCACTACCTCCTCCTTAGGGTACAGCTGTGAACTACAAAATGGCTTAGCTGATCTAGAGAAGACACCTCGGTGACAAAGTAACCACTGCCCATGTTGTCTTTCATCTGGCCCCTTTGATTTTTTTATTGTCCTGGAAGTCAAGTGATGCATGAAGCTGACACCATGCTGATCTTGCTTTTGCTCTCTGTATAAGTAATAAACTGTATGAATCTATCTGGGCCAATTGTGTCTTTACCAAAAGAATCCGTCAGCCTGCTTGACAAAATGTTAAAGCAGTTGAGATTCAGGAACAATAAGGGTAAATGGCAACTAAACAAACAAACCAGTGTTGTTCTCAACATTATTCCTATGATCCAAAAGGAGCTCAGTGGTGGTTTGTCCATAAAAATTTTATGCAGTCAGCAATATAACTGGGTTCTTCCTCGGTAATATTTTCTGGTAAGCTTTTGAGTTTGCCATTATTGTGGCGGGGGCCCATGGGGAAGGCAGTTAATTAGACGGTCTATTTAGATGTCAGTCTTTTTTTTTTTCTATTTTTTTATTTTTTTATTTTTTTGAGAGTTTCGCTCTTGTTGCCCAGGCTGGAGTGCAATGGCACGATCTCAGCTCACCACAACCTCCACCTCCCGGGTTCAAGCAATTCTCCTGCCTCAGCCTCCCGAGTAGCTGGGATTACAGGCATGCACCACCACACCCAGCTAATTTTGTATTTTTAGTAGAGACGGGGTTTCTCCATGTTGGTCAGGCTGGTCTCAAACTTCTGAACTCAGGTGATCTGCCCGACTCGGCCTCCCAAAGTGCTGGGATTACAGGCGTGAGCCACCACACCCAGCGATATCCGTCATAATAACATACTGAATCTAGACTACTTTGGAAAGTACAGTTAAATAAAGAGAATTGTTATAAACATTCTTGTTGTATATCTTTCCAGTCCTCTTGTTATGTGTATTTCCTACATAGTTATAATGATGTATTATATATAATTTTGTGGGGCTTTTTTAACTTAACATTCATCGTACATGCTTTATAAACATTTTAACAACTGCATGTGTTTTCATTAAATGGATTTAAACGCTTTCTTGTTACGTGAAGTTCTTTCTTTTCTTTTATATGTCTTTTTAAAAACAGTAGCCAATTATTTTGTAATAAACGTACTCAGCCTTTAGGATAGATTCCCAGTAGAGAAAACTCTTTTTTTCAGCCTCTTGATGTATACTGTCAAATTGCTTTTTAAAGGGTTTGCAGAATTACATTCCCACCAGCACCTGTAGTAACCACTGTCTACCTCTGAAAGTTCAAAGCAAGCTCCAGAATCTCATAATTGTTTAAATTAACTTTATGGCAAGTTGAGGATCATCATGTCTATAAGGACCAAGCAAATCAATAGAAACACTAAATTTATCAGCTGACAGAGCACAGAGATACATGTATGTATGCTCACTTTTATGTGTGTATGTATCTCCTATCTATCTATCTATCTATCTATCTATCTATCTCCCTCCCTATCATCTATCTCTATCATCTATCATCACCAGCTCTGTCTATACATCTATCTATATCTAGTATGATAAACAAGATTTTGTACTGATGTCTTCAACTCTATTACTATGTAGATCATTCTAGCCTTCTCCCCTTGCTTGTCATAACCTCCCACTTCAAGAATGAGACACTTTGCTCTCACAACCATCCATCTGTTTACCTAATTGTTCAATTACAGTATACATGCTTGGTGGTTTTAGAATTGTTAACCTATAGCCCCATGGGAAACAACTTTACCAACTAAAGTACAGCACTTTGATGTACAGTTCCTTTTGCTTTTAGTCTTACCGTATGCACTCATTTCCAAAGTTACTTATGTCCTCACTTTTTCCCTCCACCTCCTTAAGTGAGATTGTTTCATACATTTGTTATACAGTTAAGATGATTTCATCACAGTCTTAATTTCATTCTTGGATCCCCCAACTTTATAAATTATTTTTAAAATTTGCATACATTAAGTTATACTCTCTGTGCTGTAAAGTTATATGGTTTATGACAAATGCATAGCGTCACTTATTCATGAATACAATATCATACACAATAGTTTCACCTCCCTAAAAAATCTCCTGTGCTTTAGCCATTAAACCTTTTCCTCCCCGCCACTGAGCCACTGGCAACCATTGATCTTTTTACTGTCCCTGTAGTTTTTCCTTTCCCAACATGTCATATAATTTAAATCATATAGTATGTAGCCTTTCTGACTAGTTTCTTTCCTTTTTTCCCAATCTTTTAATTAATTTATTTATTTTTTCTTCAGCTTTTATTTTAAGTTCAGGGGTACATGTGCAGGATGTGTAGGTTTGTTACATAAGTAAACGTGTGCCATGGTGGTTTACTGCACAGATCAACCCATCGCCTAGGTATTAAGTTTTCCAGATTCCTCTGTGTCTCTTCTTGGCTTGGTAGCTCATTTCTTTTTATTTTATTTTATTTTATTTTTTAACATAAACTCCAGATTTTATTGTCTTGATAATAAAACAAAAGATGACACTTAGAACTGGATCACTTGGCCCTTTCTCTTCTTATCTCCTCCCAGCTCAAAATGCTTGCATCTTTTAATAGCCAGTGTTCGCTTAGATCTGCAGTTGGGCTCAACACACTCAAGCCTTAGCACAATCTTCTTTGTAGTTTTAGCCTTTTTCCAGAAAATCGGCTTAGTCTGCCCACCATAGCCACTCTGCTTCCTGTCATAACACCGCTTTCCCTGGGCAGGCACCATAGCCACTCTGCTCCCTGTCATAATATCGCTTTCCCTGGGCATGCAGAGAATGCTTGCCCTTCTTTTTTTTTTTTTTTTTTTTTAAATTTTTTTTTTTTTTTTGAGGCAGAGTCTTGCTCTGTCTCCCAGGCTGGAGTGCAGTGGCGCGATCTCGGCTCACTGCAAGCCCCGTCTTCCGGATTCATGCCATTCTCTTGCCTCAGCCTCCCAAATAGCTGGGACTACAGGCGCCCACCACCACGCCCGGCTAATTTTTTTGTATTTTAGTAGAGACGGGGTTTCACCGTATTAGCCAGGGTGGTCTCAATCTCCCGACCTCGTGATCCGCCCTCCTGGGCCTCCCAAAGTGCTGGGATTACAGGCGTGAGCCACCGCGCCGGGTGCACTTCTTGTACTGTGTCACTTTGTGGGGTTGGCGCTTGCCACACTTCTTACAGAAAGTCCGGCGGGTTTTAGGAACATTCACCATGATTGCGTGAGTGGCATCAGCACAGAAAGGAAACAGCTCATTTCTTTTTATTACCAAATAATATTTTATTGTAATAAATGTTACAATATTTATACAATATTGTATTGTTTATCCATTTCTCTATTAAAGGGCATCTTGGTTACTTCCAGTTTTGTGTGAGTATGAATAAACCTTCACATATATGCTTTTGTGGGAACACAGATTTTCAAGTGAATTGAGTAAATACTTAGGAGCACAACTGATGAATCTTGTTTAGCTTTGAAAGAGATTACCAAACTATCTTTCAAAGTGACTCTACCATTTTGCATCCACACTGGCAATAAATGCAAGTTCCTGTTGTGCCTCATCCTCACCAGCAATTGCTATTGTGTTTTAGATTTTATGCATTCTAGTAGCCAGTAGCTGTGTAGTGGTATCACACTATAATTTGCATTTCCCAAGTGAAAAATTATATTGAGCTTCTTCTCATATGGTCCTTTTCTATCTGTAAATCTTCTTTGGTTGGTTGGCTGTTGTGATATTTAGACCATTGTTTGGAGAAGGTTGATTTCTTTGTGATTGTTGAGTTTTCAAAGTTCTTTATCTCCTTGGATACAAGTTTTTTTATCAGATATGTATTTTGTAAATATTTTATTCCACTCTGTGGAATGCCTTTCACCCTCTTAACAGTATCTTTTGTGAACAAAAGTTTTTAATTTTAATAAAATCTAACATCAATATTTTTCATGGATCATGCTTTTGATATTGCATATAGAAACTCTTCACCTTAGGCCGGGCGAGGTGGCTCACGCCTGTAATTCCAGCACTTTGGGAGGCCAAGGCGGGAGGATCACTTGAGATCAGGAGTTCGAGAACTGCCTGGCCAACATGGTGAAACCCCATTTCTACTAAAGATACAAAAAATTATCTGGACATGGTGGCATGCGCCTGTAATCCCAGCTACTTGGGAAGCTGAGGCAGGAGAATGGCTTGAACCTAGGAGGCAGAAGTTGCAGTAAGCCAAGATTGTGCCATTACTCTCCAGCCTGGGTGACAGAGTGAATGAGACTCTATCTCAAAATAAAATAAAAATCAATGTTAAAAATATAGAAACTCTTCACCTTACCTAAGGTCACGTGGATTTTCTCCTAAACTTCCTTACAAAAAAAGTTTCCTTGCCACCTCATTCTCACCCCTCAGCATATATTTGGATGTTCTTAATCTTTCATTATCTTATTCTTTGAGAAACATTATTCATATAGAATTTTAAAAGTTGGGCCTTAAAACTAGACAGCTTCTCTTCAAGTTGTGGCCCCAGCACTTCACAGCAATAGGATCTTTTGCGAGTCCCTTCACTTCTGTGAGCTTCAGTTTCCTTTTCTTCAAAATGTGTCCATGGTATCTACCAAGTCGAGCTGTGAAAATTAAATAAGATAATGCATGTAAAACACTTAGCATAGTTCCTGGTATATAGGGTAGCTATTAGTTGTGTGTTTGTGAATTTCGTATACAGAAGTATAATTCTATGACCTTTAATTTCTTCTTAAAGCCAGGGTGAAGAACTTTTCTTTTATAAATAATAGTATCTAAACCTACTGAATAAAATTTGATGTTAAACTGTATGTTTAAGAGATTTTTTATTTTCATTTGATAGGTTTTACTTATAATCAATTAAGAATATATGTATGTGTGTGTATATATATATATATATATCTATATATATACACACACACACATAGGGAAAGAGGTATATAGAAAGAGAGAGAGAGATTGGTAGTAAACCATAGACGGTACCTGCTACATAATAACCCTAGGCTTCTTTCTCCTTATATACCCAGAGAAATGAACCAAATGGCCAATATGTAATAACACCCTCATTACATGATTTCCTCTAGGTTGAAGTGACTCTAATGGAACTCTAAGTTCATACAGGAATTACTGACTCCATGTCTTTATAAGCTATAGGAACTAGACTTGAGCAAGCTGTATCTTTCAGTGTTTCAGCTTCTCTTGCTTAGAGAGCATACAAAATCACTTGTTATTAATTATAAATATAGTTTCTATTCGTTAAATGTTTCCATGAATCAGACACTGCATTAAGCATTTTACCTTCATTATCTCATTTAATCCTTTCAAAATCTTCTTTTGGCAGGTGCTATCCTTGTTCATATTTTGCTGGGGAGGAAATATGGGTTCTAAGAATAAAGTAACTTTTACAAAGGTCACACAACTGATAGATATCAGAGTATGAGTTGGAACCTAGGGATGTTTGATTCCAAAGTCAATTCTCATAAACGCTATGCTCAACTGCTTCTCATGGTTCAACGGAAATGAGCATAACAAGTTATTGAGAGATAACTTAGAGTGATAGAGTGATATCTAGGAAAATCAAATAAGGCTTAAACGATGATATTCTTTCCGGGTAATTATCAATAACAATAACTTAGGTCTCTGTTATAGAATATCTGTCTTTGGACTGGACTATCCAACGATTTTCCCAGTAGTGCATGTAATGTGACAACCACTTATGTCTCATGATGATCCTCATTAGACAAATGATCCAGGACTGAAAGCAAAATGACTCTATTTTATATCTTGAAATGTGTGCAGCAGAGAATCCAGTTAGTGTGTGAAATTTGTATTTTTAAATACTAAAACTACTAATTGTATAGTTGATGTAATTTTAAGAAAATCAGTCATTTTGTTTTGCAAAGTAAGTTGGATGTCAATGTTAAAATTTAAGTGTTCATGCATCCATTAAACTTCTGCATACGAGTTTTCTTTTCTAACTGGATATTATATATTTCTTAGCAAAATATTTATTGTCAGCATCTTCAACAACTTTTCTTCACAATTATTGGCTTGTGATTTGAATTTAGCTTCACAGAACATATGACAGAACTTAATTTATTGTACCTCTGTTATGAAATTCATCATAGTACGACAGTTCTCAAACCTATCCATGTTGTGCTTATTTCAGATTACATTAGCACTCCTCAGGATCTAGACACATACATTCTTCACTTCTTTTTGTTTTGTTTTTGAGATTGAGTTTCACTCTTATTGCCCAGACTGGAGTGCAATGACATGATCTGTGTTCACCACAACATCTGCCTCTCAGGTTCAAGCGATTCTTCTACCTCAGCCTGCCGAGTAGCTGGGATTACAGGCATGCGCCACCACGCCTGGCTAATTTTGTATTTTTAGTGGAGCGGGGTTTTTCCATGTCAGTCAGGCTGGTCTCGAACTCCCGACCTCAAGTGATCGGCCCACCTCGGCCTCCCAAAGTGCTGGGATTACAGGTGTGAGCTACTGCACCCGACCCAAATTCTTCACTTCTATGTGGTATTTAGTACTAAGCACTTCCTGAGTACTTCCTTTGAGTTCAACAAATATGCCTTGAGATGAATGAAGCTATAAAATGGCCTTGAGAATATTTCAGGTCATAATCTCAAGACATTTCATTGTTATCAGAAAGTTTTAATATTCTACCTAATGTTTGCCTTTAAATAATATACCCAAGATAGAGAAATACATCTGAAACAGTGATGTCTAATGTAAGATTCCAAGTTGGAGTCCTGAACAGTTATAGATCTCTTATTTGGGTTTCACATCAAAATTTGCCGTCATCAAGGTTAATATACTTTATATACCAATAGAATAATTTTATCAAAAATGCCTCAGGAGTGTGAATAATCCCAATATTTTTCTTACCACCAAAATCCTTTTGTAATAAATTGTTCTTAGCTTTTCACTGGATGCGATACGTAGCTTATGTTTTTTGATATTTGATATCATAAGCATCTTTAGGAAATAAAAGACATTTGAAAGCCATGTTTAAAGCAACCTCTGCTGCTGCATGTTAAATTAGCATTTGTCCTTTCTCACTGATTAATGAGGAGTATTGATGTGGCTTGTTTATGACATGTTCCCCTGTGTTAGAAGACTTTATCTTACTTATCCTTCAGATTTTATTTCCTCTACAGTTTTCTAAAGCTGTTAATTTTCTACAGGTGCTTTTATGCTAGGGACAGAGATGCTCAGATAAGATTTGCAATGCATAGAAAAAGCTTTTACTAACTGTCTGCTCTATTGGTGGGAAAGTGAAGGGTTAATGATGCAGTGAAAGAAAATAACTGAATTTTTGTTATGGGTTGCTTAAGAAAAACATATTTGTGTAGCAATTACATTTAATGTAAAATAATATTTACATTATTTTTTGTAGGCTGAATGGTAAGATATACGTGAATATGAAGAAAGCTATGAAGTGCCATCATAAATATCATCATTATGCTATTTCTTATTCAAGTTGCTTTCAAAGGAATTACCACCCCTCCCTCCACTTCACCTGCTGCCCCAAATTAAGACAATATAGACTATAATTTTTGAATTCCATTTATTGGGTTTTTATAATTTCTCTTCTAACTTTTCCTTCATGAGTCTGTCACTCAGAAATGCCCTCCTTGGGGGTAATCACGAATAATTCTAGGTTCTCTCCCTGTTAAACAGCCCTTGAAAACAACTCACATATTATCTGTTCCATCCTCACCAATTTCTCCTCACTCCTGCCCTCCAGTCTCCTCTTCCTCAAGCTAAATTTTCCCATCTCCTGCCAAACTTTTCCTTGTAAAAATGTTGTCTTCCGGCCAAGCGTGGTGGCTCATGCCTGTAATCCCAGCACTTTGGGAGGCCGAGGTGGGCGGATCACCTGAGGTCAGGAGAGTTCAAGACCAGCCTGGCCAACATGGTAAAACCCCGTCTCTACTAAAAATACAAAAATTAGCTGAGCGTGGTGGTGGGCACCTGTAATCCCAGCTACTTGGGAGGCTGAGACAAAAGAATTGCTTGAACCCAGGAGGCGGAGGTTGCAGTGAGCCGAGATGGCTGCCACTGCACTCCAGCCTGGGCAACAAAGAGCGAAACTCCGTTTCAAAAAAAGAAAAAAAGTTTTCTTCCTTTTACGTACAACATTCTGTTGTGATGACTCTGTCTCGTCTAGTAACAGTGGCTGGTGCCAGGTCAAGAAATCCCCTATCCTACACCGGTAAAACTGGTTTGTTTGATCCAATTTCAAACCTTCACTTGGTTTCTGATTGTGTGTTTTTGTTTAATTGCTCTGGAATTGAGAGGACACAATAGTGAGCTCATTCTGTCACCTTAGTTGTTTGTCTGGGGTGTCTCAGGAAAGTGAATATTGGAAGATATAATAATACGAATAAAAGCTACTGCATATTGAGTGCTTACTATGTCTTAATCACTTTATACATCTTCTTCCATTTCATCATCATAACAACACATTGAGCCTATTATCATTATTATTCCCTGACAGTGTGTTACAGTGTCTGTTGAATAAAGGAATGAATCAACATTCAAGAGATTCAAAAACTTTCCCAAGGTCCCACAGATCTTAAACGGCATTCTGTTGGACCCTAAGTCTGTACTGTTTACGTGTTATATGCATAGTCTCTTTTAAGGAAGATTTTGAGGAATGGCAGTCTCCCAAGCACTTATACACTTGGCACCATGACATTTTATATTTATTGTTACTTTGATCTTTATATGGCTTCTCATTTATTAATTATTCAAATATTTTATATATATATATTCATTGAGTACCTACTGTGTGTTAGGTGTATTTTAGGCACTAGGCAAGCTCTAGTGAACAAGATAAACTGTTTTTAACTTTTACTGTTTATTTTTCAGCACATTCTGCCATTTAAACTGTGCCCCTTAGGTTCCGAGGAATATATGGCAAATCCATATATATTCAATACCATTTATGTCTCTCAATTTTCTGTGCATAATGGATATTCAAACATTTGTTGAACCATATGATGATGTCATAGAAAAAAACTCTAGGTTGGGAGCTAAGGTCCGGCTCTTGCATTTACTAGGCCCGTTACTTTACCCAAATCACTCAGCTATATGAACCTCAATTTCCGCTTCTTGAAATAGGAAAAATAAACCCTCCCTCACTAACTCATGGAATCTTGCTATGAAGATCAATGAGCTGATGAAGCATAAGTTATTTTTAAGGTTTCAGATTCTGCAAATTTCTACTATTCCTGTTATTGTCATTTTTGACAGACTGGATAAGCACTAGAAAGTTATTTTCAACTCGGAAGGGAAGGCAGTTACAGAAAATAGAAAATAAGACTAAGAAATTAAAGTTAGCATGTTGGCTTTGGACTTCCTATCATTCTAGTTACAGTCTTTTGAGCTCCCTTTAATTTTTTAAAATATTTTCAACATGTTATACTAATAGCAACTGACACTAAACGTTTAAAATACTAGAATGATACAAAAATTAGCTGGGCGCTGTGGCATGTGCCTGGAATCCCAGCTACTTGGGAGGCTGAGGCAGAAGAATTGCTCGAGCCCGGGAAGCGGAGGTTGCAATGAGCTGAGATTGCACCATTGCACTCCAGCCTGGGTGACAGAGTGAGACTCCATCTCAAAGAAAAATAAAATAAAATACTAGAATGTGCCTGAAAAAAAAAATTGTAGTGTTGATACTTTTCAGTTATAGGGGTTAGAACACCATAGTTTAAGGCTTTATCTCTTGTCTTTATGCTCACTCAGAATGGAAATAGCTGAGGAATATTAGATAAGAAAGAAGTAATTGGGAGAATATAGCTAAGTGGCTCAGTATTTTAGCTAGTGTTTAGTGCACAAATGGAGAGACAAAAATAAAGGCTCCTGGCCAGGCGCAGTGGCTCACGCCTGTAATCCTAGCACTATGGGAGGCCGAGGTGGGTGGATCACCTGAGGTCAGGAGTTCGAGACCAGCCTGGCCAACATGGCAAAACCCCGTCTCTGCTAAAAATACAAAAATTAGCTGGGTGTGGTGGTGCATGCTTGCAATCCCTGCTCCTCGGGAGGCTGAGACAGGAGAATCACTTGAACCCAGGAGGCAGAGGCTGCAGTGAGCTGAGATTGTGCCACTGCACTCCAGCCTGGGCCACATAGCAAGACTCCATCTCAAAAAAATAAAATAAATAAATAAATAAATAAAGGCTCCTAGGTCTTTGTGAGTTTTCTTCTTGGAGAAGTTTCAAACCACTTATATTTGTTGCATATGCTGATTATTGTTCATGACAATTCCCTCAGATAATGGAAAGGTATAGTGATAGCAGCAAAGACAGGAGAAGGTAGAGTTTTAAGAATATTTTCCGGCCAGGCATGGTGGCTCACGCTTGTAATCCCAGCACTTTGGGAGTCCGAGGTGGGAAGATCATGAGGTCAGGAGTTCAAGACCAACCTGGCCAACACAGTGAGCCCTCATGTCTACTAAAAATATAAAATTAGCTGGGCATGGTGGTGGGTACCTGTAATCCCAGCTACTCGGGAGGCTGTGGCAGGAGAATCGCTTGAACCTGGGAGGTGGAGGTTGCAGTGAGCTGAGATTGCGCCACTGCACTCTAGCCTGGGCAACAGAGCTAGACTCCGTCTCAAAAAAAAAAACAAAAAAAAAGAGAATATTTTTCTCAGTGTCATTATTTTAGAAACAAAGTTCCAGTCTGGTAACTTCTCTTAATGTTGCTGTTGCTGTTAATATTTACCAATCTGCATAGTCTTCCTCTTCTACTTCCAAAGCTTTGAAGTAGGAACATTTTGTAGTGAACGTTTCCTAACTGTTTTAACAGAAATGCAATGGCCATCATGGTGCATTGACAAAGTAGGGAAAATAATTGCACAAAGATTGTGAGGGAAAGAGGATCAGAGAGAGCACATCAGTAATGATAATTTATTACACCAAAGTTTGACAACAAAGCTACAACATGGAAGAGTGGAAATTACAGGTGACTGGTGTCGACAGGAGTTTAGAAACTTGCATTAGTACGTCATCTTGTTGGTACTGTGTTACATAGTGTTTGCACTACCATCTCTTTTTTTTTTTTTTTTGAGACGGAGTCTCACTCTGTTGCCCAGGCTGGAGTGCAGTGGCGTGATCTTGGCTCACTGCAAGCTCCGCCTCCTGGGTTCACGCCATTCTCCTGCCTCAGCCTCCCGAGTAGCTGGGACTACAGGCGCCCGCCACCACGCCCAGCTAATTTTTTTGTATTTTTAGTAGAGATGGGGTTTCACCGTGTTAGCCAGGATGGTCTCGATCTCCTGACCTTGTGATCCGCCCGCCTCGGCCTCCAAAAGTGCTGGGATTACAGGCGTGAGCCACCGCGCCCGGCCATTGCACTACCATCTCTTATGTTTCCTTGTTTGCTCCTTCTGTTTGTCCTATGAGATGATTAAGGCAGTGAATTGTTTTGTTTATACCCATCCAATTTATTTCTCTATTCTTTTGCTATGAGAATCCTTTTTGGTGGGGATATATCTTCTCCCCAGTCATAAGGGAGTGCAAGGTATTGTGATAGAATGTTTAACAAGAACCACATGGTTTTTCAATGGAACAGCATAAATGAACACATGAATAGCGATATTTAGAGAGAATATAAGTGATCTTGAAGACATTATTTGCATCCCTGGATGTAGTTGTGCCTGAGGTCTCTTCCACTTTTCTTTTTTAAGGTGACATATTTCCCTTTTGCCGCGGTTAGCTTAAATTGGGTTTCTGTTCCTTGCAACTAAATGATTCATGAATAAACAACCCCCAGTTGTACAGAAGAGGAAACAGAATCAGAGACTGTGTGCTTCTTAAAACCATATACCTAATGCATGGTTAAGGCCCAGATCCAGGCTTCTTGACCCCAAGGCCTATGCTTTCTTCTTACACAACTGTTCTTTAGTTCTAGCTCCTTAAATAACTGTAGAACTTTGAACAAATTGAATGCAATGCTAAGCCTCCGTTTTCTTCGCTTGTAAAATGAGGTCGCTGGATTAATGATCTCTAGTGTCATCATCAGCTCTAGTTTTCTCTCATTTTCTTTTTTTTTTTTCTGAGACAGAGTCTCGCTCTGTTGCCCAGGCTGCACTGCAGTGGCGTGATCTCGGCTCACTGCAACCTCCGCCTCCCAGGTTCAGGCAATTATCTGCCTCAGCCTCCTGAGTAGCTGGGATTACAGGCGCCCGCCACCACGCCTGGCTAATTTTTGTGTTTTTAGTAGAGATGGGGTTTCACCATCTTGGCCAGGCTGGTCTTGAACTCTTGACCTCATGATCCACCTGCCTCAGCCTCCCAAAGTGCTGGGATTACAGGCATGAGCCACCGCGCCTGGCCTTCTCTCATTTTCAGTTCAAGTATTCATTTTATTTTATTTTATGTATTTATTTTTTGATTCAGAGTCTCGCTCTGTCCCCCAGGCTGGAGTGCAATGGCATGATCTTCGGCTCACTGCAACCTCCACCTCCCAGGTTCAAGCAATTCTCCTGCATCAGACTCTGGAGTAGCTGGGATTACAGGCTCCTGCCACCATGACCAGCTAATTTTTGTATTTCTACTAGAGACAGGGTTTCACCATATTGGCCAGGCTGGTCTCTTGGCCAGGCTGGTCTTGAACTCCTGACCTTGTGATCATCCTGCCTTGGCCTCCCAAAGTGCTGGAATTACAGGCGTGAGCCACCATGTCTGGTCTGCTTTAAATAATTATTTTTAATTAAACAAATAAAACATAGAAAGTTCTTGTTTTAAAAATTCCAAGAATTACATATTAAACTACAGTACTTTTGACTGCTGAGGAAACCCTCTTCCCTCCCCAACAGTGTTGTGTGTATCCCTTAGGAGTTTTTCTATGAATTTACATAAATACAGATATTTCTATAGAAATATTTAGTTTGCACTGTCTTTACTTGTATTTTTAACCAAAATTGTCACATAATGCACACATTGTTGTGCAGCTTCCTTTTATCATTTAACTATAAGTCTTGCAGATCTTCCAAGTCAGTGCAAATATTAAGTTGGTGCAAAAGTGAGCCAGTCTGTGGTATTAGTCTACTACATTTTGTTTACTTATTGATAGATATCTGGATAGTTTGAGGTTGTTCATTATAACAAACAAGGCTAATATGGGAAGCCCTGTCCATAATTGCTTTGTGTGAGTCTTCCAAGACAGAAAGCAAGGAATACCAGTTTACATTTCCACATTCAATTCATGACGGTTTCTCTTTGTTCATATCTTCTTCAGTCTGTTTTTTTTTTTTTTTTTTGGAGACGGGAGTCTTGCTCTGTCACCCAGGCTGGAGTGCAATGGCACGATCTTGGCTCACTGCAACCTCCACCTCCCGGGTTCAAGTGATTCTCCTGCCTCAGCCTTCCGAGTAGCTGGGATTACAGGCATCCAACACCACGCTCGGCTAATTTTTGTGTTTTTAGTAGAGATGGGATTTCAATATGTT
Organism: Homo sapiens; assembly: GCF_000001405.40. Taxonomy (NCBI): domain Eukaryota; kingdom Metazoa; phylum Chordata; class Mammalia; order Primates; family Hominidae; genus Homo; species Homo sapiens. The sequence goes on along the minus strand of NC_000023.11, from coordinate 141,128,208 downwards.
GGCCAGGCTGGTCTTGAACTCCTGACCTCAGGTGATCCACCCACCTCGGCCTCCCAAAATGCTGGGAGTACAGGAGTGAGCCACCACGCACAACCTCTTCTTCAGCCTTTAATATCATCTAACTTTGAAAACATTAGCAATTAAAATATTATTTTATTTTATTTTATTTATTTATTTATTTTTGAGATGGAGTCTCGCTCTTGTTGCCCAGGCTGGAGTGCAATGGCGCCATCTTGACTCACCGCAACCTCCGCCTCCCAGGTTCAAGTGATTCTCCTGCCTCAGACCCCCGAGTAGTTGGGATTACAGGCATGCACCACCACACCCGGCTAATTTTGTATTTTTAGTAGTGACGAGGTTTCTCCATGTTGGTCAGGCTGGTCTCGAACTCCTGACCTCAGGTGATCTGCCCACCTCAGTCTCCCAAAGTGCTGGTATTACAGGCGTGAGCCACTGCACCCAGCCAAAATACAATGTGCATTTCTCTGATCCTTGGAGGAGGTTGGGCAGCTTTGCCTACATTTGTGATCTTTTTCTTCCCCCTGTGGATTGCCATATTCTGCAGTCTTAAGTATTTGGCTCTGTGGTTAATCTGGTTAGCCATTGTCACAGTGTTACACTGTAAACTGCTAATAGTTGTGTGATAATGGCAAGCTTCTTCCCCCAGACAAATTTTAGGGTCAATGTTACTAGACTGGCTTGACCACCAAAGTGTCCTTGGAGAATGGTTATAGAATTATAGGAACTCATGTCTGGAAAGAACAGAATTTTAGCTGTCATTTAGTCCTACCCAACCATCTGATGTGTAAACCCTGTCTTCAAAATCTTAGCCAAACATTCAACTAATGCTTCAACTGTCAGCCTCCTGAGACAGCCCACTCCATCTGTGGATAATTCTGTTGATCATAACAGTCTTGCTTGTATTAAACCAGATCTTGTTTCCTTGTAGTTTCTACCCTCTGCCTTGAGCCTCAGAGAACAAATCTGCCTCCTCGTCCACAAAACAGCCTTTCTGATATGTAGTGACAGTTTCCATAATAATCGAAGTCATCTTTTCTTCATGTTAAGCATGCTGGTTCCCATAAGTTATCCTTATATGATGAGATTCTGAGGGGGTTTTCGGTCACTTTGTGATCACATTCTGTTGAATACTTACTAGTTTATCCCTTTTTAAAAAATGCATCACTGAGTTCAGTGTCTTAGAGTAAGCTGAATAATAATAATAATAATAATGGAAGCTAGCCTTTATTGAGTATCAAGTAGTGTGCCAAGCACTTTACTTGTATTAATTAATTTAATCCTTACAACATGACTAGGAATGAGGCATTTGAATCCCCATTTGGACAATAAGGAAATTGAGGCACATGGAAATTAGGTAATTTACCTGTGACTGCACTGAGTGGAGTGGAACTAGAATTTCTCCTATTACGGTTATCATATTTCAGTGTATATGTCCCTAAGATTATATGATTTTTAACTCTAATTGATTTATATTAACTGTCAACTCAAACCCCCAAGTCTTATTTGAATGTATTACTGGTAAGCCACCACTTCCCATCTTGTACATTTGAGTTCTGAAGCCAAGTCCAAGTCCTGGAAAACTGCACTTGACCTCACTGAATCTATTATAGTTTGTAGCCCACAGTGCTTTTCAAGACATCTTGCTCATCCCATTTCTCTCCCCTGATATAGTTAGCTGGCTCTCTTCTGGTAGTGCTTGACTTCACACTTCACACTGTCATCTATAAACTATATACTACATGTTTTCAGCTTAGCTATAAGTGGATGAGTTGCTTAATTTATTTTACTTTCCTTTTGTGTTTGCATGCAGAAAGTAGCTTCCCAGAATAAAGAGCAGTGAGCATTTTCCCACAGTTGTATGGTGGTTATCTACTCAATTGTCCCTTCCTGCTCAAAGGATCAAAAGCATTTACCAATTTGTTATACGCTTCATGTAACAGTTGTTTGTGTTGCTTTCAATTTTTTTTTTCATCAGAGATATGCTTGAAAATGATACTGTGCACAGGACTTGTCAACTTAGTTTCTGCCTTTCTAGTTAAGAAAAATGTATGTTTTAGTTTATTAACTATAAAATAAAATGCTCCTTCTTCTCTTCCTAGGCTTAAATGGAATAATTAGTTAAAAAAATCAAGAAACTATCTTATACACATTTCCACTATATTTTTCTACTTTGAATCCGAAAGTAAACTGAGTGGTATAGTGAAAAGATCAAGGGATGGGGCTTGGTGAGTTCATGGGCAGGAGACCTGGTTTCCACTACTAGTTTTCTCATTATCTGGCAGTATGAATTGCCAGAAGTTTTTTCTCTTCTCTATGCTGTAAAATCTGTAAAACGAGGGGACTGGAATAAAATGAGGTAAGACACTTCATTACTTAAAAATTACCTTGAATTCAATATAAATGTTATATAGCTTGTTCTCTTCCAAAATATTAAAATGGCTTTGTATGGGTGCTTTGTAAACCTCTCCCCAAGCTTTATTTAAAAAATATTTCTGGATATTTGTCTAGAAGAAACATTGCCTATTAAAACTTAGAGGACAAAACATTCTGAGCATTACTTAGTGCTGGGTCATATAAAAATAGCAATAACATTTGGCTCATTTTAGATTTTTTTTTTTTTTTTGAGGTGGAGTCTCCCCTTATCATCCAGGCTGGAGTGCAATGGCACGATCTCGGCTCACTGCAACCTCCACCTCCAGGGTTCAAGCAATTCTCCTGCCTCAGCCTCTTGAGAAACTGGGATTACAGGCACATGCCACCACACCCAACTGATTTTTTGTATCTTTAGTAGAGACGGGGTTTCACCATGTTGGCCAGACAGATCTCAAACTCCTGACCTCGTGATCCACCCGCCTCAGTCTCCCTAAGTGTTGGGATTACAAGCGTGAGCCACCACACCTGGTCTTTAGATTTTTTTTATAGCCTAAATTCTTATATGGATGGCTCTAGGCAAATCAGAGAGGTACTTTCACATTTTTGGCATTTAAATGGGAGTCAGAGGCCCCCAACCCTGTGCTTCTACCCCATAATCTATCCTCTGAAGGATGAGCCCCCAGGAATGCTGGGAGCCTCTCAAAATTCATTCACACACCTGCACAATCAGCCACCAATTTATTAAAAAACAAGTTTCTGTGAAAATGCTCATTTGCTTTCTGTGTCTGAAAGAAAAAACATCACATGAAAAACATCTGGGAAATATCTTCAAACTTATTTGCAAATATATTTGTGGAGATTTTTAAAAGACAGGCTGAATTGTTTCCTTTTTTAAAGGCAACGTAGATTTAAAAATAATTTTGTAGTAGCTTATGGGTATAAACGAAGATATCAGTGAAGATAACATTTATTTATATGCATTTTTAAATGCTATTTTCCTGCTTGTTTTCGCCTTGTGCTTTATTGTTTATTTATATTTTCAATATGTTATACTGAGGGGAAAATATAATGTTTTTCTTTGCACTAAGTCTATGGGTACATTTATCATTTAAAATATAATAACTTTAAAATAAAAAATTAGAGAACTTTAAAATATATATATGGATTTTTGCTTTGTTTTTGTTTTTTTTTAATTGTCCTCAATAATATGTTTGCAAAAGAATATAACTGGCCGGGCGCAGTAGCTCATGCCTGTAATCCCAGCACTTTTAGAGGCCAAAGCAGGCAGATTGCATGAGCTCAGGGGTTCAAGGCCAGCCTGGGCAACAGCCCATCTCTATCAAAAATACAAAAATTTGCTGGGCATTTTGGTGCGCATCTGTATGCAGTTCCAGCTACTCAGGAGTCTGAGGTGGGAGGATGGCTTGAGCCTGGAAGGTGGCGGTGGCAGTGAGCCCAGATCATGCCACTGCACTCCAGCCTGGGTGACAGTGAGACCCTATCTTAAAAAAAAAAAAAAAAGAAATAGAATACAATCAATGCCAGCAATATACATCATGGCAGAAGTGAAATAATTTGTATTTATTTGTCCCCATGATTTCTGGAAAAAAAACTTTTTAAGGAGATAATGAAATCATAAAACTTAACAATACTTAACATGTTAATCTAAGTATGTTTTTTTTTGTTTTTTTTTTTTTGAGGAGTCTCGCACTGTCTGCTGGGCTGGAGTGCAATGGCACAATGTCAGATCACTGCAACCTCCGCCTCCTGGGTTGAAGCGATTCTTCTGCCTCAGCCTCACGAGTAGCTGGGATTACAGGTGCCTGCCACTACATCCAGCTAATTTTTTTGTATTTTTTAGTAGAGATGGGGTTTCACTATGTTGGCCAGGTTGGTCTCAAACTCCTGACCTCGTGATCTGCTCACCTCAGCCTCCCAAAGTGCTGGGATTACAGGCGTGAGCCACCACGCCCAGCCTAACATAAGTATCTTAACTCTGTTTTCATCAGAATATTAATTACTTTATTAAGGACTGGAGAAAAAGAAACTACTGCTAACATTGAACATAAGCTTAGTAGAAATGTATACATATAGATTATATAATATATACACACATGATACATATACACATTACATAGGAATAGATTAATATGAAGTTAAATAAACAGATTTTACCTGTTCAACTACCTAGTAGATTGGGAACTCAGAAGAAAACTGATGGGGAAAGGGTAGAACCTAGGCCTATCAAAGAGTAAATTAAGGCACTAATACCAATAATTACATACAATAATTATGATATGCATGGAACATATCTAATTACATCACTTTCCCACTCACCATCTCTTCTTTTTTTTTTTTTTTTTTTTTTTTTTTTTGAGACGGAGTCTCGCTCTGTCGCCCAGGCCGGACTGCGGACTGCAGTGGCGCAATCTCAGCTCACTGCAAGCTCCGCTTCCCGGGTTCACGCCATTCTCCTGCCTCAGCCTCCCGAGTAGCTGGGACTACAGGCGCCCGCCACCGCGCCCGGCTAATTTTTTGTATTTTTAGTAGAGACGGGGTTTCACCTTGTTAGCCAGGATGGTCTCGATCTCCTGACCTCATGATCCACCCGCCTCGGCCTCCCAAAGTGCTGGGATTACAGGCGTGAGCCACCGCGCCCGGCCACCATCTCTTCTTAAGACAAATATTCACATTCTCTTCTAGTCCTAAGATACTGGATTAATCTGTAATCTTCAAACTCTTCTTTGGTATTTCCTTATCTATAACTTCCAAGCTTCCAAGTTTCTCCGTTTCTCTAGTTGGCTGCAATAGCTCCGTGCTCAGATTCACTCGGCACTCCTTGCCTGAACATCTTTTTGCCTTAAGAGCTAATATTTTATTTATTTTCACTTTTAGTATAAGTTAGTCCACAATCAGTCACACAATCACTCAACAAGTGTTTCATGAGAGATTCCCACTTGTGAAGTACTCTTCTAGGCACTGGGTGATTTTGCAGTGAATAAAACTAACCAAATGTTTCTGCCTTCACATAGCTTCCAAATCAGAAGCCAACAAATATATAATTTCAATTTGTTCTGTGAATAAAAGAAAAGAGAATAGAGAGTTGGCATAAGGAATGGGTGTGAACAGTGCTTCTACACAGAGATGACATTTGAATGACATAAGGAATTTGTTAAGTAAATATCTGGAGGAAGAGTGTTCTGGGCAGAGGAGATAGCCAAGTTCAACAGCCTTGTTGTATGAAGCAGCTTGAAATGTTCAAGAAAAAGCCATAGAAGACCAGTGTTCTGCTCTTCTGCCAGGTGAGGACACAGCATTCTTCCCCTCTGGAAGATGCAGTTACAGGGTGCCATCTTAGAAATAGAGAGCAGCACTCACCAGATACCTAACCTGCTTGTGTGTTGATATTGAACTTCCTGGCCTCCTGAACTGTAAATTACTCAGTCTAAGGTACTCCATAGCGGCACAAACTAAGACAGAAATTGGTATTGACAAGTAAGTGTGCTGCTCTAACAAATACCTAAAAATGTGAATGTGGCTTTGGAACTGGGTAGAGGTTGGAAGAGTTTTAAGGTGCAGGCTAGAAAAAGCTTGGATTGCCATGGACAGAATGTTAAGGGCAATTCTGGTGAGAGCTTAGAAGAGGAGAGCTGTAGAGAAAGGCTCAGTCTTAGAGATTACCTAAGTGGTCATGAACAGAATGTTCATAAAAATATGGACAGTAAAGGCCATCCTGATGAGGTCTCAGATGGAAATGAAGAATATCTTACTGGAAACTAGAGAAGAAGCCATCCTTGTTACAAAGTGGCAAAGTACTTGGCTGAGTTGTATCCACGTTCTGCTTTGTGGAAGGCGGGATTTAAGAGTGATGAACTAGAATATTTGGTGAAAGAAATATCTAAGCAAATTGTTCAGGGTGCTCTATGGTGTGGCCCAGCTGCTTATAGTAAAATGCAGTAAAAGAGAAACACATTAAAGATAGAATTTATAATCAAAAAGGAAGAAGAATGTGAAGATTTGGAAAATTGTCAACCTCGCCGAGTAAAGAATAAAAACCGGTGTTTAGGAGAGAAAACCAAGGGTGTGGCCAAGTGACCATTTGATGAGGAGATTAGTATAGATAGGAAGAAGCCTGATTCCTTTTATCAAAACAATGGAGGAATGACCCTGAAGGCAATTCAGAGATCTTCCAGGCTACCACTCTCATCACAGCCACAGAGAGCTAGTTGCTTGAGGGCAGAATGGTTTCAAGGCAGGGTCCTGGGAAGCCTGAAGATCCTCAGAGTTTGCTGCCTAAGGCCACCTCAAGTCTCTGCTTCCCCTATTCCAGTGCAGTGCTCCGCAGCAGTCTCAGCTGTGGCTCAAGTGGGCCTAGTTGCAGCAAGGGCAGCTTCTCTGGAAGGTACAGGCTATATAAACGTTGACAGCATTCACGTGGTGCTTACTTTGCAGTCACCCAGAGCGAATGAGCTGTGGAGGCATGGATACCTCCTAAATTTCAATGAATGCCTCAGAGAAACTTGGGGTCCAATCAGAGAACTACTGCAGGATCAGGGCCACTGCAGAATGCCTGCATTAGTCTGTTTTCATATTGCTATAAAGAACTGCCTGAGATTGGATAATTTACAAAGGAAATAGGTTTAATTGACTCACAGTTCAGCATGGATGGGGAGGTCTCAGGAAACTTACAATCATGGAGGAAGGCAAAGAGGAAGCAAGGCACTTTCTCACAAGGCAGCAGGAAGAAGTGCTGAGTGAAGGGGTAAGAGCCCTGTATTAGTCCATTCTCACACTGCTAATAAAGACATACCTGAGACTCGGTAATATTTATAAAGGAAAGAGTTTTAATTGACTCACAGTTCTACAGGGCTGGGGAGGCATCAGGAAACTTACAATCATGATGGAAGGGGAAGCAAACATGTCCTTTTTCACATGGCAGCAGGAAGGAAAAGTCCTAAGCAAAGGGGTTTTGAAAAGCCCCTTATAAAACCAAGAGATCTCGTGGGAACTCACTCACTATCACAAGAACAATATGGAGGTAACCGCTCCCATGATTAAATTACTGCTCACTGGGTCCCTCCTATGACACATGAAGATAATGGGAACTACAATTAAATATGAGATTTGGGTGGGGACAAAACCAAACCACATCAAGCCCCTTATAAAACCATCAGATCTCCTGATAACTCACTCATTATCAAATGCCCCCATGATTCAATTACTTCCATCTGGTCCCACCCTTGACCAGGGTGTGGGGATTATGGGGATTACAATTCAAGATGAGATTTAGGTGGGGACATGAAGCCTGACCACATCAGTGCCCCCACTAGGGCAATGCCCAGTTGAGCCATGGGGTCAGGGCTACCACAGCAGATCTCCACTGGGGAAATGCCCAGTGGAGCTGAGAGGTCATGGATACTGCAGAGAGCCCCCACTAGGGCAGTATTTACTGGGGTTATTGGGGGAAGGCCACCTCCAAGACCCCAGACCTGCACAGCCACCAGTCTGCAATGCCAGCCTGGGAGAGCTCCAGGTACATGAAATCAAACCCTAAGAGCTGTGGCATGGGCTGCACCCAACAAATCCAAAGGGGCAAAGTTTTTTGGAGGCTTGGGGAATCAACCTTCACTCATGAGTGTCTGGAAAGTGGGACATGGAGTCAAATGATATTATTCTCAGGCCTTAAGATTTAATATTGTTTGTCCTGTTTTGTCTTGAACCCAAAAGCAACCTATTACCCCTTTTCTCTTGCCTAGTTTTATCTTTTGGAATGGGAATGCCTATCCCATGACTGTCTCGCCATGGTATTTTGGATGCATATAACTGGTTTGATATCACAGGCTCACAGTTGGAGGCAAATTTGACTCCGAATGAATCACACCTTGAGTATCACCCATATCTGATTTAGATAATATTTGCATGTTCTAGATGAGACTTTGGATATAAACTTTAAAGGTTATGCTGGAATGAGTTAACACTTTTGGGATGGAATTAATGTATTTTGTAAGTGAGGAGAACATGAATTTCGGGCCATCAGTGGTGGAATGCTATGGTTTGAATGTGTCCCTTCCAAAATTCACATGTTGAAACTTCATCCCCATGGTGGTGATATTAAAAGGTGAGGCCTTTTGGGAAGTGATTAAGTCAGGAGGGCAGATCATTATAAAAGGGCAGGAAGGAACTAACTTAAGCCCTTTTTGCTTTTCTTCTACATGTGAATACAACATTTCTCCCCTTTGAAGATGCAGCAACAAGGTAATATCTTAGACAAAGTGTGCAACCCTCACTACACACCAAGCCTGCTGGTATCTTGATCTTGGACTTCCCAGCCTCTGGAATTACAAAAGGTTAATTTATTTTCTTTATAAACTACTCAGTCTAAATTATTTTGTATAGCAGCACAAATAGACTAAGATAGTTATCGACTTTTTCTTTCATATTTTGGATTTTTTATGTTGTATTTAAGAAATCTATGCCAAATCCAGATTCATGAAGATGTTGTCTGACATTTTCTTCTAGAAATTTTATAGTTTTAGATGTGACATCTAAATCTAAGTTCCATCTTGAGTAAATTTTTATATATGGTATAAGGTATGGATTGAAGTTTATTATAATCATTATTTTACATATGAATATCTAATTTTTCTAGCACAATTTGTTGAAATGACTATCCTTTCCCACCAAATTTTACATAGGCCTTTGTCAAAAATCAACAGACCATTTTTGTGTGGGTCAATTTCTGGACTCAATATTCTATTCCATTGATATATCTGTCTGTCTTGATAACCATTTTTTAAAAACAAGTCTATAAATCAGCTAATGTTGATAATGTTAGTTCTTCATTTCTGTTTTTACTTTTAAATTTTTAATGGATATTCTGATTCCTTTGTATTTCCACATATATTCTATAACTGGCTTGTCTTTTTTCTTAAGCCTGCTAGGTTTCTGATTGAGATTACATTGATTCTATTAATAATTTGGGGGGAAGATTTGAAATTATAACAATATTCAGCCATCAAACCCTCAATAAGCCCCTTTTGAACCCAAAAGGGACCTATTAACCCTTTCCACTGTTCATATGCTATATGAATATATGATATTTCCCCTATCATATTATATATGGTAATATGCTTCAATTTATTTAGGTTTTCTTTAATTTCTCTTTACAATACTTTGTTGTTTCTGCTCTACAGTTCTTGCATATTTTTGTCAAATTTATTATTAAATATTTTATATTTTTGTTAGTGGCAGTTTTAAAATTTTAATTTATAATTTTTACTGCTAGCATATAGAGATATCATTTTTTATACTGATCTTAGATTCCACAACCTTGATAAATTCACTTATTAGTTCTAGAAAATTTTTTGTAGATTGTAACATTTTTTTAAAATTTAGATGATATTGTTGTCTATTAATAAGCACTGTTACTTTTTTCATTCTGGAAAGATTTTATGTCTTTTTCTTCCATTATTACATTGGCTAGAACCTCTAATACAACATTGAAGACAAGTAGTCAGCACTAATATCTTTGTTTTTTCCTTATCTTGGGAAAGCATTCAACCTTTTATCATTAAGTATGCTGTTGAAGGTTTATTATAGATGCCTTTTATCAGAAGGGAGAATTACCTTTCTAATGCTAATTTGCTAAGAGAGAGGTTTTATCAAGAATGGATGTTGGGTGCTCGCTTCGGCAGCACATATACTAAAATTGGAACGATACAGAGAAGATTAGCATGGCCCCTGCGCAAGGATGACACGCAAATTCGTGAAGCGTTCCATATTTTTTTGAGAAATGCAAATCAAAACCACTATGAGATATCATCTCACACCAGTTAGAATGGCAATCATTAAAAAGTCAGGAAACAACAGGTGCTGGAGAGGATGTGGAGAAATAGGAACACTTTTACACTGTTGGTGGGACTGTAAACTAGTTCAACCATTGTGGAAGTCAGTGTGACGATTCCTCAGGGATCTAGAACTAGAAATACCATTTGACCCAGCCATCCCATTACTGGGTATATACCCAAAGGACTATAAATCATGCTGCTATAAAGACACATGCACACGTATGTTTATTGCGGCACTATTCACAATAGCAAAGACTTGGAACCAACCCAAATGTCCAACAATGATAGACTGGATTAAGAAAATGTGGCACATATACGCCATGGAATACTATGCAGCCATAAAAAATGATGAGTTCATGTCCTTTGTAGGGACATGGATGAAATTGGAAACCATCATTCTCAGTAAACTATCGCAAGAACAAAAAACCAAACACCGCATATTCTCACTCATAGGTGGGAATTGAACAATGAGATCACATGGACACAGGAAGGGGAATATCACACTCTGGGGACTGTGGTGGGGTCGGGGGAGGGGGGAGGGATAGCATTGGGAGATATACCTAATGCTAGATGACACGTTAGTGGGTGCAGCGCACCAGCATGGCACATGTATACATATGTAACTAACCTGCACAATGTGCACATGTACCCTAAAACTTAGAGTATAATAAAAAAAAAAAAATTAAAAAAAAAAAAAAAAAAGAATGGATGTTGGATTTTGTCAAGTGCTTTTTGTGTGTCTATTAAGATGATCATGTTTTCTTTTATAGTCTGTTAATTGTTAATGATACTATTTTTCTAAAGTTAATTCAACATTACATAAAACTCACTTGGCTATGGATATGTTATCCATTCTGTAAACTATTCATTTTAGTAAAAATTGGTTAGAAATTTTTGAATTTGTTCATGGGGGACATTAGTTTGTGATTTTCTTGTAATTTCTTTGTCTAGCTTTGGCATCAAGGTAATGTTGGGCTTGTATAATGAATTAGAAAGCATTCTCTCCTTTTACTTTTCTAGAAGATTTTGTGCAGATTTGGTATTATTTCTTCTTTTGATATTCGTTAGAATTCTTATGCAAAGTCATCTGGCCAGAAATTTTCTTTGTGTGAAAGTTTTATTTAAAAATTTCATTTCTGTTTTTAGATATAGTATTCGGGTTATCTATTTATTTTTGTGTTAGCATTGGTAGCTTGTCTTTTCAAGGTATTTGTCGTTCATTTCAGTTGTTGCATTTATTTGCATAAAGGTTTTTATGACATTCAATTGTTATCCACTTAATAGATGTGGAACTTTAGTGATGGCACCTCTAGCATTCCTAATGTGTATGTTTTTTCCAGATTGATCTGGCTAGAGGTTTATCAGTTATATTAATCATTTCAATGAACTACCTTTTCATTACATTGATTTTCCTTAGTATATTTTTGTTTTCTATTTCATTCATTTTTGCTTCAGTTTTATTATTTTCTTTATTCTGTTTATTTTGGATTTAATTTGCTCTTTTGTCTTATTTTCTAAATATAGAAGCTAAGGCCATTGTTATGAGACCAGTCTTTTTTGTCTCACTCTGTTGCCCAGGCTGGAGTGCAGTGGCACGATCTCCATTCACTGCAACCTCTGCCTCCTAGATTCAAGCGATTCTCTTGCCCCAGCCTCCCGAGTAGCTGGGATTACAGGCGTGCACCACCATGCCTGGCTAATTTTTGTATTTTTAGTAGGGATGGGGTTTCACCATGTTGGCTAGGCTGGTCTCGAAATGCTGACCTCAAGTGATCCACTGGCCTTGGCCTCCCAAAGTGATGGGATTACAGGTGTGAGCCAATACACCCGGCCGAGACCAATCTTTTATGATGTAGAAATTTTAGTGCTATGAATTTACCTCCAAATATTTTTAAATCTGGGTCCCACAAATTTTGGTAGTTTGTCTTTTCATTCTCATTTAGTTCAAAATATTTTCTAATTGTATCTTATTCTTTCCTTGATCCATATCCTCTCCAGAACTATGCTATTTAGTATTAAATTACTTGGGAACTTCTTAGACATTTTTTTCTGATATTAATTCCTAGTTCAATTTCATTGTGGTCAGAGAATGTACTTTGTATGGCTTCAATCATTTTACATTTATTCGACTTGTTTAATGATCCTCTATCTGGTTTATCTTGGTAAATGTTCTGTGTGTGCTTGAAAACACTGTGTATTCTACTGTTGTTGTGTCATGTGTTCTACCAAAGTCAGTTAAGTCAAGTTGTTTGATATTGTTTTTCAAGTCTGTATATTTTACTGATTTTTTGTCTGCATCTTTTATCATTTATTAAAAGAAGAATGTTGGCATATTTGACTATAATTGTGAATTTGCCCATTTCTCCTTTAAGTTTTGCTATTTTATTCAATGTTGACTTTGAAGCAGTGTTATTTTGGATACCTAAATATTAAATATTTAAATTCTTATATTTCCTTGGTCAATTCTCCCTTTATCAGTTTACAGTGTCCCTCATTTTGCATGTGATATTCTTGCCTCTGAAAGCTACCGGATCATATTATACAGGTATTCTAGCTTTGTTTTGAAATAATGTTTCCTCTTTGCATTTAATGTGGAAATTACTCTTCTAATGTTTTCAATGTTACAGGTAGCTTTAATTTGCTAAGGTGGCCATAATAAAATACCACAAACTGAGTGGCTTATACATCATGTATTTGCTCACAGCTCTGGAGGCTGTAAGTTTATTATCAAGGTGTTGACAGGGTCGGTTTCTTCGGAGGCCTCTCAGAATCTACCATGTCTCTTGCCTAGCTAAATCAGTGATTTTCTGGCGGACACTGGCATTTCTTGGCTTTCAGAAGCATCATTCCAATCTCTGCCTTTGTTTTTATGTGACATTCTCACTGGGTCTATGTCCAAATTTCCCCTTTTTATTAAAAGGCCAGTAGTATTGGATTAAGTCTTGCCCTAATTACTTCATCTTAGCTCATTACTTCTACAAGAACCTTGTATTAAAATAATGTGACATTCTACAGCACTGGGGGTTGAAACTTCAACATATTAATTTGGGGGAACAAAATTCAACCTGTAGTGTTGGTATTTTCTTCTCAGTGTCTAATCTGCTATATATCCCATTCAGTTTATTTTTCATTTCAGACCTGTAATTTATATCCATAGAAGTTTGATTTTGGTATGTTTTATATCTTTCATATGTTTACTTAACATGTTCAACCTTTCCTCTTATTTATTGAACATATATAATATAGTTAGAATACCTGTAGCTTTTTTTTTTTTTTTTTTTGAGATGGAGTCTTGCTTTGTTGCCGAGGCTGGAGTGCAGTGGCACTACCTTGGCTCACTGAAACCCCCTCCTGGGTTCAAGCGATTCTCCTGCCTCAGCCTCTCGAGTAGCTGGGACTACAGGCGCCTGCCACCACGCCCGGCTAATGTTTTGTGTTTTTAGTAGGGACGGGGTTTCACCGTGTTAGCCCGGATGGTCTCGATCTCCTGACCTCGTGATCTGCCCGCCTCAGCCTCCCAAAGTGCTGGGATTACAGGCATGAGCCACTGCACCCAGCCGTCTGTAGCCGTTTTAATGTTCTTGTCTACTCATTCTATAGGTGCCATTTTCTGGTCTCTTTCTATTGAATGGCTTTTCTGCTCTTATTTTCTTTCCTTCATGCGTGATTGGTAACTTTTTATTTGATGTCAGACAATGTGGATTTTACCTTTTTGGTGGTGTTTTTCTTCTCCTAATATTATTTTCACACTTAAATCTGAGATGCTTTAAATTTACTTGGAAAAAAAAAACATTGATTCTTTCAAGGCTTGTTTGTAAACTTCATTAGACAGAACCAGACTAGCTATTAATCTAGGACTATTTTTCTTCCACTACTGTGGCGATACCCTCTGACGAACCTACCTAATATCATGTGAAATACAAGGCTTTTCACTCTGACTTGTGGGAAAAAGAAATGTTTGAGCTCTAAGAATTGTTTTTTTCTGCTGTTTACAGATAGTTGCTTCTCCAGCTTCAGTTAGTTTCCTCACATTCATGCACTGATTCATGCTCAACTAAAGCTGAGAAGGACCTTCAACAAATCGCTGCAGTTATCTTATTTTTTGTGCAGCTTTCTTTTCTCTTGTATTCTTCCCTGAAAATTGTAGCTGTATTTCCCTTTTTGGACTCCTAGCTCTGTCTTCTCAACTTAGGGAGGCCACTGGATTCCATTTAGGTTCTCCGTTTCTTTTTATTTTATTTATTTACTTATTTGTTTATTTTGAGATGGAGTCTTGCTCTGTCGCCCAGGCTGGAGTGCAGTGGCCAGATCTCAGCTCACTGCAACCTCCGTCTCCAGGGTTCAAGCAATTCTCCTGCCTCAGCCTCCTGAGTAGCTGGGACTACAGGCGTGTGCCCCCACACCTGGCTAATTTTTGGATTTTTAGGGGAGACGGGGTTTCACCGTGTTAGCCAGGATTGTCTCGCTCTCCTGACCTTGTGATCCCCCCACCTTGGCCTCCCAAAATGCTATGGGATTACAGGTGTGAGCCACCGCGGCCGGCCTGAGTTCTCCCTTTCTATGATGTAGCCTGAAGTCTCCTTTCAGACAGTAAGCCAGGACAATCGTAAGGGTTCACTTTGTTTTCCCTCTGTAAGGAATTATTTTCTCACACTACCTAATTTCTAACGCTTAAAAAACATTTATATATATATATATGTATATAGTCCAGTGTTTTTAGTTGTTTCTGCCAGGAAGATAACTCCATTACAAGTTACCCCATCTCAGCTAGACAGTTCCTAAGAGAATACATTATTGGCCGGGCATGGTGGCTCATGCCTGTAATCCCAGCACTTTGGGAGGCCAAGGCAGGTGGATCGCCTGAGGTCAGGAGTTCGAGACCAGCCTGATCAACATGGAGAAACCCCGTCTCTACTAAAAATACAAAATTAGCTGGGCGTGGTGACACATGCCCGTAATCCCAGCTACTCAGGAGGCTGAGGGAGGAGAATCACTTGAACTCGGGAGGCAGAGGTTGTGGTGAGCTGAGATCACGCCATTGCACTCCAGCCTGGGCAACAAGAGTGAAACTCCGTCTCGAAAAAAAAAAAAAAGAATATATTATTATATAACTTTTTATTATGAAAATAATATTTTCTTATAAAAATTTCAAGCAGTGCAGATGTATATACAGAAAAACTTGCATTTCTACCATTCTCTCCACCCTCTATTCTCCCAAAATTCAACTGAATTACTGGTCCTCAAAGGAAACAGCTTGCAATTGGTATGCTCACTTACAGATAATTTTATATTCATTTAAATATATATACAAAGATTCATAATATAGTCATATACATATATGCAAATATTAAAAATACATAATTATATATTTTTTAAACAGGGTCTTGCTCTGTCGCCCAGGCTGCAGTGCAGTGGCATATTCTCAGCTCTCTGCAGCCTCAACCTCCCAGGCTCAAGCAATTCTCCCACCTCAGCCTCCTGAGTAGCTGGGACTACAGGCATGAGTCACCACACCTGGCTCTTTTTTTTTTTTTTTTTTTTTTTTTTTTTGTAGAGAAGAGTTCTCACTGTGTTGCCCTGGCTGGTCTCGAATTCCTGGACTCAGGCAATCCTCCTGCCTCAGCCTCCCAAAACGTTGGGATTGCAGGCATGAGCTGCTGCGTTTGGCCTACATAAATATTTTGACATAAATGAGATATTAAGTACTTTTGTAAATTAATTTTCTTGTCTAATTCTGTATCTTTGTTTTTCCTCTATATTTGCCATACATATCTATGTCAATATTTTAATTGTCTGCATATAACTTCATAGTATGGATACATCATTTTTAAATGTAGGTATTTCTCTATTGATGTACAAATGTTTTTCACCAGTTTTTCTGTTTAACAAATGTTACAATGAACATTTTTGAATCATATGTTTTCGTGCACATGTGTAGCATTTCTAAAAGGAAAATTCTTAAAAATTTAATGAGCATTTTAAAGTTTGCTAGAAATTGCCAAAATATCCTGCAAAGTACTTGTACTTTGTTCTAACAGTATTAGGATTTCCTATTCCCTCATGATTTTTGTTGTCAATCCAATGGAAGAAAATTGCTTCTTTGTTTTAATTTATATTTACTTTACGAATAGTAAAGTTGAATATCTTTTGTTATCTATTTGTAGTTATTAATCTGTGAATTGTTGCCATATTTTTCTATTGGGTTGTTTGATTTTTTATTTATAGAAAAAATTTGTATAGTCATTTGTTTGTTATACATATCACAAGTATTTTCTCCTAATCTCTTCTTTATATTTTAACTTTGTATAAGAAATAATTTGCCGTATAGAAATAGTGCTGGAAAACATGTCTTTTGAGAAAGAACATACCTTGTTCTATTTTTTTCCGCTTTTGAAAATTCCATCTCATCCACCAGCTGCAGGACAAATCACTGAACTAAATGTTTAACTGGTTTTGAGAAAGAGAAAAACAGCTTCTGACATTCACAAGCTATGCCCAGTTGTTGCTAGGAGCTGGCTTGGCACTCACAGCTAGGCCTTGGTATTACTCTATCAGGAACATCAGCATTAAATGAGGCCGCTGTGTGACCATGACGGATGAAGGCGAAAACAAGACCGCTCTGCAATCATGTCTGAACACAGACAGAACATGGACATTGTGCAAGTCACAAGAATGACCAGTTATCTCACTATTCTGAATAATATAAGTTGCTGGGTTTTTTTCTTTTACCAATTACAAGTCTACCCTTGCTTTAGACTGCCCTCACAATAGATAAGGTGTATTAAGATACCTGATCATCATATTACCCCGACTTCCCGAGAGTATTCAACCCAGAGAAAAATTCTGCTTCCTCAAAATCTCCCGCAAATCACCT
The DNA here is from genome assembly GCF_000001405.40 of Homo sapiens. Classification (NCBI taxonomy): domain Eukaryota; kingdom Metazoa; phylum Chordata; class Mammalia; order Primates; family Hominidae; genus Homo; species Homo sapiens. The sequence continues at coordinate 141,111,093 of NC_000023.11, read as the reverse complement.
AATACAAATCCAAACACTATAACAAATCCTTTTATTATCTTCCTACTGAGATGCCCCCATAATTGATAAAAATAGTTCTCTATGATGTATATTCTCTCCTACTGTAATGAGTAATAAACCCGATTTGTTCAACTATAGTGTGTTCCTGATAGTCTTTAGCTAGAGGGCTTTCAAATAATAATATGAAAACATTGTGGTATATAGTCCAACTGCTTTTTATTTTTATTTTATTTCATTTTTAAACATTTATTTATTTTAATTGATGAGTAAAAATTGTATATATTTATTGTGTACATCATATTGTTTTGAAACATGTATATATTGTAGGATGGCTAAATCTAGCTAATTCACATATACATTGCTTCACATATTTATCTTTTTTGTGGTAAGAACATTTAAAATCTATTTTCTTAGCAACGTGCAAGAATATAATGTTTTTATTAACCACAGCCACCATGCTGTCTGCAAAATAGATCTCTTAAACTAATCCTTCCTATCTAGCTGAAATTTTGTATCCTTTGATCAACATCTTCCCGACCCTTATATTTTATTAGAATGAGTCATTTCCAGTCCGATGAAATCCATTACTGTTTTAAAGCCCCATTCCGTGTAGGTCACATACTAGTTTAAGTTTTGAGAGATACTATGTATATTCGGATAAATTGTATCAGGGAGTCAGTATAGGATCCTTGAAGAGCATTGTATTTGATATGAGAACTGGATTTACAACATTCTAGAAGGAGGATTTTGGGGAAATGTGTTAATCACTCTAAGTTTTTGCTTCCTTATTTGTAAATGGAGATAAGAACTCTTATCTTAACACTGTTGTGGTAAGGATTCAATGAGGGAGCTTTTTGTAAACTAAAGCTAAAGTTCTGTAAATAGGAAAGACTTTCAAAATAGTAATGGTTGAGCTTGGATGGAACTGATTAAACTCACATCTCCTTTCATCACCCCTTATTTATTCATGGGAAACAGAAAGCACAGAGAAGGAGAATTCTTTTACTTTAGGTGGAGATGGACTCCAGGTTTTTTGACTCCTAGTCTAGCATCCTCTATACTTCATGGAAACTGTTTTCTATTTTATTTCTTTTTGCTTCTTTGTAATAATAAAAAATTCTAGTAAATGATTTTTTGGTACATCATGCTATCTTCCGGGATTAACTCCTCAGAGTCCTCCAAACAATTTGCAAAGTTAATGACTCCTGGGTGTTTATGAGATTATGGTTAAGTGAAGTTAAGCCACAAAAGTCTATTAAAAAATAATTTCCAGACTTTTCATATGCAAATTATTCTTGTGGATTTACCTCCCACCCTTGTTTATAGTATGTTGACCATCTTCTTTCTAAGCAAGATTCAGGGTCTTATTTCATCATGATTTCACCTGTTGTGATTGGGTTCTGTGTTCTTATGTTTGTTCTGCCCAGCAGTATAGGTTTAAAAAAGAAAAAAATAATAATAATCTTGGAGCCTGAGGAAAGTGTTCTCTTCACTGATGGAAGATTGCTCTCTGTTTGCCTGTCAGCTCTTTGTTCTGGTTACTTATTCTTTCTAACATGCTTGGCTGCACAAATCACAAAATAGAGGGATAAAAAGATCTTTTGGAATCTGTATTTGCTATGTTGCAAGCTCAGTTACCATATGGAACACAAAAGCCCAGAACCTTAAGTATGAAACAGCATTTTGTTGTTTTGCTTTCTTCCTTACCATTTTAGCAATGTGTCTTTTATCACTACGGAAGTGAAGTCTTTACTGAAGAAATTAATTGTGTGTGTGTGTGTGTGTGTGTGTGTGCACTTGCCCCCGTGTATTGTGTATGAAGTGAGTGATGGGGGGGGCACCAAAATTGTTATAAGAAGCAACATTTTATGCCGTAGGCAAAGATGGTACTTTAGGCATTGTAAATAATCAGATATTTCTTGTGAGCCTTCTGAATATTGCTCAGGAATTGATTACTCAAGCATATCCATTATTCTTCTTCTATGTTGTCAGAATAAATGTTTATTATAGCATTACTTAAAAGGTTTTGGATAATGAGAATTGGCTGCAAGGTAGATGAAAGATGAGACAAATAGTCAAGTGAGCCTTTTCTTCATTCATTTCCTCATTCACTTTTCACACAATTTTTTTAATGTATATATATTTTTTATTATACTTTAAGTTCTAGGGTACATGTGCACAACGTGCAGCTTTGTTACATATGTATACATGTGCCCTGTTGGTGTGCTGCACCCATTAACTCGTCATTTACATTAGGTATATCTCCTAATGCTATCCCTCCCCCCTCCCCCCACCCCACAACAGGCCCCGGTGTGTGATGTTCCCCTTCCTGTGTCCAAGTGTTCTCATTGTTCAATTCCCACCTATGAGTGAGAACATGCGGTGTTTGGTTTTTTGTCCTTGCGATAGTTTGCTGAGAATGATGGTTTCCATTTAGTGTCAGAGACTCTGTTCTGGGCATGAGAATGCAGAGTGAGCAAGACATAGGACTACCCTTATTATGAAGTAAGTATAGGGAGACACATGACAGGGAGACAAAGAGCTGCCTGTTGATAGTGACAATTCTATAATTCCTCTGAGCTTTGTAGATGAGGCATCTTCTATGCACTCCACTACATAGACTGAGCTTCATTAGTCCTACGCCTTTTGGGATTCCATTGATAAGGCCTCAAGAACTGCAAACCAAATTGGATATTAATGTAGATATATTCTTAGGAAGACACATCTGCTTTTCAGGTTAACATATGACATTTTTTTTTTTTTTTGAGACAGAGTCTCACTGTGTCGCCCAGGCTGGAGTGCAATGGCGCGATCTTGGCTCCCTGCAACCTCCGCCTCCCGGGTTCAAGCCATTCTCCTGTCTCAGCCTCTTGAGTAGCTGGGATTACAGGCACACACCACCACACCCGGCTAATTTTTTTTTTGTTTTGTTTTTGTATCTTTAGTAGAGACGGGGTTTCACCATATTGGCCAGGCTGGTCTTGAACTCCTGACCTCGTGATCTGCCTGCCTCGGCCTCCCAAAGTGCTAGAATTACAGGCTTGAGCCACTGCGCCCGGCCAACATATGTCATTCTTGAATCAGACATTAATGGTCATAAATGTGTCTGGCCGCTGATGAGGACATTGGTATAGGTAACAGAATTTTGAGGAAATTTTGTAACTAATACAGTATTTATTTAACCATGAATCTGTTGCCAAAATACCAGAAAATGTAAAATCTTGTGATAGGAAAAAAATTGCAAAAGTAGAGGACACTTTGGAGGTAAGTTTTACTGATAAGGAAATGGAACCTTAAGAGTTTAAATGATGTTCCCAGGATCACCAGCTGGTAAATACTAGAGTTCCAAACATCAACTCATTTAATTCTTTCAACAACCTTTTATTTTAAGTACTACTATTATTTGTATGTTACAAATTGGTGACTGAGGTCCAGAAAAGGTAAGTAATTTGGCCAGGGCCCTGTGGCTAGTAAGTGTCAGAGCCAGGATTCAGGCCAAGAAGTTTGACTCCAGAGTCGATGCTTTTAACTTTACACCATTCTGTCTCTTCAGGAATAGCTGTACTCAGTTTCCAGACTCCACTTCCCTCAACCCCTCCCACTTTTCTTTTCATTCTATTATGGTGCCAAGCACACACATACACACCTGCTAAAAGACATATATACCCCCCTATAAAACATTTTAAACATAAGCATGTATATGTGTATACATTCTTTGCTTCTCAGTGTGTCTGCGGAATGATGATTGATAAATGACTCAAATCAGAAAGCAAAAGAGACTGATTCTGTTTTATCATCAGCCAGAAACAGGAAGCTTCCTTTAGGCATTCTAAGCATAAGGCAAGATGAATGGGGTGCTAATTAGCTCTTCTAGCTCTATCAGCCTGCTGTCCTTTGTTTGGGGCCAAGAATGAAAGAGGTTAGATTGTGCCTAACAATATGGTCCACTGGCCTGATTACAAGGCTCCAAGAGGGCTTTTGCAACATGAGCATATGGACGTTTTGCAATATTTACAGGAGGAAATGTATGCTGATCGGCATACAGGCTGCAAATGGCTTCCTGTTGTAAGCTTCTTCAATGTATTTCCATAGGTATGGTTGCTCATACTCCACTTGGATATATATTTTTTAATTTGAAGAAAATATCTTACTCAATTATAACCTGAGCTGTGATTTTTCTAGTGAATTTAAAATAAAATACCATTAATATAGTATAGTACAAAGAATATTGGTCTTAGAGTCGGAACTCATGAAGTTGGGTCCCATTTTTGCCTTGCACATTAATTACCATTTCTTCATAGCTGGAGAAAATCAAATCATCAGGCACCCTGGTTTAACTTTAATGCTCTCAAAACTCAAGTCAGGTCTCAATACTTCCTGGAATTTCAACTGTTTTTCTATAGCAAGTTCACTTTTTCACTGTCTGAGAACTCATTTTCATATGTTCCCTTTCCTTAAACTTCATATACCCACCTGTCCCAATCCCCTTATTTCCAGTTGTATACCTCACTGAGAAAATCGAAGGAAGCCATGGAAAGAGGTCTGCTCCATCTTTTGACTGTGATATCTCCAAGCCTCATGTTAATATACCCCTTTTCTTTATTTCAAACCAAAAAAGTGTCCCTGTTCCTATGAAGGGGCAGTCCCTCCACAATTGCACTGGGTCCCATTCTCTTTCACCTCCCCAAGGATTTTGCTCTTTCAGTTGCACCATCTTTCTCTTGCAACATCAGTTTCTCCTCTATTGGATCATGTCTGTTAACACCCAAATGTGTTAAAATAACTACTATCTTCAAAATAAAATAATGAAAAACTGTATTCACCCTAAATCTCATCTATAGTCTAATTTATCTGCTCTCCTCACTGCGAAACCTGTTATAAGAGTTGTTGGCTGGGGGCGGTGGCTCACGCCTGTAATTCCAGCACTTTGGGAGGCCGAGGTGGGCGTATCACGAGGTCAGGAGATCAAGACCATCCTGACCAACACGGTGAAACCCTGTCTCTACTAAAAATACAAAAAAAAAAAAAAAAAAAATAGCCAGGCATGGCGGCGTGCGCCTGTAGTCCCAGCTACTCAGGAGGCTGAGGCAGGAGAATTGCTTGAATCTGAGAGGCAGAGGCTGCAATGAGCTGAGATCATGCCATTGCACTCCAGCCTGGGCTACAGAGTGAGACTCCATCTAAAAAAAGAAAAAAAGAAAAAAGAGTTGTTGATACTCACTGTTTCTTTTTCTCAAAATTCCTATCGCTCCTTAAACCACTCCTGATTTCAATCTGTCCACTCCATTGATCTTGCTTTTGTCAAGGTCATCAGCGACTTCCATATTTCCAATTTAACGGTGACCTACCACTCTTAAACAGTTGGTCATTCTCTCTTTGTTTGAACATCATCTTCCCCTGTCTTTTATAACTTCACATTGAACTTTGTTTTCTTCCTACCTCACTGAATTCTCTTTCTCACTCTCCTTTACTGGCTCCTACTTTATTCAACCCCTAAACATTTGTCTTAGGCTCTCTACTTATTTGCTACTTTCACTAGATTGCACCTCACCTCTGCTTCCAATATGCATTTTTTTTGTTTTACTGTGTGTCCACCATTTTTATTTCGAACTGTTGGGAATAACACTCAAAATTCTAAGGAAATCGAACAGTCGAACAAAGGATTCTTAGCAAAGCCATTTTACTTCTGTGCAGTGAGGTGCCTCCTTGGCCAGTCGCCATGAGAACACACCTGAACAAAGGGGCACCAGAGCCTTTATTCCTGATGCAAGTCCTGCCCCTGCACCCTTTCCCCATTGGCTGGGGTCGGGTCATACAATCTAAACTAATCCCGGTTGGCTAAACATTTGATTTTTTTTTAGACAAGGTGGGCAGGTAAAAGAAAGCAGAGAGGAAAGGGGAAGGGGTGGCTGTAATGAGCTAGAAAGTTAGTCCTCTTTCCAAATAAGGAAAGGAATGTGAGCTGGTACTGATAACGCCTGGTACTGTGGCGTGCCTGGGCATCTAATAAAGGCAAAAAGGAAATAAGGAGAAAAAAGAAAAAAGAAGGGAGGAGGGTACTATGAATTAAAGAATAAAAGATTGATCAGGTTATTTGAAGAGAAACTTCATCATATCCCACATCATACATAGCATTTATCAAAAGCTGATTAGACATAGTTTGTGAAGGAATATAGTTGAGGTTTAGATTGGAGGGTGGTTTCCGATCAGATTTTATACGCCTTGAATACTCAGGTTTACAGTCTCTATCTTATAGTCATCAAGTACCAGATATAATTTTTAAAGCAGGTTGAATTTATACAAACAGGAACAGAACATGGAAGACAATGGAGGTGAAGTCTGTCAGTTAAAAGAGTTTGAGTGTTGTAACATCTTAACGTAAGGTGAACATGACCTGAATTAGGTATTTTGTGGGAGTGCAAATGTAATGAACCACAAAAGACATTCCAAAATACTTGACAAGAGTAGGCAAACGGCTGAATAGGAGGGTTAAAAAACAGAGAATTGTACCTCCCCATGGTTTTTAATCCAAATGACTTGGAGGATAAAGTGCTGCTAATATTGGTAATGAACACATTTCTCTCCAGAGACTGACTGACTCCAAATTTGAAGCCAAATTTACTTTTATGGCTATGCTTAAACTGACATAATGATATATTGGTCTGCTTTCTTTTATGAAATCAGCTCTAAAAATAAATATTCTTGTATTCAGACTTTCTGTGTGTTCTGTTTTCATCTTTTTACTGTAGCTAAAGATCACTTTGTGACTTTTTCTTGTTTTTGGCCAAAGGCTTTTGCAAAAGCAATGAAGTTATGACCTAGTTCTGTGGCAGAACAAGTATGGTCTACAGGGAAACCTGACTTGGAGCAACAGATGTGGTTTTAGACATGTTGGGTTTAAGGTGGTGTCAAGATATCCTAGTGAAAATGGCAGTTACAGAACTATGGCTCAAGGTCAAAGAACACTCTGAATGGTGAATGCAGACTGGAAAGTCATTCAACCATGATATAATGGCCTGGAGACACATAGCTAGTAGTGTCCTAAATATTTAGGCTGGGGTTTACATTTCGCAACTAGCAGATGACATAATAAAGCCAAAGAGAGAGAGAACATGCGAGCAGAAAGGGAAAAAAAAAAGGGAATGAATAGCCAAGGGACACATTTCGCAAGGCTCAAACAAGTTGACTATACTGAATGTTGGGAGAGCTGTCAAGGGAAGTAAAGACTGAAGATTTTGTAATGATAAGGTTGACCTTGAAGAGTATATTTTCCGTGGAGTAGTAGGGGCAGGATTCTTGGAGAAAATGAGATGACTGAATAATGATGAAAAGGAGATAAGCAAAAAAGAAAGAAGATAAATAGCTTTAGGGAGGTGTTTTCAAGGGAAAGTATTTTTTAATACCTTTAATAGGTTATTGCTTTATTCAGTGAAAAATATGTGCCTATTGTAAGATTTAAAAATACAAAAAGTACAAAGAAGAAAGTAAAAAAACCACATGTAATGCAACAATACAGAAAAATAACCACCCTTATTGTTTTGATAATTTTCATACTTGCAGGTTTCAATTAACAGCAACATAAAATTGATTGAAAAGAGTATGTTAGGTTTTTTTTGGAAAATAATTGCTAAACATACAATGTTAATATTTATTGAAAATACATTTCTTGGCCGGGCGTGGTGGCTCATGCCTGTAATCCCAGCACTTTGGGAGACTGAGGCGGGCAGATCACCTGAGGTCGGGATTTCGAGACCAGCCCGACCAACATGGAGAAACCCCATCTCTACTAAAAATACAAAATTAGCTGGGCGTGGTGGCACATGCCAGTAATCCCAGCTACTCGGGAGGCTGAGGCAGGAGAATCGCTTGAACCTGGGAGGCGGAGGTTGCGGTGAGCCAAGATCGCGCCATTGCACTCCAGCCTGGTCAACAGGAGCAAAACTCCGTCTCAAAAAAAAAAAAAAAACTACATTTCTTAATGAGATGGCCCATATTGTTCCTGTTCCCCTCTCATTTACTCCCATTCATTCTTGTAGACATAGATAACTATTACTAATTGCTAGAATAAGAGAGGGTCCATTATTAATTCTATTTTGATTTTTTTCTTTGTCAAAAATAGACTTTGTTTCCATGCATATGTATATAGGAATGGAAGAAGGATTTTTTTTTTTACAGCAATTTCACTCAATTCTTTGAATTCTTCATGAATTACATACCAAAAACTATGTACATGACAATTGCAAGTCATTCAATTTTGTTGAAAACAAAGCATTGGAAATTGCTTGACTTACAAAAGGAGTTGCTATCTAGTCTTTAGAAATTGTTCACCTTGTCAAGTCAATGAGTAATATTCCTAATGTTAAAAGGTAAACTGAGGCACAATACCATTTTTTAAAGAGTTTGAGCAAAAAATATTCCCTGAATTGTACAGCTCCAAACTAGAAGCCATTCGGGAGCTCCATCAAGGGAAAACAATGGGGAGAATTTTATAAAACAGACACGGAAGTAAAGCAGATGGTGTTTGATTGGTTACAGTTATACAGTTGCCTCATTTGATCTATCCCATTGGAAAGTCCTAATTCTATAAGTTTGTTAACTGCTTCTGATTGGTTGAGTTTACATTCTGTTTCTCTGTGATATAAACATTGAGAAATAGCTCAAGTTAAGTTTTGCTTATGTTTGCAAATCAAGCAAGGTTGAAGTCACTTCTGAGGCCTAACTGTGTTTTTCTTCTAAGAGATTCTTCCGGTCTCGTCTCTATTTTAATTTGGTTCAGCCTTAATCAACCTCTTGTCCTCAACGTGTTTCTTTTTTGTTGTTTTTATTTTTACCTTTTTATTTTAAGATAAAACTCAGATATGGAAAGCACACGACAAAAGTGTATGGTTTTATTTCCGCCACGCAGATATAAAGCAACAGAATATTGCTACCCAACCTAGTATTCCAACGCAGATACCTTGTCCCAGTCACCATTCCCTTTAGGCCGTTTAACAAAACTAAGACATTTGTCTGTGTTAATAGGAAGCCACTAAGTGGCCAATGAAGAAATGAAGACCAAAGACAAACTAAGAAGAAATACATCATATGAATCAAAGTCTTGAAGAAGGCATGAGTGGAAAGAATCAGATAAATTCTACATCATTGACAAGGTTTAGTCTTAGAAAAAAAGAAATTTCTCTTACCGCAAGTCAGAGAAAAGAGAAGAGACGACAAATTCATTCAACCTATCATTTAACAAAGATTTCTTAAGCCCCTATTAATTGGCAGTACTGTAGAAAGCACTAGAGAGAGATTTTAAAGAGGAAAATAAACTGTACTCGGGCTCTCCTGCTAGATGGACTTAATCGCTTCGAAAGAGGAGGAGATGAGGTTGTGGTTCTCAATAAAAGCTGTTTAAGGGATTGTGGATTTGGACATTTGAAGAGTGAGAACGAAATTTCAAAAAGCTACAGTAGAGAAAGCCCTATGGAATCAATACATTTTCTTTGCAGGACTCTGGAAAGAGGCAAGCCTAGCATTTTGTTTGAAAAGCTAAGCTTGGAATGCTTTTATCAGACATCACAGTGAATCTAATTGATTCCATTTTTAAAATTGCACCTGCCATTGGAGTTATGCCAAAACACACATACCAAATTAAAGCACAAAAGCCAATAAAACATAACAGGAGCAGAATGCTGCAAACTCAATTGCTTATTAAAAACCTATTAGCTTTAAAATGTTAGCATGTCAGAAAACAGTTTCCTTCTACTAACATCAGCTTTGAAGGCCAGCTAATCGGAAATACATAGAATTAGGACAGGCAGTAAATTCAATAAAGTAGACCTTGCAGTAAAATAAACTTTGCTCCAGGCCCATGCCGTTGCAATTAGAAAGGCATCATCAGGCACAGGCCTGCAGATCAGAGGTCTTAGTAAGCCAGTGGTCATTCTGGTATTTAGAGTCCGCTTGTTATAACTTAAGTCATCTTTTTAAATATCCTATTTGATATAATATTTAATTGTCTCTTTAAGAGTGCTGAAAAAATATCAGGATGCTTGAACACTTTAGAAATAAAAATATCCAAATGAGCTAGCCAGTGGGACTTCTTTTGTGTTTTTCTTTCTTCCAGCAAGACAGCCTTTTTTTTCTTTCAATTCCTTCCTTCTGTTCTCATAAATTAATCTGCATTTGTGATTTTGGATTTGTGCAGAGTGGAGTGTGATTACTGAGGTCTTCACCAACATTCAGGCTGACAGAGAACAGTTGAACCAGCTATTATCTTTTGTGCTGAGAGATATGTTTATGGTAAATGCTCTTGGCTCTCTGAAAAGTTGGGAGAATAGGCCCTTGAAACTGATGAGGGTGTCAAAATGTTGCTTTAGATCCCTATAGCTGAGAGAACTGCAAAGGTGACTTGGCGAAGAGTTATTTATAAGATCATTGAATGGAAGATAAAAAGGAAATTATTTTACTTCAAATATGATATGTTTTGTAATTATTAACTGAATCATAGAATTTGAATTGGAAGCGATTTCATAAGGCAATCAGTCTAGCGATTTCCCAATACTGATTTCTAGACAGACACAAGACTGGGATAATATTTTCACTAATCCATGGCAGAATTAAAAGAAAAATAAGAAAACAGTATAGACAGGTTTTCAATGAAGCTAGATTTGTTATTTGATTTTAATCTTAATATTACATTCTTTTTATTTTTAGTCCTAAAATACTCTTTCTTCTTTGAGATGACAGATGTATATGGTGGGATGTATAAAGTGCTCTTGGTTAGATTAAATGAAACAATCATTGTTCTTTTGGGAACTGGAGTAGGGGTGATGTGAAGCTAGATTAGAAAGTAGGCAGCATTCGGTTTGAGGACCAGGATCTTGTTGTTCCTGAGCTCTTTTCTTCCTCTACGGTACTCAGTATCCTTATTTTTCTATGCAGTTTACAATTTTCATTTTGTTCCGTACTCCCTTCTCTCCCAAATAGAAACCAACCTTGAAAAAGAATCAGCTTTCAGCCATTTATCCAACTCAAAGGCAAGGTGAGAGTGAACTGTTGGTGCTGGAAACCACAATCCACTGCTCTCAATTTTATTTTCTCATGTACGTTAATCTCTCCCTCTCTGCCAGCTCAGTATACATGTGCGATTGTGATCTAAATTCTTATATCACTTTTACAAACTAGAATTCTCCCCGTTGTGTATCCCCCTGCCACCTACCCCCTCATTTGTTTTCTCCACTAAACACACTGTAGCCACTTCCCTCATTTCTTCCCACTTACTTTTCAGTTCAGTTCAATTTGGTTTTGTTCTCATTCCACTGGAACTGCTTTTATCGAGGTCAGCATTACCATCTGCACTATTAAAACCACTGGTTACTTTATCATTTTCCTCTTACTCAAATTCTCGGCATTATTCTGCACATTGGCAACTCTCTGTTCTTCAAACACAGAACTATGCCAAAATTGTCCTATTTTTGAGCCTTGGCAGCTGTTTTTTTTTTTCCTCTTTTTCAATGCTTGCTCTTTCTGATATATCAAATAAGACTTCCTTGGAGAAAGCTTCACTTAGTACCCAATATCAATATACAGTAGTTCTGTCCATTACACTAACCATCACTGCTGTCTGTTACTCTCTTGCAGCATCCCAAAATTTCCTTCACAGCATTTACAACTGCTTGTGTCTTTTATTTATTATCTGTCTCTCCCTGTACATAAAGCTTTATGAAGTTCAGGGACTATGAATCCCATATTCATTGCTGTACCTCCAGAACCCAGCACAGTGCTTGTTGCATAGTAGTTTTTTTAATAAAGACTCGTTGAATAATTTGATGGATAGATGAATGCCAAGAATCCCACAATATTTTTTACTAGCCCCAACTTGAAAACTCATGCCAAGACTTTTTTACTTTATCTTTGCAATGATTCTCGCATCTGTCTCTTTCTTCCAGTCCTTGCTTCCGCTTTCCTTGCCCAGGCCACCATCATCTATTAGTTTAACCATTTAATAAAACTCATAACTCACCTTCTGTCTTCTCTTGTTGATCTTCAATCCATCCTATATATTGCAGTTAGTCTTATACCCTTCCTGAAACTCTGATCTTATTTTCCTATGAAAAACAAAACCAAATAAAACAAACTCCCCTTTGTGTAGACAGTTTGTTCTAAGTTTTCTATCCTGGCATTCATGGGCCTTGAAGACCTGGCTTTAACTGATACCAGCTATAAGTGATATATAATGTCAGACGCATTTGCCTAGCTCTTTTTTTGTGTGAACTTCTCTTTCGAAACTTTTATGACTCAGTGTTGTGTTATTACACCATTTAATAGAATGACAACATGTTGAGGGCAGGTACATGGTATGTTTTCTAATTTCAGCACTTAGCACAGTTTTTGATACACACAAGCTCTATACATATTTACTGAATAAATCATTGTGTGACCCTCTTCTTGAAGTTGTACAATCAGTGTCAAACAGAATATAGAATGTAAAAATGATTAATTGCAAACCCTATCTAGTGTTTGGGTGTAACTAAAAATATTAAGTTCTGTACATTTTGTTTAATGCAACGGATATGACTTATTAGCTGTGCTAATGTTAAATATTGTTGTGCAACTGATGCCTGCAGTTTCCTGAGCCAAAATAGGAGAAATCTTGTCCTTAGAAATTCTTTGACTGAAAGGTCATCCAATTAATTACAAGACCCTTAGCAAAAAAACTGCTGATGCATGCGGCCTTTTCCCCAGAAAGATCTGCAAGATATGAAGAGAACAATAGCCTCAGGCAGTACACTCAGAAGATGAAAGTGTATGTGAAAAAACCCACTCTGAACATTTCTAGCACAGGCTGGCTGCCTGCAGGTCCTGATATTGACCCTCAAGCATGCTGCTCAGACTTCCATTGCAGAGGAATTAAAGTGGCCAAATCTGTGTGTGTGTGTATATATATATATATATATATATATATATATATATATATATATATATACACACACTCACTTTGTTGCCCAGACTGGACTGGAGTGCAGTGGCTCCATCTCTGTGCACTGCAGCCTCAGCTTCCTGAGCTCAAGTGATCCTCCCCAGCAGTCCTCTCGCCTTACCTTCCTGAGTAGCTGGGCCCACAGGCACGCACCGCCAGGCCCGGCTAATGTTTGTAGTGTTTGTAGAGACAGGGTTTCACCATATTTTCAAGCTGGTCTTGAACTCCTCAGTTCAAGTGATCCACCCACCTCGGCCTCCCAGAGCGATGGGATTACAGGCATGAGCCACTGCGCCTTACCACATATATTTTTGAATATTTAAAAATACAAATTTTGGCCGGGTGCGGTGGCTCACGCCTGTAATCCCAGCATTTTGAGAGGCCAAGGCGGGCAGATCACGAGGTCAGGAGCTCGAGACCAGCCTGGCCAACACAGTGAAACCCCGTCTCTACTAAAAATACAAAAATTAGCTGGGCGTGGTAGTGGGCGCCTATAATCCCAACTACTTAGGAGGCTGAGGCAGGAGAATGCCTTGAACCCGGGAGGCGGAGGTTGCAGTGAGCTAAGATGGTGCCACTGCACTCCAGTCTGGGCGACAGAGCTAGACTCCATCTCAGAAAAAAATTAATAATTTTGACTTGTATCATGCTGCATGAGAACAGTGTAGTATAATTAAGGGCAGATGAGTAGATAGGAACTTACTTTCATGGATTATTTTTCTTGACATAGAAGCTCTCAATTTTGAATGCGCATTAAAGTTATCTGTCAAGCTTTCCAAAATTCAGATGTCCAGGATCCATCGATCCCCATAAATTCTGATTTAATTGGTCTGGGATAGATCTCCCACGTGGTATGCTTTTTGTAAACTCCCCAGGTAAATCTAAGTTGTTTCTATGGTTGAGAACCGTTTCTACTAATTGAAGATTGCCATTCTGCTGTAAGTTATTCAGGAATAAAATAATTGATGTAGTTGTTGAGGGGCTTTGTGTTTCATTCTAACGTTGATTTTTCTTTCATGAAGCTGTAAGTTTGAGGTTTGAGCACTCCACACTCAACACCTGTAGTGAATGCCAGTGAAACCCTACAGTCAGAATGTTAATTAGTATTCCATTGGGTACTAGCTGTTCCAGCTATATCTGTTAACAGTTAGAAGAGGGTTGACATGACGTGTATAATTGTAATCAATCATGGTCTTGTCTCTGAGTAAACAAAGTGCATGACTGACATTTGAGATAGTTCATGCTTTATCCCTGGCTATCTTCTTATCTTATATTTTCTACTTTTTTTTTTTTTTCTGAGATGGAGTTTTGCTCTTGTTGCCCAGGCTGGAGTGCAATGGTGCGATCTCGGCTTTCCGCAACCTCCGCCTTCCGGGTTCAAGCGCTTCTCCTGCTTCAGCCTCCCGAGTAGCTGGGATTACAGGCATGTGCCACCACCACGCCTGGCTAATTTTGTATTTTTAGTAGAGACAGGGTTTCTCCGTGTTGGTCAGGCTGGTCTCGAACTCCTGACCTCAGGTAATCCGCCCACCTCGGCCTCCCAAGGTGCTGGGAATATAGGCGTGAGCCACTGCTTTGTTTGTTTTTTTAGACGGAGTTTCACTCTTTTGTCCAGGCTGGAGGGCAATGGCGCCATCTCAGCTCACCACAACCTCCGCCTCCCGGGTTCAAGTGATTCTCTTGCCTCAGCCTCCTGAGTAGCTGGCATTACAGGCGCCTGCCACCATGCCCGGCTAATTTTTGTATTTTTAGTAGAGACTGAGTTTCACCATTTTGGCCAGGCTGGTCTCAAACTCTTGACCTCAGGTGATCTACCTGAGGGAGGCCCACCTGAGGGATCTACCTGAGGGAGGCCTCGGCCTCCCAAAGTGTAGGATTATAGGCATGAGCCACCAGGCCCAGCCTTCTATTTTCATCTTATACCATGACTGGTTAATCTTCCAGTTTATGCTCCAATCACCCTGAATTATGTTATAGTCACCTTGATTCCAATAATGCACAAGCTTTTGTGTCTCCAGGCTCCTGCACATGCTGTTTCCTCTGTGTGGACTCCCCTTCCCTTCTTGTCTGCCTGAAACATTGCTACTCATTCTCCTATACCCAGAGTTCTTGATGATGCACATTCTGAGTTAGTAAGCAAAATATATGTGTATGTTTGTTATATAATTTTTTATTGAAAGAATCATTATAAATTTCATTACATCCTTAAAAGGGTCTGTGACCCTTAAATGTTAAGATTCATTTGTTTCTGCCTATAATCAAATGTGACACAGTGAAAGCATACACTGAGACCTCCTTGTTTCCAACTGCCCCAACCAAGTTATCTGTCACAGATATTCTGTCCCTCTTCTCAGTTTTTATAGAACTTTACATATCTCTGTCTCTCTTTTTTTTTTTTGAGATGGAGTCTCGTTCTGTCGCCCAGGCTGGAGTGCAGTGGCATGATCTCGGCTCACTGCAACCTCTGCCTCCCAGGTTCAAGTGATTCTCCTGCCTCAGCCTCCCAAGTAGCTGGGACTACAGGCGTGTACCACCACGCCCAGCTAATTTTTTGTATTTTTAGTAGAAACGGGGTTTTACCGTGTTAGCCAGGATGGCCTCGATGTCCTGACCTCACGATCCACCCACCTTGGCCTCCCAAAGTGCTGGGATTACAGACGTGAGCCACCGCGCCCGGCCTAGATATCTCTCTTTTTATATCATATTTACTTGTCTCCCTTTGGACTGAGATATCACCGAAGGCAGAAACAATGTCTTATTCACCTTTGATCTCAGAACGTAGCACAAATAGATTCATTTTAGCTGGGAGAATGTTGAAGCTTAAATCAACTTGCCTGGAATTTAAAGGTTTTCATATGCTAAAGTTCTGGAGGATACAGTGCTTGCATCTTCTAACTATTACTCATACATTTCAGTGTTTAACCAGTCATTGCCCTTCTTTAGGTAACAATGTGAATGCCAAGAAATACAATTCTCCTTAATAAAATATGAAAATCTTGAGCTGTGATAGTTTGACACAGATAGAATCAGTGTGGCGCTATCTTCTTCTCCAAGATAATTTCTTCCAACATTTTAATTATATGAGTTATAGAAAGAAAATAAATACGTAAAAGAAAGGGGACTAAATCGTTAGCAAAATAATTCAATAAAAAGTCTCAGAACTTAAGGATGCTTATTTATAGATTAAAAGGCTAGCACCTCGCAAAATAGATGAAAATAGACTTGTGTCAAGATATATCAGTGTACAATTTCAGGACACTGACAACAAAGAGAAAATTGTATAAGTTTCCAGAGGGGTAAAAATAGTTAAGGGAGAAAGAACGAGGAATCAGATGGCTTAAAAATGTTCAACACCAGCCAGGCGTGGTGGCTCGTGCCTGTAATCCCAGCACTTTGGGAGGCCGAGGTGGGCGGATCACCGGAGGTCAGTTCGAGACCAGCCTGACCAACATAGAGAAACCCTGTCTCTGCCAAAAACACAAAATTAGCAGGGTGTGGTGGCGTTTGCCTGTAATCCCAGCTATTCGGGAGGCTGAGGCAGGAGCATCACTTGAACCCGGGAGGCGGAGTTTGTGGTGAGCCAAGGTCGCGCCACTGCACTCCAGCCTGGGCAACGAGAGTGAAACACCGTCTCAAAAAATAATAATAATAATAATTTGACACCATCACTATAAACCAGAACGCAATGGAGTTATGCTTTGAAAATTCTAAAGGAAAATGATTTCTGGCGTACGTTTCTATTCCCACATAGACTAAAATCAAATGTACAAGTAGAAAACATACACTTTTCAGACATATGAGATCTCTAAAATTTTGTCTCCCTGTGAACCTTTTCTTAGGAAGCTACTAGAGATGTTTTTCCTACCAAAAGGAAGAAGTAAACCAAGAAAGATGAAGATGTGGAATGCGGAAAATAGGAGACACAACACAAGAGAAAGAGAAATTCTTAAAAGTGTAGTGATGGAAAATCCTAGGATGAGAAAATTGAATCAGGCCTAGAGGGCAACCAGTCAAGACTGTTGCAGGGAAGCAGCTTACAAGAGAGTGTTCTTCAAGGTGAGAGCATTTGCACAACAATTGATGTGAATAAAAGTCTTGATATGAGATTTAAAAAATTAGTAAGGAATTTTCAATTGAGTTAGCACAAATTAAAATAAAATTAAGTTGAAATTCAACAACAAAATCAATAACATAAATATTTCTCGGCAATTCATGGATTACCATAATATAAATTTAAAAGTACTTAGAACTTAATGATATTGAAAATATTACAGAGTAAATGTGTGAGTAGCAGTAAAAGTGATATTACAATAGGAGTTTATAGACTTGAATGTTTCTACAACTTGAAAATTAATGTACTACATATTTAAATAAAGAATTAGAAAAGAAACAACAGAATTAATTCTGAAAAACTAAAGTGAGGGGATAATGATGTAGAGAAAATTAGTAAAACATACAAAGCTAAAATTTGGTTGTTGGAGAAATATAATAAAAGGCGCAAACCTCAGGGAAGTTAAGAAAAAAAGAGAGAAAGCACAAATAAAAGTAAGAATTAAAAAGATACATAACTACAGACAGAGTATAGATTAAGAAGCTAATAAGAAAATATGATTAACACTTTATGCTACAAATTTGAAAGCCTAGATCAAATACACAGATTTTTATAAATGTATAACTTAGTAAAATTGAAATAAGAAGTATGTAATCTGAATAGTCTCATAAATGTTAAAGGAAATAAAGGATTGTTCCTACAGATAAAACAGTAGGCCCAGATTTTTGTCCCCAGACAGAGCATTTCAATATATATGAAGGATTCTATAAAATAAAAAAGGGAAAATCCTAAACTTATTCTATGAGGCGAGCAGAACTTTGATACCAACACCACAGAAATTGAGTATAGAAACAGATATTAAAACTAAAGTCCATTCTCATTCATAAAACAAATGGTAAAATCCCAAATGTAAAAAGATTCATGTGGATTCTTTGAGGGTTGGGTTGAAATTTGTTTCTGCCAGATCCTGCTACTCTGGGACAACACACACACAAATTTATGTTTTGAGATTTTCCGTAATACCCAAGCAATACGGAGATGGCTTGACAATCTGTGATAGCCAGCCTGTGTCATGACTTCTCACGGACACAAATTTTTTTCTGTTTTCCTCCTTGTTCTGCTGAGCTCCAAGACAACTTCTGCGAAAGTTCCTTGAGTTTGGAAATAGGGACGGGTTTCCTTCTGTTTCACCCTTAACATGAAGATACAGTCCTGTGGAATCCCAGATCCATCTGGAGAGAGTCGGCTATTAAACTCTTTTCATAAGTACGCCCTGGGCCTTGACTACTGTCTGTCTAGAGATAGGAGGCTGATAGTTCCTTCCTGGCCCATCAGTTTTGGATACAATTAATGTTTCTTCCATTCAGAATTTTCAATTGTTTGGGAGGTGATATGGTTTGGCTGTGTCTCCATTCAAATCTCAACTTCAATTGTATCTCCCAGAATTCCTACCATGTTGTGGGAGGGGGACCCAGGGGGAGGTAATTGAATCATGGGGGCTGGTCTTTCTCGTGCTATTCTTGTGATACTGCATAAGTCTCAGGAGATCTGCTGGGTTTATCAGGGGTTTCCGCTTTTGCTTCTTCCTCATTCCCTCTTGGCACCGCCACGTAAGAAGAGCCTTTGGTCCTACGCCATGAATCTGAGGCCTCCCCAGCCATGTGGAACTGTAAGTCCAATTAAACCTCCTTTTCTTCCCAGTTTCGGGTATGTCTTTATCAGCAGCGTGACAATGAACTAATACAGGTTGGTCCAAATAACCTTGGCTTCCGTTATAGAACGTGGACATTGGTGAAATTTTTAATCTTTCCTGTGGCAAACTTTAGCAGTGGGTATTATTTTTCTGACATTTTTTTTTCTGTTCTATTCACCTTTGTTTCTCATAGGGTGCCTTTTTTTGAGACGGAGTCTCGTTCTGTACCCCAGGCTGGAGTGCAGTGGCACGATCTTGGCTCACCGCGACCTCCACCTCCCAGGTTCAAGCGATTCTCCTGCCTCAGCCTCCTGAGTAGCTGAGATTACAGGCATTCATCATCACATCCAGCTAACTTTTTGTATTTTTAGTAGAGACGGGGTTTCACCATGTTGGTCAGGCTGGTCTTGAACTCCTGACCTCAGGTGATTCACCCGCCTCGGCCTCCTGAAGTGCTGGGATTACAGGTGTGAGCCACCCCTCCCGGCCCTCATAGGGTACTTTTTATTTATTTGTGCCTGCCCTGTTTTGAGCACCTTTTTGATTGAAAAAAGGCTTTTCTGGGCCAAATAATTCCCATCTATCTATCTACGGAAAGTGCATGGGAAGAGTTTGGGGATGGTAGGAATTTTCCTTAATATTCAGAATTTTGCACGTGTGTGCATGTATGTGTATGTGTGTTGATGTGTGTATGAGTGTATTTTTTTTTTCTTTTGAAGCTTCATTTTCCCCTATGTCAATAAAGACATTGGCTGCTCTAGGGATATTTACAACGCAGAGTATTTGTCCTTTTCTTTTCATTCTAAGAATGAGTGCAAGAACGGGTGCAGGAAGTTCGAGAGGTGGTCATTAGTCTTCCGAGTATGGGAGCAGGGAGAGTAAGACAGAGAAGAAAAGTGAATGGAGGGTGCATTACTGAGCTTGTTGTTGGTGTGGGCGACTGAGACTGAGTCTCACTGGGAATCTTTAAAGGAATTGTGTAGGGCATACCTCAGAATTGTCCCTCTGAAAGATAAGGTGGCTGGGGCAATTACCTTCTTACTCCCTCCCACCATCCTTGGAAGTTGGGTGCTCGGGACATTAATTCTGCAACATTTGTAAGCTGCAGCTGAGCACCAGATGAATGGAAGTTGCTGTTCAATGGGTATAATGTTTCAGTTAGGCAAAGTGAGTAAGTTCTAAACCTCTGCTTACAGCATGGTGCCTACAGTTAATAATATTGTACTGTGCACTTTAATATTTGTTAAGATGGTAGATCTCATGTTGAGTGTTCTTAACACAATAAAAAAATTAATCGTATTCATACAATTCAATTAATTAATACAATTAATTGTATTAATTTTGCTACAACATGGAGGAACTTCAAGAACATCACGCTAAATGAAAACAGCCCCCTGACACATAAGGCCACAAATTGTATGAATCGTCTGATTCCATTGATATGAAATATTCCGACAGGCAAATCCACAGAGCCACAAAATGAATTAGTGGTTGCCAGGAGCTAAGGTGAAGAATAACGAGTGTCTCCTGATGAGTCTGGAGTTTCTTTTTAGAGTGATTAAAATATTTGGGAATTAGTGTTGTGAGCTGCGCAACTCTGAATACGATAACACCACCAAACTGTATACTTCTTAAAATGGTTCCTCATTTTGTTTTAAAAGAACCAGAATGTCTAATTAGGTTTATGTCATTAAATACATTTTTTAAAGGGACTTGATGCTTGAAAATGGGAGAGTAATGGGCATTTCTACCTTCTCCACTCTGAAATAACCCAAATATAGCAGAGGAAACTTAAGATAGCCAAGTTCGATATTAGCAAAATCTAAGAAACATTTTAATGTACCAACCCAAGGTAGAAGAAAGAGCTGCCCCAAAGAAGTATAGATTTAAATATAATTGAGAGAGGAACCTGAGAAAGTATACCAGTGACCATGCATTTTTTTCCTTCCAGCAGACCCTGGAAACCACCATTCTACTCTTTGTTTTATTATTTTTTTTATTTTTTGAGGTGGAGTCTTGCTCTGTTGCCAGGCTGGAGTGCAGTGGTGCAATCTCGGCTCACTGCAACCTCCGCCTCCCGGGTTCAAGCAATTCTCCTGCCTCAGCCTCCCGAGTAGCTGGGACTACAGGCGCGCACCACCACACCCAGCTAATTTCTGTATTTTTAGTACAGACGGGGTTTCACCATGTTAGCCAGGATGGTCTTGATCTCCTGACATCTTGATCTGCCCGCCTCGGCCTCCCAAAGTGCTGGGATTACAGGCGTGAGCCACCGCGCCCGGCCCTCTTTGTTTTTATGGGTTTGATTATCTTAGATATCTCATATAAGTAGAAACACGAAGTAACTGCCCTTCTGTGACTGATGTATTTCACTTAGCATAACATCCTTCAGGATTATTTATGTCGTAGCATATGGCAGGATTTCATGGCTAAATAATATATTCCACTGAATGCATATATATTTTTCTTATTCATTCATCGACTGACAGACATTTAGGTTTTTCTATTATTAATTTTTTTGAGGAACCATCACACTGCTTTCCATAGTGGCTGCCCTATTTCACATTCCCACCAAGAGTTTACAGGTTCTCAATTTCTCGACATCATTGCCCCACTTGTTATCTTTTGATTTTTTAATTACAGCTATCCTAAAAGCGTGAGTTAATATCTCCTTGTGGTCTTGATTTGCATTGCTTTTATGATTAGTGATATTAAGGATCTTTTAATCCATTTTTTGGCCATTTGTATGTCTTCTTTGAAGAAATGCCTATTCAGCTCCACTGTCCAGGTTTTTTGTGTGTGTGTGTGTGTTTTTTTTTTCTTTTGCTATTGAGTTGTAGGAGTTCCTAATATATTTGGACATGAATCGTTTGTCAGGAGTATGGTTTGGAAACATTTTCTTCCATTATGTAGGTTGTCTTTCACTCTGTTGATTGTGTCCTTTCTACATCAAGCTTTTCAGTTTGATGTAGTACCACTTGTTTAATTTTGCTTCACCTGCTTGCACTTTTGGCTCATCAGTTAGCAGGTGATGAATGCTGCCAGGACTGCATTCTTTCCTTCAAGCCAGCAGGTTCCCTTCTGGCCCAGGGTGCATCTAGAAATATCATCTAGGAGCTAGTGCCTGGAAAGGGAGTCTCATGATTCTGACTGGTGCCCTATCCGGCTATGGCTGAGCTGGTTTCCAAGATGCAAAACAAAGTCCTCCCAACTATTTCCTCTCCTCCCCTTTAGTGGAAGGAAGGGGTGTATTTTAGAACCATGAGCTGTGCAGCTTGGGGTTAGGGGAGCAGTGATGCCAGCACTTCCTTAGAAACTGTAGCTGAAGGCCGTACTCGGTGGTGTACGCCTGCCATTCCAGCACTTTGGGAGGCCGAGGCAGGCGGATCACCTGAGGTCAGGAGTTCACAACCAGCCTCACATGGTGAAACCCCATCTCTACTAAATACAAAATAATTAGCTAGGCGTGGTGACACATGCCTGTAATGCGAGCTACTTGGGAGGCTGAGACAGGAGAATCGTTTGTACCTGGGAGGCGGAGGTTGCAGTGAGCCGAAGTCGCGCCATTGCATTCCACCCTGGGCAACAAGAGTGAAACTCCGTCTCAAAAAAAAAAAAAAAGAAAGAAAGAAAGAAAGAAAGAAGCTCCAGCTGTTTGCTGGGTGGGTCACGTCCACTGGTTCTGGGCCCAGTTCAGCACTAGGTTTCACGGAAAAGTTGCAGTCCTTGTGGTCTAAACTACCATTCAAATTTACTTAGAGCCCCAGGGCACTTTGTCCCGCAGTGATGAGGCTTGCAGGAACTCATGTTTAGACCACTGGTGTCAGAGGCGTTTGAACCAGAGCAATTCTATCTTGAGTAGGAGCTAGGTAAAATGAGGCTGAAACCTACTGGGCTGCATTTCCAGATGGGTAGGCATTCTAAGTCACAGGATGAGCTAGGAGGTCGGCACAAGACACAGGTCATAAAGGCCTCGCTGATAAAACAGGTTGCAGTTTTAAAGAAGCCAACCAAACCCGCCAATACCAAGATGTCGATAGAGTGACGTCTTGTCGTCCTCACTGCTACACTTCCGACAGTGCCATGACAGTATACAAATGCCATGGCAACGTCAGGAAGTTACCCTATATGGTGTAAAAGGCGAGGTATGAATAAGCCACCCCTTGCTTAGCATATAGTCATGAAATAACCGTAAAAATGGGCAACCAGAGCCCTCCGGGCTGCTCTGTCTATGGAGTAGCCATTCTTTTATTCCTTCACTTTCTTCAACTTGCTTTCACTGTACTCTATGGACTCGGCCTGAATTATTTCTTGCACCAGATCCAAGAACCCTCTCTTGGAGTCTGGATCGGGACCCCTTTCTGGTAACAAAAGAATCAGTGATTTCCCTCTGGCTGGGCTGGTTTAAATGCTCCCTCTGTGGGCAGGCATCAGCTGAATTTGGTCTGGTTTTATGTTATGCTATTACAGGGCAGGAGCTACAGTGCTTCACAATTGCTGCACTATCCCTCTCTCCTGCACACGGAAATGCTCCCCACACCACACCACTGCTGCTGAGGGATGAGGGAGAAGTGGCATTGGTGATTCCAGGCACTTTTTCTTACCTCTTCAGTGACTCTTTCAGCAATTTGAAATTAAAACCATGTATTCTGTGTAAACCCCAAGTATCTGAGACAAGTCTCAGTCAATTTAGCAAGTTTATCTTGTCAAAGTTAAGGACGTGCGCCCGTGACACAGCCTCAGGAGGTCCTGGCAACATGTGCCCATGTGCCCAAGGTGGTCGGGGCACAGCTTGGTTTTTCTGTTGTGTGTTTTTTTTTTTTTTTTGAGACGGAGTTTTGCTCTCGTCGCCCAGGCTGGAGTGCAGTGGTGTGATCTTGGCTCACTGCAATCTCCACCTCCCGGGTTCGAGCGATTCTCCTGCCTCAGTCTCCTGACTAGCTGGGATTACAGGCACACGCCACCAGGCCCAGCTAATTATTGTATATTTAGTGGAGACAGGGTTTCACCATGTTGGTCAGGCTGGTCTCGAACTCCTGACCTCGTGATCCGCCCACCTCAGCCCTCCCACAGTGCTGGGATTACAGGCGTGAGCCACCACGCACGGCTACAGTTTGGTTTTATATATTTTTAGGGAGACATGAGACATCAACTAATATATGTAAGATGTCCACTGGTTTTGCCTGGAAAGGTAAGACAACTCGAAGTGGGGACGCGGCTTCCAGGTCATAGGTATGTGAGAGACAAATGGTTGCATTCTTTTGAGTTTCTGATAAGCCTTTCCAAAGAAGGAAATCAGATATGCATTTATCTCAGTGAGCAGAGGGATGACTTTGAATAGAATGGGAGGTAGGTTTGCCGGAAGCAGTCCACAGCTTGACTTTTCCCTTTAGTGTAGTGATTTGGGGGTTCCAAGATTTATTTTCCTTTCATAGTGAGTGCTTACTTGATTTTTGGTTCTTCTGAATGTGCTTTTTTTGTGTGTAGATAATTGTTTACCTGATGTCTTTGTGAGGTGGATGACTGGTAGAACTGTCTATTCTGCCATCTTGCTCCCCAACTTTTCGTTTTCCACTAAAAAATTCTGCTGTGATTTCACTGAGATCATGACGAATGTATAAATTAAATTAGAGAGAACAGGCATGTAAACAATATTAAGTAATCCAATTGATGAACATAGCACATGTCTCTTTTTATTTAGGTCTTCTTTAATTTCTCTCAATGCTGTCTTACAGTTTTTAGTGTGGAAGTTTTAGATACTTATTAAATTCATTTCTAAGCATTTTCTGCTTTTGAATATTATGAAAGTGGTATTTTAAGTTTATTTTGCAATTTTGGTTGCTGGTACATAAACAATAGTCTTTTTACGTCAACTTTGTATGCTGTAAATTTGCTAGATTAACTTTTTAATTTTACTAGTTGTTTTGTATATTACATGGAATTTTCTGTGCAACTGACCGTGTCGTCTGCTAATAAAGTTTTAACTCTTTTCATACTAAAATGTCGACCTTTTATTTAATATTCTTGCTTTATTGCTCTGTCTAGGACTGCCTGTAAAACCATTTCCTCTTTGGAAGTCTTATGCAAACTGTTTACAATTTCACAATAAGTATGATACTAGCCATAAGTTTTTATAGATGATTTTTATTGGAATGAGGAAATTACTGTCTATAACTAGATTATCAAGAATGTTGAATTTTGCCAAGTAGTTTTACTGCATCTATTCAAACAATCAGATGTTCTTTATTTGGATTATTTTGTTAAGATGGTGAAATACACTGGTTGGACTTTAATTGTTAAAACATTTTCTTTTTATTCTCAGAATAAAACTCAGTTGGTCATTGTTCAGAAAAATGTTAATATTGTAGGCCTAGATATTAGAAAGGCTTGCTTGCAAGTTTGGCCATTGGATGGTGTCCGGTAACTTGGATTTTGGGAGACTTCTCCCCAAACGAACTGATAAGAGTGGCTTACTGTGCTTAAACCGTACAATGTGGTTTATACTGAACACCTACTTTACTTTCGGGGGACTGGAATTTTGGTATGCCCTAGGCAGAAAGTCACCACATAATCAACCTCTAATAAACACTGAGTCTTTAAAGAAATTGTCTGGTAGAAAACATTTCACACATTTTGTTACAGCTTGTTGCTGCAAGAAGTAAGTGCGTCCTATGTGACTCTCCCAGGAGAAGACTTGGAAACTTATTCCTGGTTCCCTCCATACCTTTTCTCCTTGCTGATTTTGCTTTATATCATTTCATTTTATTACATCTTAGGCATGAATACAACGTCTATATCCTGAGTCAGTCCTGTAAGTCCTTCTAGTGAATCACCAAGGCTGGTTTTTGGACTTGGGGACACTTAGCACAGTCATGATAAATTACCCTTTTGTTTACTTGATTTTATGTACTTGATTTTGTTGGCTAATGTTTTAATGATTTTCGTGCCTGCATTCATGAGGTATATTGATCTTTAGTTTTCTTTTCTAATAATATCTTTGATAGATTTTGATATCAGGGATTTGCTAGTCTCATACAATGAGTTGAGGAACATTTCTTTCTCCTGTTTTTGAAAGAATTTATGTAAATTAGGTATTATTTCTTTAAATATGTCAGAAGTCACTAGTGAAAACATTGGAGTCTTTTTGTGGAGGGGAGTTAAATTACATATACATAATATAACATATATAACCTTTAAAAGTTCAATTTTTAACAGATTTTGGGCTGTTTGTATATTTGTATATCTCAATTCATTCTTATATTAGTTTTTGTAAGTTGTATTTTTCAAGTAATTTTTTTATTGAGTCTGAATTTTCAAATTTATTGGCATAAAGTTGCTCTCATTTTTTTTTCTTTTTCTTGAGACAGAGTTTCACTGTCGTTGCCCAGGCTACAGTGCAGTGGCATGATCTCTGCTCACTGCAACCTCCACCTCCCTGGGTCAAGTGATTCTCCTGCCTCAGCCTCCCAAGTAGCTGGGAATACAGGTGCGCGCTACCACGCCTGGCTACTTTTGTAGTTTTAGTAGAGACGGGGTTTTACCATGTTGGTCAGGCTGGTCTCAGACTCCTGACCTCAGGTGATCCGCCCGCCTTGGCCTCCCAAAGTGCTGGGATTACAGGCGTGAGCCACCGTGCACGACCAGCTTGCTCTCATATTCCATTAGTATTATTTCACTTTCAGTAGGGCCGGTAGTGCTGTTATGGGCGTGTCTTTGCGTCCAGAGCTACCAAGATGGCGGCAAGCCTCTTGCTCTCTGACCTGGGGTTCTTGGCCTCACGGATTCCAAGGAAGGGAACCTTGGGCCACGCGGTGATCCGTACAGTTCTGTTAAAAGCCCGGGGTTATGGAAGAGAAGCGTGGAAACCAGCGACCAGCGTTCAGGTAGATTAGGACCAACCCCGGCACTTAGCTGCACAGGAACAATGGCGAGCCCCTTTGGGCGCCTCACTGATCAGAAGGGCAGAGGACACCCTGCTGGATCTGGAGGAGTGGAAGTCAATGGCGGGTCTGCGAGGGCGGCGTTCAGCGGTGGTGGACGGAGGGTGTTGAGCGGTGGTGGACGGACGGCCTTCGGCGGTGGTGGACGACGGCCTTCGGCGGTGGTGGACGGACGGCCTTCGGCGTTGGTGGACGGACGGCCTTCGGCGGTGGTGGACGGACGGCCTTCGGCGGTGGTGGACGGACGGCCTTCGGCGTTGGTGGACGGACGGCTTTCGGCGGTGGTGAACGGTGAGCGAAAGCCGGAACAAACATGGACGAGAAGAGTGTGCAGTTGCAAGGTTTAATAGAGTGAAAACAGAGTTCCCATACAACCGGAGGGGACCCAAGGGGGTTGCCCACTCCTGGCTTGAATGCCTGGGGTTTATATCCCAATCATTGTCCCTCCCCCAGTGCTCTCAGGCGATAGATGATTTGGTATTTCTTTACCTCCTGTTTTTAGCCTAATTGGTACTTTAGTGAGCTCTCTTTACTACCTGATTGGTCGGGTGTGAGCTGAGTTACAAGCCCGGTGTTTAAAGGTGAGTGCAGTCACCTTCGTCAGCTAGGCTTAGGAACTCTTAGTCGGTCTAGGAAATCCAGCTAGTCCTGTCTCTTAGTGCTGTTCCTCTTTGTTTCGTGACATTGGGAATTTGTATGTTCTCTTATTTTGTTTTCAGTTTTATTGGGAGATTAACAAATTTATTAATCTCTTGAAAAAACTTCTTCCATCCTTTTACATCTAATTGAAAGAAAAGAGCCACACATTTTATGTGTGGGTTTTTATTATTTAGTTTAAAATATTTTGTAAATTCCAGTATGATGCTTTTTCTAATATGTGAGTAATATGAGAGCAATTTGCTAATTTCTAAAAATGTAAACTCATCTTTTAATTTCTGACTTCTACTTTCTTTGTGTGTGTGTGTGTGTGTGTGTATTGTGTGTGTGTGTAAATGAGGCCTAAGATGTAAATTCTTTAAATTTATTTAGATTTTTTTTTTTGAGACAGGGTCTTATTCGGTTGCCACAGCTGGAGTGCAGTGGTGTGATCACAGCTCACTGTAGCCTCCACCTCCAAGGCTCAAGCAATTCTCCTGCCTCAGCCTTGTGAGTAGCTGGGACTACAGGCACATGCCACCATGCCCAGCTAATCTTTAATTTTTGTTCTTTTTTTTGGCAGAGATGAGGTTTTGCCATGGTACCCAGGTTGGTCTCAACTCCTGAGCTCAAGCAATCCATCTTTCTTGGCCTCCCAAAGTGTTGGGATAACAGGCGTGAGCCATTGTGACCAAGCTGAAAATTTTTTATGAGGTGAAACAGTCACATTGGCAAATTTTTATAAGTAAAGAGTTGTTGGCACACAGCCACGCTCATTCGTGTGGGTATTATCTGTGGCTGCTTTTGTACTGTATTGGCAGAGTTGAATATTTGTAAAACAGAGACCTTATAACCCACAGAGCCTACTACATATCTGATTTTTTTTCTTTTTTTGCGACTGAGTTTCGCTCTGTCTCCCAGGCTGGAGTGCAGTGGCGCCATCTCGGCTCACTGCAACCTCCACCTCCCGGGTTCAAGCGATTCTCCTGCCTCAGCCTCTCGAGTAGCTGGGATTACAGGCATGTGCCACCACACCCGGCTAATTTTTTGTGTTTTTAGTAGAGTCCGGGGTTTCACCGTGTTAGCCAGGATGGTCTTGATCTCCTGATGTCGTGATCTGTCTGCCTTGGCCTTCCAAAGTGCTGGGATTACAGGCGTGAGCCACCGCGCCCAGCCACGTATCTGATTGTATACAGAAAAAATTCGCAGACCTCTGACCCAGAGCACAGTCAATTTTTGTAAATGTTCACTGTGTGCGTGAAAAAAAAAAAAACACTTTTCTTCTTATGTCTCTCTCTATTTTCTCCTTTTCGTCTCTTTTTCTACACACATGCACATACATGCATGAACACACACGTTAGATCAAGCATATTCATGGCATTGTTCAAATAATTTTTATAATTTGATATTTTAATTGTTGAGTTTTGAAAAGAAATTCATGTTAAAACTACCTTAGTGGTTTCTTTTTGTGTTTTCTTCAAGTTTTGTTTCATGTGTTTTTGGGTCATGCTGTTCAGTTTTCACAAATTCGAGCTAGGTGGGCTGGGTGGATTATCGTTTCTATCATGATGAAGTATACTTCGTCATATATTTAGTATTTTTTTCTTTGAATTCAACTTATTTTCATATTAATATTGATTGTCGATGTACCAACTTAATTATTTGCCTCATATATCTTTTTCTTTCTTTTTTTTTTTGAGACGAAGTCTCACTCTGTCGCCCAGGCTGGAGTGCAGTGGCACGATCTCTTGCCTCATATATCTTTTTATGTCGTTTTAATTATTTCAACCTTTCTGGTGTTTGTTGCTTTTTTTTTTTTAAAGTGAATTTCTTGTAAGTAGTAAATAGCTAGATTTTTAGATTCAAATATTACTATCTTTCTTGTTAAATAGGCAAATATAATCAACATTTATTTTCATTTTGTATATTTGGAATTATGTCATCTTATATTTTCTACTTACAATTCCTTCTGTACCATATGGGTTTGGACTTGATCCTCTGGGGTAAGAATATTAGGAATCTCCATTTGTATGCAAAATGTGTCCAGTCAATCCAAAGTCATGTAGATGGAGGTAAAAGTTTCTGGAATACTATTTTCCCCTCGGTTCTTCCAACTTACTTTGAAATGAATAACCAGTATAAGCACACTTTAGAAGCAACTTTAAAGCCTACTTGGTGTCCCCATTTACTAAATAACTCTGTATTTAATAAAACTTACTTTTGCTAATGGCAGGAAATGGGAGAATCAGACTCTCCCAGAGATCACAGGCTTCATTTCCCTTCACACTTTATAGCTGGATCAGCAGTTACTGCTGTATCTGAGTTGTCTAAGGCTAATAACGCTGGAGCTGAGAAAAAAATACCTCACTTACTGTTTTACAGCAGTCACTGTCTGATAATCACAGAATGATCTCTGTGTCAGTTATGTGTCTTCCAGGTAAGACCAAAGTGCCAGCTCAAATAATGGGGCAATGCAGTGTCTTAATACAGATATTTCTATAAAATGCTCGGAACACCGGTCTTAAAATTGCAACAGATTTTCTTTCATGCCAATTCCTAGTTAAACTAGGTACTCTATAACATGTATTTATTTAAAAGGTATAACTGAATTCCATTGATGTTAATAGCAAATGTAATATTTGAATGTCTCCATTAAGAAAAATACTGTTGAGCAAATGGCTCATGAAGATGTGTACCAAAATATTCATACTTTCTACAGAGGCTCCATCTTTTAGAGTTCAATTAAAGTTCCTCTACCCATGAAGCTCAGGTGCCAGAAAGGGTTTCAGCTGGAAATCTCTTCATAGAATTAAGGGATTGATAAGAAGAGAATATTTTTTCATTCCTTTTTTATCAGTAGTCCATGTTAACAATTAAAGTTGAACGAGGATTTTTCCTTAAGTTAATTTTTTTTTAAATGCAGAGGTTTAAAAACTTTAAAAGAAAGGAGCTTTCCCCTTAGAGTCCTCACACTAGTTGACTGTGAATTTTAAAAGAATACCTACCACAGGGTACAAGAAACTCACTGGTATGTATCTGAGGCCTGTGTTTTTCCAATCTAGAAGCTACAAGGATATTTGCTGGGAAAGTCCTTATAAGAAAAAGACTTAGCCAGGCACGGTGGCTCACGCTGTAATCCCGGCACTTTGGGAGGCTGAGGTGGGTGCATCACGAGGTCAGGGGATGGAGACCATCCTGGCCAACATGGTGAAACCCGTCTCTACTAAAAATACAAAAATTAGCTGGGCATGGTGGTGCGCGCCTGTAGTGCCAGCTACTCGGGAGGCTGAGGCAGGAGAATCGCTTGAACCCGGGAGGTGGAGGTTGCAGTGAGCCGAGATCACACCACCGCAGTCCAGCCTGGCGACAGAGTGAGACTCTGTCTCAAAAAAGAGAGAAAACTTAACCAAGTTATGTAATAACCACGATTACTTACGCCAGTTAACTCTATGCAGATCAAATTTGGCCTATTGGTGATGGCAATCTACTTCATAAATTTACTTCCAGGTCAGTGAGGGCCTATAGAAGTGTGATTCACATGGCTGAAATGAGAGAGGAATCTGAAGATTGTTTAAGAGAAAGACACCTTGGATAATACATACCCATCAACCAAGGGATACCTTACCTCACCTGAGATTCCCTGTTAAAAATTACTTACTTGATTTCATTCATTTATTTGTTTCAACAAATATTTATTGAGTGCCAGCTATGTGCCAAATACTGTTCTAGACACGGAGGATACAGCAGCAAAGAAAACAGATAGAAATCCTTACTCTCATAGAACTTACCTTTTAATAGAAGGATATAGGCAATAAATGAGAAACAGAAAAATTAAAAAAAAAAAAGCACGAGGAGAGATTGTGCAGCGGTTGGGCAGAGTTTAAGTTTAGATAGGGTGGCCAAGGAAACTTCACTAGGAAAACGACATTTGAGTAAAGGCCTGAAGGAAGTGAGGAAGTGAACTGTGCAGATATCTAAACGATAGCATTTTAGGCATACGGAAGGAACAGCGATTGCAACAACCGTGAAGCACAAGCAAGCCTGATGTTTTTAAGGAATAGCTAGGAGGCTAGTATGGCTGGATCATAATGAGTGAGCAGGAGAGTAGGATGAAATGAAATGAGAAATATATAGAGGAAGATCATGTAGAACCTTATAGACTATTGTAAGGACTGGAACTTCTACGGTGAGTGAGATGAAAATCCACTGGAGAGTTTGATGCAGGAGAGGCAAAATGGAAGGAGGGGGAGGGGAAAAGTTAGGATACTATTGGCAGTGTTCTAGATGAAAGCTGAGGTCTTTGGGATCAAAATGGCAGCAGTGGAGGTTGTGGAAATGTGGAGGTTGTGGAAATGTCAGATTTGTTGATGAACCACATGTGGGTTTTGTGAGGTGGTAGGGAGTAAATGGTGACTCTAATTGTGTGTGTGTGTGTGTGTGTGTGTGTGTATATGTCTATATATATATGTGTGTTGTATATACATACATATGTATGTGTGTGTATATATATATATGTGTATATATATAGAGAGAGACGGAGTTTCGCTCTTGTTGCCCAAGCTGGAGTGCAGTGGTGCAATCTCGGCTCACTGCAACCTCTGCCTTCCGGGTTCAAGCGATTCTTCTGCCTCAGCCTCCCGAGTACCTGGGATTACAGGCGCACACCACCACGCCCGGCTAATTTTTTTGTATTTTTAATAGAAACGGGGATTCACCATGTTAGCCAGGCTGGTCTCGAACTCCTGACCTCAGGTAATCCACCTGCCTCGGCCTCCCAAAGTGCTGGGAATACAGGTGTGGCCTCCCCAGCCATGTGGAACTGTTAAGTTCAATGAAACCTCTTTTTCTTCCCAGTCTCGGGTATGTCTATCAGCAGTGTGAAAACGAGCTAATGCAACACATCATAGGTTTTTGTGAGAATTGAATTAATATATTTTTTAAAGTGCTTATGATAAAGTCTGGCAAATAAGAAGAACCTAGCTTAACTATAAGAAATTAGCACACGCTGGGCAGTTTATAAACAATAGACTTTTATTTCACATTTCTGGAAGCTGAAGGTCCAAGATCAAGGTGCTGGCATGGTCAGGTTCTGGTGAGGGCCCTCTTTCCTGTTGCAGACTGTCAACTTCTCACTGAATATGCAAATGGCAGAGAGCAGAGAGAGAAGAAGCAACTGTTTTGCATCTTTATGTAAAGGCATAAATCTCATTGATGAGTGTGTCTTCATGACCTAATTACATCTGAAAAGTCTCTTTTAATACCATCACATCAGGGGTTAGGATCTCAACATATTAATTTTGAGAGAACAGGA
The DNA here is from genome assembly GCF_000001405.40 of Homo sapiens. NCBI lineage: Eukaryota > Metazoa > Chordata > Mammalia > Primates > Hominidae > Homo > Homo sapiens. Next base: position 141,078,498 of record NC_000023.11, on the reverse strand, counting down.
AGACTCAGTCATTAATGGCACCACACAAGCATCGGTTGTTACTATTGTTATTATTACTATTAGATATTTTAGTTGAGATGTTAACTAGGCCTTTTAAAAATTTGTACATATTTAGGGGGTACTAATGTGGTATTGTTATCTTACTATATTGTATAGTGGTGAGGTCTGGGCTTTTAATGTAACCATCACCCTAATAGTGTACATTGTACCCATTACGTAGTTTCTCATCTCCCTCAAAGCCTCCTACATTTCCAAGTTTCCAATATCTATTATTCCACCCTCCATATCTATGTGTACACATTATTTAGCTCCCACTTATAAGTGAGAACATGCAATATTTTATTTGTTTCTGAGTTATTTCACTTAAGATAATAAATTTTCAGTTTCATTCATGTTGCTGCAAGAGACATGATTTCATTTTCTTTTCTTTCTTTCTTTCAAGAGTTTCGCTCTTGTTGCCCAGGCTGCAGTGCAGTGGTGCGATCTCGGCTCACTGCAACCTCTGTCTCCCGTGTTCAAGCGATTTATCTTGCCTCAGCCTCCCGAGTAGCTGGGATTACAGGCACCTGCCACCACACCCAGCTAATGTTTTGTATTTTTAGTAGAGACGGGTTTCACTATGTTGGCCAGGCTGGTCTCGAACTCCTAACCTCAGGTGATTCACCTGCCTCAGCCTCCCCAAGTGCTGGGATTACAGGCGTGAGCCACCACACCTGGCCATCTCATTCTTTTTTATAGCTGAGTAGTGCTCCGTATACACACACACACACACACACACACACACACACACACACACACATATATACACACATAGATATATATACATATAACGCACATATATATCTCTCTCACATTTGCTTTATCCAATCATCCATTGATGGGCACTCGCTGATTCCATGACTTTGCTGTTGCAAATAGGGCTGCGATAAACATTCGAGTGCAGGAATCTTTTTGATATCACTGTTTCTTTTCCTTTGGGTAGGTACCAAGTAGTGGGATTGCTAGATTGAATGGTAGTTCTATTATTAGTTCTTTGAGAAATATCCATACTGTTTCCCAAAGAAGCTGTACAAATTTGCATTCTCGCCAACAGAGTACGTGTTCCATTTTCTATACATCCACACCAAGGTCTGTTGTTTTTTGACTTTTTAGTAATAGCCATTCAGACTGTTGTGAGATGGCAACTCATTGTTATTTTAATTTGCATTTCTCTGATGATTAGTGGTGGTGAGCCTTTTTTCATGTTTGTTGGCCATTTGTATGTCTTCTTCTGAAAAATATCTGTTCATGTCTATTGACCACTTTTTTTTTTTTTTTTTTTTTTTTTTTTTTAAGATGGAGTCTCCCTCTGTTGCCCAGGCTGGAAGGCTGGAGTGCAGTGGCACAATCTCGGCTCACTGCAACCTCCGCCTTCCGGGTTCAAGCGATTCTCCTGCTTTAGCTTCTCGAGTAGCTGGGATTATAGGAGTGTGCTACCATGCCCAGCTAATTTTTTGTATTTTTAGTAGAGACGGGGTTTCACCGTGTTAGCCAGGATGGTCTCGATCTCCTGACCTCATGATCACCTGCCTCGGCCTCCCAAAGTGCTGAGATTACAGGCGTGAGCCACCGCGCCCAGCCAAGAATATATAAGAATATTTATATATAAGAATATTGTTATATATAGAATATAAAGGTATACATATAAAGTTCAGAGAAGGGATCTAGTTTGGAAACATATATTTTGGAGACAGCAGCATGTAGATGGTATTTTGGCCAGGATACAAAGAGACTATCAAATATATGAATGTAGAGAGACTCTTTAAGGGCCAGAAACGCTCTGCCATTTAGAAGCCTCGGAAATAACAAGGAACCTTGAAAGGGAACCAAGAAGCAGTGGAAAGAGTGTTGGGAAGAAATCCAAGTGTGTGGTATTCTGGAAGCTACATGAAGAAAGCCTATCAGAGAAGGGAATATGACCAACTTGTTGAAATGCCGTTGCTAACTTTAATAACGTGAGGCCTCAGAATAGAAAGAGTAGGTTTTAATTCATTTTATTTCAATTCAATTTATTTACTTGTGACTTTGACAAGAGCAGTTTTATTGGAATGGTGGGAGCTCAAGCTTTATTTGGGTTTAAAATGAATTAGAAACAGAATATAGACAATACTTTCTAAGACTTTTGTTTTTCAGAGAAGGACAGAAATGGGGGTGAAGCTGAACAAAGAAGTGGGATCAAGTCAAGTTTTTCTTAAGATGATAGAAATAATAGCATAGTTGTATCTGATGATATTGACCTAGAAGAGTGGGAAAAGAGCAATGCTAGATAGAGGGGAGAATTGCTGGAGTGATGCGATTAAGACATGTTTCTCGACATTACTGGAGAGAAGACATTGCTTTTGGCTGTCCCTGAAGACTTTAGCTATGTAACAGGAAAAATGGAGTACTGACATTGAACTTGGAAAGACAAATTACCAGTAACGTTGCAAACAAATCAGGGAAAGGGGTTATTTTGGAGCTTGCCTCTCTCCCCACTAGTGATGAGCCTTACAAACTACTAGTAATGTTTATGGTCTGAAGAGGGGATATGTTGACAAAGGCACATATCATCAATTCCTGCAAACTCAACAACCAAATTTCTTATGGATCTCTATGCTTTTTTCCATCTGCACCGACAGTGTCTTAGTCCAAGTTGCCATTGTTTCTCATCAGAATTCCTGTAAGACGCTCCTAAGTGGTGATTCTACTTTGATGGTTGCATCTTGCAATCTCTTCACCACATAACAGCAAAAGAAATTATTTTTAAAAAGAAGTCATATAATATCAACATTCTGTTCTGTATTAGTCTGTTTTGTGTTGCTAAAAAGGAATACCCGAGACTGGGTAATTGGTAAATAAAAGAGGTTTATTTGGCTCCCAATTCTGCAGACTGTACAAGCATCACAGCAGCACCCTCAGCTTCTGATGAGGCATCAGGAAACTTGTATTCATGGCAGAAGGTGAAGTGGAAATAGGCATGCCACGTGGTGAGAGAGGGAGCAAGAGAGAGAGAGGAGAAGGTTCTGGGCTCTTTTTAAGCAGCTAGCTCTCACGTGAATTGATAGAATGAGAACCATGGGTAGGGTACCAAGCCATTCATGAGGGATCCACTCTTATGACCCAAACACCTCCCACCAGGCCCCATGTCCAACACTGGGGGTCACATTTCAATGTGAAATTTGGAGGGGACAAACATCCAAACTATATCGTACTCCCTCCAGTGTCTTTGTGAAAGAAGGCTTTATCCAAAACTTGGAAAAATCACAAAATAGGAATGACCTGATATGTTAATATCATGTTATAATATGTCCTAAGAAGCCTGATTGATTCTCATCTGACATTCCTCTGACACACATTCTCATCTGATGGCAGCCTTGTCAAAATTTGGCTAATAAGCATCCACAGCTATTAACAGTGAAGTCAGTTTGGAACCCTGTGAAGTTAGAGGTTAACCAAGAAATTGATAAGGTGTTAGAATTGTGTAGTCTGCTGGGAAAGTTAATACCCAAACTGCTATGGTTTTCTTTTCCTGTAGAAAAGCATACAACCATATATCTAACTTAGAAGTCTTACATAGGCATTTTTTTTTCGCCTTGACTATATAAATTCTTGCTTGTCAAATACTCTTGGAACTCTCTTTTCTTTCTTCCCTATTGGTTCCCTTATTAATAAATTAAAATGTTCACATCTATTTATATTAAAACATTGTCACATTACCCATACTATTTTAAATGAACTTCAAAGTTCTTTTTATTGCCGCAAGGCCCTGTGTGATCACACAACTGCTTAACGCTCTGGGCTCATCCCCCACCAGTCTTCTAAGCTGTGCTGGCTTTCTTGCTGTCCTAAAACACAGCAGGTCATGTTTCATCTTAAAGCCCTTTCAGCTTGCTCTACCAACTGCTTGGAAATCTTTCCTCCCAGATTTCAGTTTGGATCCATCCCTCCCATCTGTCAGATCTCTGCTCAAATGTAAGCTCTTCATAGATGCTTCCCTGACCACCCCATCCAAAATGTCAAAAACACATCCACTTTATAAACCCCTTAACCTGCGTCGCTTTTTCAAACATTTCACTGTCTACCCACCATCGATTCTACCATTAACATTTTTTTTTTTTTTGAGATGGAGTTTCGCTCCTGTTGCCCAGGCTGGAGGGCAGTGGTGCGATATCGGCTCACTGCAACCTGCGGCTCCCGGGTTCAAGTGATTCTCCTGCCTCAGCCTCCGGAGTAGCTGGGATCACAGGCATGCGCCACCATGCCCGGCTAATTTTGTATTTTAAGTAGAGATGGGGTTTCTCCATGTCGTTCAGGCTGGTCTCGACTTCCTGACCTCAGGTGTTCCACCCGCCTCGGCCTCCCAAAGTGCTGGGATTACAAGCGTCAGCCATTGCACCTGGTCTACTATGAACATTTTTAACATTGCGTAACATTTTATAAATACACCTGGGGTTGTGCTCATTGTTTTCATGTTTCCACAACTGCAAGTTAAAACCCAGCAGCGTTGTGGCTTTGCCTGTTTTGAGCACTGCTCTATCCTCAGTGTTTGTAACAACTCTTGGGATGCAGCAGATGTGGTAGATTAAATTGTCATAATTATTCAGTCACTTGTAGTACTGGTATTATACATACATTTCCCTGCCATGGCCTTATGATAGTTGGATGATGTAATGGTTAATTTTATATGTCAAGTTGATTGGGTCACCTGGTACCGAGATCTCAAATTAAACATTACTTCTGGGTATGTCTTTGAAAGTGTTTCTAGAGGAGATTATCATGATCTGAGAAGAGAGTTGAAATGTACCTTTGAAGTACCTTTAATGCTGGGCTTGTCTCGTCTACTGCCATTGCTGTGAGAGAAAAAAAAAAAAGATGCCCTGTCTAGTTGCGACTGCTTCAACCTATATACCGGAATGAGACACATAGTGAAGCACACCTATATTCAGTTTTCAGCCTGAATTTATTCTGCCCTCATTGACTTTGAAGACCCATGGATGAGAAAAATGAGTATTTTTGTCTACCTCTGAGATATTATACTTATGTGTTATGTAGCCTTACTGTACCAATAGCTACTTTAGGCTCTAAGTGTTCAATAGGTTATCATTAAATGAATGAAATGAATTGTAAATATTTGGCACATGTTGCTTCGTACGATTAAAAAGCATTTTGTTAAACTACTAGGCATTTTACACTGGGAATCATCATGTTCCTATGTAGAATGTATTAGTAGAGGAAATTTTGGATGTTGGAGTATGGTAGCTCTTCTTCCTGTCTTCATAAATGTCGTCTAATAGCTAAACAGAAGCTGAATGTAGCACTTTGAAAGCTCTAGCAAGGAACGTGATATTGTCAGATTCCAAGCCCGTGGTTTGACAAGATCTCTGGCTGGAGTTCCTAGCCAGTAGAATGGATTAAAAGTAAATAGGCTGTTAATTTATGTGTGCTTTACTGCCCAAGAAACAAAAATCCTAGCCAACAACCTTGATCCCTTTGTCTGTATGCTTATACCAATACAAAGCAGACTACTAAAGCAGTGAAGCCTCTTATGAGGAATAATCTGGAAAATGATTATCCTGCCTCTGACTTTGGGGAAATGCTGATGAGGGATACTCCCAGAACAGAACCAGGGGAAGCCAGCTTGGGTGATCAGGAAACTCAATTCACTTCTAGGACAGAACATCCTCTCTATTGCTGTCTAACAGATTATATTGTATTGTAAAGCATTATCACTTTATTTTCCCTCCTGTCATTTCCCAAAAATAATAACTTTTTTTTTTATTGAGACAGAGTCTCACTCTTGTCACCAGGCTGGAGTGCATTGGCGCGATCTTGGCTCACTGCATCCTCTGCCTCCCGGGTTCAAGCGATTCTCCTGCCTCAGCCTCCCGAGTAGCTGGAATTATCGGTGGGTGCCGTCATGCACAGCTAATTTTTGTGTTTCTAGTAGAGACGGGGTTTCACCATGTTGGCCAGGATGGTCTAAAATAATCACTTTTATTAATGTTGCCTTGTTTTTCCTGCATCATGGATACATAAATGTGTTTGGGGTTAGTATAATACTATTTAGTCTTGGATCACTGATGCATCACTTAGAGATTATGGACTTGAGTTGAGTGCATTACCCAGAAGAAACTTTAGGGAGCCTCTCTTTAGGGACACTTGAAGGAATTTCATGTAGGTGTGGACACTTTTAAAGATGTATGTATTAGAAGGACGCAGAACATGGTTGTTGTTTGCCTACAGATTATCCATTTCCCCCTTCTTTCTTCTTAAGAGAACCGTAATTTTCTTAAGGCATTTGCCTTCCTTCATGAAGCTCATGTAATTGAAAAAAAGGTGCCCTTATCTTCAGCTTCAGAATAAATGATAAACTAATCAATCATAATAATGCCTTTCCTCTTGCCAGCAATTATTTCAGGAAGCCAAGCTTAAGCTAATCAGTATGTGGCAATGTCTAGGGATGAAGATGTGATGTAATTTGGCTCAGCAAGAAAGAAGGTATAAATAGGGTGATAGAATTTCTCTGGTAGAAAATGAACAAAGACGTGCATAGCTTTGATGGCTCTTGCAGGTATCATATAACCATGAGGGGTACTAGCATTATTAATACGAAGCTGAAAATGTGGACAGGAGGGCTAAGAAATTACATGAACTAATTACATCATTAAAGAGTTGATCCAGTCCACCCAGAAGCCTTCACTTCACTCGAAATACCTTTTGTGTGTGATAACATACGCCTCATTGCTTGAGTTGTGGATTTTGGTTACTTGCAGCTGTAAGCATTCTGACTGATACAAGTCATTCTTGGTGTGTGATTTTGAATTGGTGACTTAAATTCTCCAAGGTTCAATTTTCTCAACTTTTTTTTCTGAAAATACTATATCAATCACTTTTGTCTTCATAGTATCTAAATAACATTGGGGGTAATCCAGAGAGAAATGTGAGTCAGGGCCTTACCTTTTACTTGGAAACTGAATGAGGGGCAGATATTCTTAACTTCAAGTTGTTGGCATAGACCCAGGGGACGAGCATAGCCATGTGGACGCTTCTGCCAGGAGCTCTGACACTTTAGGAGGTATACTAAGATGTAGAGAAAGTCAACACTTATTTGCAGTGTTTGTGGCAGAGGCTAGAGTCCAGTAGTGTGACAGTATTGAGAAGTGACAGTGCTTCCAGTGGGACCCTAAGAAAACTGCTTCTCTGGGGTGATTCTGGGTGAGCTCTTCCTCCCTTGACTATTGCCATATATTCTTCACCTGACTCTCTGCTCTTCTCATGGACTCTAAGAACAATGTGTTATCTCTCTAACGAATTGTTTTTCTGCTTATATTACCAGACTCGGTGTCTGTTGTTCGCAAATGAAAGCACCAACTAGAATAGTTATTTGCCTAATAAGGTTGATTTGAGGACTAGATGAGATAACATTTAAGTAGATGCTGAATAAAATTAAATTTAAGATTCACAAGGTTTTGCTTGAGTAACAAATGTATCCTACATTTTGGATACATGTAATTATAAATATCTACTTTTCACTCATGCTACAAGTCTACTGTGGATTGGCTATTTCTCGGTGCTATGTCATTTTTTTGAGACGAAGTCTCGTTCTGTCGCCCAGGCTGGAGTGCAGTAGTGCGATCTAGGGTCACTACAACCTCTGCCTCCCAAGTAGCTGAGGTTAAAGTAGCTGTAGTTAAAGTGATTCTCCTGCCTCAGCCTCCCAAGTAGCTGGGATTACAGACGCCCACCACCATGCCTGGCTAATTTCTGTATTTTTAATACAGACAGGGTTTCACCAAGTTGGTCAGGCTGGTTTTGAACTCCTGACCTCAGGTGATCCGCCCGCCTCAGCCACCCAAAGTGCTGGGATTACAGGCGTGAACCACCGCGCCCAGCTGCTATGCTATGTCATCTTTACTTCAGAAAACAAGCTGAGGGAGTATCTTCTTTCTGGAATACTGTCAGTCTTCATGGCAGAGAGAAAGGAGACAAAGTGAACCACTCTCTTAAACCTTCTGCCCGGAAAAGACACATATCACTTCCACATTTCACTAGCCCAAGTGAGTCCCGTGGGCTCTCCTGATTTCATTTGGAGTGGGATGTATCCTTCTACAGGGAAGAAGACTAAAGGAGCAACACTGGAACATTTAGTGAATAGTTACAGAGGCTACCGCAGTATATTTACCTGTTCCTGACGTCTTTACATAGGGACTTGGCCAGTTATAAATTCCTTGGCGGAGTCATGTTAGTTCCTATCAGGTGCTCTACGTGGAGCAGTACTTAGATTTTAGCTTCATTTTTTGGCCTCTAAGGATTTTCCTCATTTTTTGGATGGATGATACATTTGAAAAGTTTTAAAAATAGGTTATACATGGTTTTTAGTTGCTTTGCAGTGAAGGGAAGTTTAGTTTGTCTTGATGCCATTAACAGAATTTGACATTTACAACGCACAAACACATACAAATACATACCACCTGATATGTTGCTGGAGGTTGGGATCTCAAAAACAGACATTGAGGTTGAGTGTATGGGGTGTCAAATATTTATTAAGGATCAACAGCTGTGAGAGGGAGGAGGCTGAAGCAGGATTGGGCAGAGAAAGAGGTGGAACTTCTATGCAGGCGCAACAAAGCCTCATTCAGCCTTACTGGCAGCTCTTGAGAAAGCGTTGTGCATCAGTGATACCGGGCATTGGCCTGGAATGGTGTAGGCTTTATGGCTATAAAGCCACCTGTTCAGATGCCAGATGTAGGCTTCTGTGGGTGTTACCTTGAGCCAGGTGACTCTGCGGCTGAGGCAGACCCTGCAGGAGTTGACAGCTAGAGGCTGTGTGCTGAACCACACTTCCTGCAGATGGGCAGCAAGTCCTTCCTTGAAGTGGGAGCTGGGCAGTATATTTTGTGTCTGCCACACTCCTAGCATTTGATAAATATTATATTTGATTTTACCCAGATTATTTGAAACAAGTAGGGTTTGGATGAAGCTTTGATTTTTGGTTTAAAGAGATTTTCCCTGTAACGGTGGCTATCGCAACAGCATCTGGCCTACTGAAGGCTGAATCTAATCTATCTAGCCAGTGATAATGGCTTAGCATTACACGGTTTCTTTGTCGCTGGCCAGGTCATGAGGAATTACACACAAAGAACGAGGCGCAAGACTTATCAACCCGTAAAATTACGTAGCAGAGCAAGATATCTAACTGTAGTCTGATGTGATTTCATAGAGTCCGTGAAACAGCATCAAGGACTTGGCTTCAAAGGGTTATTTTATAGTACTCTGTGGTACTTGACTTTTACCAATAGCTAAAGTCCATGACCGTATGTGTTCCAATATTTGCCAGAGACATGTTGGTGCCTTTAAAGCTGTATCAGTAAATGATTACACTAGAAAAATTTACATTCCTAATAAAATTAATGTTTGGCAATCAAGAAATGTTTTACTTAACTATTAGAAATCATCTAATAATGCAGTAACTATCATTATAGTAACATTTAACTCTTGTAATAAATGCATTACAGTCAGTTACACAATTAAAGAAATAATGTGGTAGTATGAATCCTAAGATAAAGAAATAGAGAACTATATTACCCAAATTAGATTATGTGTGAAACAATGGTGGATTAAAGAGTTCATTTATGGGAATGAGCTAAAAGAAAAATCACATGCAAAAGGGATAAAAATATACATTTTAGCTTTCATGGTAAAAAAAAAACTAAAGTAGATGATCATTTATTAGTTCATGGAATAGTCATAGGGGTGCTGTAACTCGTGTTGAATTCACTAAATGATAATGTGACTGAGATGCAGTGTTAGAAATTCTGATTTAATTTTTAAAATAATTATTTGAGCATTAATTAACTTGGAAGCATTCATCTTTTGTTCTCCAAAACATTTTAAATGAAAAAAATGTTAATTGTGTTGCTGTGACAGTGATAGTATAGGATTAACCATTATAGTATTCACCTAGATACAACGAGGAATTTTAATGCTATTTAAATGAACTGGCCGTATTTTTGTGGATTTCAGTTTTAGATTTGCTTTGCAGAAATAATAAATAAACCTAGTGTATTTTGATAGCATTATGGAAAGCGGTAAGTAGTTGCAGCCTTTAGATACTTCTGAAAACCAGTAGAATGCATTCCTTTACTTGCAAGTGAGACCTTTGTATAAATTAACCTATAAAACCAAAATGTGAAATGATGATGTGAATGAGTACATCTGGATGTGTAGGAGGACCTTTAATTGCATGGTGACTGAGAAACCCTTTCACATATTGGAGAGATTACAAATGGCAGGAGATTATAGGAATTCTTTAAAGGAATTCAGTTTCTGTGGAGCAGGAGGCATTCCTATGGGTAAGCCTGGGTGTGCTTTATCATTGCCGGGACGTTTCAGTGTGGTCATTGGGTCAGATTGGCAAAGAAGGTTTCTTTATGGGGACAAATTTGTTCTTAAGTTAGATCTGTGAATCTCTGTATAAAACCTGGATGGCTTTATATCAACACAGATTCCTTCATAGAGCTGCTGTGTCTGTAGGGTGACAATTGCCCCATTTAAGCAATCATCAGAGATCATTTATTCCAACTGTCTCACGTCATACATGAAGAAAATAGAACCTGCTCAGTGAATAAACTTTGAAATAGCGGTGTATTTTAGAAGACTGCTCTGTAGAAACATAAATAAATAGATAATGTATGTATAAAGATATAAATGCATAGTTGTATTCAGATGCAGGATTTGGAGATAAATCTGACTTGTCCAACTCACAGTGAGATGTTTAGCAGATCCAGGTCACTGTTTTTTCCCATTGTAGGAACTATGTTGTATTTCCCAGGAAAACAATGTAATCATGGAAATAATATTTTCTTTATTTAAATTCAGAGATTTAATCCTAAGGATTTTAAATGAGCTGTCCTAAATTATTGTTAATTATTTGTATGTTTAAAATTAGGGTTTTAATTTTATGTATGTAAACATTTATATGAATTACATTCCTAGATATAAATTCAATGTATCTTAGTTTTAGAGTCCAAAATTAGAAGTTATCTATTACGCTAGCATTAGAAACAGAAATTGAATCCGTTCTTCCCCTCGCCCACGGGCTTTATGATTCCCATCAAACTCAGTGGGAATTTTCCAGCGTATTGTTGAAAAAAGTGGGCTAATTAAGAACTACCATATGAACTATTACACATTAATTTTATGGCATTCATTGTTGTTTAATTTGTGAAATAACATCAATTTTTCTGATTACCAAAGTAATACATATTAATTGCTCTCAATGTAGCAAATACATAAGACTAAAAAGAAGTGAACTAATTATAATCTCAGTTCTGGAGAACTGTGAACAAGCTGGTATACATTTTCTAGTTATTTTTTCTATGTATGTGTCCAAAGGATAGCTGTAATTTAATGGTGTCTCATTCTGTAATGCTATTTAGTGATTGCTTTTTGGATATATCATAATAAACTTTTGCTATAAGAATTCAAGATTTGTCTAACATTACTCTTAATGGATTTATCATTTTTGGTGTAATTATGCCTTAGGTGCTGGACAAAGATCAGACCAGATGTGAGGAATGCTGAAAATGAAAGGTATGGATACCTATGACTTCTCCTCCTAAGTTTTGTCAAGCTAAAAAAGGTAAGAGAACAGATACGCACAGGACATATCTGAGGTAGGGTAGCTTCTGAATGTCCCTTTTCTGTCCATTGGCAGGAATTTGTTAGATCCGTGGTGTCCTGAGCAAAAGAGTTTGTAGGCTTTTATTTTGACCTCTGCTTAAAGGGTCACATAAGTGCCCCAAAGCATCATATACTAGCCCAAAAGTGAATACTTTTGCGACTCAAGAAGTACCGTTCATTACTAAGGCTTAGCGTTACAATTCCGGGTCCTAAAATAGTTGTTCTTTCACATTTATTCGCAAGCATAGCATTTTCATTCATCTGGGTCTGTGCATCAGGTTATACAATGGCCCTTTGTCTGTGCCTATATGGGAACTAGCAATTTTTTATTCATGTCCAAGAAAGGGCATTCCTGGCTGTTAGAACTGCATGTGAGTGCACCAGTGATTTATCTAATCACTGCTCTGTTGTGTGACCGTGGGTTACTACCAATCTATTTCTAATATAAACAATGTTGCAATGAACGTTATGTGAAAATATATTTATGTGCAAGTCTGATTAGTTCCCTAAGGTAAGTGCCTGAAAGAGAAGTTGCTGGTTTAAAGGATTTGTGTAATTTTAAGGCATTTGATACATACTGTGAAACAGCCTAGTATAGTTAATGAGAATATTCCTTGTGTGCTTGAAAATGAGACCGGGCACGGTGGCTCAAGCCTGTAATCCCAGAGCTTTGAGAGGCTGAGATGGGTGGATGACCTGAGGTCAGGAGTTCAAGACCATCCAGCCTGATCAACATGGTGAAAACCCCATGTCTACTAAAAATAGAAAAATTAGCTGGCCGTGGTGGCGCGTGTCTGTAATTCCAGCTACTTGGGAGGCTGAGGCAGGAGAATCGGTTCAACCTGGGAGGCGGAGGTTTCAGTGAGCCGAGATCTCACCATTGCATTTCAGCCTGGGCAACAGGAGCGAAACTCCGTCTTAAAAATAAAAAAATAAAATGAAGTATGTATTTCGTTTGCCGAATATAAATTTTAAATGTAAACAAATCTACAGTTGATTACACTCGTTTAAGTTTTATCTGCTTGAACTACCAGTGTCTGAGAGGGGTGCATTAAAATCTCCCAAGTACATTTATCAACTTAATTATTTGGCTGCATAGTTCAGCCTCATGCTTTATTTCAAAGCTATATTACTGAGTGCATACATGCTCATAGTCATTGTGTATTTCCCTCGATCTCTTGACCATTTACTGGTACATAATGACCTTTTCTTGAAATGAAAAGTTTTTACCTCTGCTTTTTTTTCTGGTTCACATTTGCTCAGTTTACATTTTCCTGTATTTTTATTTTTGAATCACTATATCTTTTTGCTCTAAATGCATTTGCTCTAGATAATATCTTGGCATATATGTGTTTCTTAAAATAATCCAATCATTGAATCTCTTTTTATGATTCTAAAACAGATGTTGTAAGCTTCCTCTGTACAAGGCCAGATAGTGAAATATTTTCAGCATTGTGGGCCATATGGTATGTTTTCCAACTACTCAACTCTGCCATTATAGGATGAAAACATTTATAGACAATATGTAAACAGGTGGGGTCCCTATGAAATTTTATATTCTGTTGGGCCCTCAGGTCACAGTTTGTGGAAACTGGTTCTAGAGTTTAATCTATTTACATTTATTATAGTTAGTGTCATATTGGGACTTATATCTGTCATCATAGTCTATGTTTTCTATTTATCCTTCTATTTTCGTTTATTTTTTTCCTTCTTTCCCATCTTTCACCTGGTTTGGAATTTGGATTTTGCTCCTATTGTTATCCTCCCTTCAACTTTCCTGCGATAATATTTTTAGTTCCAGGTTGTGATTAGATTTCTTCTGTAGTGTATCTTTTCTCTTTCATGTATACTACACATTCACAGTCACAATGGCATATTGCATTTAGATTTACTTATCTATATTTCAGTATTTATTGTCACCTCTGTTTCTTTCCTTTCATCATTGTTTCCTCTCTTAAGGCTTTGGCAGAGTTTATTAGATGTTTGATCGGTGTCCATTAGTCTTTTCTTGAAAATATTACTCAAAGAGATCTATGGGCACTATGTATATCTTGCCTGGATTTGGGGGTCACACTTTGTTTTTTTCACAGTGGTTTGCCCCTTAGCCTCCAACTTCTAGTTTTTGGTATTACAGATGACAAGTCCAGTATTAATTTAATTTTTTAAAAAGTTACTTCCCTCTCCAGATGCTATACTCATTTTCTATTTTTTTTTAAGATCAGGATATACCTAGCTGTATATTCCTTAATGAGTCCCTTCTGGAAACCCCCATGTTATTTTCAATAGGTTCACTCTGTTCAATTATTTCCTTAATGATTACTTCTTCATCTGTTGATTTTTCTCTTTCTGGAACCCCTATTAATTTCAGGGTCTATGCTCAAAGTTCCTCAGCTTTTCTAGCCAGATTTACATATTACTTTAGTTTTGTTTTATTTTTAATGGACATGTAATTGTACATATTTGTGAAGTACAATGTAATGTTTCAATACATGTATACATTGTTTAGAAATCAAATCGGGGGCCGAGCCCGGTGGCTCACTCCTGTAATCCCAGCATTTTGGGAGGCCAAGGCAGGCAGATCAGGAGGTCAAGAGATTGAGACCATCCTGGCCAACATGGTGAAACCCCGTCTCTACTGAAAATACAAAAATCAGCTGGGCGTGGTGGCACGCGCCTGTAGTCCCAGTTACTCGAGAGGCTGAGGCAGGAGAATCACTTGAACCCGGGACGCAGAGGTTACAGTCAGCCAAGATTGCACCACTGCACTCCAGCCTGGTGACAGAGCGAGAGACTGTCTCAAAAAAAAAAAAGAAAAGACAAAAGGAAATAAAAGAAGTAAAATCAGGGTAATTAGCATATCCGTAATCTTAACCATTTTTTTTGTGATAAGAATATTCAAAATCCTCTTTTCTAGCTATTTTGAAATATACAACACGTTATTGCTAACTGTATTCACCATGGTGCACTATAAAGTACCAGAACGTTTTTCTCCTGGCTAACTGTGACATACTCATTGACCAACCTCACCCTATCTCTCCTCCCCAGTACCCTCCTCAGCAACTGGTAACTGCTCTCTACTTTTATGAGATCAGCGTTTTTAAGATTCCACATATAAGTGAGGTTATGCAGTATTTGTCCATCTGTGTCTGGCTTATTTCACTTAAAATAATGTCCTCTAGGTTCATCCGTGTTGTTGCAAAAGACAGGTTTTTGTTATTTGTTATGGTTGAATAGTATTCCATTGTGTACATGCACCACATTTTCTTTATGCATTCATTCACTGATGAACACTTAGGTTGATTCTATATCTTGGCTACTGTAAATGGTACTGCAATAAACATGAGAATGCAGGTATGTCTTGGACATAATGATTCTATCTCCTTTGGATATATACCCAGTACTGGGATTGCTGGATCATACAGTAGTTCCATTTGTAACATTTTGGAGAACCTTTATACTATTGGCCGTAATGGCTGTACTAATTTACACGCTCATCAGCAGCATATAAAAGGTCGCCTTTCACCACATAGACACCAACATTTGTGGGGTTTTTTGGTCTTTTTCATAATAGCCATTCTAAAAGGTGTGAGATGATCTTATTGTGATTCTGATTTGCATTTCCCTAATAATTAGTGTAACGTTCAGCATTTTTTCATATACCTGTTGGTCATTTGTATGTTTTCTTGTGAGAAATGTCTATTCAGATATTTTGCCCATTTTTAAATCAAAGTATTTATTTTTTTGTTACTGAATTCTTTGAATTCCTTATAAATTCCAGATATACATTATATCCCTTATCAGAACATTGTTTGCAAGTATTTCTCCCATTCTGTAGGTTGTAGCTTTGCTCTGTTGATTGTTTCTTTTCCTGTGCAGAAGCTTTTGAGTTTGACTTAATCCCGTTAGTCTGTTTTTGCCGTTGTTGCCTGTGCTTTTGAGTTCTTATCCAAAAAATCGTTGCCTAGACCAATGTCCTGAAGCGTTTTCACTGTTTTCTTCTAGTAGTTCCACAGTTTCAGGTCTTGCATTTAAGCCTTTAATCCATTTTGAGTTGATCTTTGTATATGATGAGATGTAGGGACCTAGTCTTATTTTTTTGCATGTGGAGGTGAAGTTTTCCCATCATCATTTATCTTTTGAGATTTTTCTTCTACTTGATCTTCCAAGGATGTAATTTGTGTTTGGGAAGTATTATCCCGTCTCATTTCATCGTTTAAATGTTTTAATTCACAACTGATATTTTTATTTTTCAGAATCTTTTAATGCCGTAATTGAATTTCTTTGTTTTTTTTTTGGGGGGGGAACAGAGTCTTGCTCTGCTGCGCAGGCTGGAGTGCAGTGGTGTGATCTCGGCTCACTGCAACCTCTGCCTCCCGGGTTCAAGCAATTCTCCTGCCTCAGCCTCCCGAGTAGGTGGGATTACAGGCACACGCTACCATGCCGGGCTAATTTTTGCATTTCGTTAGTAGAGACGAGGTTTCACCATGTTGGCCAGGCTGGTCTCGAACTCCTGACCTTGTGATCCGCCCACCTCGGCCTCCCAAGGTGTTGGGATTACAGGCGTGAGCCACTGTGCCTGGCTGAATTTCTTTAAGTGTTTTTTTATTAACGTATTTTTATTGTCATCCATCTCTGCCAGCAGCTTCATTTCACTAGTAACTTGTTCTCTTGCTTTTTCATTCTTTACTTGACAATGGGTCGTCTTAAAGGAATTCTTACTTTCCTTTGCTTAGTCATGGATATATTTATTATCAGAGCTCAGATCAAGCTATACGGTACCTTAAGCACTGGTAATCGTGATTGTGTCATGTGGCATGGTAGTCTTTATCCCTGTGCAGGTCACTAGTCCTCTGTGGCGATACTCGTATAATGTATTTCTGCCCTCTGGTCTCAGTTGCAAAAATTTCCACTCTGTCCCATTAGGCGTATAGAAGGCTCAAAGCATCTTATAAACTTCCGTAGCACAGTGGGAGCTAGGGACACCACTTCCCATCCTGCAGGAGGACTCACAGATATTCTCTGGCTAAACTCTTTCTAGCAGCTTCTCACCCCTGACTGGCAGATCATGAAGCTCTAGTCTCAGCAGATAGCTACACAGTCATCCTCTAATTTTGTGAGGACCCCAGCACACACGGGGCTTAGTTTTTATAGTCTTGGAGTTTCATAGATCTTTCTGCCTCAGCGGCAATCTCGTAAATAGAGTAGACTTGTAGTTGGATTAGAATTGGGAGGTGAGGGTTGCACAGATATATGTTAAAGGCGGCATCTTCCCACAGCCTTTTTCCTGATTCCATCAACAATTCCTCACATAACCCCTCCAATTTGTAAATGCCTCCAGGTCATAGTAGTAAGTATTTGTAGAATTTGTGATTGACAGTTTTCTGCCCCCAAACAACTGCAGACACTCATATTTGGAAACTTGAAGATAACACTATTTGAAAGTAAACTTCTGGGGCCAGGCGTGGTGGCTCATGCCTGTTATTCCAGCACTTTGGGCAGCCGAGGCGGGCGGATCACCTGAGGTCAGGAGTTCGAGACCAGCCTGGCCAACATGGTGAAACAACATAGTAGAAATTTTAATCTCTACTAAAAATACAAAAATTAGTTGGGCATGGTGGCGGGTGCCTGTAATCCCAGCTACTCGGGAGGCTGAGGCAGGAATCGCTTGAACCCGGGAAGCGGAGGTTGTGCTGAGCCGAGATTGTGCCACTGCACTGCAGCCTGGGATGCAGATCGAGACTCCATCTAAAAATAAATAAATTAAATAAACTTCTGAGAAAATAAATTTCCTGACATTGCCTTAAAACCCATATGATTTCAGTTATCATAAACTAAATTACATATAAACTTTAATTGTTTATCTTCTTAATAATTAGAGCAGGAGAGTTTTAAATTGCAGGCAAAATAGAGGTAAAGTAATATTTTTTTTACCCCCAGAGAGCTGGAAATGAAATAAAATATTTTACAACTCTTCAGGAAAAGAAAAGTGATACTTTGTCAAGTGTCAATGCAGGAAGCAACATAAATGAAAACAAAAAATAATGAAATATCCAGTGTTCATACCAGTATTAGTCTATTCTCATCTTTTTAATAAAGACAGACCTGAGACTTGGTAATTTATAAAGGAAAGAGGTTGAATGGACTCACAGCTCCACATGGCTGGGGAGGCCTCACAATCATGGTGGAAGATGAAGGAAGAGCAAAGGGACATCTTACATGGTGGCAGGCAAAGAGCATATGAGAATCAAGCAAAAGGGAAGACTCCTTATAAAACCGTCAGATCTCTATGAGAACAGTATGGGGGAAACAGCCCCCGTGATTCAATTATCTCCCACTGGCTCCCTCCCACAACACGTAGAAATGATGGAAGCTGGCTGGGTGCGGTGGCTCACCCCAGCACTTTGGGAGGCCAAGGCGGGCGGATCACCTGAGGTCAGGAGTTCGAGACCAGCCTGGCCAACGTGGCAAAATTCCGTCTCTACTAAAAATACGAAAGTTAGCCAGGTGTGGTGGCACGTGCCTGTAATCCCAGCTACTCAGTAGGCGGAGGCAGGAGAATCGCTTGAACCTGGGAGACGGATGTTGCAGTGAGCTGAGATTGTGCCACTGCACTCCAGCCTGGGTGACAGAGCGAGACTCCATCTCAAAGAAAAAAAAGAAAAAAAAAGTATGGGAGCTACAATTCAAGATGAGATTTGGGTGGAGACACAGGCAAACCATAAAAATAGCTCATTTTCCCCAAAGCATTTATTCTTTAGAGTGATAGAAAAATGGACCCCTAAGAGGACGGTGTTTAACAATTTTGCAGAAAGTACCTTCTGGTAGCTACTATAATGTTAGGCTGCTTTTTCCTGGGATCCAAAATTTACTGTAGCATTTCATTGACTTAGAGCTAGTGTGACCATAGATTTTGGATTTTCTAGAAAGTTTTAATTTGGAGGATTCTGTAATATTGTCCAGCCATATTTTGTAGCACTAGGTTCAGAAATATGACCTGTATGTTGCCTTTGAATTTTGTGGCAGAGTTTCTTGAAGGTTATAGAGGATGAACATCTATTAACTAGGTGATGAATAGGTAATGGATTTCGAACCTCTAGCCTGTTTAGCAATTCCTTCCATGTAAAATGATCTTCCTTTTATGAAAATCTAGTCTTGACAGTGATATAGAAAAAAACCCGTAATTTAAATGGACAGATGATTCCCTGATGTGTTACCAGAGAAGTGGCTCCATTCGTGTTGTTCTCTGTTCTGACTTACCACTGAGAAGATAATGTTTAATCTCAATTCTAAAGACTTGGAATAAGTGAAGACCACAAATCACTAAAAATTTCCGGGGTTTCATATAACATTTTACTTTAATGTTCTTCTTGCTTCTTTTCATTTAAGCTTTCCAGTGACCTAGCATGTTCAGGCATGACATAGAATAACTAAAGAAAGAAGTACACTTAATTGAAGTTCCTAAGAATCTATCTGAAAAGGAATTTTCCACCTGTTGTAATTTACTGTGTTAAATATAATATGTTTTATAAATATAACATGTTTTGGTTGCATTTTAATTGCTTGTTCAGAAATACACCAGGGACTAACGTAATAGATGATATGAAGCTGTGTCGTCTACTATAGTAGCAACTGGCCGCAAACGATTGCACATTTGTCACGTGGCCAGTTGCAATAGGAATGTGCTGCAAATGTAACATGCATGCTGGATTTTGAAGACTTAGTACAAATAAGATAATGGATAATATGACGTTAATACATTGTATATCAAATACATAGGAAATGACAATATGTTAGATATATTGGGTTAAATCAAACATGAATTAAAATAATCTCAACTATTTTATGTTTTTATTATGGCTATTAGGAAACTCTAAATGAAATAACTAGCTTATGTTATATTTCTATGAATCAGCACTTGGATAGAGAAAATAGATTTTTAAATGATTTAAAGGACCAGTTGATAAGAAGCTTTTTGCTGTTATTATCTCTGTTAGAGAGGATTTCAAGAAAGACTTGGGCTACTCCAGAAAAGCTAGTCAGCTGCTGGTCCTCCGTCAGAAAAATGCCAGTGTCAGTGTGCTGTAGGCAGGCCCCAGGTCACATTTGACTATTTGTGACTTATTGTGTTTGACTCATATTTAGTGCTCCATAAATGTTTATCGAATTAGTAATGACTTACCGTTGTAATTCATTGGCTTGAGATTCAGAAATAACGAGTTTTATTTCCAACTCCGCCCCAACTAGCTCTGCGATCTTGCACAAAACACATCCTCTTTCCTTATGTCATTTTTTTTTTTTGGGGGGGCGGGGGTGGACAGAATCTTGCTCTCTCGCCCAGGCTGGAGTGCAATGGTGTGGTCTCGGCTCACCGCAACCTCCGCCTCCCGGGTTCAAGCAATTCTCCCTGCCTCAGCCTCCCCAGTAGGTGAGATTACAGGCGGCCACCACCACACCTGGCTAATTTTTGTATTTTTAGTAGAGATGGGGTTTTGCCATGTTGGCCAGGCTGATCTCGAACTCCTGACCTCAGGTGATCTGCCCGCCTCGGCCTCCCAAAGTGCTGGGATTACAGGCGTGGGCCACCGCACTGCGCTCGGCCTCCTTACCTCATTTTTTTTTCCATCATAAAATGAGAAGGTTTAATGTGATGACTGAATAATTTTCAGCTCAGACATACTGTGGTACTGTTATGCGACTCTGTGTTGCTGGTCTACTAGGCAGTTAGAATGTCCATTTCTAAAGTGGCAAATAAGCTGCTGCTTTAGTCAGGATTTTATTTTGCATGTGTCTACCCTCTGATGCTGATTATTCTTTTTCTTGAATATGCTAACGTAGGTTTCTGGAACCTGCAAAGAACCACTCTTCTGTCATCCTTATCTAATAAATAAAATATTCTCATCTCTCAGTTTTCTCTCTCCCCTGTCTACAAAATTAAACTCTTTGATTATCACCCTTCTTGGAATTTTAACTTTGATTTTGCATTAGAATATACCCAGCTTCTCACATGAAGAGTCTCGGTTCAGATGAGAAGATGAGGGCTTTGAGGCATAGTGATGGCTTACTGTGATGCCTTACCTTATTTTAACCTGATTGTCTCTCTTAGCTGAGAGAGCTGGACAGACTCCATTTTTGTTTCTTCACTCGCAGTCCCCCTTATCCCCCTCCCTCAAGGACATAACTAGTGCAAGCTGACTCCAAGCACGTCCAGGAATGCACTTACTGATAAGAGATAGAGGCAAACTGAACCAGCAGCTCCTGGGGATGCGCTCGGTGGGTGGTACCCGAAGCCCCTGCATTATCTCTCTGTGATAGTTTAAGCCCCTGCACCTGGAACTGTTTATTTTTCTGTAACTGTTTCTGTAACCATTAATCTTTTTAACTTTTTGCCTGTTCTGCTTCTGTAAAAATCGCTTCGGCTAAACTCCCCCTCCCCTATTTAGACCAAGGTATCAAAAGAAATCTAGCTCCTTCTTCGGGGCCGAGAGAATTTTGAGCTCTAGCTGTGTCTCAGTCGCCGGCAATAAAGGACTCGTGAATTAATCTTGTAGTGTGGCATTTCTCTATAACTCGCTCGGTTACAATATGACCAGGTGACATGGAGAACCTGTCATAACTTGGGGCCTTAGTTTATTACTCCATGGAATCCATCTAATAATACTCTATGTGTTTCTGCTGACCTATGTGAGAGAAAGTTCTAATCTGGCACCCATGCTTTCAAATGGGAGATAAAGAGGAACTAGGCTGGGTAGAAGGTACCAAGAAAGAAAGGAGTCTTTTAAGGAGATCATTCAACACACTTTATTTTTCCTCTTCATTCGTGTTTCAAGCCCCATTATGTTTATTCGCCTATGCATGTTCCCCAAAGCCACGTTCTCTCATCTGTTTCCCGTAACGATGGAGAGGACTGGAAACGCTGTTGAGTACTTTGAGCTCCTCAAGGAGTACAAATTGCTTGTTTCTGTACATTAACGAATTCTTTGACTTTTTCACACTTAGTTCCTTTCACTAAGAAGCTAATAGGCCGGGCTCGGTGGCTCAAGCCTGTAATCCCAGAACTTCGGGAGGCCAAGGTGGGTGGATCACGAGGTCAGGAGTTTGAGACCAGCCTGGCCAACATGGTGAAACCCCGTCTCTACTAAAAATACAAAAATTAGCTGGGCGTGGTGTGGTGGTGGGCGCCTGTAATCCCAGCTACTCGGGAGGCTGAGGCAGGAGAATCACTTGAATCCGGGAGGCAGAGGTCGTGGTGAGCCAAGATCGCGTCATTATACTCCAGCCTGGGCAACAAGAGCAAAACTGGAAAGAAGCTAATAGTTCAGGAGTAGATGCCACATACAGATACAAATAACAACTTCAAAACAAAGAACATATAAGAAGTGCCAGTAGAATTCAGAGAAGACAGGCTAGAGGCATGAAGGAAAGCTTCAGGAAATACTTGAACATGGGAAGAAAGAGAAGCGAGTAAAGCATTAAAGGCAGAAGGAAGAATGTAAGAAAGGGAATAAGGCAAAAGTAGGAGCCAAGTTAGTGGGACAGCTGATACTCCCATTTGAATTGATACTCAGTCAGGATTAGTAAAATGAACTTTGTAAAATTACTTTAGAGTTTCAAGGGAACTCTAATGGGAAATACTGCAGATGTGAAAGATGCACAATGTGATGGCAAGAGCTGTCGACAGGGAGAGGTGGAGCAAGATTGCAGAATAGAAGGCTCCACCATTCGTCCCCTGCACAAGGACATCAGGTTAACCACCACTACACAGATAAAAACACCTTTATAAGAACCAAAAATTAGATGGGCACTCATAGTACCTGGCTTAACTTCATATGGCTGAAAGAGGCAATGAAGAGATAGAAAAAAATGTCCAGAATCGCCTACGTGACCCCTCTTCCACCCTGGGTAGCAGCTGCATGGTACAGAGAGACTTTCTGGGAGCTGAGAAGGAGAACACAGCAACTGTGAGGCATTGAACTAAGTGGCATCCTGTTAAATCAGGAAGGAAAACTAGACCAAACTCAGATGACACAGAAGGAGCATTTACACTAGCTCTAGCCAGAGGGGAATCGCCAATCCCAGCTCTCTGAACTCGAGTGCTCGGAAGCCTCACCACTGAAAGCCAAACTGCTCTTGGTCCCTAAGTAAACATGAAAGGCAGTCTAATCCATAAGGTCTGCAACTCATAGCCAAGTCGTAGTCTTGAATTAGGCCCAGAGACTGTGGACTAGAGAGACACGCAGCATACCAAGACATCAGCTGGGGCAGGCAAGGGGGTGTTGGCATCGCCACTCCCCTGACCCCAGGCTGCACAGCTCAACTTCGAAAGAGACCCCTTCCTTCCACTTGAAGAGAAGACAAGGAAGAGTGAGTAGGACTTTGGCTTGCATCTGGGATACCAGCTCAGCCACAGCAAGACAGGGCAATGGTCGGAATCAAGAGGCCCCTGTTCCAGGCTCTAGCCCCAGATGACATTTCTAAGCACACTTGGACCGGAAGGGAACAAGCTACCTTGAAACAAAGGACCCGGTCCTGACAGCATTCATTATTTGCTAATTGAAGAGCCCTTGGGCCCTGAATAATGAACAGTGATACCCAGGTACTATGTTTAGGGCCTTGGTGAGCCTCTGAGACTTGCTGGCTTTAGGTAAGACTCAGCATATTACTAGTTGTGGTGGCTATGGGACAAAACTCCTTCTGCTTGAGAAGTGCAGAGGGAAAGGCAGAGGGGACCTTGTCTTGCACTTTAGGTACCAGCACCAATATAGGGGGTTAGAGAGCCAAGTGGGCTCCTAGGGCCCCCCATTCCAGGACTTGAATCTTTGAATTTTTTTTTTTTTTTTTGAGGTAGAGTCTCACTCCTCACTCTATCACCCAGGCTGGAGTGCAGTGATATGATCTCAGCTTACTGCGACCTCTGCCCCGGGCTCAAGCGATCCTCCAACTTCAGCCTCCCAAGTAGCTGGGACCACAGATGCGCACCATCTCACCCAGCTAAGTTTTTGTATTTTTGGTAGAGAGGGGGTTTCACCATGTTGCCCAGGCTGCTCTTGAACTCCTGAGCTCAAGCAATCCACCTGCCTCAGCCTTCCAAAGTGCTGGGATTATAGGCATGAGCCACTGTGCCTGGCCTGGGACTTGACTCTTGAATGGCATTTCCGGACCTGTCCTGGGCAACATGGATACAGTAAAAAAAGTAAAGAAACAACCCACAGACTGGGATAAATTATTTTCAAAGTACCCGTCTGACAAGGGATTAATATCCAGAATATGTAAGATGCTCAAATAACTCTGTAGGGAAAAAAATGTAATAATTTGATAGAAGAATGGGCAAAATATTTGAATAGACATTTCTCGTAAGACATACTATGGCAAATAGGCATTTGAAAAGGTGCTGAACATCATTGATCATCAGAGAAATGCAAATCAAATCTACAGTGAGATTTCTCACCCCAGTTAAAATGACTTACATCAAAAGGACAGGCAATAACAAATGCTGGCGAGGATATGGAGAAAAGGGAACCCTTCCACACTATTGGTGGGAATATAAATTAGCACAATCACTATGGAGAACAGTTTGGAGGTTTCTCAAAAAACTAAAATGAGGTACCGTATGATCCAGCAATCCCACTGCTGGGTATACACACCCAAAAAAAGGGAGATCAGTATATTGAAGAGATATCTGCACTACTGTGTTTGTTGCAACACTATGTACAATAGCTAAGATTTGGAAGCAACCTGTGTCCATCAACAGATGAATGGAGAAAGAAAATGTGGTACATAGACTCAGGGGAGTTCTATTCAGCCATAAAAAAGAATGAGATCCAGTCATTTGGAACAACATCGATGGAACTGGAGATCATTATGTTCAGCAAAATAAGCTAGGCACAGAAAGACAGACATTGCATGTTCTCACTGATTTGTGGGATCTAAAAGTCAAATGAATTAAAATCATGGGCATAGAGAGTAGAAAGGTGGTTAACAGAGGCTGGAAAGGGTAGTGGGGGATGATGGTGGAGGCTGGGATTGTTAATGGGTACACAAAATAGAAAAAGTAAATAAAACCTACTATTTGATAGCATGATAGGATGACTACAGTCAATAATAATTTAATTGCACATTTTGAAATAAGTTAAGGAGTGTAATTGGATTATTTGTAACTCAAGGTCTAAATGTTTCAGAAGATCGATACCCTGGTCTCCGTGATGTGCCCTGTTCTCCATGATGTGCTTATTTCACATTGCATGCCTGTATCAAAACATCTCATGTACTCTATAAATATACACAACTACTGTGTACCCACCAAAATATAAAAAAAACTGGAAAACATTTTAAAAAAAAAGAGTTGTGGGCATTATTTTATAAGCACTGGAGGAAATGAATGATTTTGAGCAAGGACATGGCATGGTCAGACATGGGGATTGAAAATCGCACAGTTGCAGGATCATTGAAAAGAATGTTTTGAATACCAATTTAAAAAATAGAGAAATGCAGTTATATTAATTGCATTTCTATGGTGTTCCTTGGACTGAGTTCCTGAGTTTGGGATTTAGCCAAATACGGATGAGTTCAGGTCCTCCATTATGAATATCTTCTGATTAAAACAGTATTATTTCATATTCTTTGATTTGTTGTTTATCCTGAAGAGCAGATGTATTTCTGTTCCCTTAATTTCTTTGTAGTTTCCATGTAGATTCCCGTCTTCCCATTTTTGCACCCTCCATCTAGAGAAGATTCTTGCCCAGTCCCTCCCATCTGAATTATTTTTATTCAACCGTTTCCTCATGAGTGCCATAATCTGAGGCTTCCAATTTAAGGCAGTCATCCTGCATTCTCAGCATCTCCTATGTTCACACCAAAATACAAGAGAGATTCAGAGAGGGGATGGAATCCTTAACATAATTCAAAGTAAAGCTAACATCCAACCTTTTGCCAGAAGATGGGAAGAGTTTCTACTAACAGTACTGAAAAAAAAACTGCTATTGGCAGCAGATTTGAAACACTTTGCTGCTTGAGAAACCCACCAGCCTGAAGTGAAATATTTATCCCGCCCTCATTTCTAGTCTTAATTTCTCCCAAGGTCTTACTCAGCAGTCAGTAAACTGAGAAATTGATTCTATATGTTCTGAAATTGCATGCTGAAGAGGCTGTGGCAATAAAATCTCACTCTGGCGGACATCCTCCTTCCTCCAATGAACGGATAATACCCATAAAATTATCTCTTTGTACATGTATTGTAAGAGTATAATCCCTATAAAGTATCATTGTGCCCAGGTTTTCTTGTGGAATAAGTATCAATTATCTACTTCCACAATATTGCTGTGTAACCAACTACTGTAAAACCAGTGGCATGTAACAATACCCAATAATTTCTCATGTGTCTGTGAGGTTCAGTTGATGTACTCTGGGTTTACCTGAGCTTGCTCACATACCTGATGACGGGCTCTGCTCCTCGTCTCTTATTCTTTTTCTGAGACAAGCGTGTTAGCTTGGGCATGTTTTCAAGTTAACAGCAGAGGGCAACAGCAAGCAAGAGGATGCACACAACGAGTCATGGAAAACTAGGCTTGGAATGGACACGTTGAAACTCTATTGCATTCTATTGGCCAAAGCAAGTCATAAGAGGAAAAGCAAAATCATGTAAGGGTAGATTCAGGAAGGGGTAAAATAATATGGCCATCATTGCTATCTACCATAGGAAGGCAT
Organism: Homo sapiens; assembly: GCF_000001405.40. NCBI lineage: Eukaryota > Metazoa > Chordata > Mammalia > Primates > Hominidae > Homo > Homo sapiens. Next base: position 141,052,098 of record NC_000023.11, on the reverse strand, counting down.
TGCATAAATGCATAGGAATTAGCAATCATTGCATAAAAAGATATAACGGTGGCTCACGCCTGTAATCCTAGCACTTTGGGATGCCGAGGCGGGTGGATCACCTGAGGTCAAGAGTTCGGGACCAACCTGGCCAACATGCTGAAGCCCTGTCTCTACTGAAAATACAAAAATGAGCTGGGCGTGGTGGCATGTGCCTGTAATCCCAGCTACTCGGGAGGCTGAGGCAGGAGAATTGCTTGAACCTGGGAGGCAGAGGTTGCAGTGAGCTGAGATCGCGCCACTGCGCTCCAGCCTGGTGACAGAGCGAGCATTCGTCTCAAAAAGATAAAAAAAAAAGGAAAGAAGAAAAAGACACAAAGTTGGTAGAAGAAAAAGAAAGTGAACTAAAAAAGAAATCTTTCCTATATAGTTATTAGTTTTGATAGCTCTTTTATGCATACTTTAAAAATTGTACATTTTCCTAGTTTGCCTACAGTTTGTTGTGGAAATGGTTAAAATAGTTTTCCATTTAGTGAATAGTACATTCTCTTTCTACTAGTTTATTTTTAACAGTAGATAAATACTAATATCTTTTTATTGGCGTTTGTATTCGTAAGAGTAATGCTAGGCTGTGCTGACTCCACGACAATCACAAAATAAAATCTCAGTGATTTAACATAACAAAGGTTTGTTTTCTGATGAATGAAACTTCTATCTGGGTGAGCAGAGACTCTTCCGTCCAATACCTTATGGAGCCAGGCTTCCTCCATCTTGTTCATTTCCTTGTCAACTCATGGTTGTCAAGGTCACTGTGACAGAAGAAGAGAATGAAGAAGCCACATGAGGGCATAACTGCCTCAACCTTAAAATGATGTGTATGTTTTCTGCACCCGGTTCACTGCCCAGAGCTAGTCAATTTTGAGACCATCTCAATCTGATTATAAAACAGGCTATAAAATATAGGGAAACACATAGAATCTTTGTGAGCACTCCCTATGGCACATCTTTACATCTACATATACTTGTGTAATTACCTCGTTAAATACATGATTATAAGGTTTTAATATCTGGTAGGATATAACTTCCTCTCATTAATCTTCTTCTAAAATTATCTTAGGCTGGAGATGGTGGCACACACCTGTAATCCCAGCACTTTGGGAGGCTGAGGCAGGAGGATCTCTTGAGCTAAGAAGTTCCAGAAGAACCTAGGCAACATAGTGAGACCTTGTTTCTACAAAAATAATAATAATAATAATAATAATAATAATAATAATAATAACAACCACTACACATAATTAGCTGGGCATGGTGGCATGCACCTGTAGCCTCAGCTGCTCAGAGACTGAGGTGGAAGGATTTCATAAGCCCTGGAGGTGAGGCCGCAGTGAGCTGAGATCGCACCACTGCACGCCAGCGTGAGCAACAGAGGGAGACCTTGTTTAAAAAAAATGATATTGGACATTATTTGATTTGAAAATGTATTCTGGGCTGGGCGTGGTGGCTCACGCCTGTAATCCCAGCACTTTGGGAGGCTGAGGCGGGTGGATCACCTGAGGTCAGGAGTTGAGACCAGCCTGACCAACATGGAAAAGCCTCGTCTCTACTAAAAATACAAAATTAGCCTTCCATGGTGGCACATGCCTGTAATCCCAGCTACTCGGGGCTGAGGCAGGAGAAACACGTGAACCCGGGAGGCAGAGGTTGCGGTGAGCCAAGATCGCGCCATTGCACTCCAGCCTGGGCAACAGGAGCGAAACTCCGTCTCAAAAAAAAAAAAAAAAAAACCACAGGAAATGTGTTTTGAAGGTATTAACAAACTAGTATTTGGTTTTTTTTGTTTTTCTGTGTGTGTGTTTGTGTCTTCCTCTAATTATTATTATTATTTTCTTATACTTTAAGTTCTAGGGTACATGTGCACAACGTGCAAGTGTGTTACATATGTATACATGTGCCATGTTGGTGTGCTGTACCCATTAACTCCTCATTTACATTAGGTATATCTGCTAATGCTATCCCTTCCCCCTCTCCCCACCCGCTGACAGGCCCCAGTGTGTGATGTTCCCCATCCTGTGTCCAAGTGTTCTCATTGTTCAGTTCCCACCTATGAGTGAGAACATGTGGTGTTTGGTTTTCTGTTCTTGCAACAGTTTGCTGAGAATGATGGTTTCCAGCTTCATTCATGTCCCTACAAAGGACATGAACGCATCATTTTTTATGGCTGCATAGTATTCCATGGTGTATATGTGCCACATTTTCTTAATCCAGTCTATCATCGATGGACATTTGGGTTGGTTCCAAGTCTTTGCTATTGTGAATAATGCCGCAATAAACATACGTGTGCATGTGTCTTTATAGCATGATTTATAATCCTTTGGGTATGTACCCAGTAATGGGATGGCTGGGTCAAATGGTATTTCTAGTTCTAGATCCTTGAGGAATAGCCACACTGTCTTCCACAACGGTTGAACTAGTTTACAGTCCCACCAACAGTGTAAAAGTGTTCCTATTTCTCCACATCCTCTCTAGCACCTGTTGTTCCCTGACTTTTGAATGATCGCCATGCTAACTGGTGTGAGATGGTATCTCATTGTGGTTCTGATTTGCGTTTCTCTGACGGCCAGTGATGATGAGCATTTTTTCGTGTGTCTTTTGGCTGCATAAATGTCTTCTTTTGAGAAGTGTCTGTTCATCTCCATTGCCCCCTTTTTGATGGGGTTGTTTGATTTTTTTCTTGTAAATTTGTTTAAGTTCTTTGTAGATACTGGACATTAGGCCTTTGTCAGACGGGTAGATTGTAAAAATTTTCTCCCATTCTGTAGGTTGCCTGTTCACTCTGATGGTAGTTTCTTCTGTTGTGCAGACGAGAAGCTCTTTAGTTTAATTAGATCCCATTTGTCAAGTTTGGCTTTTGTTGCCATTGCTTTTGGTATTTTAGTCATGAAGTCCTTGCCCATACCTATGTCCTGAATGGTATTGCCTAGGTTTTCTTCTAGGGTTTTTATGGTTTTTTGGGTCTAACATTTAAGTCTTTAATCCATCTTGAATTCATTTTCATATTAGGTGTAAGAAAGGGATGCAGTTTCAGCTTTCTCCATATGGCTAGCCAGTTTTCCCAGCACCATTTATTAAATAGGGAATCCTTTCCCCATTTCTTGTTTTGTGTCAGGTTTGTCAAAGATCAGATGGTTGTAGATGTGTGGTATTATTTCTGAGGGCTCTGTTCTGTTCCATTGGTCTGTATCTCTGTTTTGGTACCTGTACCATGCTATTTTGGTTACTGTCATCTTGTAATATAGTTTGAAGTCAGGTAGCGTGATGCCTCCAGCTTTGTTCTTTTGACTTAGGATTGACTTGGCAATGCGGGCTCTTTTTTGGTTCCATGTGAACTTTAAAGTAGTTTTTTCCAATTCTGTGAAGAAGGTCATTGGTAGCTTGATGGGGATGGCACTGAATCTATAAATTACCTTGGGCAGTATGGCCGTTTTCTCGATGTTGATTCTTCCTATCCATGAGCCTGTAATGTTTTTCCATTTGTTTGTGTCCTCTTTTATTTCATTGAGCAGTGGTTTGTAGTTCTCCTTGAAGAGGTCCTTCACATCCCTTGTAAGTTGGATTTCTAGGTATTTTATTCTCTTTGAAGCAGTTGTGAATGGGAGTTCACTCGTGATTTGGCTCTCTGCCTGTTATTGGTGTATAGGCGTGCTTGTGATTTTTGCAAATTGATTTCGTATCCTGAGATTTTGCTGAAGTTGCTTATCAGCTTAGGGAGATTGGAGGCCGAGACGATGGGGTTTTCTAAATATACAATCATGTCCTCTGCAAACAAGGACAATTTGACTTCCTCTTTTCCTAATTGAATACCCTTTATTTCTATCTGCTGCCTGATCGCCCTGGCCAGAACTTCCAATACTATGTTGAATAGGAGTGGTGAGAGAGGGCATCCCTGTCTTGTGCCAGTTTTCAAAGGGAATGCTTCCAGGTTTTCCCCATTCAGTATTATATTGGCTGTGGGTTTGTCATAAATAGCTCTTATTATTTTGAGATACGTCCCATCAATACCTAGTTTATTGAGAGTTTTTAGCATGAAGAGTTGTTGAATTTTGTCGAAGGCCTTTTCTGCATCTATTGAGATAATCATGTGGTTTTTGTCTTTGGATTACGTTTATTGATTTGGGTACATTGAAGCAGGCTTGCATCCCAGGGACGAAGCCAACTTGATGATGGTGGATAAGCTTTTTGATGTGCTGCTGGATTCCATTTGCCAATATTTTATTGAGGATTTTTGCATCTATGTTCATCAGGCATATTGGTCTAAAATTCTCTTTTTTTTTGTTGAGTCTCTGCCAGGCTTTGGTGTCAGGATGATGCTGGCCTCATAAAATGAGTTAGGGAGGATTCCCTCTTTTTCTGTTAATTGGAATATTTTCAGAAGGAATGGTACCAGCTCCTCTTTGTACCTCTGGTAGAATTCAGCTGTGAGTCTGTCTGGTTCTGGACTTTTTTAGCTGGTAGGCTGTTCATTATTGCCTCAATTTCAGAGCCTGTTATTCATCTATTTAGGTATTCAACTTCTTCCTGGTCTAGTCTTAGGAGGTTGTATATGTCCAGTAATTTATCCATTTCTTCTAGATTGTCTCGTTTATTTGTGTAGAGGTGTTTATAGTATTCTCTGATGGTAGTTTGCATTTCTGTGGGATCAGTGGTGATATCCCCTTTATCATTTTTGATTGCATCTATTTGATTCTTGTCTCTTTCCTTCTTTATTAGTCTTGCTAGCGGTCTATCAATTGTGTTGATCTTTTCAGAAAACCAGGTGCTGGATTCATTGATTTGTTGAAGGGTTTTTGGTGTCTCTATCTCCTTCACTTCTGTTGTGATCTTAGTTATTTCTTGCCTTCTGCTAGCTTTTGAATGTGTTTGCTGTTGCTTCTCTAGTTCTTTTAATTGTGATGTTAGGGTGTCAGTTTTAGATCTTTCCTGCTTTCTCTTGTGGGCATTTAGTGCTATAAATTTTCCTCTACACGCTGCTTTGAATGTGTCCCAGAGATTCTGGTATGTTGTGTCTTTGTTCTCGTTGATTTCAAAGAACATCTGTATTTCTGGCTGCATTTCGTTATGTACCCCCAGTAGTCATTCAGGAGCAGGTTGTTCAGTTTCCATGTAGTTGAGCGGTTTTGAGTGAGTTTCTCAATCCCGAGTTCCAGTTTGATTGCACTGTGGTCTGAGAGACAGTTTGTTATAATTTCTGTTGTTTTACGTTTGCCTAGGAGTGCTTGACTTCCAACTATGTGGTCAATTTTGGAATAAGTGTGATGTGGTGCTGAGCAGAACGTATATTCTGTTGATTTGGCGTGGAGAGTTCTGTAGATGTCTATTCGGTCCGCTTGGTGCAGAGCTGAGTTCAATTCCCGGATATCCTTGTTAACTTTCTGTCTCATTGATCTGTCTAATGTTGACAGTGGGGTATTAAAGTCTTCCATTATTATTGTGTGGGAGTCTAAGTCTCTTTGTAGGTCTCTAAGGGCTTGCTTTATGAATCTGGGTGTTCTTGTATTGGGTGCATATATATTTAGGATAGTTAGCTCTTCTTGTTGAATTGATCCCTTTCCCGTTATGTAATGGCCCTCTTTGTCTCTTTTGATCTTTGTTGGTTTAAAGTCTGTTTTATCAGAGACTAGGATTGCAACCGCTGCTTTTTTTTTTGCTTTCCATTTGCTTGGTAGATCTTCCTCCATCCCTTTCTTTTGAGCCTATGTGTGTCTCTGCACGTGAGATGTGTCTTCTGCATACAGCACAGTGATGGGTCTTGACTCTTCATCCAATTTGTCAGTCTGTGTCTTTGAATTGCAGCATTTAGCCCATTTCCATTTAAGGTTAATATTGTTATGTGTGAATTTGATCCTGTCATTATGATGCTAGCTGGTTATTTTGCTCGTTAGTTGATGCAGTTTCTTCCTAGCCTCGAAGGTCTTTACAGCTTGGCATATTTTTGCAGTGGCTGGTACCGGTCGTTCCTTTCCATGTTCAGTGTTTGCTTCAGGAGCTCTTGTAAGGGAGGCCTGGTGGTGACAAAATCTCTTAGCATTTCCTTGTCTGTAAAGGATTTTGTTTCTCCTTTACTTACGAAGCTTAGTTTGGCTGGAGATGAGATACTGCGTTGAAAATTTTTTCTTTAAGAATGTTGAATATCGGCCCCCACTCTCTTCTGGCTTTTGTAGAGTTTCTGCCGAGAGATCCGCTGTTAGTCTGATGGGCTTCCCTTTGTGGGTAAGCAGACCTTTCTCTCTGGCTGCCCTTAATATTTTTTCCTTCATTTCAACTTTGGTGAATCTGACAATTATGTGTCTTGGAGTTGCTCTTCTCGAGGAGTATCTTTGTGGCGTTCTCTGTATTTCCTGAATTTGAATGTTGGCCTGCCTTGCTAGGTTGGGGACGTTCTCCCGGATAATATCCTGCAGAGTGTTTTCCAACTTGGTTCCATCCTCCCCGTCACTTTCAGGTACACCAATCAGACGTAGATTTGGTCTTTTCACATAGTCCCATATTTCTTGGAGGCTTTGTTCGTTTCTTTTTACTCTTTCTTCTCTAAAGTTGTCTTCTCGCTTCCTTTCATGCATTTGATCTTCAATCGCTGACACCATTTCTTCTACTTGATCGAATCAGCTACTGAAGCTTGTGCATGCACATTCTCCGTCCAGCCGTGTTGTGTTGCTGGCGAAGAGCTGCATTCCTTTGGAGGAGAAGAGGCTCCCTCTGAGTTTTAGAATTTTCAGCTTTTCTGCTCTGGTTTCTCCCCATCTTTGTGGTTTTATCTACCTTTGGTCTTTGATGATAGTGACGTACAGATGGGGTTTTGGTGTGGATGTCCTTTGTGTTTGTTAGTTTTCCTTCTAACAGTCAGGACCCTGACCTGCAGGTCTGTTGGAGTTTCCTGGAGGTCCACTCCAGACCCCGTTTGCCTGGGTATCACCAGCCGAGGCCGCAGAACACCAAATATTGCAGAACGGCAAATGTTGCCGCCTGATCCTTCCTCTGGAAGTTTTGTCTTAGAGGGGCACCCAGCCGTATGAGGTGTCAGTTGGCCCCTACTGGGAGGTGCCTCCCAGTTAGTCTACTCGGGGGTCGGGGACCCACTTGAGGAGGCAGTCTGTCCATTCTCAGATCTCAAATTCCATGCTGGGGGCACCACTGCTCTCTTCAAAGCTGTCAGACAGGGACTTTTAAGTCTGTAGAAATTTGCGCTGCCTTTTGTTCTGCTATGCCCTGCCCCCAGAGGTGGAGTCTACAGAGGCAGGTAGGCCTCCTTGAGCTGCGGTGGGCTCCACCCAGTTCGAGCTTCCCAGCTGCTTTGTTTACCTACTCAAGCCTCATTAATGGTGGACGCCCTTCCCCTAGCCTCGCTGCTGCCTTGCAGTTCGATCTCAGATTACTGTGCTATGAGTGAGTGAGGCTCCGTGGGTGTGGGACCCTCCAAGCCAGGCGTGGGATATGATCTCCTGGTGTGCTGTTTGCTATGACTGTTGGAAAAGCGTAGTATTAGGGTGAGCGTGTCCCGGTTTTCCAGGTACCGTCTGTCATGGCATCCCTTGGATAGGAAAGGGAATTCCCCGACCCCTTGCGCTTCCCGGGTGAGGCGATGCCCTGCCCTGCTTGGGCTCATGCTCCATGGGCTGCACCCACAGTCTGACACGCCCCAGTGAGATGAACCCGATATCTCCGTTGGAAATGCAGAAATCACCTGTCTTCTGAGTCACTCGTGCTGGGAGCTGTAGACTGGAGCTGTTCCTATTTGGCCATCTTGGAACCTTCACACCTAGCATTTTCGACAAATTTTTTACAATTGATTAATTTTCTTTTAAAATTTTAATGTATTTTTATGACATCCTAAAATTTACAATTTTGTGTAGCCAGATATATTAATATTTTTCTTTAAGGTTTTTGACCTTGGTTGGTGTTGTATTTAAAAGAGTTTCCAAACTGAAGATTGTATGAATATTTACCAGTATTTCCTTTTCCCACTTTTATAATTTTATTTTCAGAAATTATTTAACCTATTTTTATTTCTTTCGGTGCATGATGTGACATTCTTTTCTTTTCAAATGGTATTCTATTTCACCCAGTACCTTGAATAATTCATGTCCTGATGTCAATTGAGGATCCTATAGAGTTTACTTTTAAATATAGTTTCAGCTGTTGATTTGGGATTGTCATTGTCATTGAGGAAGTATGTATCCTAGTCTTAATTTACTATGTTCTTTCAGTTAAAACTCAATGCAGTGATGACAGCAGTAAATATCATTATATAATTTTCCAGTTATCATTGCATTATATATCACTGTGTAAACAATTACTCTAATATTTAGGCTTAAAAGAAAAACCTGAATTACCTTAACAGTTTCTGTAGGTCAACAATCTGCATGTGGCTTATGTGGTTCCTCTGACTCAGGGATTTTGACAGGATCCAGTCAAGGTTGCAGTCATTTTATGGATGAGCTGGGGGAGGAAATAATTCTGTGCTTGTTGGGAAGTGGGTTTTTCCATTGTTCAGCATACATCAAGGCAGCTGGTTTCATCAGTACGTGCAGGTGAGAGGGCAAAATAGAGTGTCAGTAAGAGTACCAGTAACATAACAGGCAAAGTCTTTTGTCATGTCATTTGCAACTGATACGCCGTCACTCATGCCTTATTCTACTTATTAGAAGGAAATCCATGGGTTCAGCTCACACAGAAAGAGACTTGTAATTAGTCAGGGTTCTCCAGAGAAACAGAACCAGTAGGATGGATGGACAGACAGAGATTGAGAGAGAGAAAGAGAAAGAGAGAGAGAGAGAGAGAGAGAGGGAGGGAGAGGGAGGGAGAGGGAGAGAGAGAGGGAGACGGAGAATGGGAACTTACTCATGCATTTGTGAAGCCTAAGTTTCACCATCTGATGTCCGAAAGTTGGAGAACCAGGAAAGCCAGTGGTGTAATTTAGTCTGAGTCTAAAGGCCCAAGAACAAGGAGCTCCAACTTCTAAGGGTAGGAGAAGATGGATGTTTCAGCTCAAGCAGAAAGAATTCTCCATTCCTCTGCCTTTTGATTCTGTTTTATCTCTCAACATATTAAATGATGTCTACCCACATTGGTGAGTGAAGATCTTCTTTACTCAGTCTACTGATTGAAATACTAATCACTTCAGGAAACACCCTCACAGACATACTCAGAAATAAAGTTTTACCAGCTTTCTGGGCATCCCTTAACCGAGTCAAGTTGACCTTTAAATTAACTATCGCAGAAGGGGATTACGCAAGGGCATAAATACTAAGAGATAGGGACCACTGGAGGACATTTAAAAAACTACCTACTACAGTCACGTGAATATGGTTGATTCTATTTTTAATTTTCAAATATAGGATGATTATTTTAATTTCCTCATCAAACATTACATGGCCCTAGTGTATTATTTATTTTAAAACTCTGCATAATTCAATTTCTAATATTTTATTTAACATTGTTATGGTAATATTTATAAGTGAGAGTATTTTTTCTTTAAATTTGAAAAGTAACAAATCTGTTAACTGTGTTAAGTAAAATGGCAAAACAAGGACTTTTGAAATCATTTCCTCATAAAAGCGGTAAGAACACTGGCAAAAATAGTCAGAATAAATAAACCTCTTCAGAAGTCTGGAAATGATCCAAAGTCAGACTTTGAGAAACATCTGATCATTTATCTTTGTGTAATAAGTGCTTCTTCCTTGCCCCTCGGCAGAGTAAAGTCAAATATCAACCAAGAGCACCAGGGCAATCGGAGGCAGCGCTTAGATTAAGGGGAATCTTCTGGCTCCTACCATGTGCCTTGCCCACCTCATCTCATTAACTTTGTGAGAAAACAGGAAGGCTAGGGAGACATCCTCTAAAGTCATGGAGTCAAAGCATTGTTATAGGGCCAAAAGTCATACATATTTTGTAAAATGTCTTACCTATGAACATCCAATTGAAGCTAACCATAAGAAAAAAAAATTACCTCTAAAAAGGTTAAGGACTTTACAAAGAACTCTGTATAATTAAAACAGTAGAAAATCATAGGAAAAAAATGAAAATGAAGTATTCACACCGACCTGGGTTTGAAACTTAGCTTTACCTTTTACTAGCTGTGTAAGCTTAGGCAAGCTACCTGACTTCTCTAAGCCTCCATCTCCTCATGTGTGAATCAGGAATAATGAAAGTACTTAACCTCATAGAACCCTCTTTAGGATGAAATATAATAGTACTTAAAAAGCTATGGATAGCTTGGTAAATGCTTGAAAATGAAAGCCTATTTGTATTGCTGACTTGGTATTTTAAGATGCCTGAGCCAAGAATGGATTTTACTAATTTCTTCTCTACTTGTTGCCTCCCTTCATTTTAAAACATATTTTCACTCCCAATATATAACAAACAGTACATAATAAGGATTTAATAAATTAGAAAGGAAATCGGATTGCAAAAAGTTAACCGAAAAGGAAATCTAATATTGTTCTAGTCAAATATTCTTCTTTCCATTTTTTTCTAAAGTCCTGATTTTTTAATTACTAGAATAAGTAAAAACCATAATGAGTGAAAAGAGAAGTCATAAAGAGTAGCATTTCGAATACAGTAAACACTGTATTATGATTGTTGTTCATGATTCAAAACCAGTTTCACATTAAATACCTTTGCCTTTGCTCTTCCTTTTCTAGGTAGAAAAAAAAATGTTTCCCAATAATAACAGGTTTTAGTTACCCTTTGATATGGTTTTGCTGAGTTCCCACCGAAATCTCATCTTGAATTGTAGTAGTTGCCATAATCCCCATGTGTTGTCGGAGAGACCCGGTGGGAGGTAATTTAATCATAGTGCCAGTTACCCCCATGCTGCTGTTCTCCTGATAGTGAGCGAGTTCTCATGATATTTGATGGTTTTATAAGAGGCGTTTCCCCCTTTTGTTGGGCACTTCTCCTTCCTGCCATCATGTGAAGAAGGAAATGTTCGCTTCCCCTTCTGCCGTGATTGTCAGGTTCCTGAGACCTCCCCAGCCACGTAGAACTGTGAGTCAATGAAACCTATTTTCTTTATAAATTACCCAGTCTCAGACAGTCCTTTATAGCAGCATGAGAATGGACTAATACACCCTTCCGGTAAGCCTACCTTCTCCCCTCCTTAGGTAGCACAGACAAGAAATTACCAAGAGGGAAGAAAAGGCTATAACTCTTTTCTGGTTCTTGATATCCTGTTCTCATCCCAAAGTGCGAAGCTATTGACTAGTAAGAAACTCTATGATTGTATTTCTTCAATCAAACATTTTAAGGATTTTTACTTCTGTTTTTGTTCATTTTTAAAATGTAACCACATACCACCTGCTGCCTAAAACTATCTCTAGCCCATTGGTTACATCAGTACCCTGCCTTAAATAGCATATTAGAAAATGAAATGTATGTAGCAAGCGGCTTTGACTCACCTGATTATAATCTTGTCATCAAAAAAGTTATTTAAAATTACACTTATACAATCACAGCTTGCATATAAACTTTAAAAATGCATTTGTGAGAGAAATAAATAAGATATTTTGCAGATATGTAAAGTGGATCTACCTGATTCTATAAACTAGGATTCTGATAAGCGTTAAGAAATTCCACTTGGGAAAATTAAAGTACATTTCTCAGAAGTAGCCAAAGTCATTGCTTTTTTTCTTTTCATTTCATAGCTACAGCAACAGAAGCCATAACCATTTTAATACATAGTGCCTAGCATATAGTAGCATCTCAATAATTTTGTTGAGCATATGGACATAAGAATTAATAAAATAATGCAACATTATGTATAGGGATAACAAGATACCACATGCGCAGACATATATATTGGAAGAAATGTTCATTAAAAATGCGTTGATTATATACATATGAGTGAATATAACCTCTAAAATATTAACCAGATATTAAATAAAGTAAAGTAGAATTTCATCTATAGTATATCTTTGATATGTTTACAAAGGGGTGAGGTGGGGATTGAAAATAGCAAAGAAATATATATGGTATGATTAAATTTTTAAATTAATTTTTGTAATTGATAAATAATACCTGTACATATTTATGCAGTACATAGTGATGCTTTGATATGTACAATGTGTAGTGATCAGATTCGGGTAATTAGCATATCCATCATCTCCAACATTTATCATTTATTTATGTTAGGAACGTTCAATGACCTCTTTTGAGTTGTTCGAAGCTATGTAATACATTATTGTTTACTAACTTCCACTTCTGTCCATGTTCTCTCCCAACGTGAACAACCAGAAAATGAGAACAAATATTTGAAACAGATGTTTTCATTAATCAGGATAATGGGCAGTATAGCACTGTGTTCACTAAGAGAAACAAAGAGGTGAGCTCTACAATCACTCCAGCTTCCTATCAGGAAGGAATTTTAGAACGATGACACAGAAAGAATTCAAGTAAGAGAGACTTTTGTTTCACGAAATTGAAAAGATAGAAATCAGAATTTAGGTATTTGAAATGAATTGGAATTTTATAGCAGAATAATAGAGAGAGGAGGGAGCTATGCAGAAAAAAAGCTCCAGAAATCTTTCTGTGGGCCCTTTGAATCCTTCACTACTAATCAACACATTTGCAGGGTGAGTCCCGTGAGGCAAGAGAAAGAACGAGTGCCTGGGAATCATCAACTGAAAATTTTTCAGAGCTCACTGTCACTGCCCTACAAGAACACAGTTGTTGTTTAAGAATTTGGGTTTATTACTCACTCGTTGCGGTGAAGGAGAATAAACACCATCTCGTTTGTTTTCCTTCTTTTAGTGATCATAATCCCGCACTGCCCTTTGTCTAGATTAGAAAATAAGTTGTTTCCAATATGTTTTCTGGTTGTTTATATTGGCAGGAAAAGTTGTGTAAGTACCTGACAACTCAGATATAGAGTCTTAGAAAGAACTTCTTATAGGATTTGGGCTTTGGCTGGGTAATTTGGTAAAGGGTCTGAGGAAGAGGGAGTTTTGTCTAGATTAACTGCTGTCAGGAAACGGGAGCAATTCTACAACTGGGTATCTGAGTAGAATTTGTATAAAAGGAGGGCAGGCTAGAACAAATATAAAGCTGTAATTGGGAAAACAAGTAGCAGTCACTCAAATTAGCAGGTAAGTGGGATATTTTGCAGTTTTTGCATTGCACAGCGATCTTATTTGTGTCTGTCCTCAGACAAAATTATGAGATGACCTTATTTTATCTTACTTTATCATGGTCTGAAATTGGTGTTCTGTGAAATTGTCCGTCTTCACCAAGAGAATAATATGGCTTAGCTGTGAGTGGCAGCCCAGCTTCTAATAGCACTGAGGCCTAGCTATGAGTGTCTGACCAGTTGCTGGCTGTCAAAGACTGCTTTTCAAAATTTCCTACCACATAGGACTGAAACATCTTTAATACCCCACCAGTGAAATAGAGAAACGCCACTTAATGCTCTAAGCACTCAGTAGGCACCAGAAGGCTAAAGTATCCCAAGAGTAAAGGCTATTCTAGGTATAGCCTAGTGACACTTAATAAACGAACTTTAAAATTAGTATCCAAAAAGATTAAGCTGATCTTCAGTTTATTGCCTAGCAACAACAGCAACGAAACAAAACAAACAAACAAACAAACAAAAAAACAAGCAGCGCAACAGCAAATTGTGACCCATAACCTGGAGGAAATCAGAGATAATTAGATTGGCTGGCAAAGCTTTAAAATAGTTTTTTTTTGTTTTTGTTTTTGTTTTTGAGATGGAGTTTCACTCTGGTCACCCAGGCTGGACTACAGTGGCCCGATCTCGGCTCACTGCAACCTCTGCCTCCCGGGTTCAAGCTAGTCTCCTGTCTCAGTCTCCCAAGTAGCTGGGATTGCAGGTGCCTGCTACCAGGCCAGCTATTTTTTTGTAGTTTTAGTAGAGACGGGGTTTCGCCATGTTGGGCAGGCTGGTCTCCAACTCTTGACCTCTGGTGATCCACCTGCCTTGGCCTCTCAAAGTGCTGGATTACAGGCGTGAGCCACCAGGCCCAGCCTAAAATAGTTATTAAAATACTGTAATGAGAGTAATGGAAGACAAAACATGGAATTTTTGAGCTGAAACATATGCCATCTGATACTGAAAGCGAAGTGTGTGTAATTACTATCACAGTAGACACTGCAAAATAAAAGATATGGGAATTACTTAAACTGAAGCAAAGATAGAAAATTCAGACTGTGACAATAGAATATGACTGATTTACAAATCTATTAAATCATCTTACCGGGGAGGTTAGGAGAAAAGGTGGAAATGAGCTTAGGAGATTAAATGTAAAAGGAGCTCACATAAACACTGCATTCTGTAGTATAACATTGCTTCCCATGGGAACATGGGTTAACAATTCTGAAACCAGTATACATTGACACTGCAGCTAACCAAGTGAGCAAATAAATGATGGACTGTGGGAGCCTAGTTTCTCACAGTTAGAATGAAAGGTTGTAGACAAATGAGGCAGAAAACTAGAATGATGCATGTAGTAATGGATTAGAGCTGAAGACATCAATATAAAGTCATGTTTAACGTAGCATACATACAGAAATATTTATAGATAGGCTGATATACACAGCCTAGTACACATACCTATGTTTTCTTGCTTTGTCAACTGCGAGAGCCTAAAAACAATGGCAACCCATTGACAACCAACAAAGCTAGGACCCAGGTCTAGGTTTCTAATATGATTATCTAATTAAAGAGAAAAACAAAATAGGAATGCCTGAAGAAATGGCTGTTTCTAGAACTAGGGCAGGCAGTACATAAGATGAGCCTGAAGCTTCTTACGGTACCAGAAAGTAAAGAAATTTTTAAAAACAGAAAAATGAGAGCATATCAAAAGGACACAGGAGCCAACTGAAAGAGCACACAATGGCCAAAGTTGAAATAATTTGAGGAAGAAAATTAATGAGGCAATATTAAATTTTATTCCAAAGCATACAATAAGTATCTGGGATTTTATAGTGATATAAATTAATTATTGGAAAAAAAACAAATAATGGAGAATAGAGAAATCCATATAGAAGAATTTCAGATATTTTATGTTGATACTCCCTAATCCAACAAGTGGTGTTTAATCCCCCTCTCTTTTTAGTATTGGCTTCACTTAATGATTTGCTTTGAAAAAGCAATGTATGGAAAACAAGGAGTACCTTTACAGTGGAGAAACCTGTCATACGCTGGTTTGACGACGTGATTAAGCCTAATATCCTCAGCAGTTTGTCATGCGATATCATGTAACCCTGATATAATATGACAAGGAAAATAGTTTGCCTCTGTGAGATTCTGCCCCAAATCTCATAATGTTAGTCTAATAATACGAGTATCACCAGACATATCCCAACTGAAGGATGCTCTATAAAACACCTCACTAGTACCTCTCAAAGCTCTGTCAGGGTCATAAAAAGTAAGGACAATCTGAAAAGCTGTCACAGCCAAGAGGAGCCTAAGGAGACTTGAGGAGTAGATGTAATATGGTATCTTGCACAGGATCAGAAAGCAGCAACAGGTAAAACCTAAGGCATACTGAGTAATACAAGGACTTTAGTTAATAATATTGTATGAATATTGGCTATTAGTATTGGGAAATGCACTATACTAGTGTAAGATGTTAATAATAAAAAAACGAGGTATGAGATTTTCTTATGTGGGAAGTTACTATACTATATTCATGTCTTTGCAGTAAATCTGAAACTATTCTGAAATGTTTATTAAATATTAACAGGCCAGGCACGGTGGCTCACGCACATAATCCCAGCACTTGGGGAGGCTGAGGCGGGCAGATGACGCGGTCAAGAGATCGAGACCATCCTGGCCAACATGGTGAAACCCCATCTCTACTAAAAATACAAAAATTAGCTGGCCGTGGTGGTGCGTGCCTGTAGTCCCAGCTCCTCGGGAGGCTGAGGCAGGAGAATTGCTTGAACCCGGGAGGCGGAGGTTGGAGCGAGCCGAGATCACACCACTGCAGTCCAGCCTGGTGATAGAGCGAGACTCCATTTCAAAAAAAAAAAAAAAAAAAAATTAACAAAAGCACTAGTGACCAGTAGAATAATACTACATGATTCTGTATATGTATATTAAAAGATCAAGAATGAAAAGAGAGACAAGATTAGAAAAATTATTGGAGGCGAGGTGTGTTGGCTCACACTTTGGGAGGTCAGGGTGGATGGATCACAAGGTCAGGAGATCAAGACCATCCTGGCTAACACGGTGAAACCCCATCTCTACTAAAAGTACAAAAAAGTAGCCAGGCATGGTGGCACACACCTGTAGTCCCTGCTACTGGGGAGGCTGAGGCAGGAGAATCACTTGAACCCAGGAGGCGGAGGTTGCAGTGAGCCGGGATTGCACCAATACACTCCAGCCTGGGCAACAGAGCGAGACTCCATCTAAAGTGTATGTGTGTGTGTATATATACATATATATATGGACATAATGGACATTTCGTAAATGTGGTTAAAAGCTAAATTCATAGAACCAAGGAGTTCAATAAAACACAGGAGAGTAAACACAAAGAAAACCAAACCAAATGTATCATAGTAAAATTTATAAAACAGGAGATGGCAAATGAAGTTAAAAACAGAACAAAGAAAGATGTGTTACATGTAGAGGAATAAAAAGAATTATTACAGACTTCTTGTCAGAAATTATAAAGCCAGAAAACTCTTTAACGAAACTTGTAAAGCATTAAACAAATCCAGCTATCAATGTAGATTTCTGTATCAAATAAAAAAATTTTGGAGTTAAGATATAGACATTTTCAGAAACACAAATCAAAAGCAGAGATAATTTTATACCAGCAGTCCTGAAACATCAGAAATGTTAAAGGAAGTTTTTCAGATTGAAGGAAAATGATGGGTACTATACAAGTTTTGGAGCTACACAAATTGAAGGGGCTTGAGATCATGATTATGTCGTGTAAGTTTAGAAGAATTTTTTTTCAATGATCAGGAGAAAAATATAGAAGACACAAATTATAAATATAAGGAGTGCAAAGGAGAATGTGACTATATATCCTGTAGTCATTAAAATATTTAAACACATTCCAAACAAGATTATGACAATACATTTGTAACGTAGATTGAAGGGACAACTGCTTTGATAGACACAACTTTGCAAACAACTACAATCCCAAACATGAACGCTGAGGATCCATATTCACATGAAAGTAATTGAGTTCAAAATGAATCCCGTTGCCACAAAGAAAACTCCAAGACAAGGTAACTATACTGGTGATCTTATCAAATGTTAAAATAGAAGTCATGCAAAAATCATATGTGAATTATTTCAGAAACGAAAGGTCAGGGAACCAGGGGTGGTGACATATGCCTATAGTCCTAGCAACTTGGGGGCTGAGGCAGGAGGATTGCTTGAGCCCAGGAGTTCAAGAGCAACCTTGGAGATATACTGAGATGCTGTCTCTTACAACCAAAAAAGAACTAAGAAAAAAGAAAAAAAGGTTTGGGGAAACAGTTCTAATTTTATTTCATAAGGCTGGTGTATTAGTCATTTTCACACTGCTAGTAAAGACATACCCAAGAGTGGGCAATTTCCAAAAGAAAGAGGTTTAATGGCCTTACGGTTCCATGTGGCTGGGGAGGTCTCACAATTATGGCAGAAGGCAAGGAGGGGAGAGTCACATGTTACGTGGATGATGGCAGGTAAGGAGAGAGCTTGTACAGGGCAACTCCCCCTTATGAAACCATCAGATCTCATGATACTTATTCACTATCATGAGAACAGCATGGGAAAGACCTGTCCCTGTGATTCAGTTACCTCCCACCAGGTCCCTCCAACATCACATAAGAATTAAACATGAGATTTGTGTGGGGACACAGCCAAACCATATCATTGTGTCCCTGGACCCTCTCAAATCTCATGTCCTCCTCACATTTCAAAACCAATCATGCCTTCCAAACAGTCCCCCAAAGTCTTATCTCATTTCAGCATTAACTCAAAAGTCCACAGTCAAAAGTTCAAAGTCTCATCTGAGACAAGGCAAGTCCTTTGTGCCTATAAGCCTGTAAAATCAAAAGGAAGTTCGTTACTTCCTAGATACAATGAGGGTACAGGCATTGAGTAGATACAGCCATTCCAAGTGGGAGACATTAGACAAAACTAAGGGGCTACAGGTACCATGCAAGTCTGAAATCCAGCGGGGCAGTCAAATTTTAAAATTCCAGAATTATCTCCTTTGACTCCATGTCTCACATCCAGGTCACACTGATAGAAGAGGTAGGTTGCCATGGTCTTAGGCAGCTTCATTCCTGTGGCTTTGCAGGGTACAGCCTCCCTCCTGGCTGCTCTCATGGGCTGGTGTTGAGTGTCTGCTGTTTTTCCAGGTATATGGTGCAAGTGGTCGGAGGAGCTACCATTCTGGGGTCTGGAGGACAGTGGCCCTCTTTTCCCAGCTATCCCTAGGTGGTGCTTCAGTAGAGACCCTGTGTGAGGGTCGTGACCCCACGTTTCCCTTCTGCACTGCCCTAGAAGAGGTTCTCCATGAGGGCCCTGTCCCTCCAGCAAACTTCTACCCGGGCATCCAAGCATTTCCATACATCTTCTGAAATCTAGGCGTAGGTTTCCAAACCTCAATTCTTGACTTCTGTGCACCTGCAGGCTCAAGTGCATGTGGAAACTGCCAAGGCTTGGGGCTTGCACCCTCTGAAGCCACGGCCTGAGCTCTGTGTTGGCCCTTTTCAGCCACAGGTGGAGCAGCTGGGGCACAGGCCACCAAATACCTAGGCTGCACACACCAGGGGATCCTGGGCCCAGCCCATAAAACCGTGTTTTCCTCCTAGGCCTCCAGGCCTATGATGAGAGTGGCTGCCGTGAAGACCTCTGACGTGCCCTGGAGACATTTTACCCATTGTCTTGGGGGTTAACATTCGGCTCCTTGTTATTTATGCAAATTTCTGCAGCTGCCTTGAATTTCTCCTAAGCCAATGGGATTTTCTTTTCTTTTCTTTTTTTTTCTTTCTTTTTTTTTTTTTTTTTGAGGTGGCGTCTTACTCTGTCACCCAGGCTGGAGTGCAATGGCGTGGTCTCGGCTCACTGCAATCTGCACCTCCCAGTTTCAAGCAATTCTCCCACCTCACCCTCCCGAGTTGCTGGGACTACAGGCGTGTGCCACCACACCCAACTAATTTTTTTGTATTTTTAGTGGAGATGGGGTTTCACTATGTTGGCCAGGCTGGTCTCAAATGCCTGACCTTGTGATCCGACTGCCTCGGCCTCCCAAAGTGCTGGGATTACAGGTGTGAGCCACCGTGCCTGGCTGGGATTTTATTTTCTGTCCCATTGTCAGGCTGAAAATTTTCCAAAGTTGTATGCTCCGCTTCCCTTATAAAACTGAATGCCTTTAACAGCACCCAAGTCACCTCTTGAATGCTTTGCTGCTTAGAAATTTCTTCTGCCAGATACCCTAAATCATCTCCCTCAGGTTCTTTTGCAGGAAGTCAGGGACCCCGCATGGAGGGACTGGCTGGAGCTCTGGCAGAGGAACATAAATTGTGAAGATTTCATGGACATTCATCAGTTCCCAAATAATACTTTTATAATTTCAAAAGCTGTCTTACTTTAGTCTCTTAATCCTGTTATCTTCATAAGTTGAGGATGTACGTCACCTCAGGACCACTGTGATAGTTGTGTTAACTGTAGAAATTGATTGTAAAACATGTGTGTTTGAACAATATGAAATCAGTGCACCTTAAAAAAGAACAGATTAACAGTGATTTTTAGGGAACAAGGGAAGACAACCATAAGGTCTGACTGCCTGTGTGGTCGGGCAAAAAGAGCCATATTTTTCTTCTTGCAGAGAGCCTATAAATGGACGTGCAAGTAGGGGAGAGATCGCTAAATTCTTTTCCTAGCAAGGAATATTAATATGAATACCCTGGGAAAGGAATGCATTCCTGGGGGAAGGTCTATAATCGGCCGCTCTGGGAATGTCTGTCTTATGCAGTTGAGCTAAGGACTGAGATTCGTCCTGGTCTCCTGCAGTACCCTCGGGCTTACTAGGGTGGGGAAAAAACTCCACCCTGGTAAATTTGTGGTCAGACCAGTTCTCTGCTCTGGAACCCTGTTTTCTTTTGTTTAAGATGTTTATCAAGACAGTACGTGCACCGCTGAACATAGACCCTCATCAGTGGTTCTGCTTTTGCCATTTGCCTTGTGATCTTTGTTGGACCCTTATCAGTGGTTCTGCTTTTTCCCTTTGTCCTGTTCCCTCAGAAGCATGTGATCTTTGTTAGACCCTTATTAGTAGTTCTACTTTTTGCCTTTTGAATCATGTGATCTTTGTACCTACTCTCTGTTTTACACCCCCTCCCCTTTTGAAATCCTTAATAAAAAAACTTGCTGGTTTGAGGCTCAGGTGGGCATCACGGTCCTACCGGTATGTGATGTCACCCCTGGCGGCCCAACTGTAAAATTCCTCTCTTGTACTCTTTCTCTTTATTTCTCAGCTGGTCGACACTTACGGAAAATAGGAAGAACCTACGTGGAAATATTGGGGGTGGGTTCCCCCAATAAAGTTCAGAGTTCTACAGATCTCTATGGCAGGAACAAAATGCTGCCGCCTTTTTGCTAAAACATAACAAGAGTCACCTTTGCTCCAGTTCCCAACAAATTCCTCATATCCATCTGAGACCACCTCAGCCTGGACTTTATCATCCATCTCACCATCCGCATTTTGGGCAAAGCCATTCAACAAGTCTCTAGGAAGTTCCAAACTTTCCCACATTTTCCTGTCTTCTTCTGAGCCCTCCAAACTGTTCCAACCTCTGCCTGTTACCCAGTTCAAAAGTAGCTTCCACATTTTTGGGTATCTTTTCAGCAGCACCTCACTCTACTGGTACTAATTTACTATATTAGTTTATTTTCATACTGCTAATAAAGACATACCTGGATTGGGTGCTTGGCTCACACCTGTAATCCCAGCACTTTGGGAGGCCAAGGCAGGTGGATCACTTGAGGTCAGGAGTTCGAGAGCAGCCTGGCCAATATGGTGAAACCCCATCTCTACTAAAAATACAAAAAACAGCTGGGTGTGTTGGTGCACACCTATAATCACATCTACTTGGGAGGCTGAGACAGGAGAATCACTTCGTCCCGGGACGCAGAGGTTGCAGTGAGCTGACATCATCCTGGGCCTCAGAGCAAGACTTAGTCTCAAAAAAAAAAAAAAAAAAATCCCATACCCGAGACTGGTCAATTTACAAAAGGGAAAGGGGTTTAATGAACTTCCAGTTCCACATGGCTGGGGAGGCCTCACAATCATTGCAGAAGGGAAGGAGGAGCAAGTCACATCTTAACGTAGATGGCAACAGGCAAAGAGAGAGCTTGTGCAGGGGAACTCCACCTTATAAAACTATCAGCAAGGCCGGGTGCACCATGGCTCATGCCTATAATCCCAGCACTTTGGGAGGCCAAGGCGGGTGGACGACCTAAAGTCAGGAGTTTGAGACCAGCCTGGCCAACATAGTGAAACCCCGTCTCTATTAAAAATATAAAAATTAGGCAGGCATGGTGGTGGGTTCCTGTAATTCCAGCTACTAGGGAGGCTGAGGCAGGAGAATCGCTTGAACCCGGAAGGCGGAGGTTGCAGTGACCCGAGATTGCGCCACTGCGCCCCAGCCTGGGCGACAGAGTGAGACTCTGTCAAAAAAATAAAAAAGAAAACCATCAGAGATGTCATGAGACTTATTCACTGTCAAAAGAAGAGCACAGGAAATACCTGCTCCCATGATTCAGTTACCTCCCACCAGGTCCCTCCCACAATACATGGAACTTCAGGATGAGATTTGGGTGGGGACACAGCCAAACCATATCAGCTAGCATCAATCAGTGTGGTATGAAGAATAATGCTTGCTTCTTCCACAAAAATTTCGAAGCCCTAACCTCCAGAACCTGTGACTATGTTACCTTACACATCAAAATAATTTTTCTGATGTGATTAGTTAAGATGCTTATAATGGAATATTTATCCTGGATTGTGGGGTCGCTGTAATCATAAGGGTTATTTTAAAGGGAAAAGGGAAGCAGGAGAGTCAGAAGAGATTTGATAACTGAAGCAGAGAGCGGAGTGATGTAATTGCTGGAAGAGGACCACAAGCCAAAAATTGCAGACAATCTTTAGAATCTGTAAAAAGCTTTCTCCCATAAAAGGCTTCCCCACTAAAGCCTCCAGAGGAGTGCAGTCCTTCAGATACCTCTCCTTTAGCCCTATAAGGCACATTTTAGATTTCTGACTTCCAGAACTGTAAAATAATGTAATTTTACTGGTTTAAGCCATTGAGTTTGTGGTAATTTTTCAAAGCAGCAATAGGAAACGAATACACCGTGATACACAATCTAAACAGAAACCTAACTAGATAAGAAAATCACAATACAACTTCCCTTATGAGCACAAATACAAAAGTCCTTCAAAATATCTCCAAACTGAATAATCCATCTTGTCAAAATGTTTTTTATCTCAGTAATGTGAGATTGATTTATCATTTGAAAAACAAACTTTGTACTTCATTAACCAATGAAGGAAGAAAAAAATCTCAATAAATGCAGCAAAAGCTTGTGAGAAAATTCACTATATATTCATGATAAAAATTCTCAGAAAACTGGGTAGAAAAGTAAACTCTCAGTCAGATAACTTGTATCTGTGAAAAAACTACTCCAACTAACAAACTAACATCATGCTCATGATTTAACACTGAATTCCTTCTGGTTAAGAGAAAACAAGTAAGATATATACAGCTTTGAAAGGAACATTAAAACTGTATTCACAGAATACATCTCTCTAGATAGACAGATAGATAGATAGATAGATAGATAGATAGATAGATAGATTATCCTAAATTATCTTTTTAAAAAATTACTAGAACTGGTAAGTAAATTTACCAACATGACAGGACAAAAGGCCACCGTGTATAAGATTAGATGTATTCCTGTATCCTAGGCATGGAGAATTAGAAATTAAAAAATTTAAAATGCCATTTGTAACAGTATGAAATATATATATGGGTAAATATACTAAAATGTGCTTGTAAGACCTGTACATGTAAAATTATTAAACACTGCTGAAATAAACTTATGAATACTAAATACATAGACAGCTATACTGTGTTCATGGATTGAAAAAGTCAATATTGTTAATATGTAAGTTTTTTTAAAATTGATCAATACAATCTATTAAGATGTCAGCAGGTTCTTTTTTTTAATCGAAATTGAGAAACTGAGATAAAAAAATTCATATGGAAATAAAAAGAACTTAACGATTCAAAATTATTCTGAAAAAAAGAAAAGTTTCAGGACATGAACAACATGATTTGAAGATTTAATATGAAGCTAAAATAATCAGGACAGCATGGTATTAACATAAGGATAGACAAATTAGTGGAAGATAAGAGATGGTCCAAAAATAGACCTAGAAGGAAATATAAATGTTTATGACATTGTAAAGGGCAAAGATTTCTAATGTGGGACACCAACATTGTGAACTCTACAAGAAAATAAAAATGTTAAACTAGGTTTATCAGTATTAAAAGTTCCTGCTTTTGAGAAGTCACTATTAAGAAAATGAAATGGCACATTGGGAGAAAATATTCACAATACACTTATCTGAGAAAACACTTGTGACTTCACAAAAGAAGATACGCAGATGGCCAAGGCACACATTAAGTGTAATTATCAGTCTTTAATCATCGAAGAAATACACATTATACTTGCAATGAGATACTATTTCACACCTGGTAGTATTGCTAACTGGCAAATGATAGAAAATTACAAGTATTGGTGAGGATATGCAGCAAACCAGAATGCTCATAAATTGCTGGTGAGAAAGTAAAAATTTATAATAGCTTTCAGAAAAGTTTAGCATTTTAAATTAAAATAAACATACATTCACTTTATGGCTCACCAACATAAATGAAAATATACCGCAACATCTATACATGCACATGTATGTTCCAAGGAATTTCATTTGCAATAGCTAATAATCTAGAATAAACTCAAATGCCCATCAACTGGTAATGGATCATCGGGGTATATTCATACAATAGAGTGCAACTCAGGAATCCAAAGGAACGAACTACTGTTATATACAACATATAGATGGATATCAAACACATTATGCTAAGTAAAAGAAGCCAGAGGAAAAAAGTATACAAGTAGTATAATCCTATTTATGAGATTGTACAAGAAGTAAAACTAATCTATTGGAAAAAATAGATCAATGATATGGCTGAAAATAGCGAGGACTTCTAGCAAAGGGCCACAAAAATATTTTTAAGGTAGAGAAAATATTCTATATCTTGATTGTCAGCGTGAATGCATGGGTGTAAAAATTTGTTAAAATGACAAACTGTACACTTAAATAGTTCCATTCTATTGTACATAAAGTATAACTCAATGCAATTGATTTTCAATGTTTACATATGTGTGTGTGTGTATTTTGGCATGTGTTTGTAAGAGGTGGCGAATGAAGTGCAGGAGTGCATACTAGGCTATTTGATTACGTTTGCGCTGTAGACGTGGGGTCGAGGAATGTAATTTTTTGAAACTTTCTTATCTTGTAAGGTTTATTTTTTCAAAAACAGTAAGCATGCATTACTTTTGAAAGTTAATAAATAAGATAGAGACACAATTAAAAGGTAAAAGGCAAGTTCTATTTATTCATCTCTTTCCCAGCTCCATACCGTAGGGTCTAGCACAAATGTGATAATACGGGACTTTGAATTATTTAATCTTTTAAATAGAGGAGCAGGTATCCTGCAGTCCTGACAAATATCAAGTGCTTTATGCCTTATCCTGGTTGAGTTTCCCATGATGGTTAATGGTGGCATCATCCTTACGGGTCTCTGCGCTCGAAAGTCGGCTGTCATTTTCGATATTCCCAAGTTGACAGGCCTGTTTTCTCCCCTCTGTTCCATCTCACATCTGTTTATTGAAATTATGCCTACCCGACAAGTTCTAGTTGAAATAACTCTCCCAGGAAGGATGGGCAAAACTTCTGATTAAAGATTGGCTTATTTAAACTCTTAGATTGCGTTATCATTCTCCTATAGCACTTCACACATGAAATATAAGGAGGAAAGTGTGGTAAAGTGGAAATAGCTTTTGGACTTAGAATGTGAAGGTCAGGACGCACACTCCAGCTCTGTCATTTACTAGATCTGTTACCTGTGGCATCAAGCTTTAGCCACAGGGTCCTCAATCTTCTCATAAACAAAACGTGGGCAGTAACCACTCCTTGGTGTTGTTTTGAAAGTCTGATTAGTTACTTTATGAATAAATGCATAACACACAACTTGGAATATGCCAAATATGTTTAGCGGTTAACCAAAAGATAAGCTTCTATCTTTTAACAGACTGCAAGTCTCTTGATAACCAGGGTCAAGCCCTGCCCACCTGTGTCCTATCCAAATCCTCCCTATGCACCTACTTAGCATATTGCCTGGTACATGACAAACTCAGTCAATGTTAAGTGAATTAAATTTTTTGAATTAGGATAAAAATAACCTGCTGACCAGTACTGAAGACAGCTTATTCTGGTGTTTGTCCCCAAATCTTCATTTTGCCCCATTAGAATTAGGTTGTTTACCACGTATACCCTCTGTGGTTTTGGTTGTAAAAGATGCATGTTTCAGGAACAGATTGTGTTGACTTTTTCTGCAAGATCGTGGCATTTGATGGCACTATATCTCATGTGGTAAAAGACTCTAAGCAGGACCCCACACTCTTTGACGACACCCTATTTTGCATTTACACTGTTGCTCTGAGAGCTACTGTGAAGGGAGCAGTAAGACAGTAGTCTGACAAAGTAAAAATAAGGTTTATTTGGGGTGTAAGTTGGCTAATTCCTTGATTCAAATTTTTTCCCCCTTTGTGATTACTGTGTCTTTGTTTAAAAGACAGAAAACTTATAAATTATACTTTTCTACCTGAGAGAAGATCGAAATGAAGGAGTAATATGAAAGATGTAATTATAATGTGCCAAAATAGGATCATTGCAAGTCGTTCTCTTTTTAAGAATTTATTTTGTTGGGAAGCCGAGTCAGGCAGATCACCTGAGGTCAGGAGTTGGAGACCAGCCTGGCCCACATGGTGAAACCCAATCTCTACTAAAAATACAAAAATTAGCTGGGCGTGGTGGTGGGCGCCTATAATTCCAGCTACTCGGGAGGCTGAGGCAGGAGAATCGCTTGAGCCAGGGAGGCAGAGGTCGCAGTGAGCCGAGATCGCACCACTGCACTCCGGCCTGAGCAACAGAGTGAGACTCTGTCTCAAAAAAAAAAAAATTTATTTTGGATGACATTTAAATTAAACTGCATCTCAATTCAAATACAAAGTAGGAAACTCTGATCACTAACTTTGCCAATCTGTCAATAGACTCTCAAAAGTTTTAGCAAGACAGAATTGTCCTTTTGAAAATCTTATACCACATCCCTAGACACAAGGAGAATTACTTTGTTCAAGTTGTCACCTTGTGACATAAACTTAAAACTGCCTTCCCCCACAGTGGTAACAGTCCTTATTCATGAAATAACTTGTATGTGTTGGTAGCTAGATAACTAACATTTCTTAATTATAACAGATGCAGATCCATTAAGGGAATAATACTGCATACTCCGAAACCAGTCATGTGTATAATCGTGAGCAATGAAATAATCATGTAAAACTAATCATAATGGCTGTCGTTTAATGAACACCTACTAAATTTAGGTTTTGTTTGTTTGTTTATTTTTTGAGACAGAGTCTCAACTAGGACCGATATTTATGTATTTAGTTTTTTGCGACAGAGTCTTGCTGTTTGTCACCCAGGCTGGAGTGCAGTGGCACGATTTCAGCTCACTGCAACCTCCGCCTCCTGGGTTCAAGTGATTCTCCTGCCTCAGCCTCCTGAGTAGCTGGGACTACAGGCATGAGCCAGTATGCCCAGCTAATTTTTGTATTTTTAGTAGAGATGGGGTTTCACCAAGTTGGCCAGGATGGTCTTGATCTCTTGACCTCGTGATCCACCCACGTCGGCCTCCCAGTGTTGGAATTACAGGCATGAGCCACCGCACCCAGCCATAGATTTTTAAATGATACTTTATTTTTCAAAACTCTCACGGATAGGTAGTATGGCCCATTTAATAAATAAGAAAGTGAGGCTCAGCAAAGTTAAGTCAGTCTTCCAATTTTGCGTAGTTAGGAGGTGCATAGCTTAGTCAGCTTTTCCTGAGTAAAGCTCTTGTTTTTTATCTTATGCCAAAGCCAGGCTAAAAACATGCTGGACTTCAAGCAAGCCTCCTGAAATCCAGTCGTCCAACAGTCAAGTAAGTGCTTCAAGGGCATGTTAACATGCACAGCTGCACTCTAGAAATTATTTTTCAGCACGGTTATTTTTTTTAAGAATTTTTTTTTTTATTTTTTTTACCAGAACAGGTGACTCTCTTTCCACAATCTTGGTGAATCAGAAAGTATGATGGATAACCTCAGCTTCTTTATAATAAATATTTTGCATTATGTTTAAAAAATATTGCCAGTTTTCCTAATTCTTTTATTCTCATTCTTAGTTTTTTACTCAATGATATTATGTCCTATGTTTATGATCATAAAATACTCAATTGCTTTATTTAATATAGACTGATGTGTTTTCCAAAAACAAAACACTGTAAAACTTTGGGAATTTTTTCTTGTGTTTTATTAGTTCATTCCATAGTATTTAGTTAACAAAAATCTGTTGATTGCCTTCTTTACGTGAAGCATTATTCTATGCCCTGGCAATACAACGGTAAAAAAAAAATAAGAAAACATAACATTTTTTCCTTTGAAAAAGCTTAAATTCTCATGGTGCTGTGATATGGTTTGAATGTCACCTCCATAAATCCATGTTGAAACTTTATCCCCAATAAAATAAATAAATAAATAAAAAAGAAACTTTATCCCCAATGTGGCAGTATTGAAAGGTGGTGAGAGGTGGGGCCTCTTTAATATGATTGGATTATGAGGCTTCCGGCCTCATGAATTGATTAATCCATTCATGGATTAATGTGTTAATGGATGAATGGGTTATCACGGGAGGGGAACTGGTAGCTTTATAAGAGGAAGAGAGACCTGAGTATAGCATGCTAGCCTACTCAGTCCTCTTGCCGTGCAATGCCCTTGGTCATCTCAGGACTCGTTAAAGAGAACACACTAGCAAGAAGGCTCCCACCAGATGTGCCCCTCCACTTGGACTTCCAAGCCTCCATAACTGTAAGAAAGAAAGTCATTTTCGTTATAAATTACCACGTTTTCATTATTACGTTATAAGCAACAGAAAATCAATGAAGGGCGATAGAAAACAAACCAGAGAAATGAAATCTAAGCTAGGTGGTATAGTGATGTTAAGTGCTATGAATAGTAAAACCATAGCACACCACCATGAGGATTTAAGCTTTTTGAAAGCAAAAAATGTTATTTTTTCTTATTTTTTTTTACCGTTGTATTCCTAGGGCTTAGAATAGTGCTTCACATAAGGAAGGCAATCAACAAATTTTTGTTTGTCTATACGTTATTGAAAGTGGTACATTAAAGTTTCCAGTTATGACAGCTGAGTTGTCCTATATCTATCTTCAATTTTGTCAGTTTTCGGTTTATTTATTTTTGGGCTCTGTGGCCAGGTCCAAATATTTTCATAATCGTCACATATTCTTGACAGATGAACACATTTACCTTTATAAAATGTCCTTATTTGTCCCTAGCCACAAATTTTGCCTTTTAATCTATTTTGTCAATGGCCACTTCATTGTTCTTTTGTTACTGTTTGCGTGGAATATCATTTTCCATCCTTTTACTTTCAATCCATTTGTGTCTTTGAATCTAAAGTGTCTCTGTTGTACACAGCATATAGTTGGACTATTTAAAATATGTTCTAGAAACCTCTGCCTCTTAATTGAGTTATTTAATCCATTTACCTTTAAGGAAATTGCTGATAAGATAGAATCTATGTCTGCCATTTTAAAAATTTTCTTTCTGTTTGCATGGTGTCTCTTTTGTGTCTCTCTTGATTGACTACTTTTTTCTTCTGTGTTAAATAGACATTTTATAATGTACCATTTTAATGTTTCTTTACGTATATTATTTGTGGTATCTCAGGGGATTGCAATGAACATATTAATTTGTAGTATCTAGCTTCAATTAGTGACAATTTGGTTTTTAAAGTATATAAAAATTTTGCTGATGTATGGCTGTGTTTCTTCCATTTCTTGTCTACCAACAAGAAACGGATTTTCTTAACTCCCTGGTTTGTAGGATGAAGTATCAGTATTTCTTTCCTTCTTCTTTCTTTATGTCCTTCCTGTACCCATCCTTGCCTGCTGCTAGCACCGAGGCTCTGTAAGCACTAAATTTATGTAACTCTCAAGTACTTTTTAAAATCTATAGCTAGTTGATTGTATGGGTAGAAAACCATGAGTGTGTATGTTATTATGATTATATAAATATTATTCACTCTGAAAAAATAGGTGTGCTTAATTAAATTTCTTCCTTTGTGGGCACAATGTCAAGACATCGGTCATACTCCAAGAAGCATATTTCTAGGTGCAAATAGATTCACCTTTTTTTTTTCTTATTGTACTTTAAGTTTTAGAGAACATGTGCACAACGTGCAGGTTAGATACATATGTATATATGTGCCATGTTGGTGAGCTGAACCCAGTAACTCGTCATTTAACATTAGGTATATCTCCAAATGCTATCCCTCCCCCCTCCCCCCACCCCACAACAGGCCCCGGTGTGTGATGTTCCCCTTCCTGTGTCCATGCGTTCTCATTGCTCAATTCCCACGTATGAGTGGGAACATGCGGTGTTTGGTTTTCTGTCCTTGCGATAGTTTGCTGAGAATGATGGTTTCCAGCAAACCCTACAAAGGACATGAACTCATCATTTTTTATGGCTGCATAGTATTCCATGGTGTATATGTGCCACATTTTCTTAATGCAGTCTATCGTTGTTGGACATTTGGCTTGGTTCCAAGTCTTTGCTATTGTGAATAGTGCCGCAATAAACATACGTGTGCATGTGTCTCGATAGCAGCATGATTTATAGCCCTTTGGGTATATACCCAGTAATGGGATGGCTGGGTCAAATGGTATTTCTAGTTCTAGATCCCTGAGGAATCCCCACACTGACTTCCACAATGGTTGAACGAGGTTAGAGTCCCACCAACAGTGTGAAAGTGTTCCTATTTCTCCACATCCTCTCCAGCACCTGTTGTTTCCTGACTTTTTAATGATCGCCATTCTAACTGGTGTGAGATGGTATCTCATTGTGGTTTTGATTTGCATTTCTCTGATGGCCAGTGATGATAAGCATTTTTTCACATGCTTTTTGGCTGCATAAATGTCTTCTTTTGAGAAGTGTCTGTTCATGTCCGTCGCCCACTTTTTGATGGGGTTGTTTGTTTTTTTCTTGTAAATTTGTTTGAGTTCATTGTAGATTCTGGATATGAGCCCTTTGTCAGATGAGTAGGTTGCGAAAATTTTCTCCCATTTTTTGTAGGTTGCCTGTTCACTCTGATGGTAGTTTCTTTTGCTGTGCAGAAGCTCTTTAGTTTAATGAGATCCCATTTGTCAATTTTGTCATTTGTTGCCATTGCTTTTGGTGTTTTAGACATGAAGTCCTTGCCCATGCCTATGTCCTAAATGGTAATGCCTAGGTTTTCTTCTAGAGTTTTTATGGTTTTAGGTCTGACGTTTAAGTCTTTAATCCATCTTGAATTGATTTTTGTATAAGGTGTAAGGAAGGGATCCAGTTTCAGCTTTCTCCATATGGCTAGCCATTTTTCCCAGCACCGTTTATTAAATAGGGAATCCTTTCCCCATTTCTTGTTTTTGTCAGGTTTGTCAAAGATCAGATGGTTGTAGATATGTGGCATTATTTCTGAGGGCTCTGTTCTGTTCCATTGGTCTATATCTCCGTTTTAGTACCAGTACCATGCTGTTGTGGTTTATGTAGCCTTGTATAGTTTGAAGTCAGGTAGCGTGATGCCTCCAGCTTTGTTCTTTTGACTTAGGATTGACTTGGTGATGCGGGCTCTTTTTTGGTTCCATATGAACTTTAAAGTAGTTTTTTCCAATTCTGTGAAGAAAGTCATTGGTAGCTTGATGGGGATGGCATTGAATCTATAAATTACCTTGGGCAGTATGGCCATTTTCACGATATTGATTCTTCCTACCCATAAACTTGAAATGTTCTTCCATTTGTTTGTATCCTCTTTTATTTCGTTGAGCAGTGGTTTGTAGTTCTCCTTGAAGAGGTCCCTCACATCCCTTGTAAGTTGGATTCCTAGGTATTTTATTCTCTTTGAAGCAATTGTGAATGGGAGTTCACTCATGATTTGGATCTCTGTTTGTCCGTTATTGGTGTTATAAGAATGCTTGTGGTTTTTGCATATTGATTTTGTATCCTCAGACTTTGCTGAAGTTGCCTATCAGCTTCAGGAGATTTTGGGCTGAGACGATGGGGTTTTCTAGATATACAATCATGTCATCTGCAAACAGGGACGATTTGGCTTCCTCTTTTCCGAAATGAATACCCTTTATTTCTTTCTCCTGCCCGATTGCCCTGGCCAGAACTTCCAACACTATATTGAATAGGAGTGGTGAGAGAGGGCATCCCTGTCTTGTGCCAGTTTTCAAAGGGAATGCTTCCGGTTTTTGCCCATTCAGTATGATATTGGCTGTGGGTTTGTCATAGATAGCTGTTGCTATTTTGAGATACGTCCCATCCATACCTAATTTATTGAGAGTTTTTAGCATGCAGGGTTGTTGAGTTTTGTGAAAGGCCTTTTCTGCATCTATTGAGATAATCATATGGTTTGTCTCATCGGTTCTGTTTATATGCTGGATTACATTTCTTGATTTGCGTATGTTGAAGCAGCCTTGCATCCGTGGGATGAAGCCCGCTTGATCATGGTGGATAAGCTTTTTGATGTGCTGTTGGATTCGGTTTGCTAGTATTTTATTGAGGATTTTTGCATCGATGTTCATCAGGGATACTGGTCTAAAATTCTCTTTTTTTGTTGTGTCTCTGCCAGGCTTTGGTATCAGGATGATG
The DNA here is from genome assembly GCF_000001405.40 of Homo sapiens. Lineage (NCBI taxonomy): Eukaryota > Metazoa > Chordata > Mammalia > Primates > Hominidae > Homo > Homo sapiens. Next base: position 141,020,009 of record NC_000023.11, on the reverse strand, counting down.
CTGCCCTCATCAAATGAGTTAGGGAGGATTCCCTGTTTTTCTGTTGATTGGGATCGTTTCAGAAGGAATGGTACCAGCTCCTTCTTGTACCTCTGGTAGAATTCGGTTGTGAATCCATCTGGTCCTGGACTTTTTTTGGTTGGTAAGCTATTAATTATTGCCTCAATTTCAGATCCTTTGATTTGTCTATTCAGAGATTCATCTTCCTGGTTTAGTCTTGGGATGTTGTATGTGTCGAAGAATTTATCCATTTCTTCTAGATTTTCTAGTTTATTTGCATAGAGGTGTTTATAGTATTCTCTGATGGTAGTTTGTATTTCTGTGGGATCGGTGGTGATATCCCCTTTATTGTTTTTTATTGTGTCTATTTGATTCTTCTTTCTTCCTTGTTTGTCTTGCTAGCGGTCTATGAATTTTGTTGATCTTTTCAGAAAACCAGCTCCTGGATTCATTGGTTTTTTTGAAGGGTTTTTTGTATGTCTACTTCCTTCAGTTCTGCTCTGATCTTAGTTATTTCTTGCCTTCTGGTAGCTTTTGAATGTGTTTGCTGTTGCTTCTCTAGTGCTTTTAATTGTGATGTTAGGGTGTCAATTTTAGATCTTTCCTGCGTTCTCTTGTGGGCATTTAGTGCTATAAATTTCCCTCTACACACTGCTTTGAGTGTGTTCCAGAGAGTCTGGTATGTTGTGTCTTTGTTCTCGTTGATTTCAAAGAACATCTTTATTTCTGACTTCATTTCGTTATGTACCCAGTAGTCATTCAGGAGCAGGTTGTTCAGTTTCCATGTAGTTGAGTGGTTTTGAGTGAGTTTCTGAATCCTGAGTTCTAGTTTGATTGCACTGTGGTCTGAGAGACAGTTTGTTATAATTTCTGTTCTTTTCCATTTGCTGAGGAGTGCTTGACTTCCAACTATGTGGTCAATTTTGGAATAAGAGCGATGTGGTGCTGAGAAGAATGTATATCCTGTTGATTTGGGGTGGAGAGTTCTGTAGATGTCTATTCGGTCCACTTGGTGCAGAGCTGAGTTCAATTCCAGAAGGAAAACTAACAAACAGAAAGGACATCCCCCCCAAACACCTTCTGTTCGTCACCGTCATCAAAGACCAAAGGTAGATAAAACCACAAAGATGGGGAAAAAACAGAGCAGAAAAACTGGAAACTCTGAAAATCAGAGTGCCTCTCCTCCTCCAAAGGAACGCTGCTCCTCACCAGCAGCAGAACAAAGCTGCATGGAGAATGACTTTGTCGAGTTGAAGGAAGAATGCTTCAGACGATCAAACTACTCCGAGCTAAAGGAGGAAGTTCGAACCAATGGCAGAGAAGTTAAAATCCTTGAGAAAAAAAATAGATGAATGGCTAACTAGAATAACCAATGCCGAGAAGTCCTTAAAGGACCTGATGGAGCTGAAAACCAAGGCACGAGAACTACATGACGAATGCAGAAGCCTCAGTAGCCAATGCGATCAACTGGAAGAAAGGGTATCAGTGATGGAAGATCACATGAGTGAAATGAAGCGAGAAGAGCAGTTTAGAGAAAAAGAATAAAAAGAAATGAACAAAGCCTCCTCGAAATACGGGATTATGTGAAAAGACCAAATCTGCGTCTGATTGGTGTACCTGAAAGTGATGGGGAGAATGGAACCAAGCTGGAAACCACTCTGCAGGATATTATCCAGGAGAACTTCCCCAATCTAGCAAGGCACGCCGACATTCAAATTCAGGAAATGCGGAGAACGCCACAAAGACACTCCTCGAGAAGAGCAACTCCAAGACATATAATTGTCAGATTCACCAAAGTTGAAATGAAGGAAAAAATGTTAAGGGCAGCCAGAGAGAAAGGTCGGGTTACCCACAAAGGGAAGCCCGTCAGACTAACAGCTGATCTCTCAGCAGGAACTCTACAAACCAGAAGAGAGTGGGGGCCAATATTCAACATTCTTAAGGAAAAGAATTTTCACCAGAATTTCATATCCAGCCAAACTAAGCTTCATAAGTGAAGGAGACATAAAATCCTTTATAGACAAGCAAATGCTGAGAGATTTTGTCACCACCAGGCCTGCCCTGAAAGAGCTCTTGAAGGAAGCACTGAACATGGAAAGGAACAACCAGTACCAGCCACTGCAAAAACATGCCAAACTGTAAAGACCATCGAAGCTAGGAAGAAACTGCATCAACTAAGGAGCACAATAACCAGCTAACATCATAACGACAGGATCAAATTCACACAGAACAATATTAACCTTAAATGTAAATGGGCTAAATGCTCCAATTAAAAGACACAGACTGGCAAATTGGATAAAGAGTCAAGACCCATCAGTGTGCTGTATTCAGGCAACCCATCTCACGTGCAGAGACACACATAGGCTGAAAATAAAGGGATGGAGGAAGATCTCCCAAGCCAATGGAAAACAAAATAAGGCAGGGGTTGCAATCCTAGTGTCTGATAAAACAGACTTTAAACCAATAAAGATCAAAAGAGACAAAGAAGGCCATTACATAATGGTAAAGGGATCAATTCAACAAGAAGAGCTAACTATCCTAAATATATACGCAGCCAATACAGGAGCACCCAGATTCATAAAGGAAGTCCTTAGAGACCTACAAAGGGACCTAGACTCCCACACAATAATAATGGGAGACTTTAACAACCCACTGTCAACATTAGACAGATCAACGAGACAGAAAGTTAACAATAAGTTTCAAAGAATGAAAATGAATCAAGCAGAGATTGTAGAGCTGAAAAATGCAAGTGATAGGCTGAGGAATCTCTCAAGTTCTGTTAATAGCAGAATCAATCAACAGAAGATGGAATTAATAAGCTTGAAGAAAGGCTATTTGAAAATAGTCTTTTGTCAGAAAAGACGAAAGAAAAACCGAGTAGAAAGCAATGAAGCATGTCTGCAGGATCTAGAAAATAGCTTCAAAAGGACATATCTAAGAGTTATTGGCCTTAAGGAGGAGGTACAGAAACACATATGAGTAGAAAGTTTCTCCAAAGAGATTATAATAGAGAACTTCCCAAACCCAGAGAAAGAGACACATATCCAAGTATAAGAATGTTATAGAACACCAAGGAGACTTAACTGAAAGAAGGGTGCTTCAAGTTATTCAGTAATGAAACTCCCAAAAATCAAGGATAAAGAATTTTTCTTAAAGCAGCAAGAGAAGAGAAACAAATAACATCCAATGGAGCTCCAATATGTCTGGCAGCAGACTTTTCAGTGGAAACCTTACAGGCCCGGAGAGAGTGGCATGACATATTTAAAGTGCTGAAAGAAAAAAATTTTAACCTTAGAATAATATATCTGCAACAACTATCCTTCAAACATGAAGGAGAAATAAAAATGGGCCCAGAGAATCAAAACCTGAGGGATTTCATCATCACTAGCCCTGTCCTGCAAGAAATGTTACAAGGAGTATTTCAATCAGAAAGAAAAGGACGGTAGTGAACAATAAGTTATCAACGGAAGGTACAAAACTCAGTGGTCATTGTAAGTACACAGAAAGAATATTATAAAAAAGTGACTGTAGTGTGTAAACCGCTCTTATTCTAAGTAGAAAGACTAAAGGATAAACCAATCAAAATGTAAAAGCACAACTTTTCAAGACACAGTCAACACAATGAGATACAGAAAGAAATGACAAAAAATTAGCGGTGGGACAAAGTTAAGATGCAGCTTTATTAGTTTTATTTTTGTTTGCTGTTTGTTTGTCAAAATCGTCTTAAGTAAATATCAGATTAAAAATAATGGTTTATAAGATATTATTTGCAAGCCTCAAGGTAACCTGAAACTAAAGAACATGCAATATATACACAAAAATTCGAAGGCAAGGAACTAAATCATCTACCCACAGAAAAATCATCCTAAGAAAAGACGGAAAGGAAAGAAAGAAGGAAGATAAGATAACAAAAACATCTGAACATAAAAATCAAAATGACAGGAGTAAGTTCCTACTTATCAATAGTAACATTGAATGTAAATGGGCTAAACTCTTCCATGAAAAGACATAGACTGGCTGAATGTATGAAAAAACAAGACACATTGATCTGTTGCCTGCCAGAAACACACTTCACTTCTGAAGACACACATAGACTGAAAATAAAGGGATAGAAAGAGATGCTCCATGCGAATGGAACCAGAAAGAAGCAGGATTAGCTATATTCCTAGCAAACAAAATAGATTTCAAGACACAAAATGTAAGAGGAAAAAAAGTCACTATATAATAATGAAGGGATCAGTTCAACAAAAGGCTATAAGAACTTTACATATATGTGCACCCAAGTCTGTAGCACCAAGGTATATAAAGGAAACACTATTACAACTAATGGGAGAGATAGGTCCCAATAGCATAATGGCTGGGGGCTTCAACACCCTACTTTCAGCATTGGACAGTTCTTCCAGACATAAAATCAACACAGAAACATCACACTTAATGTACATTACAGACCAAATGGATGTAACAGACATTTACAAAACACTTCTTCCAAGGACTGCAAAATACACCTTCTTTTACCCAGCACGTGGATCATTCTCAAGGTTAGAATATATGTTAGGTCATAAAACAAGTCTTAAAACATCAACATTCAAATAAATTGAAATAATATCAAGCTCCTTCTCTGACCACCAAAAAACAAAAAAAGAAAATCCCGAAAATAACAAGGGGAACTTTGAAAATTATACAAATCCATAGAATTAAAAAAAAAATATGCTCCTGAATGACCCACAGGTCAATGAAGAAATTAAAAACTAAATTGTAAAATTTCTCAAAATAAATGATCATGGAAACACAACATACCAAAACCCATGGGATACAGCAAAAGCAGTATTAAGAGGGAAGTTTATAGCTATAAGTGCCTACATTGAAAAAGAGGAACACCTGCAAATAATTCATGACGCATCTTAAAAAAACAGAAAAATAAGCTCAAAGTGAACCCCAAATCAGTAGAAGAAAAGAAATAATAAAAGACCAGAGCAGAAATAAATGAAAGTAAAATGAAGAAAGTCAAAACACTATCAAGGAAACAAAAAGTTGGGTTTTTTTTAAAAAGCTATTCAAAATTGAGAAACCTGTAGCCAATCTAAGGAAGAAAAAGGAGAGATCGAGATAAATAAACTCCAAAATTGAAAGGAGACATTACAGGCTAAAGCTGCAAAAATTCAAAGGGCTCTTGTGGTGACCGTGGGAAACTGTATGTGAATAAATTGGAAGATCTCCCTGAAATGAAAATTACTTCCTGCTGACGAGGGGACGGAGAGTTTTTTGGGTTGACAGTAGGAGCAATGCCGTCTGTAGATGTTTTTGGGTAGTTGTCTGTGAAATGGCCGTGATCCTGTTAGTTAAAATTTTCCGAGAAAGGTTAATTAGGCAGGGTAAGAAAATTAGCCCCAGGCATATTATTAGGAGAGGGCCCAGAAATAGGATGACCCATGCTATGATTGTGTTCCCAAACCAAGAACTTATTTGGTTGTTTTGGTACTCCCTTAGCTTTTTAGCCTTTTCTTTATGTTTGTTTTAGCAGCGTTTTTTTACTAGGCCTGATTGGTTGATAAAGAAACAATATTCCTTACCTAATGAGAGGTAGAAGCACATGTTTGGAAAGGCCCATGTGTTAGTTTCTGTTAGTAAGCGTTATTCCTGCTAAGAGGCTAATAATTAAGCAAAATGCTACAGTAATTGAGATTGTTTTTGTCTGACATTTTACCCTGAGGGTGCTACAGTATATAGTTTTACTGCAAATAGTAGGGTGAGTAAAGCAGTTTCCACAAGGGTGGTGTAGTCAATAATTTCCATTAAAAAGTTGTAATATTTGGCTTGAAAGGAGAGATAGGAATGACAAAAGTGTTTGGTGAGGTAGGGGTGAGACTGAGTAAGACGAGCAATTCTTTCTCGGTTATTTATTTTTTATGATTTTTAGCTTACGATTTCCTATTTCTTTATTTGCTCCTGTGAGGGTTAGGGGGCTTAGAGGCAGTGCCTGCTGAAACATCTAGTTTCCAGTTTATAGGGCTTTAAGAAAGCACAGCTTATTTTGAAGTCTTGTAGTCAGAAAAATTAGAATTTAATTAAACAGTAGCAAATAATAACTGAAAAACATCAGGCAACTCTAGAATTTAACAAGAGGTGTGTCATAGTTTTGGAAACATAATTTCCTCTCTCCACTTTCCCATTTTTATTAAAAGACAAATTATGGTAGGTTTGCTTTAGGATACTTGGCTTACTTGTTTGCATACAGTGCTGCAAGAATAATTATTTGTTACATAGGCCTTTTAAATGGGCTTTGGTGGAATTTGGTTTTGTAGAAGCAATCTGAGATAAAAGACTTTTTAAAGCCAAGCCCAGCCATGGATTTGTACCATTAAATACCTATGAGTTGGGTGAATTCCTCTCCTCTTGATGTTTCAAGATAACTTAGGGTTCCTGGCCTGTTAGAAAGTGACATGTTCTGTTTACCACAGATCACAAACCCTGTACGGGGACTGTGTACACAAAATATGAGGCCAGTTTTTCAAGGGCTTTATTGGCTTTATAAGTTAAAGCTGGATTCCTTAAAGGAAAAGCACACCATTCCAGTTAAAGCCTTGGTAAGAATAACCAGTTTTTCCAATCGTGTCCCGTTACAAAAGAAAACAGATTCTTGTTGTATTTATGCAAATAACTATATTGCCATAACTTAAGAATACTCATAGATAGTTTCCAAATTTTGGAGAGAATCAGGTAGAGAGAAACAAGTATCCTCCAAATTTTGTTGATGGGAGTTAACAGTTAAAAGTTAAACAGTTAAAAGCTGTTAATCGCTTAAAAAAAGTTTCTTTGACTTTGAAAGGTAAAACAAAGGGATAGCAATATTTTAAGCAAAACGTTAAACAGATTAGTTTCCTATTAGTTTGGTTTATGCAGTTAATTCCTGTCCTGCTTTTTATCAGAAACCTGCATTCAGAGCTTTATAGCTGATTAGAAAACCACCCTTTGAAGAGGACTAAAACAAGACAACAATTGTTTATGGATGACAAAAAGTTTTAGGGTAGCCATAGTTAAAGACACAGTTGACAAAGATATCCGTTACCTCTGTGGCACACAATAATTTTAACAAAACAATTATAATTATTAGTGATAACGTACACTAAGATATATTAGAATGATAGGAATCTGCCATAACTTTGGAACACATCCCAATAGCATATTTATACAACTATAGCCCAAAGAAAGCCAAATACCATTTTATATTTGACAATGCTTCCTGTATGATTTTATATCAAATAAGCCAAATTTTACCATTGTATTAGTGTGCTATTAATGTTAAGCTCCATTTTTCATAAAACCTTGTAGACGCATTTACCCAATGTTCATGTTTGACCGGAAGGTAAGGTTTTTATAGACCCTTTTTAACCGTTTATACTTTTTGTTAAAGAGCAGGTTAGTGCTTTAACAGAAACCCATTGTGCTTTTATTTTAATGCTCGATTTACAGAAAAACTGAATGATACCCCTTTAACTTTAGCCAGTATGTACACACACGAAATTTTCTTTACAATTAACCTTCCAAAAGTTGCTTAAACCTTTAAAACAATTTTTTAACCTTTTAATGTAGGCAAAAATCCACATTCTTAGGCCTCCTTATAATCTTTTTACCAAAAGTATATTTTACTTTCCTTACACACCTTGCTCATAAACTATTTCTTCGGTAGTTTTAAATACGTGTTACACTGCTAAGTTTTAGCAACCTTTACTTTTGATGAAAACCTTGGTAAGTCTGGGAATCTAATTACGCACTAGGTGTAGGGCCTAGGACCCAGACGGAAGTGCGGAGAAGGTCTGGTTTATTCCAGCATTTAACTCCATGTGTCCTAGGGTTTATTCAGCTGCAAAGCAGGCAAGCTGTACAGCTAAGAGTTAGAGTGAAATTGTATACAGCATTCAGGAGGCCGAATTACTTTTAAATTGTGCGACATTTCTTGCACAAATTCCCTTTTATAAAATTCTTCACGACTTTCACAGACAATTTCTGACATGCCTTACCTTTCTGACTTGTTGTAAAGTCATCCCTTTTTTTAAACAACAGTTAATTTACTTTAGGACAAAAATTTACCATGTGAGATTCTTTCTTATACCAATTATCTTTTCTTTAATATTAAAGATGATAACAGTTCTTTCCCAAAACAAATTTCCTTCATGTCTGTGGACTAGACTGCCTAAGGCCACAAGGTTGGAAGTTAGCATATTTTACTAAATAGTTAAAGATATAGCTATCTTCGTTAAACCAATATTCATGCTTTATTTATTGAAAAAATTACACAAGCAAAGATTATTTTGTTTGGGCTGAGTTGTCGTTTTGTAGCCTCTGTGCCAAATGTTGACACCTTATAGTATTTTGCAGCCATAAGTATGAAATTGCTTGATTAATAAATGCAAATAAAAACGTACGCTGGCACCTCTTAACGACTTTCAACTCAACTTTTAACTTTGCTGTACCCGTAAGTTCTAAAGATTAAAATTACGAGAACTGAAAGGTCCCACAGCTTTTACTTTTCCCTTAAAAATATTTGATTTAAGTGCTTATTTTTTTGGCCAGTTAATTAGAGTTCTTTTAATAGACATCGCACACATAAAACATATATAGCCACACAGACAATCAGAAGAAGACTTAGTAGTTATAAGATTTTTTTTCTGCTAATTTTCCAATTGGATTATTGGCCTTCGGGTGAGGCCTTTTAGGAACAGGGCTAAGAAAACAGTTTCTAGGGCCTAATGAACAAGTACAGTTGGAAGACAAAGACAGATCTTTGAGAGGTACTTATTTAAGTCTAGGGGTTTCATAAGGAAAACAGAGGTTTTTCCCAAAACGGGATTTGTGGCACCTTTTTTGTTTTCCCAAGGAGTCCCAGGCCACCAGGAGTCATTTCAGGGTCTTTCATACATGCACCAAGAGTGGCAAGACAGAGTGGAGAAAAGTAATTTAGTCGATCAGGAAAAAACCTTTTCCAGGAAAACAAAATTTATGAAGAGAAAAACATAAACGCGGCTGGGCACGGTGGCTCACGCCTGTAATCCCAGCACTTTGGGAGGCCGAGGTGGGCGGATCTTGAGGTCAGGAGTTCCGAGACCAGCTGGGCCAACATAGTGAAATCCTGTCTCTACTAAAAATAGAAAAATCAGCCGGGTGCGGAGGCAAGCGCCTGTAGTCCCAGCTACTTGGCAGGCTGAGACAGAAGAATCGCTTGAACCCAGGAGGCAGAGGTTGCAGTGAGCCGAGACCACGCCTCTGGGTGGAGGGGAGGAGGTTATTTTGGGGCTGGCATCTTCCTGGCCAGGGTGGGGTTATCTTGGGGCTAGCTTGTCTCTGGTCGGGGAGGAGTCTGGAATGTTTCTGGTTGGAGATGTTATTTGCGGTTTATGGTCATGCTGACCTTAGCCATTAGGCTGATGCCGTTTGGATTTTGGCGGTTTTTGATTAAGGTGAATTTTAAAATGACAGAGCTTGTTCAAGATGGCAATACTCCTGCTTTGTCAGTGATGTCCTAAGCCTCTAGCCCCTGATGCCTTGGTATCGTCACTGATTGCAAAAGCTATGCCATGCCTAATGTGCATTTTCAGGAAGGAACAATCAGCATGTTTCTGAGTTTGGAGACCTGGATTCTTGCAAGAGACTGTGGGTTCCTATGATCCTATGGTCTCTTCCAGCTTTAATATTCTATGATAAAATGATGTCCAGTGCTTTCTCTATTGCAAAAATCTGGCCAGACGTGGTGGCTCACACTGTAATCCCAGCACTTTGGGAGGGTGAGGCAGGTGGGTCACACGGTCAGGAGATCAAGACCATCCTAGCTAACATGGTGAAACCCCATCTCTACTAAAAATACAAAAAATTACCCAGGCATGGTGGCACGCACCTGTAGTCCCAGCTGCTCAGGAGGCTGAGACAGAAGAATTGCTTGACCCCGGGAGACAGAGGTTGCAGTGAGCCGAGATCACGCCACTGCACTCCAGCCTGGGCGACAGAGCTAGACTCTGTTGCAAAAAAAAAATGTGTGTGTGTGTGTGTGTGTGTGTGTGTGTGTGTACATATGTCTGCGTGTGTGTGTGTGTGTGTGTGTGTGTATATAAATCTCGGTTCTAGTTGTTTGATGTCATGAATTTTCACATCCTATTATACTCACTAGTAATAGTTTGTAATTACTGAACATACACTATGTACTAGGCTCTGTGCTAAAAGCTTAAATATATTAATTAATTTGTTTTTCAAAACAATCCTGAGAAGTAGGTGCTAGCATTTTTTCCATTTTTCATACGAAGAATCTAAGACTCAGAGGAGTTAAGAAACTTGACCTACATCACCCGACTAGGACGTAGCAGAATTTCAGATTTGAACCAGGCCCATGATCTTACTTTTATTCCATATTTCCTCTGAACATAACAAGAGTAATACTAACGAGTACAACATTAATATAAGTTTAGTACTACAGTTGGCAATTTAATAACCCTTGCCACAACTGTGAGAACATGTAGCATGAATAGTACTCTATCCATTTTATTGATAGGGAATTAATCACTTACCAGTGTTGCTCCCTGACAGTTAAAACATGTAAATGCTTTCTAGTAATGAAGACTGCAATACTAAATTCAGGTTAACCAAATATTTCATTCACCAAATATTGCTTGCAAGTTTACATGTTCCAGGTACTGTAGTAAAATAACTGATAAAAGTATCATTTTTTTGGAAAGAAGTACAAGTACCATTTAACGTCTTCACCATTAAATGGAGGATAGCCTTTCCAATAAAGTGACTTCTGACTAGTGACCTTAAGAAAATTCGGATACACAGGCTGGGCGTGGTGGCTCACGATTGTAATCTCAGCACTTTGGGAGGCGAAGGCAGGTGGATCACGAGGTCAGGAGTTCAAGACCAGCCTGGCCAACCAATGAAACCCCATCTATACTAAAACTACAAACATTAGCCAGCCGTGGTAGCAGGCGCCTGTAATCTCAGCTACTCAGGAGGCTGAGGCAGGAGAATTGCTTGAAACCAGGAGGTGGAGGTTGCAGAGAGCCGAGAGTGCACCAGTGCACTCCAGGCTGGCCGACAAAGCAAGGCTCCATCTCAAAAAAAAAAAAAAAAAAAAAGGAAAGAAAAAGAAAAGAAAAGAAAATTAGGATACATAGTGGATATTTTAGAGAAGAAGCTTCCAGGCAGAAGTATGCAAAGACCCTGATATGGATGGCAGGTTAGAGGAATCACATGCATGGTGAGTTACAAGAGTCACAGATTGGGGAGTGTGATAGAAGCAGAGTGATTCACGAGAAGAATAAGTATTAATGTCAGAGAGGTAATAGGTGCCCACATCATGTACGGCCTTATTAGGAATTTGGATTTTATTTTCATGAAGATGAAAACTCTGTGGAGTTTTCATCAAAGGAAAAACATGATCTGGCTTAAAATATATTTGTAGGAGATCAAGGATAGAAGAAATAACCCATTGTCATTATTACATTACCAAATATTTTTCAGAATCATTTTTTGTTTGCTCAGATGATTTTCAAAAACATCTTTAGCTACTTAATTTAACTTGTTAAGTATTCAGACTTGTGAAGCTTTCTACCAATTTAGGTTTAAGCTCGTCTCCTCTCTTCTCTCCTCTTCTCCTTTCCTCCCTCCCTCCCTCCCTCCTTCCCTCCCTCCCTTCCTTCCTCCCTCCCTCCCTTCCTTCCTTTCTTTCTTCCTTACTTCCTTGTCTTTGAGATTCCTCCCAGAGCATAAGATAACACAGGACGAGGTTTGCTGTCTGAAATGCGTTGAAGTCCCCTGTTATTACAAGAGTTCAAAAACGTGATGACCTCCAAAGGATGCTTAAGAAATAGAATCAGTCTTAAGTTGTAGTGTGGTGTACGGGGATCACTCTCTAGGGTCCATATTTAGTCAATGACAAAATATTTGCTGACTTTCAAATGGATCGGTGATTTCTTGTTTTTGTTTTTGTTGTTTTGAGACAGAGTCTGGCTCTGTCACCCAAGCCGGAGTGCAGTGGCACGATCTCGGCTCACTGCAACCTCCACTGCCTGGATTCAAGCAATTCTCCTGCCTCAGCCTCCCCAGTAGCTGGGATTACAGGCGCCCGCCACCACGCCCAGCTAATTTTTTTTTTGTATTTTAGCAGAGACAGGGTTTCACCATGTTGGCCAGGTTCGTCTCAAACTCCTGACCTCGGGTGATCCGCCCGCCTCGGCCTCCCAAAGTGCTGGGATTACAGGCATGAGCCACTGCACCTGGCCAGATCAGTGATTCTTGATTTTCTTGGCCATGAAGAAAATGATGCAATATGCTCTTCAAGGGCCTTTCTGCAGAATAGAGAAGATGAGATGCAAACTATTCTCATTGATGAACACCTTGGTTATAACTATATCTCTTTCTCTTACATTCAGAAAATTGTATTGGAATGCAAATGGTTGTGAGAGATACCACTTTTTATTGAAACAGCTGGCACATGAATATACCTGGTTACAATGCTTGGCCGAATGAGAAATGCAATGCCATTTTATGTAATTGCACTTAATATGCATGAGTCTCACACTTAATCAATTCAGAATCTCAGAATTTCCCAATGTTGTATCCATCGAACATCTCCTGAGATGCGTATCATCCCATCTGGCCCTAAATGGCTGATTCATGCAGAACATTTTCATGTCATCCCTCAAGCCCAACCACAGGGCACCTTCAGATCCAACTCTCTTTAAAACACTTTAGTGTCCTTCTTAGGGGCATGAGAAACATCAAACTGGTTTCTTTCACCATTCTGATTCTTCAAGAAAGGAAGTAGAGCTGTTATAGGCCATTTAGTGACTATGTGCTGCTCTCAGGTAGCCCCTCTCCCTCTGCTGTCCTGCACAGAAAAACATAGTACATGATTAACTATGTAAGACTCTCTCAAGCCCATCTTCCCAGGCAGAACACTTGGACATGTCTTTCTTCTTTATTTTTATTATTTTAAACTGAACAGATAAAATGGAATGTGTCTATCATGTATCTAATGTTTGAAGTATATACATTGTAGAATGAATAAATATAGCTAATTAACATATGCATCATCCCACAAAGTTATCATTTTGTATTGAGAACACTTACCATCTACTCTCTTAGCATTTATCAATAATACAACATATTATGATCACCTGTAGTCACCGTGTCGTACAGTGTATCTCTGCAGCTTATTCCTTCAGTCTAACAGAAATTTGGTATCCTTTGAGCAATGTCTTTCCAGCCACCACCACCGAGCCCCTAGTCACCACCATTCTACGCTCTACCTCTGTGAGACTTCTTAATTTTTTATTATTTTATTTTTAAATTTTTGTTAACTTTTATGTTAGGTTCAGGGGTACATGTGCAGGCTCGTTATAAAGGGAAGTTGCGTGTCACACGGGTTTGGTGTACAGATTATTTCATCACCCAGGTAATCAGCATAATAGCTGATAGGTAGCTTTTCAACCCTCACCCTCCTCCCCATCCTTTACCCCCAAGTAGACACGGGTGTCTGTTGTTCCCTTCTTTGTGTCCATGTATACCGATGTTTAGCTCTTGCTTATAAATGGAAAAAGGTGGTATTCCATTTTCTGTTCCCACGTGAGTTCGCTTAGAGTAATGGCCTCCAGCTCCATCCATGTTGCTGCAAAAGACATGATCTCGTTTTTTTATGGCTGCATAGTATTCCGTGCTGTTTATGTACCACATTGTCTTTATCCAGTCTGCTGCTGATGGGCCTTTAGGTTGATTCAAAATCTTTGCTATTGTGAATAGTGCTGTCAAGAACATACGCATGCGTATGTCTTAATGGTAGAATGATATATATCCTTTGGGTATATATCCAGTAATGTGATTGCTGAGATGAATGGTATTTCTAAGTTCTTGCAGAAATCACCAAACTGCTTTCTACAATGGCTGAACTAAGTTACATTCCCATAAACAGTGTATAGGTGTTCTCTTTTCATTTCTTTCAAGGCAGCAGGTTTCTTTCTGGCCTAGGGTGTGTCTAGAAATGTTATCCAGGAGCGAGTGCCTGGAGCAGGGGCTTCACAACCCCGACCGGTGCCCTGTCCCGCTGTAGTTGAGCTGGTATTCAAGATGCAAGAAAAAAAACACTCCTCACTATTCCATCTCCTCAAGTGGAAGGAGGGGGTCTTTTATGGAGCCGCTAGCTGGGCAGTCTGGGGCTAGGGCAGGGGTGACACCAGCACTCACTTGGCTGCCCCAGCTGGTATCTCAGGAGGTCATGTGCACCCCTCCACATACCCGCCACAATCCACTGCCTCTGGGCCCAATTCTATGCTAGAACTCACCTACGAGTTAGAGATCTTATGGCCTAGACTGCCTTTAAGGTTGTCTGAGAAACCTGGAACCGTTTCTTAGCCCTTGGTGGCAAGGTTTGCAGAAACTCAAGTTCTGATTCCTGGGATGGGTAATTTCCCTCTGGCTAGAGGTGGTTTCAATGCTCCCTTCCCAGATGGGAGTCAGCTAAGTTTGGTCTGGTTTTCCTTTCTCCTGTAAGAGACAGCACCGAGTTCAGCGACCCACAACTGCTCTGCTCTTGCTCGTCCAGCTTCCAGAGATGCTCTTTACACCATACTGCCACTGCCTAGGATAGGGAAGGGGCGGGGTCAGCGATTTAAGACTGTTTCTTCTAACTCTTCAGTGCCTCTTTCAGTGATACCACCAGGTACTATGAGAGTTCCCCTGATTTTGGGTTCTTATGGAGGTGTTTTCTACTGTGTGGATAGTTGTTAAATTTGTGTCCTTGCGAGGGGGCTGATCTGGGCAGCCTTCTATTCTGCTTTTCTTGCTCCACCTCTCTCAGCTTAGTTTTGGTTTGTTTTTGTTTGTTTGCTTTTCCTCTGCAATGCCTAAGGCTAAAGAATGTGATCCCGTATTAACTATCCTAAATATGAAAAATTCTTTAATGTCACGTGCTGGGTGGAAATATTAGTTTGCAATGAGAAGTACCTTCAATTGTACAGATCAAAGAGTAAGAAAAAAAGCATTGGGATTTTTTGTTTTTACCTTGTGGTCCGACAACTTGAAAGAATATTCTTTTATTCCAAAGATGGTACGTGGGGGATTTTGTTCTGGAAATCAGTGCTAGGTATTTAGGTATTTGGTTGGAGAAAAGCAAACTGGTTTTTGTCTATTGATATTTAGTATATTTTATTTTTTCATGTTATCCATGACAGTGTTATGACAGCAAGGAACAGTTACAAATAACTGAAATTGTAATTGCTCCTGCATTTTTATTTAACTCCCTCATGTATCCTGAGAAGACCTTCTTGTTTTACCTAATGATCTCTCCAACATCCCCTGAACTCTCAAGAGGTAGACACTATGTGAAGGTCAATTCAAAGACAGAAACTAAAACCCCATCCACGGGTGACTCCATGGTGAATCCCTGTGGTGTCTTTTCCCGCTAACCGATGTGTATCCACCAAGCAGTTTTCTTTTTCAGTATAAATATTATACTGTTTGACATTTTAAGACACATGGTAATCAAAATCTATAGCCTTAATTAAATGATGAATTTCAGGAAATTATCATGCAAAATGGAAGTGTTAGGAAGCCGATAATAGACACACTCTCCTAAAAATGATCTCACCACATCACACCTAACCCTTCTCACCACCTTGCAGTTCACATTCCATGGAAAAAAGCTCCTCATACTTAAGAGTGTTTTACTTTCCTTTTCCCAAGTCGTGGCGATTTTGACTATTCACACTTGCGGATATCAACACATTTCTAAAGCATGCTTATCTTGATTAAACACTGCTGAGGTTATTAAAACAGTAACATAAATATTTAAGATGCAGTGTACATTTTGTTTTAAAATTTGGCTTTTCAATCATTTCATTACATGCAATGCTTTCCTGCCGTTTACTTACTCCTACATCTACTATCTTCTTTTGTATTGTGCTTTGTGTTTTACAGAACATTTACGCTTTATAAAGCATATATTTCTAACCTAGGAAAATATCAAATGGAAAGGGGATGGGAATACCTTTGATATGTCCATTCAGCAGAACTATGTGCTGCCGGGTACAGTTGCGTGAACATATACACATCTCCACTTCCTGTGAGATAAAATTTTAAGAAGAAAATTTTCTTTAGGAATCAGTCCTCCCCCAGGCCTTATTTACAATGTCTGGCTTACTGTCAACCTGTGGGTCTGTCCACCAACCCTACAGGACCTCATATCCCTCCCTTCTCAAATGCCTACCTCTTCCCTTCCCTTCACCCCCCACCATCAGAAAACAGGCAGAGATATACACAGCCATCAGCTTCTCAAACTTTATTTTCATTGCCGAAGTTTGAGGGATGTAGCTTCTTGCTACTTTTTAGGTCTTTCAGTCGTTATTTCTATGAATTCCTCCTCCTCCATTTGGTCGGGGTTGATTCTGTTCTCTCGGGCGTGGTCATTCAGCAGTTCCTCTGGAGATGTTCTTTTCACGTTCCTCCTGTAGCGAACCACTAGTATGGTCGAGGACTCAGATGTTTTCATTTTTTTAGGAGCAGGTTGCGGGTCTGAGTCCCCAGTTGGGGTCTCCGGCATCTGTTAAGAAAACAGGGAGAGGCCAGGAGGACATTATTTTGGGTGAACAGGATAGAGACTGGATAGCAAGGGGGCTTCATGAGAAGAAGGAATGCAGGTTGAGGAAGGGGTTTGATCCAGAGAAGAAGAAGGTTGAAGCACAGAGTAGGGATCTATGGGGAAGAAGAAGAGGAGCGTGGGTAGGGTCACCTGTGAGTCCAAACTGCACCATTTTGTCAGTTCTTTGCTATTTTGCAGACCTTGGTCAAAGTGAAACATCCCATGGGGGTTCAGGCCGTGAGAAACATCCTGCCTAACCACCTGTCCGCAAGGCGGACAAAGGCCCAACTGAAGAAACATCCCTATCATATCTTGCTTGGCAGCGTTCTAAGGAACACCACAATGATATTCCACCAGAAAAAGGGCCAAACCACCTGATCATAAGAACATCTTATCAATATCCTGCCGGGCAGCAAGCCATACTGCCCAGGCCCCTCCCACCCCTACCTACAAGCACCCCAGGTTGTAAGCGGCGGTGGGCTCTGGCATTAAGCGGGCCCCCCACTTCCACAATGGTCTGCAATATTCCTGTGTTGTTGTTTGAGCCGCCCCCGCTCTGTGTGTCTTTCTTTCACCCTCGCCTTCACTTCAGAACCTAACAATCTTACCGTCTTGTTGGCCTCATTGGCCTCGTTGGCCTCGTTGGATTCACAGGGGACGCTCCTCTTCAGCCTGCGGACACTGGATTGTTGGCCCATTGTATATATTGGTTCTTCGATGTCTACAGTAGGTTTTTGGAGCTTTTGAATCTTCGCAGTGGCCCAGAGCTCTTGCCCTCCCTATGCATACCCTCCTGGTGACAAGGCAAAGCCACACCCTTGAGCTTTGTTTGATCATACAGGCAGTGTCCCAGCCAATGGCAGCCCTAGGGTGGCTTCGACGTCACAAAGCCCCACTGCTGACCACTCCCTGGGCTTGCGGGCGAGGGGTGACAGGGGTGTAGAGCAAACCAAATGCTGTTGTTGTTTCAGCATCCCCTGAAGATGCATCCCAAACCGATCTGCCGCCGCTCCTCATTTCTCCATGTTTAATGTTCACGGTTCACATGGAAGTCAGAGGATGATTCCTTCAAGCCCTTCCCCACAGCCATTCCTATTAAGTGATTCATTCTTTTGTCTTCCAGCCCTCACCATGACTTAGTATTTTCGATGTCTCACCTCAAATCCCCCACGCTAGTGTGGCTACATTTATTTATTGGCGGAGATGTGAATTATCCCATTTCCCTCCTACAGTTCCTTCACATGCACCTCGAAGACCATTTACTTTTGGGCTACTGCCAGGCAAATTTCAACCCATGTTCTTTTACCCAATGTCCATGTAGTTCTTTTAAGTTTCCTATCTCCAATCTGAAATAATGGCCTTCAGTCTGTCAAAACTTTAGTGAATAAACATTCTTTACCGTGTATCCTAGTCTTGTTTCAAATCAGGGGTGTATATTTTTTTCTTTTTTTCAAATGGAGTTTCACTGTTGTTGCCCAGGCTGGAGTGCAGTGGCATGATCTCAGCTCACTGCAACCTCTGCCTCCTGGGTTTAAGTGATTCTCTGGCTCAGCCTCCTGAGTAGCTGGGATTACAGGCCTGTGCCACCACGCCCGGCTAATTTTTGTATTTTTAGGAGAGACGGGGTCTCACCATCTTGGCCAAGCTGGTCTTGAACTCCTGACCTCGTGATCCACCTGCCTTGGCCTCCAAAGTGCTGGGATTACAGGCGTGAGCCACCACACCCAGCCAGGACGGCCATTATTAAAACCACCATTGACAAGTAAATTTTGGTTACTTCTGTAGCATACAAGAATTTAACATAAAAGTTATAATTAATAACATACACAAGTTATTTCAGAAGTATAAGAGTTTCCCATAATTTTGGAGCACATATCAATGACATTTCTATAAATACAGCCCAAAGAAAGTCAAACACCATTTTATATTTGATGATGCTTCTTGTATGATTTTTATACCAAATAAGACCAATATGTCTCTTTTGGACTTCAGAGGACTCATATCAAAAAATTAATGAGGAATGAAGTTAGAATTTGACTTTGGAAAGTTCGTCAAAGATAAAAAGTTTAAAATGCTTGATATCACGAAATAGGGTCATGGGTCATTGTAAAATAAGTCATTCATTTAACCAAAGCAGTAACTCAAATGTTTCAAAAAAAAAAAAAGGTGAAAATCTTTATTCTTTGAGAGAGGAGGCTTAATATCCCAAACAATAAGCCCTAATTAAAAACAGGATGCGGCAAATTAAGTTTGTTTTTTTGAAATTGTATAATAAAAGTTTAATCATCTTGAGTATAAAATATAATTTCTATAAACCTTGTAACCTTCATCATTTTGCATGAAGGAGTGAGTTAATGCTCCAAGAAAGCCTTGTTAAACTGACACAGCAACCTAGATACTGGTTTTGCTTTAGTGTGCCTTTGATATTAATGGTTAATTCCTAGAGAAACTGAGCTACTTTTCTCTTAATATCAGCCCTTACAATCTCACATGCCCACCTCTTCCACGATAGTCCTTGGGCCTTGAGGAGTTGAATAGTTTTAATTTCTGGCCCTGCATCTCATGAACGCAGTTTACTTTGATTAGCATCTTCTACTGGGCCTGAAAATGAGGCTGTAATTGCTGTCAGTGTTTAAGATATAGCAGAACTTGGTGTCCTTTTTAGACCCAGAAGTCAAAGCCCTATAACTCAATGGCACAAGGACTTTAAAAGCACATACAGAAAGTTACACAGATGGAAGAAAACACTTTTTTAGACCTTGAAGAAAAAATTTTTGGCCTGTCATAGTGGCTCATGCCTGTAATCCTAGCACTTTGGGAGGCTGAAGCAGGTGGATCACTTGAGGTCAGAAGTTCGAGACCAGCCTGGCCAACACGGTGAAACCCTGTCTCTACTACAAATACAAAAATTAGCCGGGCGTGGTGGCAGGAGAATTGCTTGAACCTGGAAGGGGGAGGTTGCAGTGAGCCAAGATTGTGCCACTGCACTCTCAGCCTGGCTGACAGAGTGAGACCCCACCTCAAGAAAAGAAAAAAGAAATAGAAAAAAAAACATTTTTAGCATGAGGCCACAACAAACAGAACACAAGAGAAAAAAAGAAGAAACTTATATGAGCTGAAAATGAGTTGAAAGAGAGAGTTATTATTTTCACCTTTTAAAAGAGGAGAGTAAACCGAAAATGGTGAGATGTGATAAAAGTTAAACTTTGGGTTTAAAGAATTAAAATCTTTTAATTTATTAAGAGTAAATCAACTCCTTAAGAAAATTTTATTGTTCTGATGAATTTTTTTAGTGTTTTTTTTAATATCATAAGCTAAATCTGGAAAGACTATTATAAATAATTTCCCTTTAATTATAGACAACTTTATACAAATCATTTATGACAGCTTGGACTTTCTGTTTTATCCCTTCCTCTTTCTTTATTCCTTTGAGATACAGTCTTCCTCCGTCGCCCAGGCTAGAGTCGTGCAGTGGCGCCATCTCGGCTCCCTGCAACCTCTGCCTCCCATGTACAAGCAATTCTCCTGCCTCAGCCTCCGGAGTAGCTGGGACTACAGGCACGTGCCACCACACCTGGCTAATTTTTGTATTTTTAGTAGAGACAGGGATTTGCCACGTTGGCCAGGCTGGTCTCGACCTCCTGACCTCAGGTGATCCATCCACCTCGGCCTCCCAAAATGCTGGAATTAACAAGCATGAGCCACCATGCCTAGGCTTCCTTTTTCTTAAATAACCAGTTATTTTATTTTAGAACAAAAATTTACCATACAAGATTCTTGCTCAGATAAAATTATTTTCCTTTTAACTTTTTGTGCCAAAAATGCCTGTTCATAACTTCCTTCACATTGTTTTTATTCACTGATTACCTAATTTCATAAATAACTTTTAGATAAGCTTCGAATTAGACAAAAAGTATTTTCCTTTAAGATCACATTTCTTTTTTACAGAAAAATGTTTTCCTATAATTAAAAAAATTGGAAATGACCCAGACGTGTAATAAATATCTACTATTTAGCTTAATATAACTTTGGATTTTAAATTATATGACAAGATATTCTACAAGAACTTATTCTGTTACATTTGTGTAATTAATTAATTTTCTAATAGTTTACCCAGATTACTTATGAAAACTGTAATAGTTACCATTTAAAGTTATGTCCTTGTTAACCATTTTTATAACCTGTGAATTTCAGGTTGTCCTGAGTAAGAACATTAAGGTTAGATAAAGGGTCTTTTTTTGTTTATTTGTTTGTTTGTTTTTGTTTTTTTGGCAATAACTCAGGATTTAGCTATTTTCATTAACCAAACAATATTAAATTCCTTACTTACTAAATTTTACATAAACAAAGATAATTCTTATTTGAGCTGCATTCATAGCTTTAGAACCCTTATGCCAAATGTTGACATCTAGCAGAGATAAATAATGTATGTTGAGAATTCCAAAGCCATTTCTAATTCAATTTCACTAAAATTTTTAAAACCAGCTTGTTTATTGAAGATTTGCTTAAGTCACATGAACTTGAAAAAGCATTTGGCTTAAAGTCTATTTTTCTGAAAAGCATTAGATTTAAGTGCCTTTGTTAAGCCAATTAATTAGAGCTCTTTTCTACATTTTTAGTAGTGAAATGTCATATCCATGACACATAAATACATAGATGTATTAGACATGTAGATAGAAGTAGATCTTATAAATTCCTAAGGCCTTTATTTTTTCCTTGTATTTTAGATTTACAATTTCTTCATAACCTATTTTATTGCCCTAGGCAATTGTCAGCTAGATAGCCCTAAATGTGCATATTAAAGGAACCCTTAGGTAAAAAAAATCAGATAGTGAAATTTGCTTCTCAAAGCACAGAGAGAAAGAGTCTGGTGATGTTAGAAGGAGATTGAAGATGGATGCCAAATCAAACACAAAATTGTAGAAATATATTATAGGATTGTATAAGGAGACCAGTTGTATTTAGATAGGGACTACCTGTCTTTTAACTGGATCTCTGAGCTCTGGGCAGAGCCCACACTGAATCCTAGTTCTCCAAAAAGGGAGAATTACTATGAGGCTACACCAAGTGATGCTTTTACAGTGTCCTTTTTTTTTTTTTTAACAAAGACATTTCTAAGTGTTCAAGCTACTTTCTTCCTTAAAAATCCAAGAATAAACTAATAACAGTTTTAGTCAAAAAATCAAGTAACACAATACAAAAGCAAGCAGCTTAAGATCTGAGATGAACTTGTGTGTTTACACTCTTGGGAAAAATAGAGGTTTCTCCCCAAAAGGGAGTGTGGCATCTTCTCCATTTTCTTTAAGGAATGCAGGCAATTATAAACTATTTTACGTCCCTCATGCAACAGAGGGTAGCAAAATAAAGGAGAGACAGCAGAAGTAGATGAAGAAAACAGAATGTCATCGTCTGAGAAGAAAAAAAAACTTTTGCTCAAAAAAAGACAAGGTCCTAGGAGAGAAGATGTAGAAAGTAGTAAAGTTTTTCTTCAAAATTCATCTTGGTTTAAAAATAAAATAATAGACACTATAAATAATAGCTCCTTACTCTAAAGCCTCCTCTCAACTACTAGTTCTTACACTTGAGCCCAGTTAGTTGCTTTGGCTTACTCAGGCATGTCTGGACAGGCCCAGGCAAGTCTTAGCTCATAGCTTATGCCCCTTCCTTTTTTGAAATGTTAATTGCTTCCTTAAACCTTTAGTAAGCAACTTCTTTTTCTTCTTTGTTCTCCCTTGCACTTACCTGTTTAGGAAAGTTTTAGGTTATTAGCAGATTTGGTATCAGTTGAAGACTGTGGGGTCCAGCTCCAGCCAATGGATGCAGGACAGAGCAGTAAGGCTGACCCAAATACGTAAATGATAAATATGTCTGCTTTTCCTTTGTTCAAGTGTGCTGTCACGATTGTTCGATCTGCGAGGGGCACCCTTTCTGCAGAAAGTAAAGATTGCCTTGCTGAGAGATCCTTTGTCTTTTCTTCACGACACCGATTATCTGTTTCTAACAGAGGAAAAAATAAAGGCCTTTTAATACAAATGCACACATGCACACACACACACATCTCAGATGTGAGCTTTTAATTAAGCTGACTTTTAACCCTTGAGCTCCTTTAAAAAAATCTTTCTGAATCTCATTACCATATTTTAGCTAGGAAAAATTGCTGATGTTTCAAAAGAAACAAGTATCAAACCAGAAATGGCTTGATTTAGGAAGCAAACCCAGGCTGTTGTGGAAAAAAAAGAAGGCAGAACCTTAGCTATGAAACTGCAGCATGGGGCAACAGCGTTGCTCTTTCAATTTGGCCTGGATAGCAAAAAAGTGGCCTTGCTATGTACATAAAGCCCCTTAAGTACTCAAAATCAAAAATCTTTATTGTTTTTTCTTTTGCTGAGCATTTTTCCTCCCAAGCCCTCCCCACCTTTTGTGGAAATTTAGCCACTTCAGAGGCCTTGTTCCTCATAATTTGGAACTTTCCTTTAGATTTGATCAAGTTGGATAGTTTCCCAATGAAGAAAGAAAGACCAAAACAACAAAAACAGAAACAAACAACGGCAAAAAAAAAAAAAAAAAAAAAAAGTTAAGCAAAAACACAAAATATCACAAAATTTATATGATTACTGAGCACTCTAATGGTAAGGAGAAATTAAGACCAGCTTGTTGTTAATCTTAACTTTAGACAAGACAAAACCCCTATTGAGCTACTTACCTAGTGATGGGTCTCAGGCTGAAGACTGCTGTCTATTACCCTAGAAGCAGGAAAAAACTCAGATTCATCTTCCGTGCTGGGAGCAAGGTCAAACTCATAAGGGAATTACCTGCCTTCCATTGTGATGGAAGCAGGAGAACTTGCCTTCCTTGTTGAAAGCAGGTAAATCTTCAGAAAAGGAGTTGTGCAGCAAAATAAAGTTTAGATTGCAACCAAATTTTTGGAGATCAGGGATTCTTTGGAGGGGTGGCTTTCAGGCCTCAGCAAATTGTCCTATTGGTTTTAACCATGAAGATAGCTCAAGCTGGTACCAAGTACCAGTAGAAGATTTGTGAAAGGTCAGGGGCACCTACACTCAGAATCCCTCTGTGGTTACCCAAATGTGAACCCCAAATATCTGAGACAGGTCTCAGTCAATTTTGAAAATTAATTTTGCCAAGGTTAAGGATGCACCCATGACGCAGCCTCAGGAAGTCCTGATGATACAGACAGGAGACAAGGAAATACTGGGTAGAAGAGGGTGGTTCCCCAGCAAAAGTGCTACCCTCAAGCCTGGAAACCCATGGCTCTAAATGGGAACAGGCATTCCTGTTTTCATGACTAAAAGTTGCCTTTGGACCCACCACATCCCCCTATCCTGTACCTATATAAACCCCAAAGCCTAGGCTCCATGAGCAGACGAGCAGAGGAACAGAAGAGCAGAAGAATGGCAGAGAAGGAGAGAAGAGAAGGAGCATCTGAACATTGAGAGGAGTTCAGCTGGGGACAGCAAATCTCCAGGGAAAGATCATCTTCTGACTCTGTCTCCCTTTCAGCTCCCCATCCGTCCCACTGAGAGCCACCCTGACCACTCAATAAAACCTCCACATTCACCATCCTTCAAATCCATGTGAGACCTGATTTTTCCTGGATGCTGGACAAGAGTTTGGGATACAGAAAGCTGTCACACTGGCTTTCTGCCCTTGTGAAAAGGCAGAGGGTCCATTAAGCTGTTTAACACTTAAGCCATCCGTGGATGGCAAAGCTAAAAGAGCACACTGTAATATACACCCACTTGGGCTTTGGGCTTCACAGGCACCCACCCCTGGATGCTGCCATGGGTCTAGAGCCCAGGAGTGCTTGCCCCAGCTTCTGCACCTGCCTGTCTGTGTGTTCCCTTTCCCATGAGGGGTTTGAACATGCATGGCAGCCAGAGGAGCCACACGCCTGTCGCACATCTTGAGAGGGAGATGAGAGAACCCTCCCATTTCACTGAGACATGTGCCCAGTGTGCTCATGGGTACAGTTTGCTTTTATACATTTTAGGGAGACATGAGACACCAATCAATATGTGTAAGATGTACATTGGTTTAGTCCAGTAAGACCAGACAACTCGAAGTGGGGGTTTCCAGGTTAGAAGTAGATAAAAGACAAAAGATTGCATTATTTTGAGTCTTTGTCAGCCATCCAGTGAATACACAATTTAGCCTGGCTCAGTGAATCTGTATTTTTCATAAACAATAGGGAAGAGGAAGCAATCAGATATGCATTTGTCTCAGGTGAGTGTCAGAGGGATGACTTTGAATAGAGTGAGAGGTTCGTCTACCCTAAGCAGTTCCCAGCTCGGCTTTTCCCTTTAGCTCAGTGATTTAGGGCCCCCAAGATTTATTTTCCTTTTACAAAGAATATTTCATCCAGGCCAAAGTAAGGCCCAGAAAAGAGAATAGGCAAAGCCATCTAGGATACAGGGAGCAGGATATGCAAAGGCAGAGAGGGCAAACAGTGCAATGTGTTTCTGAAAGAGTAAAGATCTTCAACTGGCAGGAGTAAGAAAACCTGCAGCACATAGGTATGATGGAAGTTAGGGCTGCAATAGTAGGTAGGGCCAAAATGCGAAAGGCCTAGGACTTACTTTCCACAATGAGGAGCTAGTATTTGTGTTTTCGCTCGAGACTGACTCACAAGACTCACAAGGCTGTTTAGAAGGAGACAATACTGAATGAGAAAACAGAAGACTGTTGTATGTGGCCCAGGTGAAATGTTATGCAGATCTAAATTAAAGTATGATTCAGAGTCAAACCCCTTTATAATCCTGTTTTTCTGAGACAATGTGTTCTGAATTGAGAACTATTGAAGTTATTAAATGTTATATTTGGTATTCAATACTTGGTAGTCAACACATTTGATAGTTAGTTGTCATTAGCCCATATGCTAAAACAAATGCTGTAATGCAGCTGTGTCACATTTAGTGCAAGTCAGAAACAAAATGAGAAAGAAATGTTAAGTAAAAATAATGCAAATAATTTTTATAAACTTTTATTTAAAAGCATAGATCATATCATATTCCCAACATTAAGAAATAGTATTGCATTCATTACTACTAGGCTTTCCCGCCACCCACCGTTCCATTCTCTGTTACCATGGAGATGGTTAGCTAATTCATTTCATTCTTCTCTACACCGTTTAACACATATTTTAAAAATTTTATTGAGAGATCACTGATTAATTTCCAACAGTCTATGAAATGAAAATGGACAAAACTTCCCTATTTTGATTAAACTGTTTGCCAAATAAAAATGCTTGAGCATGTACCACACTAATCAAAATTTTAAGACTGTCATTATGAAGTATTTTTCCACACAAAAATACGAAAATTATTGTTTTAAGAGTAGATTCCACGATATTTTGTATATAATTGTATGGGAATGACTGTTAGAAGTATTAAAATAAGGAATAGAAAAAGAAAGTTTCCATGCCTGTGTCTGTCAATAGTTGTTTTGTATATTTAATAACACACTGAACAGGAAAATAATAAAGCAAGTGAGAAGTAATAACAAAATGAGGCAGTGTCTATGGAGACACATCAAGTTGTGAGGGGGAGCATTGCTTCAGCCAATTGCTATTGATTGTGTTCAACTGCTGTCTCCTAGCCTAATAGGTAAGCAGAGAAAAAAATTATAATTTTAAAAAATAAATTTTAGAATAAGGATAATGGTCCCTGCATTAGAATACAGGTCACTTCATGCCCACTCACATACAAAGTGTTGTTGTAAGAAAACACGCACATACGCACAGATTTAACCTCATTTTTAAAAGTCAGAAAAATTACATAAAAATGTTTATAGTAGCTTTATTCACAATAGCCAAAAATTGGAAATAGCCCTGGTGTTTAGTAATATGAGAATGAATAAAAAATCGCCGTCATATCCATACAATGGAATACTAAAAGGATGAACTATTGATATTGACCAACAATATGGATACATTTCAAAATCATGCTGCGAGAAATAATTCAGACACAGAAGAGTACATACCCTATGATTCCATCTCTTTGGAGTTCCACAAAAGGCAAAATTAATCTATAGCAGAAAAAAAAAATCAGAACATTTGTGCCCAGGGGTAGGGGGGTGTAGGTAGAGGAGGTACAGAAGGGGATTGACTAGGAAAAAGGCATGAAAGAACTTTTGGGGACAATGGATATATGTTATATGCTGATAGGGTTAAGATTATACAGAAATATGAATTTTGCAAAAATCAGTAAATTTATGCATTTAATTTTACACCCATTTTACATAAAAGTGAAAAAATCAAACATCAAATTCTTAACTATGCATGCTGAAGTATTTAGAAGGAAGTATATTGCTATCTAAAATCCATCAAAAATAAGGGGAATCGAGGCATGGATAAAGGGATGGGCCAGTGGATAGGTATGTGTTAAAATAACTGTAACAAAATGTTAATGGTGGAATCTGGGAAATGGGTGTGCCAGTAATTTATTGCTTCATAGTCCGAAGCCCACTCTTCTTGGCCCAATTTTGTGATTCTCCTCTGGACTCTGCAACTAAATCTCTGCTTTGAAATGGGATCCTTGTTGTCTTTCTCTGACAACCGTGGGTCCTGGAAGGTGACTGCAAGCCTGGATGTGAAATAAATAACTTCCTTTTTTTTTTCCCCCTGTTTGTAATTTGTATCTGCAGCAGTGAGTATTTCAGATACAGCTGATTCCTGTAGTGTTCACCACGGTGGCAAGTTGTTCTTGCCTCCAGCAACTTCCTTTTTTACCATAGGGATAAACTTCTTTCATGGTTCTGGGTCATCTTCTTCTTTATCCACAGCAGCTGAAGTCATCCTCCTTTTCACAGTTACGACGTCTCAAATATCTGAATCTCAGCTTGTAGGGAGCTCAGCTTCCTTTTAGTTAGTTTCTTCCTGGTTCAATTTTCCTTCAGGCCTAGGGTGGTAGCCTCATTTTGCAACTTCAACTTCTGATATACATTAGAAATATTTTTTCACATTTGCTAGTACAAAGAGCCCTTACTTTGCAGGGATGTAATATACCACCATCTAATTAAATAAATCAGTTCCCCAACAACAGTCTGAATTTTAGTTACAAGTGTATAAGAACTGTGACTAACTGCATAAAATATAAACTTTGCTAGTAGTTCTTCAGTCCACAAGTAACAAATGCATGTTGTTATTACTGACCAATCTTGTCACTTCTTTGAACATCTGTCAATGATTGATCACTGCACGTCTGTTATTCAGTTTATGGACACACAACAAAGCATGTTGTTGTGTTGAATCCTTCTTTCCCAGTAATATGAACTTATGTGACATTTTAAAAGATGTGATGTCAATGGAGAAACGGTCAACAAAGATGAAAGTGCTGCAAGGCCATGCATGGTGACTCACGCCTGTAATCTCAGCACTTTCGTAGGCCGAGGCGGGTGGATCATCTGAGGTCAGGAGTTCGAGACCAGCCTGGCCAACATGGTGAAACCCTGTCTTTACTAAAAATACAAAATTAGCCAGGTGTAGTGGCACGTGCCTGTAATCCCAGCTACTTGGGAGGCTGAGGCAGGAGAATCGCTTGAACCCGAGAGGTGGAGGTTGCAGTGAGCCGAGATTGCACCATTGCACTCCAGCCTGGGCAAGAAGAGCGAAACTCTGTCTCAAGAAAAAAAAAAGAAAGAAAAGAAAGAAAAAGAACAAAAATTAATATTGCTATATGTGAAATTAGAAAAAAATATATGAAGTTATAGAAGAAATAGCCAACCATGGAAACATTGATACTACTGCCATGCCATTCAAGAGACCCTAGAAATACAGGAATTAAATTATGAACATAAACGTGAAAAGTTGTGACCACAAAAATGAAGATGTTCCAGAGAAAGTGACACCAGCAAAAAAAATACACATTAAAGGAAATCTTGAAGATACTAGACAACGTTGAAAGTGCCAAGGATACAATATTGAAAGATGATGCAAACTTACAAAGGAGCATAGCAATTTGCAAATGCTCTCTCCATAAGAAGGCAAGCACTATTTAAATCATCGTTTATACATTTTTCAAAGAAATAAAATGCTTTGGCCTGGCGCGGTGCCTCACGCCTGTAATCCCAGCACTTTGGGAGGCCGAGGCAGGTGGATCACGAGGTCAGGAGTTCAGGACCAGCCTGGCCAAGATGACACCCCGTGTCTACTAAAAATACAAAAATTACCTGGGCGCAGTGGCAGTCGCCTGTAATCCCAGTTACTTGGGAGGCTGAGGCAGGAGAATTGCTTGAACCTGGGCGGCAGAGGTTGCAGTGAGGCGAGATCGTGCCACTGCACTCCAGCCTAGGTGATAGAGTGAGACTCCATCTCAAAAAAAATAAATACATAAAAAAAAAATAAAATGCTTTAACTCTCCATGTTTCTATTGTTTTAAAGATCAGATTTACTATTTTTTACTCTGCTATAAATTTATAACAGAAAGTTTTAAAATATTTTGACAAAAAATTATAAATGTCATAGAACAATCATAACTCCTCATATATTAAGATTGTTTTGCACAGTTTCGGCTCGTACTGGCATTTTTATTGCTATCCGCTACTGTAAAAAGTGGGGTATTGCCCATAGTTAATCACCTTTTACTTTGTTATCAATTCTTTCTATTAAACTTACCTGTTGAAAATTCTGATGTGGTTTCTGTTTCTTGACTAGACATTGATGATCAATCAAATATAATTATTCACTGTTAAATTCTTTCGTCTTTGCTATATGTTTGAAAATCTTCAAAATAAAATAATGGAAAAACTCGGACAATCATTACTGTGTTCTATTTCCAGATGAGTCAGAAGAATGAAGAAAAATTATTTTATGCAATGAAAAACAGCAACAAAAATGTTTTAAACAATAAAAACGTGAAGGGTAGTGACTATACCAGCAGCAAATTAACATAGGGATACAGCCTTTTGCCAAACACTTTCAAAAAATGACCGCCAATGGGAAAAAAAATCCTGATATTCTAGTATGAGATAGCAAAAAATTTGACCGAACTATAACCCCACAGAGGTAGTATTAAAGAAAAAAAGTGTTAATAAAAGCCTGAAAATTCTTTCCAATACCCATCCTGTGGTCAAAATTGGACTGAAAGGATGGATGAACAGCCCAGGGAAAAGTCAGGACCGGGCTGGGCGTGGTGGCTCATGCCTGTAATCCCTGCACTTTGGGAGGCTGAGGCAGGTGGATCACCTTAGGTCAGGAGTTCGAGACCAACCTGGCCAACATGATGAAATCCCTGTCTCTACTAAAAATATAAAAAAATTAGCCAGGCATGGTGGTGGGAACCTGTAATCCCAGCTACTCGGGAGGCCTGAGGCAGGAGAATCACTTGAACCCAGGAGGCGGAGGTGGCAGTGAGCTGAGATTGTGCCACTGCACTCCAACATGGGCAACAAGAGCAAAACTCCGTCTCAAAAGAAAAAAAAAAAAAGTCAAGACTGAACTCTTGAGAGTGGTAGCCATTGCCTACTGCCTTCAGGAATTCTTCAGTCATCCAGACAAGGGGGAAAAGGCACTTACAAAAGGAAAAGTAGGTATATTAAGCTGGCTTCAGATTTCTCCACAGTAACATTCAACATAAAGTTATCTTGGTAATAAGGAGCTCTTATATAAATTAATTGATGATGAAATCTAACCAGACAAGAGATAACTAAAGAAATTATGGTAAAAAGAAGTGCAACACTCAATGCAAGAAGAAAAAGCAATGTCTGCAATCCTGAGAGGGTGAAAAATCATGGCATATAATTCTATACCCATTAGTCAAGTTGTCCTTTGCATATAAACACAATCTTCTTCAAGTATGCATGCATTCAAAGGACTCCATGAGTCCTATCTGAAAACATTACTTGGTGATGCCATCAGTTCAACTAACAGATTAATCAAAATATGGAACTTAAAGATGGAGAAGTTGTGGCTAAAGAACTAATGGCAAGCACGGAATGTTTTAGAACAGAGAATTAAAATTAAGCAGTCATGGGAGTTAGGATTTTAGAAGTCAATGCTAATAGCTTTGTCAAAATCAAAATAACTAACAAAATAACAAGTACTATCTAAATTTTTTTTACAGAGCTTACAAAACAAAAAAAGCTTGAATAATTATTATTAACTTCAACATTTTTTCCATTTTACTCCGACTTTTTCTTTTACTAAATTCAAGTTATTTTATGTACTCCTTTAAAATTCAAAATAGATACAGTGTAATATCACTTTTATAAAACTACCCAGACATTCAGCCCTTTGTGTATTTACAAAAAGAGGTATATGAAATGATATTCACCAATGTTAATTATTATTGTTTCCGGGTAATGGGCTTTGAGGTGACTCCCCTACTTTGTTGTACACCTCTGTATTGCTTGATTTTTTAAAAGAAATAACAAACAAGTGTTTACTAAAAAAGTAAATTCATCTGATAAAAAAGAAAACACAGGGATAGGATTGCTAAACCAATAATGTGTTAATGAACAAAAGTGAAGAAGAATATTTAAACTCCATCAGAAAACCTACTTTAGGCCGAGTGCAGTGGCTCACGCCTATAATCCCAGCATTTTGGGAGACCGAGGGGAGCAGATCACCTGAGGTCAGGAGTTCGAGACCAGCCTGACCAACATGGTGAAACCTGATCTCTACTATAAATACAAAATAATAATAATAATAAGCCGGGCATGGTGGTGCACACCTGTAATCCCAGCTACTCAGGAGGCTGAGGCAAGAGAATCACTTGAACCCAGGAGGCAGAGGTTGCAGTGAGCTGAGATCACACCACTGCACTCCCGCATGGGCAACAGAGCGAGACTCCATCTCCAAAAAAAGGAAAAGAAAAGAAAACCTACTTTAATCATGCATCAATTTACAAACAATTCAAGTATTTCATTATAAATTATTCTCATTTATTTGGAGAAAATAATGTGCCCTATGGAAGAGGAAATAGTTGGTCTATGTAGCTACTAGGCATATGAGAAAATAAAGAAACTCCATTTATTCAATATTGTCGTACGAATTAGAGTTTTCACGAATTTAGGAGACGCTTCCTCATCCAAATTGGTGAAAACTTACTTTATTCCTTTATTCATATTTATTAACTATGTGAGATAGCCATTAATCAACATTTGAAATTTATAATTGTTTTCAACTTTCAGTCAAAATATCAAATGGGCTCTAGATCCTTAAGACATCTCATTTCCTTTTATAATACTGTTTTATGTTTTATCAAGCAAATAGTTTATTTCTTACACATTTGTCAAACATCTCACCATAAATAATTAAAGATTTGTGCCTTCTGTCTCCAAATCATGCATTTCCATCAAATGGGTAAAGATTTCATCTATGTGATTTTATTCATTCATTTGCTAAATAATTTCCGGGGAGTCATCTAACTGTGGGCCAATCAGAAAAATTTAGTTCAGGGTGCAATTATGCCCAATTTCATTAAATTACTTTTGGCAAATGGTGCTGGCTTTTTACAATAGTTTTCAAACATCTAATAAGTAATTGCTTATAATTGTGTCATTGTCTGACAGCGAAATGAAAGAGCCGGCACTGCAGTGCAGCAAACTCCTCCATTTGTGTTGTACTGCAGAGCTTTCTGGCCAGGCAATTCCTTCTGACTGTCATGCTGTGGAAATTGCAGGGGTTTGCTGCAATGTAGGCTTTTAACCTATGAAGGAGGGCCAAGACGCAAAAAAGAAATGAAATTACACAAATTAGTCCTGGCAGCCAAATTGTTTCTCCTTGTACCTACCAGGACAGTGTCTGGCCACCATGGAAGGGCCTATCATCTTCTTTAAAACCTTAATTTCTTAGCAGTCTTAATTTCAATCCTGAAATTTGGTATAGCATAAGGACACATGCTCACCACTGTAGGTAATTGTTGGGGTCCAAGGTGACTGTACCCTCCTGATCCTTCTCAAGAAAAGGAAGTGAAATAAACAATCAAACAAGTTGCCATTTTAAGCAATGCACTTGATCATTCATTTGTCCAGTCACTGATCATTTATTGAGCACCTACTATGTGCCAGGCACTGTGGCCTAGTCACTAGAGATGCTACAGTATATAAGATAGACAAGGGCCCTTAAAATATTGTGACGTAATAAGACATATATAATTCGTCTCTGCCCTTGATTTCTGGAACATAGTTCCCAAGACTCTTAGAATCTCTGAAGTGATAAGAATATCTTTTGTATGCTAATGAAATGACAGATGGCTAGAGCGTCACCAGAAAGATCATCAAGGCATGATTAGAGAGTTGGGACTTTCAGCTCTACCTGACCCCCAGCTCCGGGGAGGGAGAGGGGCTAAATGTTGAATTGATCCTCAGTGGCCAAAGATGTAGCCAATCATGCCTAAGTATTGAAGCCTCCATAAAAAGCCAGAAGGACAGGGTTGTTAGATGAGGTTTTGGATGGCTTAGATGAGGTTTTGGATGGTTTTAGACACATGGAGGTGGGTGGCTGCCCAGAGCAGGCATGGAAGCTCTATACCCCTTCTCACATGCCTTGTCGCATGCATCACTTCATCTGTATCCTTTGCAATATCGTTTATGATAAATCGGTCAATGTAAGCAAAGTGTTTTTTCTGAGTGATATGGGAAAAGTAGTTGAACCTTGGGAAGGGTTTTGGGAACCCCAATTTATAGCTGGCCGGCCAGAAGTATAGGTGACATCAGCAGCTTGCTACTGATATCTGAAGTGGGAGCAGTCTTATGGGACTGAGCCCTTAACCTGTGGGATCTGACACTATCTCAAGGTAGATAGCGTCAGAATTAAGTTAAATTATAGGACACACAGCTGGTATCCACTGGAGAATTTCTTGGTGTGTGGGGAAAATTCTCTTACACACTTTGACGACTAGAGGTGGAGTCCTCTGTGTTGACTGTGAGTGACTGTGTAAGAGGGTAGGGAAAAACAGTTTGACTTTTTCTAAGAGACCTATTTTCATATGTCTTATATTTTACCACAGGTAGATAAATAAACAAGTAATACATAATATGTCAGGTTGTATTTAGTATTATGAAAAGCAAGGCAGGGTCAGAGAACTAGAGAGGGACTATTGTGGGGCAGGGGTGGTCAGAGATATGCCAGCTATGGACTAAACAACAAAAAAAAGAAATTTATTGCAATATCTTTTAAAACATTTTCTAGGCCAGGCGTGGTGGCTCATGCCTATAATCCCAGAACTTTGGGAGGCAGAGGCGGGCAGGTCACCTGAGGTCGGGATTTCGAGACCAGCCTGACCAACATAGAGAAACCTTGTCTCTACTAAAAATACAAAAAATTAGCCAGGTGTGGTGGTGCATGCCTGTAATCTCAGCTACTCGAGAGGCTGAGGCAGGAGAATCGCTTGAACCCGGGAGTCGGAGGTTGCCGTGAGCCGAGATCGCGCCATTGCACTCCAGCCTGGGCAACAAGAATGAAACTCCGTCTAAAAAAAAAAGTTCTACATTACACTGGAAATAGTTCTCTATGTTATACACTTGGGACTTCCAATCTTGCCTTCCATATTCGCCCCATTTAAAGCAATCTCTTTCCCCTTGAAATTGTCATGGTCCTTCACTTAAAACCTCTGCCTGATGCTTTACAGAGCAATTATTTCTGTACAGCCAATCTCTCCTAGTATATAGGAATCATTTTGAAACTAAGGAGTGTATTTTATTCATCTTGGCATCTGTTATAGTTTGAATGGTGCCCCCACTAAAAAAGATACATTAAAGTTCTAACTTCCACTACCTCACAATGTGACCAGAAGCTAAGAAGAGACAAGGAAGGATACTCCACTACTATCTCCTGAAGGAGCACAACCCTGAAGACATCTTGATTTTGGATTTCTGACTTCTAGAACTGCGAAAAAATAAATTACTGTTGCTCTAAGTTACCCAATTTGTGGTACTTTGTTATGGTAGTCCTAGCAAACTAATACAGCATCACTCTAAGAGCTTAGAAGGAACATTGAATATTTGATAAATAAATCAATGAAGCACTTTATGAGTGCTTATTAAAATTACTTCATATGTAATTTTGTGTTCATTTTACTCATGAAGGAACTAATGAAGAAACTCAAGCATTAATATATTTGAACTCTGTATGTGATAGAAATTTGTTTGACCTTCAAAGCATAGATATTTCTATAACAGAGAAATAAGGTTTTGTGATAGTGTCCCTTTTCCTTAATAAACACCATTCCTTTAGCTATTTATAGTTTATCCCAGCAGGGTATATGTGTGTAAGACCTTTACCTTGCTCCAAGAGAAGAAATGGAAAAAGCAGAGTTGATTACTTGGAGATGACCTCACAAATCAGGCCACAAAGGAAATCAAGCCTCAGGGGCTGGCTGAAAGTAAAATATTTTTAACTGTGATTTTGCTAGCTGGAAAGCAGGGGGTCAAAATTCATACCTAGCCCTGCAACCTCTGCAATGAGGATTACACATAATTCTGCCTTGAACATCTACCCAGTATCAAGTGGCTTTGGAAAAGCCCTATTCTTCAGCTGGGCCTTATTCTCCAAGACAAACAGTTCATTTATTCAACCCATAGGACCAGTTAGATCTTGGTTAGCATGTAAAATAGCAACCAAACACAAACCAAACTGATTTCAAGGAGTCAGTTTACTATAATATTGAAAATCATGGGATTTAGAGTCAGAGACCTGAGTTTGAATCCAGGCTATGTAAGTTACTGTGTTCTTTTAGGCAAGTTATTAAACTTTTCTCCGTCTCTATTTCCTCATGAATAAATAGTAGAAATTGTTAGAGACACAATAAAGGCTTCTCTGTAACAACAAGCAGTCCTGAGAAATTTCACCTCAGAAAATTCTTATCCACAACCTTTTCTTGGCCGCTGGTGATACTGAGTGCCCAGATTAGTGTGAGCCACATGAAGAGATACAGTCTCACACAAACAAGAAAGAAGCCATTTCCAAGTAAACAGTAAGGCAGGCAGCCTACATTTTGCTGCCAGTATTATGGTGGGGTGAGGGAGCCCCTTAGCAATTCATTGACAAATACTCTGTATCTAAAGTTAATGTTTAAAAAGATCATAAGCAAAAACTTTAGAATTCTCTGCAATAAGTAACATGAACCTGGAGAAAAAATAACATCCCAGTGTAGACATGCATAGAAATTATCTCAATAAATATTTGTTGAATGAATAAATGAATGAGAGAGAGGTGGTATATTAAGGTGCTATCCATGGGGGATTTGGGAAAAGCAAAAGCAAAGGGAGCAAGCTGAGAGGAAACAACTAGGGTTCATTTGTTAAGTGCCTAAGAAGTGTTTTTTTGTTTGTTTGTTTTGTTTTGTTTTGTTTTTAAATTTGCCAACAGACTGGCTGTGGGGCTTCATCTTCTCTCAGAAAACCACATACCACACAGGGTATATAGACTGTGTGGTAACATTTCACATACCCTATTCACCCAAGTTCCCAATGAGTATTAAAGGCATGCTTTAGCCTAAAGGTTGACTTTATTAGCTTAGATGGAAAGAATTTTGAGTAAACAAAGCCAGTGAGCAAATCCTGGCTGACACAACATCAGTCAAATCCTGCTGACTGATTAAACTGTTTTCCCTATTTTCACTAGGGCCAAAGGTGAAATTGGTCATCTATCATGAGAAAGTCTATTCTAACAGTATGGTCAACAAGATAATAAATGGGTTACACTCGCTAGAATGGTCTTTTTAAAAAACGTTGTGCCTAAAATTGTGTATCAATGTACGCTTTGACTAAGAGATCACATTTCTAGGAAGGAAAATTGGCAAAAATATGAAAGGCTAAGTGCAGAGTTATTCATTGCAGCATTATATATAATAGCAAAAAGTTGGGCTCAACCAAAATGTTCATCAATAGGGTACTATTTGAGTAGATTATATTACATTTATATAAGGTAAATGAAAGTGTGCATATTATGCCACTGTTCAGCTAAGAAAGAGGGGGAGCGGCATCTTGTCATACCAGAAATCAAGGAAGGTGTCAAAGATAACAGGTTGTGCCAAAAAATTGGGGCTTCAATTAAAATAATAATTTCAATGGATTAACACCCATACGATATGTTCAAATCCATGGGTTCATACTGGTATTTTAAAAACAGTCATTTTTCACCTTTGGAGGATACTAGGGAACTTATTTATGTGCATTAGTTTATATCTTTTTTTTGGGGGGGGGACGGAGTTTCTCTCTTGTTGCCCAGGCTGGCATGCGATGGCGCGATCTTGGCTCACCAAAACCTCCGCCTCCCAGGTTCAAGTGATTCTCCTGCCTCAGCCTCCCGAGTAGCTGGGATTACAGGCACCTGCCACCATGCCGGGCTAATTTTGTATTTTTAGTAGAGTCAGGAGTTCTCCATATTGGTCAGGCTGGTCTTGAACTCCGACCTCAAGTGATACGCCCACCTCAGCCTCCCATAGTGCTGGGATTACAGGTATGAGCCACCGCACCCGGCATAGTTTATATCTTCTAAATGAAAGTATAAACTAAAAACTGAAAAAGTGTCTAAGGAGAAAAGGAATAAGATGGAGGATACAGAAATGTAAATTATATTTTTATGAATATATCTTAATGTATAGATTTCACTTTACATAATTATTTTACATAATTTAAAAAGGTAAATCCAAATAAGACAGTCTCTAAAATTTGAAAGCAGAATGAAACACATGAATCTATGTATAAGTTGGTAGCAAGACAGCACACAGAAGAATCATTCCAAGGGACTTTAAATAAAAAATCACTCAAACGGAAATATATATATATATAATATATATGTATATGTGTATATATATAAATATACATATATAAAATATAAAAGATAAATATATAATGTCTTTTTGAGTAATTATATATAATACATATATAATTAAATTAAACTTTGAGAAATCATATTAATAAAGATACATGTAGATTTCTATTCTGAGAATCAAGCATATGTATCATGGGATAAAACAAACAACTATGTTAGTGTCATTGGGAAGTCGATTTTTCAAAATGAGTAACAGGATTTGGCTGTGTCCCCACCCAAATCTCATCTTGAATTGTAGCCCCCATAATTCTCACATGTCATGGGAGGGACCCAGTGGGAAGTAATTGAATCACAGGGGTGGTGCTTTCCCATTCTGTTCTTGTGATAGTAAATCAGTCTCCCCGAGATCTGGTGGTTTTATAAAGGGGCGTTTCCCTGCATGAGCTCTCTCTTTGCCTGTCACCATTTACATTAGATGTGACTTGCTCCTCCTTGCCTTCTGCCATGATTGTGAGGCCTCCCCAGCCATGTGGAACTGTGAGGCCGTTAAACCTCTTTTGTTTATAAATTGCCCAGTCTTGGGTATGTTTTATTAGCAGTGTGAGAACAGACTAGTACAATGAGCAAAAGGAAATACAGATCAAAATGGTTAACTGAAACTTAAATAATCCTAATTTTAACTGGAAGATCAGTGTGAACTCATAATGTGAATTACCTTAAATAATATTTCCTAGCTCTGTCCACTGAAATGTCCTAAAAACAATAATCAACGTAAGAGCGACAACATAAGGGCAACATACTGAATGCCCAGAGAATGGTCTTGAAATATTATTTCTCACTAAAAGAAAGCAAGGATCCTTGGAAAGAAATATTGCAACTCTGAGACTAGAAATGAACAATGATAAAATTAAAACATCACTATTTTTGCAAACTGGTGGTAAAACAATTTATACAGGCATTATTTATCGATAAAGGTAGACATCACACACAAAAAAAACAACCTACTTAAGTTTAAGGTAACATACATAAAAAGCACACAATTCCAGTTTTAGGTATATGCCAGAGAAGCTTTGGCATATGTGTCTCAGGAAGCATGTACAAGAATGTTCGTAGCAGCACCGTTTGTAATGAAAAAAATGCATGGCAACCTAGATGTCCATAAAGAGTACAAAAGATAAATAGGTAGTGGAATAGTCATTCAATGCAATAAAACTCCACAGTGAAAAGATACAGACATTTGTGATAAACACCTATCAGGTGATATGAGTATAATTAGTAATTCAAAACAGTATCTCAGAGTGGAGACTGGGGCATCTGAGATTGGGAACAAACATGCAAGAAGCTTCAAATGCACTGGTAATATTTCTTAAACTGGATTGTAGGCATATTTGTTGCCATGTTACTATTATTTTTTAAAATAGCATTTGTATATTATAGACTTTATATACATTTGTGTATGTTATATATACACAATATATAGGCACAAACAAAAAGAATTTATACAATGACTGAGATATAACATTTGCAGAATATTTGAAAATAAAAGCATTGGCCAGGAACTGTGGTTCACGCCTATAATCTCAGCACTTTGGGAGGCCGAGGTGAGTGGATCACCAGGTCAGGAGTTCAAGACCGGCCTGGCCAAGATGGTGAAACCCCTTCTCTGCTAAAAATACAAAAAAGTTAGCCCGGTTGCTGGTGGGTGCCTGTAATCCCAGCTACTCGGTAGGCTGATGCAGAGAACTGCTTGAACCCGGGAGGTGGAGGTTGCAGTGGTAGAGATCGTGCCTCTGCACTCCAGCCTGGGGAACAAAGCGAGACTCTGTCTCAAAAAAAAAAAAAAAAAAAAAACAGGATGTAACTAAAAATCAAGTAAGGTACATAAAAGTCAAATAATTAGGTGAAATTGTTATAAAACTGCAATAAAATGCAGTTGTTCAACTTCGAAGCACTATAAGAGTGATTCATTAATAAAATGTTTATTAAGTGCCTCTGTGACAGGTACTGTGCCGCGTGGTGGGGATGCAGCGACAAATAACAGACACACAATCCCTGCTCTGTAGTGAGGGAATGAAAAAATGAACAAATAAATAACCCTTAAATTTATAATTACAAACTGCAGTGAGAGTCCAAATAGGCAAAAGAAGAATAATGAAGAGGAAGGTCATTCTGTCATGCCTAGTTGGAGCCAGAGGCAAAGGGGACTATCATGCAATATTTGGCTTGGCAATAGGGGGCAAAGGAAGAGGGAAGGAACATGAGTTTCTACCTCTGCTGCAGTAATCTCTCCACTTTGGCTTCCACCTGGGCCACTTTGGGGTTCCAGTTAAGCTCCCAGGAACTCAGTCCTGCTTCTCCAGCTCTTTCTTCAGTGCTCCTTTGCTCCCTGAGGCCTACCCCACACTATCCTTAAGACCAAACTCACACTGAGTGTCTCAATCTGGGCTACTACTTCAAGGCTGCTGTACCCTGAACAAATGGCAAGCCTCTGCGGTAAGCAGCAGGCCAGCTACCAAGAA
Organism: Homo sapiens; assembly: GCF_000001405.40. Classification (NCBI taxonomy): domain Eukaryota; kingdom Metazoa; phylum Chordata; class Mammalia; order Primates; family Hominidae; genus Homo; species Homo sapiens. The sequence goes on along the minus strand of NC_000023.11, from coordinate 140,980,141 downwards.
TAAAAATAACTAAGTAAGAAGAAGATGATTGCCATGCACTTCAAAAGTCACTGCAGACATTGCCGGCTAAACAGTGTTCCAAGAGCATGGTGGCATTTGGCCTGAACGTCAGAAACACTTGTCCGTATCATTGCAATCGCTATTGGACTTGAGGACAACAGAATTTGCAAGTTCCCACAAAATAGGGTGCAGGTTAAATAAAGCCCATATTAAGAAAATGGTAGATGATTTCAAAAGGTGATGGCAATTTTTGAAATCATAGATAATTTGCAGAGAATTAATGATGGTCCTGTTATTATTTTCGTTAAAAATATGGTACATTCAAAATTACTTTGACTTTGAAGAAAAACACTCCATTCCTCTTAGATGTCATTCAGAACCAATACCTTCAGGTATTTTTAAAGCAGATTTTCCAGAGAATACCAAATTCAAGGATAATTTGCTTCCTGATAAGGCTGTGAACTAAACCTGAAGAACTAGTAAGATAAGAAAATATATTTGGCTAACCTGATAGCAAACTGCAAACCCTAATCTGCAGGTGTAATGGATACAACTTTTAAAAAGAAAGTCAAACACCTGAGGATGTTGTATGCCAATGCTGTTATTCAAAACTCTTCTTCATGTAAAATATTGCAAAACCTAAACGAGTGGATAGTCAAGGAAAAAGTCAATTGAATGAATGATTCACAAATGTGTTCATTGTTTCACTATAAAGGGGATGCTGTGAAGAATAAGAATAATGATGTGGCCGGACGCAGTGGCTCACGCCTGTAATCCCAGCACTTTGGGAGGCCAAGGCAGGTGGATCACCTGAGGTCAGGAGTTCAAGACCAGCCTGGCCAACGTGGTGAAACCCCGTCTCTACTAAATATACAAAAATTAGCCGGGTGTGGTGGCGCATGCCTGTAATCCCAGCTACTCGGAAGGCTGAGGCAGGAGAATTGCTTAAATCCGGGAGGTGGAGGAGGCTGCAGTGAGCTGAGATTGTGCCATTGCACTCCAGCCTAGGCAACAAGAGTGAAACTCCATCTCAAAAAAAAAAAAAAAAAAAAAAAAAAGAAGAAGAATGATGATAATAATTTAAGAGTTGAGATACTAACAGTAGATTTTTCCCAATATTTGTCAGGCTAAGTGTATTTTTAAGGGACTTGCTGCTTTAAAATGTAATGAATGGGGTTAAGTGTATTGGGGACAGAAGAAACCCAATGTAAAATAAAAGTAGACCTACTAAAGCCACTCTACTCCTCCAGAGCTTCAAACCATCATAAGGGATGTTGATGGTTACAGGGTCTTTGTGAATGTTGGATGTGAATAGAAAGTGTGTTCTTAATAACTCAGTTTTCAAGTAGTAATGTGGAAATGCATGTGTGCCCTGGTAATTGTAAAAGAAGCCCTGCAGAGTTTCATTACAGACAAGGAGTTTGGGATGGCATTAGGAAGAAGCCACTTGCTATGAAACCTGTGAGTCTATTTTGAAATGGGAGAAGGAACAAGATAATTATTAGAGGAAAAACTTAAATCTTCGTCAGGAACACATGGAACTTTCTCTGGAACTTCAATAGAAAGTATTGGGTTCTTTTTTGCTTTTAAATTTTTTCTCTATAACACCACATGGAGCCATTGCTCATTCTGTGCCACATACTTTATCAGAGGCCCCCAAAAGGTGAAAAGTATCAGAAGCAACTACAAAGAACACTTCAAGCTTAAAAGTTGAAATAGTGAAGCAGAAAACCTAAGAACTTTTTAGGAAATGAAGATTTAAATCCTAAAACCTAATTCTGCCTATGTTTAGAACACCTGAAATAATAAAATATGTTCCATGTATTTTGCAGTTAATCTCGGACTCGTTTTACAGCATGTTCTTTTTACATTTTATTAATGATATTTTTAAAATGTTGATACACTTGTAAAATGCACTTTTTAAAGTGCTTTGGATACTGTCAACGCTTCAGAATTTTGCTTATAAATATTACAGGGTGAAGTGTGTTTCAAATACAGCAAATTTTGTATCAGTTGCAATATTCTGTTTATTTATTTTTATTTTTATTTATTTATTTATTTGAGACGGAGTCTTGCTCTGTCACGCAGGCTGGAGTGCAAAGGTGCAATCTCGGCTCACTTCAATCTCCGCCTCCTGGGTTCAAGCGATTCTCCTGCCTCAGCCTCCTGAGTAGCTGGGATTACAGGCATGCACCACCACGCCCAGCTAATTTTTGTATTTTTAGTAGACACGCGGTTTCACCATGTTGGTCAGGCTGGTCTCGAACTACTGACCTCAGGTGATCCGCCCACCTTGGCCTCCCAGAGTGCTGGGATTATAGGCATGAGCAACCATACCCAGCCATGATATTCTGTTTATTATATGGACCATTTTTAGGAAACTTAAAATTTCAAATAATTCAATACTTATATTTCATTATTTACTTTGGCATTTCTAAAGTTAATTTGTATGCATTCCTATTGTTTTTGTATCTAGGTGACTATTACAAAATTCAAGTTTCTTTTTCTCTATTAATATCTCATATATGTTCATCTCTAAGGAAAAAAGAAACCTATGTTCTCGACTGATGTGTGTATATATACACATATGTCCTACATATGTGTATATATACACACATACACATATATATGAATTATGACTTGTTATAAGTATATATATTCATATATAATATACATGCAAAGTTCTTTATTATATCTATAATAACAGGGAGGAGCAGAAACAAGAGGAGGATAAGGAAGATAAGGAAGAGGAAAAGGAGAAGGATACAGAAGAAGAGGGAAAGAAGATGGAAAATAAGAAAGAGGAGGAGGGAGAAAGGAAGAACAGGTGGATGGAAGGAGGAGGATGAGGGAGTAGAAGGAGGAAGAGGAAGAAGGTGAAGGGAAGAGGAGAAAAGGGAGGAAAATATTGTATACTAATAGTAGAGAAACCGTTAAGGATACTGTATCCCATCCGTTCCACAGCATTTTTCACAGTTGTCAAATATATTTGTCATGACTAGCAATTGGCCAAAATGTGTAAAACATAATCTATAGCATAAAAAACAGAATACACAGTTGTATGCACACAAAGTTTACAACTGTAAAAAAGATATGTGCTTGTGGGCATTACCTGGAAGAGAATATGAATAAAAGAAGTTGTTTTGGATCATGGGATTAAGAGTAGAACATTATTTTTTTCTTTTTCAAACTGCTTTAGTGCCGTGAAATTGCTTTGCAATGCAAAGAAAAAAAATGGAGTTAGGAAATAGATCACTTTAGTTAGCAACATAGCTGTGATAAAGAACCAAAGATTTATCTGAGAATGATCTTTCAGCTAAAAAATTAATCCCTATTACTTATTTTAAGCATGGACTTTCTCACCCACACAGAATTTAGTGGTAAGGTAAGCAGTGTACGGGAAAGAAGAGCAGTCATGAAATAGTGGCAAACTGCTGTGAGGAAGAGAAGCCAAAAGAGGCTTAAGTGTGCATCTTAAGAGTACCAGACTGTGCAGCCAGGAAAGCAACATCCACCTCCAGGCCTCCCACGAAAGTACAATCAGAATTGAGAACTCAGGTCTATGAAATATAAAATAAATAAGCATCCTCTTTACAATTCCTTGACTTTTCTTTTTGTGGGCTAGTTTTATATAAATTGGTCTCCTGAAATGATTAAACACCTAAAATTAGCATTCTCTATTTTTTCTGCCAACTCCTTGTACAAAGATTACAAATGTAGCATAGGCTGGAATTTTGCAGAGGGTCTATTCTTGACCAGATGCTACCTATTGGTCACACGTGAAAAAGGCTTTAATGGCCCTCTGTTTTCTGGATATTACTATTCCTAGCATAATCCCCCTGGCCTCACTGGGGATAAGTACCTCCAAAAGGAAAAATAAAAGACGCAGACCCAGCCAGAGGCTAGTGATTTTTCACTGGGAATAGACTGCAGGGTTGGAAAGAACACAGTAATTATCTTTAGCAATAAAATTCTGTTTTGCAAAGTCTGTGGGGGAGTGGGAAGTGTGAAGAAATAAATAAGTTAGTTGATTTTTTTTTTTTTTTAGATTCTCTGAGTCAGCAGCCCTTTTACTGCTCTAATACAGGAGAATGGGAACCCTGACAACTCATGGGTCAGCAGAGCATATGCTGTTTAAATAACACTTATCAATGCATTGCAGTATGGCTGGTCTTCAAAAACTTGCTTTTCCTACAAAAATATCAACAGCTTAGTTCTTACCTCTTCAGTTGCTCTCCATCTCAGTGTCTGACTTTCACTGACTAACCACTTTTTTTTTAAGAGCTGGTATGCAGAACCTGGAATCCTTCATGAAATTGCACATCTCTCTGAGCTATGAATATTTTTCAAGCACTGGCCGAAACTGGAAAATGAAGTCTGCTAAAATTGCAAGCTTGCTGTTGAGCTATGGCCACTGGTCTGGACTGTAACGAGGTCTGATAACATGAGAAAAGTCAAGCAAATCTTGTGCAAGCTTATTCATGTGCCAGGTAAAACAGACTGGCAGCATCTCCCTGTTCATCCACTGGCCCTTTACTTGTGGAAGCCAACATCTGTAGAGAGCATTTCTCTTCTAATTACTACACTCATGCCCCAGCTCCAGAAATAGGTCTGCGTCATCCACAACCTGGAATTCCCTATCAAAAGAAGGTTCAAACTCCTGACTAGGTGCATTGAACTCCCCCCACCTGCCCTCCCAACACAGTGTCAAGATCTAAAATACCTATATAAAAAAGTCACAACTTCTAACACATTTCTAATCTGCCACAGGTCAAAATTGTGTCTGCATTTGTATTAGGCTGTTCTCACATTGCTATAAAGAAATACCTGAAACTGGATCTTTTATTTTTTTAAAAAAAGGTTTAATTGGCTCATGGTTCTATACAGGAAGCATAGTGGCTTCTTCTAGGGAGCCTTCAGGAAGCTTCCAATCATGGCAGAAGGCAAAGGGGGAGCAGCCACATCACATGGTGAGAGAGCAGGAGCAAGAGAGAAAGTGAGTGGAGGGAGGGGTGCCACACACTTTTAAACAACCAGATCTCTGTCACAAAAACAGCACCGAGTGGTTGGTGCTCAACCATTGAAGAAGGATCCACCTCCATGATCCAATCACGTCCCAGCAGGCCCCACATCCAACAATGGGGTTTACAGTTTGAGATTTGGGTGGGGACACAGATCTAAACCATATCAGCATTACTGACCCATTTCCTCAGACCATGAACTAGGTTGTAAATCACTGTTGGAACCGAATCAGCAGTTAGAAGAGAAAAAGTAATAGAGAAAGATGGCACGATAAAAGTAGATGCTTTTGCAATGTGGCCTTGGGAAAGAGAGAAAGCCTGTGAATGGTGTCTTAGTCCATTTGGACTGCCATAACAAAAATAGTTTAGATTGGGTAATATACCGGAATAAAAATCTATTCCTCACAGTTCTGGAAGCTGCAAAGCCCAAGATAAAGGTGCCAGCAGATTTGGTGTCTGGTCAAGTCTCCTGCTTTGCTTCATAAATGACACCTTGCTGAATCATCACATGACAGAAAGGGCTAACAGACTCCCATAAGCCCTTTTATAAGGGCACTAATCCTATTTATGAGGGCAGAGCCATCATGACCTAATCAGATCCCAAAAGCCACACCTCTTTTCTTTCTTTTTGAGACGGAGTCTCGCTCTGTTGCCCAGTCTGGAGTGCAGTTTCAGGATCTTGGTTCACCGGAACGTCCGTCTCCCAGGTTCAAGTGATTCTCCTGCCTCAGCCTCCCGAGTAGCTGGGACTATAGGCTGCTGCCACCATGTCTGGCTAAATTTTGTACTTTTAGTAGAGACAGGGTTTTACCATATTGGCCAGGCTGGTCTCAAACTCCTAACCTTGTGATCCACCCACCTTGGTATCCCAAAGTGCTGGTATTACAGGCATGAGCCATGGCGCCCGGCCAAGGCCACACCTCTTAATGCCATTACCTTGGAGGACAGGCTTCAATATATGAATTTTGGACGGAAACAAACATTCAAATCATATCAAATGGCACTCACAGGTCTGTTGGTGGGCAGGGGACTTCCAATGCCTGATGGAGACGGTGGGAAGTCTTCATAAGTGACACCAATGGTCTTTCCCTGCAGTACTGCAGAGGAAGATGAAGAAAAATCAGTAGACACACATAAGAAGGAGTCTTCCAGAGAACTATCCACTGAGAATATTGAACAAAGTTTATGTGCTTTCCTCTAACAGTTAACGTTTAATGAACACTTATCATTACAACACCCTATGAGATAAGTAATATTACTACCTTTATTTAAAGATGACAAAATTGAGACACAAGTGCATATTTTTACTGCCCCACTACAATCTGTAGCAGGAGTCAGCAAATTTTTTTCCGTAAAGTCAAATAATAACTATATTTCGTATTGGAGGACACATACCATCTCTGTCTCAACTATTCAACTCTGCTGTTATAATGTGAAAGCAGATCTAGACAATATATATATATATGAACAGACATGGCCATGTTCCAATAAACTTTCTTTACAAAGTAAAGAAAAGCTGAATTGCAGATTTGGCCCTAGAACCATAGTTCGCAGACCTCTCATTGACATTTCTGGGACCGCAGACAACTTGGTCAGAGTACAGAAATGCATCTTGTAGATAATATTATTCACTTTCTGTCCGGCATTTTGGTCTTTTAATTTGCATCACTGAGGCAATTTGCTTTAGTTTTGCAATGTCTCCAATGAACATAACTGCAACTCACAAGGAGCCAATAAGACTCTGCCTTTAAAAAGAGTCAAGAAGAGTGGATCCCAAACAAACCCACCTCAGGATAGGGAAGGAAGTCTGGCATCTTTAGACTTGTTCTGAGACTCCTCCCCCCAAATTATAAAGACAGAAACCATCAGAATCAACCATCCTAAGAACAGTGTTGCTACAGAGGATACAGTCGTGCACTACATAAGGACATTTCAGTCAACAATGAACCACATATACAATGGTGGTCAAATAATATTATAATGGAGCTGGAGATGATGTGTAATAGGCTATACCACCTAGGTTTTTGTAAGTTCATGCTATAATGCTTGCAAAACAACAAAATTAGTCAATGACACAATTCTCAGAATGTATTCCCATCATTAAGTGATTCATGACTATATTTGAGACAAAGGACGAGAAGCATTTTTATATTTTTTATAATTCTATTTTAGAAATTTCAGCATAGGCAGCATGTGAATTAATTTTCTCCTAAATACTATGTTCTGACAGTTACATTTGAATTGCCCTAATCAGGAATGTGCACCCCAGATGTGATTAGTTAGCATCTGAAGGATCCCATCTCAGCCATCTCAGAAGCCCTCACTCCAAAGGTCTCTACTACAAGCCTTCCAGATACAGCTTTCTAAATTTGCACCACGAAGTTGGTTAGTTAGCATGAGGATTTATGGTTGTCTAGAAAGAGTTAACCTCAAGACTTTTCTGAAGAAAATTGGATAATCTGGAAAGACCAGCAACTTTACACATTAGAAGTAGCACCCTAATTCTAGAACTCTGTTCCTTGTGATCTATATGCTGCTGCTGTATGAGGAATTCTGTCACCTGAGCCTACTAACATGATTACTGACCCTGCCTTCATAATATTGTATCTTTGTCCCACAAAAAACCTTTCATGCTAAGTGCTTTGCCTAAATGCCTAGGATTCCCAAAGGGACAGAGACTAGGAACCATTTACAGAAATAGGTTATGCAACAGTGTTTGTGCCTGCTCATTAATAAGTGTTCACCTATGTACCAGAATGTGGCAAGAGACTTGCTTTCATTATAACATACCACCTGGTAGCAAGGTTATAGAGGGGAGACATATAGCTCTCATGTACCTCTAATTTTCTAAAGTTGCTGATATGTACCCCAAAACTCTGACAACTGTTTGACCAGTAAATTGACTTAGATTAGGTTGCAGAGATGCATTCGTTTATATTTCCAGAGTGACTTTTGTGCAAACTATCTTATTCAGTGCCTGTATGTGTACCAATGATACAGAAGGCATGGACTCTTTCCTCCAGGAAATCACAATTTGGCATTGTAGGGAAAAAATGTAGTGAGTATATTTTAATATTTTCTAAGGATTGCTTTTTGAAACTGACATTGCTTTAGCTATTTATTATATTTATAGAACATACATCAGCCACATTCATATATAAGCATTTTCATCAATCTCATTTTATAGCTGAGGAAACCAGAAAATGAAAAATTATAAACACAGCTCAACAAAAATCCAATGTTTTTCTAAAGTATTTATTGATAAAAATGGTTGAAGAGGTAAGCGGAAGGACACTCAGAAGACTGCAAGCAAGTTGTAGTTGAATGGCAGATTAAAGAAGTAACTCAAAGAGTAAGATTCTTATCCAAATTGAGCTTGAAATCCCTACTGCATAACCAATCACAAGCAAAAACATGTTCAAATGCATTGAGTCAATTTTCTCTGAAGAAAATCCCTTCAAGTGCTCTGCAAAGTACAAGCTGTAAACAGTTGAACTGCCACAATAAATCAGTCTCCAGAGATCTTTGCATGCGTGTACACATCTGGCCCTCATGTGGTCCATAATGAAACCAGAAACTGATGACTGGATAATCATATTTGTTGCAATTATGCTCCCAAAATTGCATAGCATGTTTCAAAAAGGTTTTATTTCTGAGAACAATCTTGCATAATAATCCAATCCTGTTTAGTCTGAAAGGATCACAGTGGCCACCAGTAATGGAATCATAGATGCAAAGACTGGAGATGACAGAAAAATAAATCTAGTCTTTGTCTTTTTGTTGTTGTTGTTGTCATACTAGCCAGAGTATAGGCCATTTCAGCATTATCCCCGGATTCTTTTTGTCACCCCTTATAACGCAACTGGGAAAGATAGTGGCATTCATTATGTAGTGACAGTAATGTTGTAATTCTCCAGATCTCTTGAAACAGTGAGGAGGAGAGAGTTGCCTGGCTTTGACACAGCATTCTTATCTTAATGAAAATCAAAACTAAGCAGCTCTTCCGCAGTAGCCACTATGCTGGAGAGTCTCGTGATAGCCTACTCAAGCTCTTCCCAAGAGCTTCCCAACTTCTCAAAAAAGGAAGTTACTTATCCAGCTTCACACACATACAGAAAGATTATTAGCTACAGGTCAGACTTTGCAGTTACATGACTTCTGGTGCATGTAGCAAACAATGTCACTGCCTATTGACTGGGAGTCAGGTTTTCCAGGTTGTAGAAGGCCAGTAGGTCTCGAAGTCTTACTGGTAGCTCTCTAAGCCAGTGGCTGCTATTAGATCTCCCCAACTTGGGCTTTCTTGTATTTTATTTTCTTGTATATTTTTGTTTGTTTCTTTTCTTTCTTTTCTTTTTTCACTTGGGCTTTCAATAATCTTTCGCAGTTACAGAGCAACTGCAGCAGCGTCTCTTCCTTGACCCTTCTCTGGGAATGGGGTCATCGTTTCCTCCACGTCTCGCCTCATGGCCTCCTGCACTCCTAATCTACACTTCTTCCTGCCCCCTTTCCCTATCTCCACACCCCAACACACGTGCATACGGTCCTGTGATCTCAGTGCTTCTGAAGAAAGTCTTCCCGTCCTACAAAATTATTTGGGAGCTCCTAGGATAGCATATAAAAATATTATGGAAAAACTGTAGACACAACTTTTTTTTTTTTTTTTTGAGACGGAGTCTCACTCTGTCACCCAGGCAGGAGTGCAGTGGCGCAGTCTCTGCAACCTCCGCTTTCTGGGTTCAAGTGATTCTCCTGCCTTAGCCTCCTGAGTAGCTGGGACTACGGTTGTGTGCCACCATGCCCGGCTAATTTTTTGTATTTTTAGCAGAGACTTGGTTTCACGGTGTTAGCCAGGATGGTCTTGATCTCCTGACCTCGTGATCCGCCCGCCTCGGCCTCCCAAAGTGCTGGGATTATAGGCATGAGCCAGCGTGCCTGGCCGACACACATTTTTATGGATCAACATAGGAAAATACGTGCACTGTTAGAGTCAATAAAATTCTAAATGTAATCACCAATTGAAGTTCTTCAAATAATTTGGAATTGAGGCCCTTGAAATATGAATTTTATTTAACAGTGAATGGTGAGGCTGAGGAGGGGGGTGAGAGGGCAGTCCTGAATTATATGAAATGCACACCTACACCCTTTCATTTAAACACTCAAACAGGCTGTCCGGGACTGAAGCCAAAGTCATCAGACAAAATAATTGCAAATACAAGAGTAAAATGTAAGGAACAAGATGTATTGCACTGACAGTTTATCCAAGTTGTAGGTGGGAAGTTAGGTGTTCAAATAACGAACCAGAAAGAGAAAAGAGCGACCCAATAGAAAGATAGCCTTCTACTTCATATTTCTATCAATGGGGGGTGATGGGAAGCCTTCATACAAGAATTCTGTATTCACACACCAATAAATTGAATTAATATTTTTCACTTTAAGGTGGTTGCACAGCTTCTGTTTTGCAGATAGGCAGCAGGGCATAATGGAACCCACATGGTCTTAGAATGAAGTCCTGCTTCCACAGAACATAAGTTTTCAACCCTGCTGCACATAAAAATCACCCAGAACGTTTTAAAAATCTAGATGCCTGTGCCCCATCTCCAGATATCTAATTCACTGAGTGCAGCCCAGGCATCGAGCTACTTTTTTTTTTTTTTTTTTGAGACAGAGTTTCGCTCTTGTTGCCCAAGCTGGAGTCCATTGGCATGATCTCGGCTCACTGCAACCTCTGCCTCCCGGGTTCAAGTGATTCTCTTGCCTCAGCCTCCCGAGTAGCTGGGATTACAAGCACGAACCACCACGCCCAGCTAATTTTTTATATTTTTAATAGAAACGGGGTTTCACCATGTTAGCCAGGCTGGTCTCGAACTCCTGACCTCAGGTGATCCGTCTGCCTCAGCCTCCCAAAGTGCTGGGATTACAGGCGTCAGCCACTGTGCCCGGCCGGCATCTAGCTACTTTTAAGAACTCCCTGGGTGATTCTAATGAGTTCTAATATTTGAAAATCTCTGTCCTGGAGCAGCAGTTCTTAAAATGTGATCTCTGTCCCAATGGCATCAGCATCACCTGGTAACTTGTTAGAAATGTGAATTCTCCAGCCCCACTCCAGATGCTCAGATTCAGAAACTGAGGGGAGGGCCCAGCAAACTTTTAACAAGCAGTACAGCTGATTCTGATGCACTCTAAAGCTGGAGAAGCACTACCATAGAACAATGGCTCTAAAATTTTGGTTTGCATAAGAGCAACCTTGAAGTCTTAAAAAAATGCAGATCTGATTTAGTAATTCAAAGGGAGGCCTGAGATTCTGCATTCCCAACATGCTCTCAGATGATATCTAAAAGTTTTGGGTAGTGAGGTGTCTTGGCCCACTTGCTGTTGCTTATAACCGAGTACTTGAAACTGGGTAATTTATAAAGAAAAGAAATTTATTTCTTACCGTTATGGGGGCTCAGAAAACCAGGGTCAAGTGGATGCACCTGGGTAAGGCCTTCATGCTGGTGGGAACGCTTTGCAGAGAACTGAGGTGTTGCATAGCATTCTATGGTGAGAAGGCTAAATATACTAGCTCAGTTCTCTCTCCCTTTGCCTGCCTGCCTGCCCGCCCGCCCGCCCGCCCGCCCTTTCTTTTTTGATGGAGTCTCGCTCTGTCGCCCAGGCTGAAGTGCAGTGGCACAATCTCAGCTCACTGCAACCTCCGCCTCCTTGGTTCAAGTGATTCTCCTGCCTCAGCGTCCTGAGTAGCTGGGATTACAGGCACGTGCCACCACGCCTGGCAAATTAGCCCAGCTGCTCAGGAGGCTGAGGCAGGAGAATTGTATTTTTAGTAGAGATGAGGTTTCACCATGTTGGTCAGGCTGGTCTCAAACTCCTGACCTCGTGATCTGCCCGCCTCGGCCTCCCAAAGTGCTGGGATAGCAGGTGTGAGCCACTGTGCCTGGCCTCTTCCTTTTCTTTTTTTTTTTTTTTTCTTCCTTTTCTTATAAAGCCACTAGTCCACTTTTGTGATAACCCATTAATTTATTAACACAGGAATCCATTTATCCATGAATGGATTAATCCATTCATTGAGGCAGAGACCTCATTACCCAATCACTTCTTAAAGAATGCACCTCTCAGTACTGACCCATTGGAGATTAAGTTTCAACCTGAGTTTTGGAGGGGAAAAACATTCAGGTCATAGAACAAAGATAGAGGGATTTTTCTCTGATTTTGCTGTGCACAAGAATTAGTAGGATGCTTTATATCAACGCAAATTTCCTGGTCCAAACGTTTTGGAGTTGGCATATGGGAGGGGAGGCCTAAGAATGCACATTTTGGCCAGGTGCGGTGGCTCACCCCTGTAATCCCAGCACTTTGGGAGGCTGAGGCGGGTGGACCACCTGAGGTCGGGATTTTAAGATCAGCCTGACCAACATGGAGAAACCTCATCTCTACTAAAAATACAAAATTAGCCAGGTGTGGTGGCACATCCCTGTAATCCCAGCTACTTGGGAGGCTGAGGCAGGAGAATCGCTTGAACCCGGGAGGTGGAGGTTGCAGTGACCCAAGATTGTGCCATTGCACTCCAGCCTGGGCAACAGGAATGAAACTCCGTCTCAAAAAAAAAAAAATGCACATTTTAACAAGAAGCTCAGGCGATTCTCACCCAGGTGTCCTCTCAGGCCACACACATTGAAACACTGACTTAAAAGCAAGCTCTGAAACTCGACCTGGAACAAATCACTTTACCTTTCTGAGTCCTCATTTCCTCATCTGCTGAATAAAGCTCATAATTCCTTCTTTGCCTACCTGAGAGAATGGTTGCCAAGATCAACTGAGATAATACTAGTGAAACTGCCAAGCAATTTACACCAGAAGTCAAAGCAAACAACAGAGCTTGGTACTCAGCTACCAGACTTGTGAAAGTGGACAAGGACTTACAGTAGCCGTGTTATTGTGAAATGGCCCTTGGAGAGTAAGAGCAGCATATTCCTTGATCTCTCAAGAGCAGCACTCCTTGTGCCATAACCTGTGACCTAAACTATATCGAAAGTCAGAACCACTCTGAAGGCTGTGACATCTTGATTGCACACATAGAAGAAAAGTGTCCTCTTAAAACACAAGCACCTGTAGGCGCATGCGTGTGCATGCACGTATAAATCCATACACACATTGATGGGCCCTACTGGTTACTTTGGTGGATACTGTGGTTCTCCACTCAGATCTCCTCTTAAAAGGGTTCTTAAACCTATTCGGGTTCAGAAAACAATACTCCAAAATGATGGCCTCAGAAGCAAAAGTTTTTCTCTGACCTTCTGCCCTCCTGTATCTCATCCCCATTCTCCCCAAGGCTAGCCAGAGAAACTAGAGTCCCTCCTCCCCAAGGTGGGTCATAGAAACCAGAACCCCTTTTCCTTAAAGCCAGCCATAAAACCCAAAAATATTACTATTTCTTTCCACTTCTCTGTGTAAAAACTAGCCATAAAGAAATCATTTGACCTACCTTGTTTTACTGTAGGTCAAAGAACCCCGTTCCAGAGAAGGCCCTGCCGCACTCCCAGAAGGAAGGAATGTATTCTCAGAGAGGCTAAGAAGAGTCTAGATAGATAAGTCCTGCGGGGTTTCCCCACCCAGTCCATTATCATTAGCTCATACCTTTCAGTCCAATCCTATTTCTACATGGCTGTCCATATGTAACCAGCAAAAGGGCCCGGCTGCTTGCCACTTGTAGAAATAAACCAAAATAATAACAAGGTATGATAAAAAGAGAGTGAGACTTTATTATCTGTGCCAGCAAGGGGAAGGGCAGAAAAAAATTCCAGTCTTCAATTTGTGGAAGGAATGCAGGAATATTTTTTTTTAAGGGTTTGGAATGCAGAAGAGGCAAGGCAGGGATAGGAGGTGCCAGGCAATGTGTCTTGTTCCGATGGCTCATCTTGAATTATTGTTTCATCTGGTGTAGGGGCCATCGTGGCCCAACGAGGTTACAAATTAATTACAGTCAATCTTGCAGCTAATCTCTAGCCGAGAGTGGGTTCCGGCCTTGAAGTAATCTTTTATTGGAGAGAGAATTCTGGAGGTGTCTGGTCTATATTAGGATCCGACCCGTGAAGCTTGTAAGGAAATACAGGACCAGATAAGTGAGTATGGTGTGTGCTTAACAAGGATCTAGGTAAATGAATGTGCAAAAGGCATGGGGGCATAAAGTGGAAAATGGAAGGAAAGAAAACATTTGGAGGCTGTAAAGTATATCTCAGAGCTACATCTTGAAACTGAGGGGAGGGAAAGGAAAAAAACTGAAGGAAAGGGGAAAGGAAAAAAATGTTTTATAACATGTTTTGAGGTTAAGCTGCTAAGCTGCTCAGTTACACATACTGTGTTGAACTGAAGCATAAAAATGGATATTTTTTCTTGTATCTTTGAGTCTTCATTCTAAAGGCTCTGGTGTGTACACATTATATAAATCTGTATACCTTTTCTCCAATTAATCTGCCTTTTATGAATTGGTTTTTCAGTGAACTTTCAGAGAGTGAAGGGGAAGCTTTCCCTTTTGGCCTCTACATACCCATCCCACAACTACTGGAAATATCACCTGCAGATAATTGACAGCTGCATCATTCACTGCTAATTGCCCACAACCACTGGAGCCTATTCTCCAAAATAGTAAATTAAAAACAATATTTCAGGGCCGGTGCGGTGGCTCACGCCTGTAATCCCAGCACTTTGGGAAGCCGAGGTGAGTGGATCACGAGGTCAGGAGATCAAGACCATCCTGGCTAACACGGTGAAGCCCCATCTCTACTAAAAATACAAAAATTAGCCAGGCATGGTGGCGGGCGCCTGTAGTCCCAGCTACTCGGGAGGCTGAGGCAGGAGAATGGCGTGAACCCAGGAGACGGAGCTTGCAGTGAGCCGAGATCGCGCCACTGCACTCCAGCCTGGGCAACAGAGCAAGACTCCGTCTCTTAAAAAAAATTAATATTTCATTTCATGCAAGAAATGATAAATTGGTGTCACTCTCAAAGACTTAAAAAATGCAAGGGTGGTGGTCCCCAGCATACCCCCATTTATTTCTTCATTTATTTTTTGAGATGGTGTCTCACTCTGCTGCCCAGGCTGGAGTGTAATGGCACGATCTCGGCTCACTGCAACCTCTGCTTCCCGGGTTGGAGCAGTTCTCCTGGCCAGCCTCCCAAGTAGCTGGGACTACAGGCATGCACAACCACGTCCTGCTAATTTTTGTATTTTTAGTAGAGATGGGGTTTCACCACATTGGCCAGGCTGGTCTCGAACTCTTGACCTCAGGTGATCCACCCACCTCGCCCTCCCAAAGTGAGGGATTACAGGAGTGAGCCACCGCGTCCAGCTGCATACCCCCATTTAAATTCATCAGCCAGGTGCCTATAAAAACTGAATGGATCATAATAAATAATGGGCTACCAGAAACTTAACCATGTAGTAGCCCAAGTAGTTGCCTAAGAATATTGGCAACAATTCTCTGAGGTAGGTAGGGTAGGAATTATGAGCCTTACTCAGAAGATGAGGTAATTAGCAATGGGGTCAAGTGATATCCCCTAAGTGAAGTCTCAGAGCTTGCTTTTAGGTCAGTGTTCCAATGTGTGGCCTGAAGACACCTGTATTAGAATAACCTGGGCTTCTCGTTAAAATGCACAATCTTACGCTTCACCTCCCACAAGCTCCAAAACTTTTGGACCGAGAAATCTGCATTTATATGAAGCACTCTGCCTATTCTTGTGTGCAGAAAAGTTGGAGAACAATCCTTTATAGCCTTGTGCTATGGGTTGAATATTTGTTTCCTCAGAAACATCATATTGGTGTACCATATGATACATCTATGCTAGAGCAATTTAACATCAGTCTGGCCTTTTTTCCCCTGTGAAATATCAGTGATACCGCAGCTGACACAGCAGCATTAATTGTGGCTGCTACTTGGTTGAGCTTGCAGTAGTCTTCAGTCATTGTTCAGGATTTATCTTGTTTCTGCAGGATCCTGATCGCCCAATTAAATGGAAATATAATAGCCTCCAACCATTCTGTATCCTTTAGATCTTTAAGATTAGCACGAATCTGCCGTATCCTCCCCCTGGGTTGTAATGTTTTTCATTTACTACGCTGGATGGGAAGAAGGAAGACTCAAAAGTCTACATTTGATCTTGACCACTATGAAATCTTTTACCCCATAGGCCAGTAACTCAGCATGGGAGATACTCCAATTGTGAAGTATGTCAGTACTAATTATATCTTTGGGGACTGAAGAAGTAATCATCAAGTGAGTCTATGGGCCTGTTGGACCCACTATGAGCCAGATTTTGACCAGGTGCCTGTTTATCACCTGGCCCCCTGTGCCCCCATTTCTAATAAAGGGGATATGATGATGATATGGGTCTCTGGGTATCAATATTAAATCAGAACTTGTGCCCATGAGTCCTGTAAGTGTCTCATTATTCCTTTTTTTCCTAGTGTACAGTTACCAGAGTAAATGGCCAGAGGTCCTTTTAGGGAAGAATCAGAGGCAACATCACAGTATATGCTTGCCATAGTGTTACAGGTTTCTTCTTTCCAGATATCTAGCCAACTCTTCAGCCAGTAGATTTTATGTCTGAAATCTGGCTCAAATTCAACAACTGGACAAGGTAGCATGAGTTTTTATTGAGGTAATGTTCTCAGCCTCCTACTAATTAATCTTTCCTTTCTTTGATTATATATATATATATAAAGTAGTACATTCATTGTTTCTAGTGATGCCTAGGGACACTATATTCTATTAGTGTTCTTCATAGTCATCGGAGGTCAAGCCCTCGTGGCTGCCACTAGGACATGGCTGTTTATTACAGTAATTATGACTCCCCGGCTTCTGGTTATTAAGCCTCCCATTTGGCCACTATTGAATCATGACCCCATCTTCCTCATTACTATCAACAGGCTCCATGACAACCTCTCCTACCATCAGTGATAGCCTACAGAGGAAAACCACCACTGAACTTTTGAATGATACCATTACCTGTCTCACCAGCATATTCCTGATAGCTTTGTCATGAACTATAATCTTCTGGTAGGTCTGGTCTCATCTATCCAGTCCTGCATTTCCACCCTCCTAAGCCATTTAATCTTTCTGTTCGCTGTCTATCTACCATTGTAAAACTGTTCAGAATGGGCCATTGCTTTATCTGTGTTTCTAGGGGGCTCCCAAGCAGTGAGTTTATACCATTCCCTGAAGTTCTTGCTAGGGTGTTACCATGGACTGAATTTCAGAGCTCCCCAAAATTCATATGTTGAAAACCTAACCACCAATGGGTGGGGCCTTTGGGAGTTGGTTAGATCATGAGAGTAGAGCCCTTGTTAATGGGATTAGTGTCCTTATGAAAAAGGTCTCAGAGATAGGCCCTCCTGTTTTTCACCATGTGGGGACACAGCTAGAAGGTATCACCTATGAATCAGGAAACAGGCCCTTACCAGATGCCAAATTTGCCTTGATCTTGGACTTCCCACCCTCCAGAACTTGTGAGCAATAGTTTCTGTTGTTTATCAGCCACTCCGTTTCTGATATTTTGTCATAGCAGCTGGAAAGGACTAAGATGGATATTAAATTCAGTGTTCTGGAAGAGTGCTCCCAAGTCAATAACTCTTCCTTGTCTAGTTTTATGATCCAATCTCCTTAGTCAAGCATCTTCAACATCTAGTCACACAGGTATTCACTCAGCTCCTGTTTGTACATTCTGGCTACTTCTTGTAGTTTCTTTGAGGTATAGTGTCATACCTCTGTTATCATGCTCATTGCATGTCCAGTTGGATTAAATTGTAACATAACCCTAGTTACCAGCCTGATAACCAGGAAATGACAAGGGCTCTGCAGTGTCTTCTGGCACAGAGGTAGTGCTAGCTCTTAATAGAGAATTGGGGTCCATTCTGCAGTCTGTGAGAGCTCAATGGAGTCCAGGAATCAAAAATATTTAGGACATACAATCATGCTTCTCCATCTCATGTGTTGGACTGCCAGGTTTTCCTGACTAGGTCCTTGGCCTTGGCATAACAGACTTACCTAGAGAGTCAATCATCTTTGAAGTTCAGTGATCCTAACTGGTTCTCGACATCAAGAAATGTTTCTCCCCAAGAAATATTTGGCAATCTCTGAAGTCATTTTTATTGTCATAATGTTGTAGTACTTTGCTCCTTGGTTCAGCTAAAACCTGGGTTCTTATTACACAACCCGGAAAAATTAGGCATGCGGATACATTGAAGGCTGAGTAGAGCAGGATTTTATCGGGCAAAAAGGAAACAAAGAAAACACAATCTCAACAAAGTGAGATGATGTTCCCCTAACAGGCCCTCCACCTCACAGATTGAATCCCAGGTCACCACAGGAGCTGAAGAGAGCAGGGTCCTCCCCTGCATAAGGTACAAATACCCTGTGACTCTACCCACTTCCCCCAATGCCCATGTTGGGCTGCAGTCCACTATGGGCATGCCCAGACAAGTCCCGGGTAGGTTCCCTCGTCTGCACAAAAGCATCGATGTAAACACTTGTGAGGCAGGTCAGAATTCTTCGGGGACCCCTTTTTATCTACCTAGGCATTTGGCTGTCTCAATAATGGGGTTGGGGTGTTGCTTGTATCTAATGAGTAGACACTGGAATGCCACTAAGCATTTTTAAATGCTCTGGAAAACAACAAAGAACTGTTTTGCCCAAAATGTCAGTTGTGTGGATGAGAAACCATTCCAACATTTCTTGATGTTGAGAATGTTCTCCAGGAAATAAGACAGATTTCTGGACAAACTTTCGTAGATGGGGCAAACTTACTATAAGGGACACTATAAAGAGCAGGGTAGGCCGGGCGCAGTGGCTCACACCTGTAATCCCAGCGCTTTGGGAGGCCGAGGTGGGCGGATCACAAGGTCAGGAGTTCAAGATCAGCCTGGCCAACATGGTGAAACCCCGTCTGTACTAAAAAATACAAAAAATTAGCCGGGCATGGTGGCACGTGCCTGTAATCCCAGCTATGGGGGAGGCTGAGGCAGGAGAATGGCTTGAACCCAGGAGTCGGAGGTTGCAGTGAGCCGAGATCATGCCACTGCACTCCAGCCTGGGCGACAGAGCGAGACTCTGTCTCAAAAAAAAAAAAAAAAAAAAAAAAGCAGGGTAAAGAGTGAATACTGTTGTGCTCCACCCATATTTTCTTGGCTTATATGCTATTAGAGGGGAAAAGAAAGACCGATGGATTCATCAAATGCTAATAGCTGACAGCCAAGTCCCTCACTAGTCATCCTTTTTGACTGAACGCCATTGTCTCAACCTAACCTCATGCCTCCTCCCAAGGATTGTCTCATGGCTAATGGCTGGCTGAAGACTACATGCAAAGCTTTAGCCCCCTTACCTCAATTTGGAACAACTCTGAAGTCTGTCTCTGCTTCAGAACTCTCTATAAGGTTGCTTGAGATCAGCTTCTCCCCCTATTCAACTGAGGCCAGCTTCTCCCTCTACTCAATCCTGCCTTCCTCACCTTCATGCAGGTAGATGTCCCAAGAGGACTTAACAATAAACCTGCTCCTAACTCTCCATCTCAGAGTTTGTTTTCAGGGAACGCAATCTATTATGTTTACTCATGTGGATGTCAGCTGCAGTACTTAATTTATTCCAATAAAGTAACTATTCTTTCCATTAAAAAGTTGTGTGTAATCAAAATAATGCTACCTTCTGTGATACAATCACTGTTTTAATGTGAAGATACCAAGATTCATAGCGTTTAGGTTAATATAACAGAATGCCATAGACTGGGTAAAACAACCAACATTTATTTCTCACAGTTCTGGAGGCTGGGAGGTCTAAATCAAGGTGCCAGCAGATCCGGTGTCTGCAGAGGGCCCATTTCCTGGTTCAAAGATGGCTGGCTGTCTTCTAATTGCATCCTTCCATGACAAAAAGCAGAGAGAGGAGGCAAGCTTTCTCTTATAAGAACACTAATCCCATGATCAGAGCTCCATCCTCACAATCTTATTGCCTCCCAAAGATTTCATTCCAAATACCACCACATTTGGAATTAGGATTTCAATATATGAATTTTGGAGGGACAGAAACATTCGGTCCATAGCACCAAGTATGATATAAAGTGTATGCATACAAACTTAAGTGTGATTTTTAATCCATAATTTTTAGTGCAATTTTAATCCTAGGGAATTATTTGTTTACTGTAAAAATACTATGTCGGTTGATACACTCTAATCCAGAGATAGGAAGTTCTGCAAATGGCTAAGTAAATTCATCCAGGTAGACCCTGTCCTTCTAAACAATTACTATTTATTTTTTCTCTCATCCTTGGAGTGTGATGTAATTAGAGTTATAAATACCATTAGGCAGAATATCCACCTGTTTTTATTTGTGGGGTAGTGGGAGTGAGGAGTGGGGGTTGACCAGTACACCAAGAAAAAACTGGAAAACTATTTGTCAAAAAAGGATACAAAAAGGGAGAGCAAAAACCATGCCACTGCATAGTTTTTATGTTGTCTGTAATTTACATTAAAATATTTCAATATAAACAGTGTGACATGTATGTGTGTGATTTAGCGTTAATCTATAGCCTAAGGAGGAGTTCAACTAGAACCTGAATCAAGATTAATTAGTCCAGATCCCTCAGAATGCGGAGGATCAACTGAGAGCCAATGAGATAGAGGGACCAGTTCAAAGTTACAAATCTAGTCACTAGTGGTACCAGGACAAGCATTTGGATCTCACACTATCCAGTGCTTCCTGCCATGTTACAGAAACTACTAACAAAGTTTTGAATTACCAAATTGAATAGATGTGAAGCAGCCGTAAGCCAGAACAAATGGGTAAAACTGCATGCCACCAGAAAATGTCATTAGCAGTCTTTCTTTCTTTCTCTCTCTTTCTTCCTTCCTTCTTTCTTTCTTTCTTTTTTTTCTTTTTGACGGAGTTTCACTCTTGTTGCCCAAGCTGGAGTGCAGTGGTGTCATCCTGGCTCACCACAACCTCTGCCTCCCGAGTTCATGTGATTCTCCCACCTCAGCCTCCCAAGTAGCTGGGATTACAGGTGCGCACTACCACACCCCGCTAATTGTTGTATTTTTAGTAGAGATGGGGTTTCTCCATGTTGGTCAGGCTGGTCTTGAACTCCCGACCTCAAGTGATCCGCCCCCCTTGGCCTCCCAAACTGCTGGGATTACAGGCGTGAGCCACCACACACGGCCAGCAGTCATTTTTATAGTGCAGCTTGGAACATAGAAACAAAAGGCCTTAAAGAACAGCCTTTCAAAGCTTGGATCCTGTTCATAAATAGAAAGGCTTCTGTATACTCCATGTGATAAATAATTATAGTTTTTATTCCAATGCATTCAACTCTCAAAAGTCATGAAGGTAATTAAACCCATAACTCATGCCCCTATCAAATATTCACAATGTAAGTGTTGAAAATCAACTCTTAAAATAAAAATATTAGTTACTAAGGAAGTATAAGTAATTAACTGCAAGAATTCACCATCAAAATAGACTGTTTTTCTATGCTGATATAATCAGCACTGACAATTATCATAGCTTCCTCAGTCCTCTGTAATATTACTTTGGGCAAGAGGAATTTCCCTAGCAGCATTTCATGCAAACACTCCTGCTCTTTCATTTTATTTGTTGCAGTATCTAAATCTAAGCCATGTTTTCTTATATTCTATTAAGGTACCTAGTATTTTTCTTGAGCTGAGGCAACTTTCACAAATAACGTCAGCACATTTAATCATATACTTCATAAAATAAAAATTTAAACATTTTCTCATGTAATAATTCTCTCTCAACCTCAAATTGTTGTTTTTGTTTCCTGATCTGTAGCAGTGACCCCAAAAAATGTTTTTCAAAGTGGAAAGGTTTTACTTAGGGCCAAACAGGCTTTGTCCTCACAGAGCAAACTCAAATTAAACCAATGTTTGACTACTTGTCATTGCATGGGTGAAAAATTACTCCTGCCTTTGCCTCCACATAGCTGCATCTTTCCCCTATTTGTTCGATTCTCACTCCCTCTTCTGTCAAGCCTGAACCTGCCTAGTGAGTGTTACTTCTAACATTGCTCAGAGGAGTTTCTGGAATGGAAAGCTGTGACTGCAACACATTTCTGCCTTTTCGTCCCCTTTTGGAAAAGGGTTAAGCCACAAATGAGAAAAATAACTCAATCTGAGAATGATACATTTAATTACTTACAAGTCACTCCTGGATTTCTCCCTCTAAATTATTCTCTTGCCCACAGATACCTGAGGAAACCTCACCGACATCTACTTATAGGAAATAATCAGGCCTCCTTATCCATGGCTTCCGCATCCATAGGCTCAACCAACCGAGGATTGGAAATACTTAACTTGTACAGACTTTTTCTCTTGTCATTATTATCTAAATCATAAAGTATAATGACTGTTTACATAGTCTTCACATTGTATTGTGTATTGCAAATAATCTAGAGATAATTTAAAATGTACAAAAATGTGTGCATAGATTATACGCTAATGCTACACCATTTTATATCAGGGAGTTGAACATCCCTGTATTTTGGTAACCAAGGGGGTCCTGGAACCAATCTGCCTCAATACCAAGGGATGACTGTACCTATTTTAATACTTAGAATAAAACTATTGTTATTCCAAGGCAAGAGTGATATCAGATACCACAAATAATTGTTATTAGCAGTCACTTTTATAGTGTAACTTTGAACTTAGAAACAAATGGCCTTGAGAAAAGCCTTTAGGGCCTGTAACCTATTCATAAGTAGAAAGGCTATACATACCTGGTTGAGGATTTCTGTGGGTAGAAACATGTAGTATCTAATCAAAAAGCAAACATTTTCTTTTCTTTTTTTTTTTTTTTGTGAGACAGAGTCTCGCTCTGTTGCCCAGTCTTGCTCTGTTGCTACAGATCAGGAAACAAAAACAACAATTTGAGGTTGAGAGTGCAGTGGCACTATCTCGGCTCACTGCAACCTCCGTCACCTGGATTCAAGCGATTCTCCTACCTCGGCCTCCCGAGTAGGCGCCCACCACCACGTCCAGCTAATTTTTTTTTTGCATTTTTAGTAGAGCCGGGGTTTCACCACGTTGGACAGGCTGGTCTCGAACTCCTGACCTCAGGCGATCCACCCACCTCGGCCTCCCAAAATGCTGGGATTACAGGCGTGAGGCACTGTGCACAGCCCAAACATTTTCTTAGAAATATTTATGTGAGATATACAACATTCTTCTCTCAAACATTTTTCTACACTCTTTTCCCAAGGTCATTGCTGTTTTCTTTTCAGTAGACAATTATTATCTTTTAAATGTAGCCAAAATATATAGACAGGTGGTACTGTTTCTGAAATGTAAGACGGAAGATCTGGCAAGGTGATACCACTCTGTTTTTTGTCATATTCAAATACCATGCACAAAATTTCTATTTTTTCTGAAGAGCATTAATAGTAGACAAAATAGCAAGTCAGTTGAGTTATGTCCAAGTCACTGTCTACGTGTCTCTGCCCCACCAACTTCCACCATTCCTTGCAGAGAATACATAGAAAAAGACAACACAAGGTTGAATTCCGAGTAACCATTTGAGAGGAGTCCATAAAATAACAATTTTATAATAATTATTTGGTGGTGAAGCCAGACTCCCTCTCAGAACATTTCCTGCTTGAAGAAATGAAGGTGAGGATTCTTTGGAAGTAGAATCACGTGCAGAAAAATTCTTCTAGGCTATCTTATCTGAAGACCTAGAGTAGCAGAACCTCTTTTCTTTGGCCTCAGCAATGCTATGATATATACGCATGGGATATCCTTAAAGTTAGAAGTGCCCTGGTTATGGTTGTTTGATTGTAAGACACCATGCTTAGCAGCTCCTAGGACAGCTGTCAAGCAGCAGAGTCCGTGGACTTCAGGAAAGCAACTACAGCAACAGCAGGGAACTGGGTCATATGTAGATTAGAAGAAGCTTCAGGCAAAAAGGACAAATTCTATTCCTGACTGCTACTTGTCTTTTGCATCTTGAACCCCAACTTCTTGAAGTATAAAACCTGATCTACGCATATAGGCTTCACAGTAGCTATAAGATAAAATAAGATGACTTATGTAAAAATATTCTTTGTAAATCTTTCTCTAAAATGTAAAGGGCTGGAAAAATATCTGTTGTCATAATTATTATGTTATTATATTGCATTAGTTCTTTTACTTAATTTTTCTGTAATTCCCATGTAGATATTATCAATGTTTTAAAATAGTTTATCAACCTATTTCTGAAGTGTGGGTTTATTAGGCTGTAAAATTCACCAGCATTTATATAATTTAATATAATTTTAAGCTTTTAAATATTTCATTTTCAACTTGAAGAGCCCTTCTGAAAATATTTCTGAACTTCTGATGCACTTCAGAAATTATCTTTTGGGATCAGGTAAACAGTCAATGCTAAAGATATAGTTCTTCAGTAAAAATTCTGTGGTTCCCTGTTGATAAGCCCCACTCCCAGAGTCAGTGAGACCTAAGAATTTGCATATTTAACAAGAAACCACCACCATTCTTTTTTTTTGTTTTGTTTTTGAGATGGAGCCTCGCCCTGTCACCCAGGCTGGAGTGCAATGGCACAATCTTGGCTCACTGCAACCTCTGCCTCCCAGGTTCAAATGACACTCCCGCCTCAGCCTCCCGAGTGGCTGGGATTACAGGCACCCACCACCATGCCCAGCTAATTTTTGTATTTTTAGTAGAGACGGGGTTTCACCATGTTGGCCAGGCTGGTCTCGAACTCCTGACCTCGTGATCTGCCCGCCTCAGCTTCCCAAAGCGCTGGTATTACGGGAGTGAGCCACCACGCCCGGTCTAAACTAACTTGATAATAAGAGTTACTCAAGGTGCTTAATAAGTTCTCAAGCACTTTAAGAATTAGTCAAGGTGGCAAGGCACAGAGGCTCATGCCTATAATGCCACACTTTGGGAGGCGAAGGCAGGCTGATCACTTGAGCCCAGGAGTTCAAGACCAGCTTGGGAAACATGACAAAACCCATCTCTACAAAAAAAAATACAAAAATTAGCAAGGCATGGTATCACACACCTGCTGTTCCAGCTACTTGGGAGGCTGAGGTGGGAGGATCATCTGAGCCTGGGGAGGTCGAGGCTGCAGTGAGCAGTGATTGCACCACTGCACTCCAGCCTGGGTGACAGAGTGAGACCCTGTCTCAAAAAAAAAAAAAAATTACTCAAGGTGTTTAATAAATATACAGATAACCAGGCCTCTTCCTGGAAAATCTGTTTAAGTAGATTTGAGTTAAAACCCAGGAATCTGCATCTTTAACAGGCACCCCAAGTGACTGCTATCATAGACACACATTTTTTTTTTTTTTTGAGATGGAGTCTTGCTCTGTCGCCAGGCTGGAGTGCAGTGGCTTGATCTCGGCTCACCGCAACCTCCGCCTCCTGGGTTCAAGCGATTCTCCTGCCTCAACATCCTGAGTAGCTGGGAATACAGGGGCCCGCCACCACGCCCAGCTAATTTTTTGTACTTTTAGTAGATACGGGGTTTCACTATGTTGGCCAGGCTGGTCTTGAATGGCTGAACTCGTGTTCCACCCGCCTCGGCCTCCCAAACTGCTGGGATTACAGGTGTGAGCCACCACGTCCAGCCCGGCCAAAGACACACATTTTTAGACCACATGTTAAAAAACACTGGTAAGAAAAACATTTTTTATTACAAAAGTAGGAGCACAGATCAGGACTCTTTTCAGAATTAATGCTTATTAAACAGAGTTAGTATAACTATTGATTATTCTTACATAAATGGATTAAAAAGAAATAATTTTCAGGGAAATATTATTTGTCCAATGAAAGACGCTGGGTCTTTGACAGTGAATGATGTAAAAACTGGAAATAGATAATCTTGTCAACTCTAGCCAGCTCTGTCTTATATCAGCATTTTACCTGATACTGTCTTTCCCGTCACAGGTGGATTTATCCCAATTTTTATTTATCCCCATTACAGAAATCTGGCAAGATCTGGCCTGATTAACAATCATCGCTCCACAAGAAAAGTCACACTTTACCTCTACTTAAGTTAGAAACTTTGTGCCATTTGGAGCTTCATAGTGCTGTATTTGAACAAGTTAGGTATGAGAAAGGGTCAAGAGATAAGATTCTCTTTAAGTTCTGCAAGCTGGATGATAGAAAACTCTATAATTTTAAAGAAGTTCAGCTGCTTCTGACGGAATAGGTGGAACTGATGAAGGGAACTGTAACTCTGAGTCATAGGATGGCTAAATATATTTTGAGCTACAGGATAAGGAAATGTCTTTCTGAATAGTATGAAAAGACTCCAATTGGTAGTAGGTACATGGCTCCAATAACTGAAAGCATCTGAGAATAAAAGTATTCTATGAGCGTCTCTAAACAATTGTGTTTCATGGATGGCTTTCCAAAAGTTTTCCAACAGTTATTTTTTCGTGGATGGTCACAGAAGTGACCATCTCCTTCTGTAAATATAGAAATTGTTGGCCAGGCATGGTGGCTCACACCTGTAATCCCAGCACTTTAGGAGGCCGAGGTGGACAGATCACCTGAGGTCGGGAGTTCAAGACCAGCCTGACCAACATGGATAAACCCCATCTCTACTAAAATATACAGAATTAGCTGGGCATGGTGGCGCATGCCTGCAATCCCAGCTACTCGAGAGGCTGAGGCAGGAGAATGGCTTAAACCCAGGAGGCGGAGGTTGTGGTGAGCCGAGATCGCACCATTGCACTCCAGCCTGGGCAACAAGAGCGAAACTCCATCTCAATAAAAGAAAAAAACATATAGAGAAATTGCTTTTACTAAGCCCTCCCACACCCTGGCAGAATCGGTGAGCTATCCCTGACCACATGATTAACAGAGGTTTCCTCAGATAGGTTCTGCATCAGGGAGGTAGCCAAATCACATAGGAAAAGTCACAGCAAGGAGAAAAATTCTGAAACTTCAGTCGACACTACAGGTCTCATTATTATCTCTAGAGATAGTACTGATTTCTAACTAATGGGAGGTTGTAAATGGGTCAGCTGACAGATAACAGCTGACAGGCCAGTTCTTGAAGAATAGCAAATCATGGCACGGCCTAACATTTTAACCCCTTTTCACTTCCGTATTTCCTTAATATATATTTTATACTACTTTGTCCTATTATAAAAGTAGCATGAACATTGTCAGAAATTGAGAAAGTAGGGAAAATTAGAAGGGAAAAAAATAACACCTTTGTAATCAATCATTTTGGACAAACTGCTTAAAGTAACTTTGTTCAATGCAGTGACATGGGAAAGATCTGTCATATCTGAGAGTTGCAGGCAAGTGTGGAGGTTGAAAGGCAGCCTGAAGGGGTAAAGAAAGTATGTGTTCTTGTTGCTGTATGACTCTGTTCAATCTTCTTGCCTCTATTCCTATCCCCAAAGCCTTCCACTATGACCTTTGGAACTCCCAATCTATGTTGGCGAGTTCCTCTAAATTCTAAACCAGTGCTTCACCAGCAGTAATGTGCATTTGAATTACCTGGGTTCCTTGTTAAAATGCACATTCTGATGTTGTGGGTGTGGGATGGAGCCTGAAATTCTGCACTTCTACTTAGCTCCCAGGTGATGACAATGCTGCTGATCAGTGGGACACATTTTAAGTAGAAGGTCTCAAGCCACTTGTCAATTGATAGTTTCACCACCAAAACCTCATTTGAATCTGGCTGTTCTGTGAGGACACTGCCTTCCCTTCACTCCATATTTCTCAAGCATCACTTCCAGACAATTATTTCCATCTACTTCACTTATGGAAAATACAGAACCAGTTCCTTGGAGGCTCATGTCTTCCAGTTATGCCGGCCCCTCCCCCTCTTTATGGCAATCATTTACCAACTCTTTGTCACTCTACCTCATTCATTGAAGACTTTAGCATCTAGCAAGAGGTGTGGTAGGGAAAGACACAAAACAGAATTTTACAGGATAAGCTGAGTATTACTGAAGAA
Source organism: Homo sapiens (assembly GCF_000001405.40). Taxonomy (NCBI): domain Eukaryota; kingdom Metazoa; phylum Chordata; class Mammalia; order Primates; family Hominidae; genus Homo; species Homo sapiens. Next base: position 140,952,145 of record NC_000023.11, on the reverse strand, counting down.
ATTCACAAAACCTGCCTGCCAGATGTACATCATTTTAAATTCCTGGTTACTATGTAAGAGGTAATAGCTGTTCACAAAAATTTGTCCCGCCCTTTACAGTACAGAGTTAGAGAAAGAGAATAGCAGCCCTGACATCAGCGAGCTATCCTGGTCCTATCAGCTTGGCCTGGGTGTTGCTAGCAGCTGGCTTGTCACTCACAGAAAGGCCTTGATATTCTCCTTTTGACCATGAGCAATATCATGGAACATCAACATCAAACAAGGCCACTCTGTAATGTGACCATGATGGATGAAGACAAAAACAAGACCATGCCGTAGTCACATTTAAATACAAATAAATTATGAACATTGTGCAAGTCACAAAAATGATCAAGCATCCACTGATCCTGACCAATGTAAGTGATTACTGCTTCTTCACTAATTGCAGCCTTAGCCCATTCTAGTCTTCACTCCTAGATTAGATTTACTAAGGTACCCAACCATAAAATTACCCCTGCCTTCTAACACACCCAATCCAAAGGAAAGTTATACTTCCTTAAACCCTTCTCCATATCACCTAACTTAATCCTTAAACTTGTAATAAGTAATATTTAACACCCTCTTCCTGAGAGGCCTCATGGTTCCTACGGTGTGCATTCTCTCCTGCTTCATGAATACTAAACCCAACTTGCTCCCTGCAGTGGCGCTTCTGGCCATCTTTGGCATTGACAGGTTGTATCTGAGAAGATTCTGCAACATGTGCCTTGGCCATGTGATTAGTTCTAGCCATTAGATTGTAAATGGAAGTATATATGCCACTTCTGAGTCAAGGAATTTTTTTTTTTTTTTTGAAGTGGAGTCTTGCTCCGTCTCCCAGGCTGGAGTGCAATGACACAATCTTGGCTCACTGCAACCTCCACCTCCCAGGTTCAAGCGATTCTCCTCCCTCAGCCTCCCAAGTAGCTGGGATTACAGGCACGCACCACCATGCCCAGCTAATTTTTGTATTTTTAGTAGAGATGGGGTTTCACCATATTGGTCAGGCTGGTCTCGAACTCCTGACCTCAGGTGATCCATCCGCCTCGGCCTCTCAAAGGGCTGGGATTACAGGCGTGAGCGCCTGGCCTAATTTTAGTTTTCAACTTAAACTTCTTTTTCTCAAAGAAGTCTTGCCAGACCATGCTTCCCTATCCTCTCTCTTGGATTTATGTGAAGTCCTTTGTTATTCTCTATTGTCAGTTTGCACTTACATATTTATGTGATAATTTCTTTACTGTTTGCCTTCTCCATTAGAGGTTAAGTTCTATAAGAAAAACAACTATGGTAATTTTTATTAACCATTGTTTCACTAGAAAGTGAAACTGTATTCACCCCAGAGTAGGCGCATACATAAAGCTATCTGTTGGATGAAATAAATAAATGAAAGGATGAATTAATACGAATAAATAGTATGAATATTCATTTGCAAAATAGGAGAAGGAATCATAGAGCTGTTATATGTATACATATACAGAGCTGTTATATGTATACATATACATGTATGTGTCTGTGTATACACTGCACGTTCATATATGTAGCTTCATTACAGTGACTACTAAAGTATGAACTTAAGGTAAAAAGAAAATAATCACAGCAGAAGATATGAGATGTGAGAGAATATAGTGAGCTTTTGTTAAACGTGAGATTAATCCATACACATACAAAATAACAATAATATTGATGAGTAAATTAATAGCACAAACAAAAAAGATGGAATAGAAATTTAAAAATACTTGTAAACAGTGACATGAAAGTTGATATGTATAAAATATAAAAGAAGAAATATGGGACTGATTATATGAACTTGGCCAAGTCATCAACCTTTCTGAACCCTAGTTTGCTTATCTATAAGCACTCAAAATATGTTTGTTGAAAAAAATTAAGCTGTAAAATAAAAGAACTGTCCTTTCCAGATTTGGTGTTCTATGCCTTTTTAAATGAGATTGGACTGCTGGAAATGCATGCCTGTTAGACAGCCAGCCTCAAGGAGATATTCAAGTCATTTTAAAAGTAGAAATTATTTTCCCAGTCGGGAGTGGTGGCTCACGCCTGTAATCCCAAAACTTTGAGAGGATGAGGTCAGGAGTTCGAGACCAGCCTGACCAACATGGTGAAACCTCATCTCTTCTAAAAATACAAAAATTAGCTTGGCATGGTGGCAGGTGCCTATAATCCCAGCTACTCAGGAGGCTGAAGCAGGAGAATCACTTGAACCCAGTAGGCATTAGGCAGAGGTTGGAGTGAGCCAAAATTGCGCCACTGCACTCCAGCCTGGGCGACAGAGCAAGACTCCATCTCAAAAAAAAAAAAAATTATTTTTCCATTTTCTTTTCTGAAAATACATAAAAAAGGATGAAAAAGAACCTGTAAGGGCAAAAACTATAGAGACAGATCAGCATGAAAAATTGAAAAATGTAGCGGGTGATAGAGCATCACATCTTTCAAAATCAAAATCTGTCCACATTTTAAAAAGCACTTTTCCTAACTTTAAGTGATCAGCAAATTCTTTCCTTAATGAAAACAGTGCTAGTCCCTGGCTGTTAGCTCCCAGTGCACTGCCATTTGCAAGCAATCATTTTTCTCTCCACTTTATTTTCTATGGCTGGACACTAATCAAGCGTATCACCAGGATGGAAGCCTCAGAAATGCTTAGTGAGCTCACATGCCCGAGCTCCTTTTTCTGAGTCAAGGGTTAGCCTGCTACTCCTGAGTCACAACCATCTTTCATAATTACCATCCCTTCCGACAAATCCGTCAGGAGCACCACTGTTTACTCCCAAGGCAGCCCTGGCCTCGGTAGATGTACACAACTTTTTGTTTTGCATATTTTACTTTCTGTGTTCTGTGGTTAAAGACTATTATACTATTATTGTTTTGAACAAATATAACCCAGCAGGTATCATGACCCTACTTGGAGATGACAATTTTTGAAGGATTTATGTCATAAGAAAACACACTAATAAATGTAGTCGAACAGATGGATCCCGATCACAGATTCAGAAAGGTTGAACATAGTAAGTAGTGAAGATTGATACATACCTACAAAGCAGCAATCTGGGCTCAGAGAACAGAAGGCTGCCACAGATATTTGGCATGTTTACTGAAGCGTTAAGAGTTTCACAATCCTCCTAATTATTATACCTACCTCTGGTTACATAGACTAGTCTGTCGTGAGTTTTCCACTTACTTATTTAACTCTTAAATACCATCAACTTTGAAAGAATATCTATGTTCTTGCAGAAGCAATAAATTTTCTGTCATGCTATTAAACACTGTTCGCACTTTAGAAATGTCAGTGATATTTGCAGTTCTAAACAGTACGTTTCATGCCATTTCAAAGGTGCAGTTGTTAGAGCCAAAAATATTCATGTTTTAAAAGACTCATATAAATGTCTCAGGGTCAAAAGACATGAAAAAATCTCTGTTTCATCTTTAGTCTGCTCAAATGCATTATATAAAAGAATGTCAGGGAGAAAATAAGTCTAGGAAGATTCCCCTGATTTACAAAATGAAAGGAAGCTTTAGATTCATCTCAATTCCCATTTAGAGTTTATAAAAGTCTTTCTCGACTAACAAATTTCAACAGATAAGTAAAATCACTCCATTCAATCTATTTGACTAAACACTGAAGATAACATTGTGTTTTTGATTGACAGAAATAAAAAAAAAAGTCATCCTTCCTGGAAACTGAGGATGCCACATTCTGTGTATGCCAAGACATGTCCTCATCTCCCGAGACCATGCCTTCCACTTAAATCCCATGACCTTTAAAAAACTTGGTGAAAATTAAAGTTGCCCAGCAAGTTCAAGAATTCAATGTGGTAACCAAAAGTCCACTGCCCAAGCTCATACATTCAAAACATGACAATCCACTGTTCACGTTTACTGTATTTCACTCACCAAAAAAACTTAACAATTATAAATACATTCAATATTTGTTCAGCAGATACTGAGGGCCAAATATAGTATCAGGCACTGGAGAGGAGAGCTATAAAGAAGAGAGGCAAGGTCCAGGTACCCTAAGAAATCACAGTCTACTGGTTAAGGCAAATTTTAAAACCAAATGTGCAATTTGTGCTAAAAGACAAATCACGATAACTTTGAGAATATATAAGAGGGGGACTTTGCCTGGCCAGAGGGGTCAGTGAAGAGTACCTCAATGAAGTGGCATTTATATGGAGAACTCGTGAAAGAATAGGAATCAGCTACATTTAGAGAAGCCACTGGCCTTGGTTCCAATAAATCTGCAAGATACTCTCATCCTAAACTGTAAGATCCCCTTATAGCTGCTTTAGCTATTAAATCATAGGCCTACTTAGAAGATGTGGCAGAAATTCTTCTGTCTTCCCCTATGGCTTGCCAAGTAATTCTATGAGTCTTTAACTGATGCCCTTTTCTTCTCCCATATACCACCCCCCTGCCCAACACACAAATTCCTCTGTGAGAAATGGAGCTAAAATTAACCCAGAAGAAAGTTGACATATTGGTCCAGAAAAACAAAGAAATTAAAATGTCCAGCCTCTAAGTTCAAAAGGCAAGAGCATTCAGACACGCAGCATTCTCTATACTGTTTCACCCCCACCTTTTGAGCTGAGGAGAGTAGAAGGGCATTTGAGAGGGGAAAGCCAAAGATCTGTCACCATCCTTCACAGAATTCGGGTTGGGGGAAGAAAGAAGAGCAAGCCTTGGAGAGAGGTACCTGCCTGTTGTGACAAAGCACATAGGCTATCATGTATATGGGAGACTTAGGCAAAAAGGGTCTTTTTGCTTGCAGACCCCTGCAAGTTTGGCAGCACCAGAGTTTCCATGGGTATCTAATGGAGAATAAAAGTTGCCAGATAAAAATAGTGGGTATGTCCAATGTCCCATGGCTATGATGAAAAAACAAGCAACAATGGATGCAGTGATAAGGACAGTTCCATCCAACCCAGCAACCAGGACTCCCTCTTTAGAATCAGATGAAGAGGTAGTTACATAATGACCACATGCCAGAGTAGAAATGGCCATACATGGTTATGATCATGGAGACAACTGTAAAAGAAGTATGCAGAGTCTAATCAGATACCATAACAATCTCTGTAAGAATGGTAGCTCCGATGGGAAAGTACAAAAAAAATCCTGAATTCACTCAGGTAGTAGAAATCAGTTCAAGGACATTAGCTATGAATTTGGGGAATGGGGGGTTTGAAGACTCTCATCTATTCAAATGATGGTAATGATGACAGAAGAATGATGGAAGTAAGGGTACAACTTGATCTTACAAAAAACCAACCCTAGCTAAAGGACATGGTCTCTGAATTTCCTCTCACCACAGTGACAAAAACAAGAAGCTCAGTTTACACAACTGCACACAAATAGACTCTCCCTGGAATGCTGTTGACTCTGTACTGCATCCTACCCTCAAATCTCTGGCCCATAAGTGATCTCAGTTGCCTTGTAATGACAAAATCAGCTTGCCTGGCCTGATGATGTGCTACTCTCCTTGAAACTAAGTATCCTTAAAAATCTTAGGGAGGTTTGGAATAAAAAACAGATATAATGAAGTGAACAAAGTCCATAGTATGAATACCAATATGTGAAATTCAGAATAATGTGTGTGCAGTTGGTACTGAATGTGCTTTTGATGTTTAAGAGAATATGACATATTTTAGAGTAACAGTTTAAACAGAGAGAACAGACAGATTCTCATTTAAAATGTTTTATTAGTTTGTCATTTTTTCATTAAAGGATGTAAAATATTTTGACTAAATTTACTTTTTATTGTGTTAGAATATTTAAGAGAAAACTTGAGATTCTTTATATTTACAAGTTTAAATTATTCAATATATGAGTTGTTCAAGCAATTTACAATCTCTGTTTGTTGGGATCATAAGTTTGCCTGGTCAGGTATTGAAGTGCTTAAAAAGAAAATCAGATATTTTGATATGTTGTGTTTCCATTTTCCTCTGCTTCAGAAATTGTTTAAATTTTCATCTTAATGTCGTTGCTGACCTAAAGATCATTCAGGAGTATGTTGTCTAATTTCCATGTATTTCTGTGGTTTTGAGAGTTCCTCTTAGAATTGATTTCTGGTTGGTTTATTCTGCAGTGGTCTGAGAAGATACTTGGTATAATTTCAAATTTTTAAAAATTCATTAAGACTTGTTTTGTGGCCTAACGTATGGTCTGTCTTGGAGAGTGTTCCGTGAGCTGATAAGAAGAATGTATATTCTGCAGTTGCTGAGTAGGATGTTCTATAATGGTCTGTTAGGTCCATTCTATCTAAAGTTCAATTTCAGTGCAGTGTTTCTTTGTTGATATATTAGACTTTAACATGTACTCTGAAATGCTAAAAAGAATTGAGGAATCTGGGTTTACACTTAGAAGTTCTTTTAATTAAGCAGAGTTCAGTCTGTTCAGCTTGAGTTGATCCAACATTAATCAAAGGCTGCCTTGCAAGGGATTGATAAAATACACAGGATTTATGGAATAGACTAAGAGTTTTAAATTACATTTAAAAGTGAGAAAAATAACTACTTTTTAAGTGGTTTTTAGATAAATTAATTTAAAACCAAGTAACTGCAAATAGCATTTCCTGCGCACAAAAGGTCCCCCTCAGGGATCAAAAAATTTACACTGATGCAACCGAGTCATTCTCTCAAAGACCATCTCAATCACACTCTCAGGAACTACTGTGCATTTCCTATACCAAAAACCAGACTAATAATGGCAGAAATTGAAGGCCGGCCACTCAAAATACCATTCTCAACGCTATCTCCCTGGCTCATCTCCCATTATAGAGAACCTAAAGCTCAAAACATTACTTTCCTTGCCTTCTTCACAGCAAGTGATAACCTGTGACTCAGATCTGGCCAAGAAGACCTAAGTGGAAGTTTTTGGGTACCCGCTGCTTTCTTGAGGCATATACAAGAGGAGAGCTACTGATAGCGGTTCTTCTCCACTTCTTTCTGCCTAGGAAAGATTATGTGATGTTGGGATGTGCAGCAACTATTTTGTGATCCTTAGGTGGGCAGCACAAAATTGACAGAGCAACCTGCAAAGAATGGCAGAGAAGAAAAATAATAAGAGTCTGGGTCATTGAGCTTCCAGACCAACCCTGGGGCCATCTGTGTCTGGATTTTCTTACTACTAAATAGTAAATATCCTTTTTTTGAGGAACTACTGGACTTTTGTTACTTTCAGGCAAAAGCTTGCATAATGGATATACAAGAGAAGGTCAACTGGAGTAGGATTGCCCAATAGGATCAACACAGATAAGAAGCAGAGAGCATTTCGAGGCCCTTTCCTCAAAAACCTCATATAACAGCAGCATAAGCCGAGTTCCCAACAACATTATCACCGTGCTCAAAAGCCTAAAAGAAAGTGCAAAAAGATGAAGAAGGGAGAAAAAATGTGAGATGTTTTAAATCTGAATGTGGATAGACTATTAATTTGTATTAATTAATACATCACAGATTTGGACTGAGTTTACCTGGAAGCAGCTAAATTAAAGATTTTATTCCTGTTGCTATGGTGGTGGTCATTGTTGTTTTCTACTGCTAATAAGGTAGACTTGGAAAAAAAATGCTTTCACTAACATAAAAATAAAGTAAGTTATGTTTTAGCATATTTGAGTCTGTGACCGTGGTATTCACACCTTTGTATCTCTTCTTTAGCTATTCAGATATTAGGAGGCTGCCTAGCATCAGACAGATTGACAGATGAATATGCTTACAGAATATATCAACCATCTCACATTAAATTAAAACATATATTGAGTTCCTTCTATGTGCCTAGTTCTGCTCAGGCTTTGTATTTCTAGTTTGGTACTTTTAAAATATTTAAACAAAACAGTTGACTTCGCAACTCTGGGCAATACAAACCACAAAAGCTGAACGTGAATCTGAACTAGAGGCCAGTTTCCTAAGGCTATCAGAAGGCTGAAATCTCATAAAAGAAATCAAAAGAAGGTAGAAAACAGTCTTTCTCTCTTTTCCATTAGTGGAATTGTAAAGGTTTTACTTCTTTGCATATTGATTTCTCCTATGATTTGCTAAATGCCTAAATAGAAAATCTAATGTCTTTTTTCATGATCCAGCTGAACCCAATAAACTTTGTTGCCTTTGTTCTATGATACATCCTTGGATTATAAGAAAAACATTATAAATGGAAAAGATATTTCAGATGTTGCTGGGGTGGGATGCCTGGAAAACCAACTCAGCCAAACCTGATTTACCAAAGCGGGGAGGAAGATAAAAGGCCCACAAAGTCCCACCCAATAAGGCTTTATTGTTTTTAAATTTAGTTAAAAGCCAAGACTCTGGCTTATTCATTCCCATCGATATCATCAACTGAGAAAGGAAGCATGAAAGCTTATCTATTGATTTTGCTTTGGCTTTATAAGTAAACTGCACACTCTTGTTATCTAAGCATTTCCAAAACTACAGGGTAAGCAAAGTAGACTTTAAACCATTTTGCATTTGGATTCAGTTCACTCATTGACTTTGATAATAGCACATTGTATGTTGGTTTCTGCCAAAAATTCATTCAAGAATAGGTCAATAAATAGAGTAGATGGAGTGATGAGTGGATGCATAGTGTGTACAAGTACAGAAATGGCTATTTCCAATTGTCAAGAATTTTGTATAGCCTGACAAGGGTTAATTTACTTCAACCATTAATTTAACTCTTACCAATTGATTGTCTTCTTACCAGATACCACTTCCACTCCATGCGGCTCATCCTTTGCAGGAACTCTCTCAATTCCTCCATGCTTCCTGTCTACTCCTCAACTAACAGTGTACCTTTCCTTTTCTTTTTTCTTTTTGAAACGAAGTTTCACTCCTGTTGCCCAGGCTGGAGTGCAATGGCATGATCTCGGCTCACCACAACCTCCACCTCCTGGGTTCAAGCGATTCTCTTGCCTCAGCCTCCTGGGATTACAGGCATGTGCCACCACATCCGGCTAATTTTGTATTTTTAGTAGAGACGGGGTTTCTCCATGTTGGTTAGGCTGGTCTTGAACTCCCGACCTCAGGTGATCCGCCCGCCTGGGCCTCCCAAAGTGCTGGGATTACAGGCATGAGCCACCACGCCCAGCCTAAGCCACTGTGCCCAGCCCCTTTTCTTCTGTAGGAAAGAATATTACCTTGCTTTCCACTGCACAGCCTCGTACATGCATCATGCTAATTTTCAGTGCAGCTGTATCAACAATTCCTTGAGGTGACTGTCAGCATCTGTAAGCCCTCATCAGGGACATGTACCCTCATGGAAAAAAGCAATGTTTTTAAACAAATAGCACCTTTCAACTTTCTTGTAATAATTGTCCCTACATCATGTTTATCTTTCAAATCAGCCTTTAGCATTTTAAAGTATACATAAACTATATGGCAAAGTTATCTTTTACTCTATCCTAGGGATTAAATGGGGTAAAGTGGGGAGGATTCGCTGATATTAAATATATATCTCTGTGTGTGTGTGTGTGTGTGTGTGTGTGTGTGTGTGTATACACACATATATTCAGATATATATTCCACACCATATGTATCTATAAACATATATAGATATCCTTAGAAAAATTAGTAAATTAATTAAGATGTAGAGCTATATAGTACTTTATAGATAATGAATATCTTTTTTTTTTTTTTTTTTGACGGAGTCTTGCTCTGTCACCCAGGCTGGAGTGCACTGGCATGATCTCGGCTCACTGCAACCTCTGCCTCCTGGGTTCAGGCCATTCTCCTGCCTCAGCCTCTCCAGTAGCTGGGATTACAGGTGCGCACCACCATGCCCAGCTAATTTTTTGTATTTTTAGTACAGAAGGGGTTTCACCATGTTGGCCAGGCTCGTCTCAAACTCCTGAACTCGTGATCCACCCACCTCGGCCTCCCAAAGTGATGGGATTACAGGTGTGAGCCACCACACCTGGCCATAAACATCTTTTTTTGTTTGTTTTATTTATTTTTTATTTTTATTTATTCATTCACTCGAGAATATTTATTGATAATCTACTATGTGTCAGGCATTTTTATTGGCACATGAGATAAATAAGTAAACAACAAAACATTCAATGATCCTTTTTCTTGTGAAAACCAGCAAAGGGAAACATAACATTTGTAAAAATCATTATAAATTACTAAGTCGAAGTTTATATCTATTGTCCTGGGATAATTTAATGGCACCCGCTTTCATTTTCAAAAATATCCCAGTTTTTGCAAAATGTTATATGATCATTCTATAAATAAGTATGTTTAAACAATGAGTAGTGCTATGGAAAGGAAAACAGAAAAAGTACAGCAGGATAAGGGAGTCTGAAATGCAGAAAAGAGTAGTTGCCATTTTAAATAGAATAGTCACTGTAAACTTCATTGACAGGGTAGCATTTGAGCAGAGTCTTGAAAGAAGTATGAGTGTGGGCTATGCAGCTCGCTGCATAAAGACTATTCCTGACAGAGGCAACAGCGAGCAACAATCTTGGAGGTGAAATTGTGCCTAGTGTGGTTGAGGAAGAATACCAAGAAAACCTGCAAGGCTAGAGCAAGAGCATCTGAGAGGACCAGATGAGGAGGTCAGAGTGGTAATGTGGGCAGGCACATCATGGGGGGACATGTAAACATGAAGATTTGGACTTTAATTCCAAGTGAATGAATGAATTCACTGGGGGAAAAAGGAGAGTAATAAGTTCCACTAATATCTGACTTGCGTTTAGCAGGATCACTCTGGTTGTTCCATTCAGAATGGCGTTCAGGGCTGGAGTGGCAAGGACAGAGGGACACCAGTCAGGCTGCTATTGCAATAATCCAGGAAAGAAGTGGTCATGGTAGCAGTGAAGATGGGGGGCAAATTGTTGGATTCTGGATATATTTTGAAGGAAGAGGCAACATTTTAATTGGATTTTCAGAAGTCTGAGAGGTGTAAAAAAAAAAAAGCTATTTTTAACATTCCCATTTTACAGATGAAAAATTGGAACTCAGAGAGGATGTAACTTGCTTAGGTTTGTACAACTAATTGAATGGAAGTAAAAGCATAAAACCCAAGTCTCCTATTAGCCTGGGACTTTCTCTACATTGTACAGTGATTCCCAAACATATCACATACTATACAGTAAGTGTGAACTCTCCTAATACCGAGATTCGCAGGAGTGTTTTCCAACAGAAAAAGGGAAGAACACCTTTATCAGCAATAGCTTGGGGTTTCACCTAGGATACATACTAAAGGTTTTGTTCACTCTCAGGAGTGACACTTTTGACTGAAATGATTAAATACATAAATGAAATGATTAAATAAATAACTGTAATGATTAAATGATGATTTGATTAAATGACCTGTGCACATGGACATGGCTTAATACCCTCTAAAGAGGCATTACTCTATGATGGGAAAAGGGAAGGAATAGATAGACTTGGGTTTAAATCCTACCCTGATATGTATTAGCCATGAACTTAGCTCAAGCTGCCTCTTGAATTGGTTTTGAACACTAAATAAAATATAGTCTAAAAAACACACCAGGTATGTTCTTACAGGCTAATTCTACCACCTAGAATTTTCCTCCCTCAGATCTTCATCTGAATGGCTCCTTCACCTCAATCAATATTTAATCAAATGGCATCTCCAGAGATAGACCTTCACTGAACATCCAGCTTCATTTTCTTCAGAGCAATTGTATTAGTCCATGTTCACACTGCTATCAAGAGCTACCTGAGACTGGGTAATTTATAAAGAAAAGAGATTTAGTTGACTCACAGTTCCACATGGCTGGGGAGGCCTCAGGAAACTTATAATTATGGCAGAAGGTGAAGGGGGAAGCAAGGTATGACTTACGTGGCGGCAGGAGACAGAACGAGTGAGGGGAAACTGCCAAACACTTTTAAACCATCAGATCTCATGAGAACTCACTCACTATCATGAGAACAGCAGATGGGAAACTGCCCCCAAGATCCAATCCCTTTCCACCAGAGCCCTCCCTCGACATGTGGCGATTACAATTCTAGATGAGATTTGGTGGGGGCTGGACACAGAACCAAACCATATTAGCATTTATCACTATAGAAAATCTAATTAATTCCTTGTTATATATTTATAGTCTCTCTCACCAACTAAAATGTGAACTCTTATGAAGGCAGGGATTTTTTTCTTTTTTCTTCTTTTGTCATTTTGTGTCCCCAGTACCTAGATTAGTTCCCAATACACAGTAGTCTCCCAGAACATTTGATGAATAAATGACTGTTGTGTCCCTGTCCTGCTCCCTTCCTAGATTAGGACACATTAGTCTATTTGTAGTGTTCTGTGTTCTTTCCCACTTCAAGGCCTTTGAATCTAGCGTTCTCTCTACCTGGCATACTCTGACTCCCACTCTGTCTAGTGGACCTCTACTCATTTTTCCAGTCTTAGCCCAAATGGTCACTTCCTTAGAGACGTCTTCCATGATCTCAGACTAGGTCAGTTCTGCCTATCTTGAGCTCTAAGAGCACAATGTGCTTTTCCTTCATAGCACTTGCTGCAGTTTACAATTATTTATTTACTAGGATGATTAATTATTTAAGATCTGTCTCCTGAACTGGAATGTAAGCTCTCTGAGTTCATTGCTGTTTATATCCAGCACCTAAAACATGATAAGACACTCAATAAGTATTTACTAAATGGATAAAGAAAGGAATCCACACATGTGCAGGAAACTCAGCACATATTATAGAACTTCTGCATGTTTATTGAAAACTCCAAAAATTGAGTTTGGAGAAAAGGGATCCATTTCCAGGAAAAGGTAAATTGTGAAAATATAAATAGGGGCCATGGCTTCCCATTGCACAAGCAGGGAAGATTTACTGACATGAAGGCAAATGGTTTCCAGTCACGTGACTAAGTAAGTAATACAAAGGGCATTTCAAAATATTGACCACACAGCCAATTTCCTCTAAAATTATGTTTTTCTGTTGATCCCATTTTCTTTCAAAAAATTCAGCAGGAGGGCTTGCACTCTGTGTGTAACTTCCTATAAACAAGAACGTGGTTCATTGGCTTCAATTCTGAAAAATGTTACAATTTCAATGCGAAGCTGTCAAGTGAATAGAACAGCTAACTAGATAGCTGTGCCTCCGGCACAAGAACAAACTCCGTTAAGAATTGAAATCCTCGATTCGTGAGTCTCCTGCATGGTGTCTTCTGCACTTCAGTAGGAGAGGATATGAGGAACTACATGGTTCATTTGATATTTATATGTGCACGTGTCATTTGTAAGTATACTTGACATTTATGATTAAAATCTGGCCCTTGGAACGACACTTACTTAACAATGAGAGATATTGAGAGAGGGGAGCATGTTTCCTAAGTAAAGAAGGAGGAGTAACCACAATTAAGCTTCATAGTTCAAAAGCTTGCTTTCTTTAGGAGGACTGAGCCTAGTGTTTGCTGGATTCTGCCCTCCATGCCCCAAAATGATGAAAAGAACATGTATCTATTTTGTCTTGGTTAGGTAATTTGTTGCTGTTTGTCAGAAAATAAGAACGAAAACTCTTGGATGATTTATACCCATGCACATAAGGCAACTTTTGCCAAATCATTCTATGTCCTTTAAGCATCCTAGGCACCCTAATCAATGACCCACCCATCCCCCAATTTTTTTCCCCTTTCTCAAAGGATCCTGTGGCATGCTAGCAGAGTGCAGAACAGCAGGGAGACAAAATAAAGGCCTTAAGAACTCCAATATTGTTGAAAACATATAGGAAACAATGGTTTTGACAGCTGTTCCCATCTGCAACCAGATTGGGTGACTGACCTTCTTTATCACTCTAATTTTTATACCTTATTATCAAAATTGCACTGCCCACAGGCCAAATATGGTCCTCCAGGTGTTTTGTCAATAAAGTTTATTGTAACACAGCCATGCCCATTCATTTACACAGTGTCTATGGCTGCTTTTATGCTACAGCAACAGAGTTGAGTGGTTACAGCAGAGACTATCTGTCCCACAAAGCCTAAAATATTTGCTATCTGGCCTTTTACAGAAAACTTTTACTGACCCCTGCCTTAGGCTCTGATTACCTGACAATTGAAAAAAATCTGGAAAGATTAAAATATTAAATCGTGTTTATAAACAAAATATAGTAAGGTCTTCTCTATGTTGGTTTGTCTGTCAACCAAAGCCTTCAACTTTTAAGCAATAATTTGTTTTCATTTTTGCTTCAAATCTTTATAAAATTTAGCCAGATTGTCCTCTCTCCATTCTAAGATGTATTACACATTAAGCAGAAGATACTGAGCATAATTTAATAATGTGACATAACAGAATGAGCATGGGCTGTGGAGTCAAGAGATCTGACAGAATGCGTGCTAATCCCATTAACAAATAACCCAATGGGCATTCAGATGAAGACATAGGAGCTTCAAGAACTGTCAAATATTTCCTTTTTGTATTTCTCTGTTTTGAACAAATACTGTGTCTCCAAGAACTTGTCAGCTCTGGGTCGTCTCTGTTAATGGAAAAATTGAGGTCACATCCTCCATTTGGTGGCAATTTGCTCACCTAACCTGCTGACCTTTTTCATGTTCTCCATGTTCACTGGCACTGTTTTAATCTAGATCAAACTTCCTGTCTCCTAATAAAAGCCAATCAACATCAAAACCAGACTGTTGCCCCTGCCCTGAGCAATAGGATGCCAGAAACCGAAGTTGCTGAGGACATTACAAAGAACTAAATAGTGATTATACACTGACAGCAGAATTTTTACCGATTTACTTAACTATCTGTAGTAATGACTCTCTTTACATCAATGAAACATCTAGAGTGTGGCTGTGTACTGTAGGAACTGGAAGGGTTGAGAGATAGAGGTTTGCCTCATTGAGCTTTTGCAAACAATGATAAATGAGATCTTTCACATCAGCCACAAAAGAGGGATCTTTCCCTCCTAGGTTTCCTGAAACAGTTTGAATTAATGGCCCTGGCATATTTGAAAAGACTTTCTGATTTTTCTTTCCTCTCTTGTCTGTTTTCTTAGCTTAGTTTGGGGAAAGGGCAATAGAGCAAATTGTGGTAAAGGTCCATCTCTTTGATAATTTGACTATTTAAAAGGTATTTGCTTTTCTGTCATCTATGGAAAAAAAAACAATGAAAATATAAGATACTCTAGGATTTTTTCAGCTCTCCTGAAAAATGCTTTTCTGCAGAAAAATGTCATAGATCTGTTGGCCCCATAGCTATTAAAATAATATTCATCACCCACTCAGCCACACCAGACCCAAGAATTCCCTGCCTCAGAGGATGAACTGGAAAGTGTTCATTTGAAACCTCACACCAGGCTTCCTATAATCAGGATTGCAGCTTTTTCGCCTCCCCTCCACAAAACACTCAGAGTTATCCGGAGGAGACAATCCTATTTGAGTTATAAAAGCCTACTCGAGACTATCTCAGCTTAAGCCTGAGGAAAACTTGGAATTGCAAACCTAACAGCTCTGCCCCTATGTTCCGCAGGGTGATTCCCTACATTCCCTACATTCCCACATTGGCTCCCTCTCATCTCCTGTGGAGCATAATTACTGATACATTGATACAGAAGCCATCATCACCCTGTTTGCCAGAAGCTGGAAAACGTTTCAGTACACTCCTTCCCTGGTAGACAGTTTAAGTGCAATGGCTGTGTTTAGGCAAATAGGTTCTGCAACAGGACCTCCAGATTGCATGGCTTTGGGGTTACTGTTCAAATTGCGGTCTAGGTGAATGGTGCCCCCTTGGAATTGTGCTGTGTGCAACTTGTGCAACCACACTGTGGTAGGCAGAATAATGGCCCCCAAAGATGTTCACGTCCTAATCCCTGGAAATGCGAATATGACAGATTACATGGCTATGGAAAATTAATGCTGCACATGAAAATAAGGCTGCTAATCCACTGACTTTGAGATGAGATTACCTGTGCGATGATTGATTTTAGGTGTCAACGTTGCTTATTTACCAAACGTTATTTGGTCAAACATTATTCTAGATGTTTCTGTAAGGGCTTTTTAGATAAGATTAATATTTAAATTGATGGACTTTGAGTAGAGTGGATTTCCCTGCATAATCTGATTGGGCCTCATCTACCATTCGAAAACCTGAATAGGACAAAAGACTAATTTCTCCCAAGCACCAAGCAAAAAGGAAATCTCCAGCAGAGGGCCTTCAGACTTGAACTGCAACACCAGTTCTTCCCTGGGTCTCCAGCCTACTGGTGACTTCAGATTTTGGACTTGCTAGTCTCCACAATCATGTGAGATAGTTCCTTAAATAAATCTCTGTTTCTGTCTCTTTCTCTCTCTCTCTCTACTACATATATATATATATATATATATATATATATATATATATATATATATATATGTATATATATGTATATATGTGTATATATGTATATATGTATATATGATATATTATTACATATATTACATATATTATTACATATATATTACATATATATGTACTAGAGAGAGAGAGAGACAGACCCAGTAGGATATATATATATATATATATACATATTTCTATATATATTTTTTTATTTTTTTATATATATATTTACATATATATACACACACACACACATCCCACGGTAGTGCTCTACTACATCCCGGATGATCTGAGCAAGTACAGCGTAGTTACAAGGGCTCTTTAAATATGAAAGAGGATGTCAGAAGAGAAGGTCAGAGTGATAAGAGGTAAGGACTTAGCCTACCATCATTGGCTTTAAAGATGGAAGAAAGGGGCCATAAGGCAAGGAATGTGGGCAGCCTCTAAAAGCTGGAAAAGGCAAGAAAATAGATTCTCCTTTAGAGTCTCTAGAAGAAATGCAGCAGTGCTGACATCTTGACTTTAGCCCAGTGAGACCCATTTTTAGATTTCTGTCCTCTAGAACTGTAAGATAAGACATTGCATTCCTTAAGCTGCTAAATTTGTGGTAATTTGTCTAGCAGCAGTGGAAAACTAAGGCAGCACGGCAATAGCCCTTCTCTGGAGTCTGACACACCTGGGCTGTCACTCATTATTCATTATTCTCTACCATTTACCACAAACCTGCAATCCTTGTTTGCAATTCCAAAGGTTAAAAAAGGTTTTGAAAAATAAGGGTATTTTGTAACTTATTTGACAGCAAAACCTGAATTGACGTGAAATAGTATGGAACTATTTATAATCTTTATTTATTTCACTAGGTGTAAATATTCATATATTTCAATGCATTAATATTAATGTATTTGATGATGTGCTATTGCCACCAATCCTGCTAATGATTTTGTATAATATGTGATACATGTACCATATATCTTTCTAAAATCCAACAATTTTTGAATCCTGAAACATACCTGTTCTCAAGGGCTTCAGATAAAATATTACGGATCTATCAGTTACCTGGGTAATTTAATTGACTTCTTTAAGCCTCAGTTTTCTCATCTGAAAGTACCAAACATTCAATAATTATAACAAATGTTAGCTATTGTTACCCCCTTTTCTCTTTGTCTATCTTTACCCCCTTTTCTCTTTGCCTCATTGTTTTTGCCTATATTTGCATGCCACATGCACCTAGTACATTCTACAAATATTTGAATGCCCAATATGTACCAAGCACCTTGCTCCCTTTCTCCTCTTCTCCAGTGTTTGTGTTGAAATAAATCCCCCACGATTAACCATAAATAAGCCTGTCCAAAACTGTCTGCAACAGACACTCTCTGAATGCCACAGACGCTCTCTGAACCCAACAGACAAACAACATTGAGGAGTATACTGGTCAAAGGATCAGAAGTAAGAGGAATGAGTTCTAGTGTTTACTCTAGTTCATAGCACTGTAGAGTAAATATAGTTAGCAATAATTTATTATATATTTTCAAAAAGCTAGAAGAAAGGATTTGGAATGTTCCCAACACAAAAAGTTATTAATGTTTGCAGTGATGGATATGTTAATTACCCTGATTTGATCAATACATATTGTACACATGTACCAAATGTTACCCTGTGTCCCATAAATATGTATAATTATTACGTGCCAACTGAAAGTGAAAGGGGAAACAAGGACCAGAGGACCAGCAGGAAGCAGAAATTTGTTTATTGAGCAGTGGCAAGCAAAAAGCATTTATGAAAGTCCCTATGCATACTGTAGAGCTGAGAACGAAGAATTACACAGACATGATCCCTGGTCATAGAAGCTTATGAAACAACTCAACCGACAATATAGCAGAGAATCACAATGACTTTAGAATATCATTGGAAAGAAAAACGTATTAAATTATAAACTGTCTCAAATCATTTAATAAACATTTCTTAATCATTGAGTACCAGGGCTTTCACATACATTGTATCATTTGACCCTCATATGGATGTGACGTGGCTTTGATTATGCCAATATTTAATTGACGAGAAACTAAGGTGCGAGAGGTGATCTAGTGGCAGAGTCAAGATTTGAACAGCTGTCTATCTGATCCAGCTCCTATGTTTCTTACATTGCACTATGTTGTTGCTTAGGGTTTTTGTGTGTGTGTTTGTGCTTCTTGATTTAGATAAATTGGCTGAGGTAGTAGATATAAGCAAACAAAGTTCCACAGGAAGGATTAGGAAAAAGCTCAACATATTTTAAAAATCTTTTCCTTCTCTGCAGTCTTCTTTCCATGGCTTGCTCTACTTAGCCAAAGTTACAAATGATACTTTCCCTCAAATTAAAAAAAGTTCATCTTTTAATTCTTGGAAAGAAAACCCTCAGTATCCTTAAACCAAAATGCACATTGTGACCTTTTTAACCTTTGAGCACAACAGAAAAACAAGCAGAACCTCTTTTTCTTTGAGGGATTTTTTCTCTCCTCTTTATACATGCAGATCATATTCCTTCGAGATGCTGATCTTTTCCCATGATGCACTCCGCTGACAGAAAGACAAGCTTACTGCACAGAAATGCCAGTTGAGTTGACAAGCAAATTCCATCAGTATGCAATGTTTACACAGTACAGTTTAGCAACAGCAGTTCACACAGTCTGCCGTCTTGGATCAGAATTCTAATTAAGCCTTAAATCTTCTGACTTCATATTAATTTTTATCACTGAGGTTTTAGCTTTTTGTTGTAGAAATGTGAGGCTTTGCAAAGAAAACAGAAATATAATGTATTACTGGCTTGGTCTGGGTGGGTGTTTATAAACATCTTAGTGTACTATTTGTGGAATGAATGTGTGATTCTTTTTGATACATCTGGTTTTTTATCAGTATTTACTAGCTTTAGTAGTTGCTGAGGATCAGAGAATTACAGTTCGGGAGTTGCCTGTCCTCCAACTGACACATAATAGGTTTGTGAAACAAACTTTGGTTGTTGGTGGTAATGACTATTGAGCTCAAGTGACAAGCATCCCTATACTGCATTAAAAAAATGACTGTATCAGTAAATTTAGAGCAAATAGGAGCCAAATTCAAACAGTTTCTACCTATTAAAACTTTTGAAGTATACTTCAAAAGAGACATCTAGAAAGCCAAGTGCCAATTCCATTTCTTTGAGCATTTACCTTTTTGATAAATTTCACCATCTCTGTCACAAAGGCACAAATGGCACTTATGAAGTACCAATTACTGTGAAGCAGCTCCATTGAAGTCAATGTTTTCCCCTCCCTTAGTTCAGACTATATATCATTAACTTTATCACCTAAGATGTTTTATTAAAAATTAAAAAGAAGTACTATTATTTTTCTAGAATTAGAAATGGCAGAAAAATAACACATTTTAGAATTTCACTCTTTAAAAGCAATTTTATTCCCATCACTGTTGCCGAACAATGTACACCGATGACAGCTCAAAAGGCATTAGGAGGGAAGGCGGGGTGATTATGCAGTTAACAAAAGGTTTATGATTCTCTTTGAGACCAAAATGAAGGGTTTCAAAGATTCAGCCCATCCACAGGACTTGGATCCTGGTGTTGCCAGAGACACCCCACCTAGGAAGTTCTACAGGATCAGGGGAGATTCTACTATTTGAATTTCCATTGAATGACATTAGTGTCTGGTAGAAGTTCCACTGAATGGAGACAGAGAGGCTGGTGTGGACAAGAGACAGCAGCAATCCGCAAACAGGAGTAGGAGGGAAAGAGTGTTTTGCTGAGAGTCAGACAGAGAGGCTTAATTTCATTTCCGCAAATATTAAGAAAAAATTTCAGAATCATTCTTGTTAGGTTGGATGCTGCCACACAGTCCATACCTAAGCGAAAATGAGCTTGGCTTTTACAGAACTAAAGTATGGAGCGGATTATTCCAAAGTTATTTAAAAGGGGGTTTTGAGGTTTATTAACTAGGAGCTAGTTGAATACCTCATGTACGAAGAGAAAGAAGAGCTTCCTGCACCACCATGCAGATGACGGGTCATGAACCAGCACTCCTCTTCCCAGTGGGCTAGCAGAGATCATGGCTCACAGCAGAAATTCACTAAATATCTGGAAAATTTAAGTAGACGTTTTTGATCAGGAAAGTGAAGTGTTGAAAAGTAGCTTTGGGTTGGGAGGCCAAGGCAGGAGGATTGCTTGAGGCCAGGAGTTCAACACCAGCCTAGGCAACAAGGCAAGACCCCATCTCTACAAAAAAAAAAAAAAAAAAAAAATTTGCCAGGCAGAGTGGTGCATTCCTGTAGCTTCAGCCACTTGGGAGGCTGAGGCAGGAGGATAGCTTGAGCCCAGGAGCTGGAGGTTGTGATATTGCTACCCGTGAGTGGAGGAACACCAGATTCTTCATCTCAAGTCGAATTAGGTAAGATGACATGGACACACGTGGAGTGGTTTTAAGGAGCAGAGAGTTTAATAGGCAAGAAGGGAGAAGGCAGAAGGAAGATGCTCCCTGGTACAGAGACAGAGGGAAGGAGGCTCCAAAGCCGAAAGAGGAGACCCCACATTCGAAGGACACCCGCCAGTTTTATGCGATGGCTGGAGGTGGTGTCTGATTTGCATAGGGCTCAGGGGATTGGTTTGAGCAGGTATGTCATTCGTGTGGCCCATGAAAAACCTGGCCCTCCCACCCCAACCCTTTAATATGCAAATGCAGGGCCCCTGATGTTCTACACTCGCGGGGATATGCGGGGGCGGCCATGCTGTCAGGCACACGTGGGGGCAAGGGCAAGAGGACAACAGTGGGAATCGCCATGTTGGGTGGACCCAGTTTCTAATGGCTTGTATTTGCATATTAAAGGCTGCCAGCCCTGGTCTAAGAGCCGGGGTTCTCATGCTAGACAAGAACCTTTTTTTTTTTTTGGAGCTGCGAAAAACCTTCCAGGGACCTCTTTTCCTCTCTATCTGCCTAAAATAATTTCTTAATAACTCCTGCCACAGTTGCAGTGATCTGTGATCATGCCACTGCATTCCGGCCTGTGTAACAGACTGAGATCCTGTCTTTGAAAGAAAAAAGAAATAAAAAGTAGCTTTGGGAAAATTCTCCTGGGAGCATTGCATAGGATAACCTGGATTTGCAAGAAACTAGAGAAGGAAACAAAAGTCAGGAGGTAGACTATCTAGAGTGGAAAATACAAATTAAAAATGAAACAGCAGGTCTACCTTGTATTTAATCTGGAAAATACAAATTAAAAAACAATGAAATCATTTTTCCTTGTTCAATTTGCAATAATTGAGAAGTTTAGCAATATCTAGTGTTAGCAAGGACTTGAGGAAAGAGATCTTTTTGAGCAATTTGACCTTGTCTTTTGATTTCAAATGAGTGCATCCGTTGCTTTAGGACTTTTGTCTATAGAAACAATATCACTTGTGCACATAGAAATGAATATGTAGGCTATTCACAGCAGTGTGGTTTATAAGAAATGCAACAACAGTAACAACCAACAACACCCTGGGAAGACAACCTAATTGCCCATCAATAAAGAACAGGCAAAATTACATGACACGGTCTTATTTTATTAAAATCAAATAGCAATTTAAAAGAAAGAGGAAGACCTATGTGTATTGACATGAAATGATCTTCATAATATGCTAGTAAGGGAAAAATATAATAGTGTATATAACATGATACCCTTTATTTAAAAATTCAATAAAGTGTGTGTGTGCATGGGTGCATATATATATATATATATATATATATATATATATATATATATATATATATATGTATGCATATGTATGTATAGAAAAAGGCCTGAAAGAATACAAACCAAAATCTTATTAACTGAAGTTACCTTTGTTGTGGTTTATTTTTGTTTTGAGCTGTAAATATCCCTCTCAAAGGTGTATTGTTATGTGGCAAAAGCATGTCATAGTGAAATGTGTGTAGTATAATGTGATATATGTGTTTGAAAATTTGTATATGCACATTGCTATATTTGTATCTCAATAGAAAATGGTCTGCGAGGACACATTCAATGACATCAGACAGGTATTAGTGATTATCTCTGGGCAAGAAAGTAGGATGTGGTAGGGGCGAGGGGTGCAGCATGGGTAGGGTTGATGAGAGTGGTTGATGAAAAGGTATTTTCAGTGTTTACTACATATGCTTTTGTGTTATATTTTTTATAATGAACACTTATAAATTTGTAAATTTGGCTGGTTTTAAAATATATATATATATAAAAGAAAAATCCCAGATTTGTTGAGTTTTCATTCTGGATCCAATCTATGTGCCACCTGGAAGTCACCTCAGAGCCAGTCAGCTAAGATCACCACTTTAAGGATGGGTTGGCTCATCCTCCCCAGGGCCAAGCCCACCCACTGAGACGGTTAATCAAGGCCTTCTGATACTCTCACATATGGAGACTCAGAGGGCAGATTCAGCAGGCTCCAATGATAGTTGCTGCCC